>NC_000023.11:106837542-107462542 GCF_000001405.40 Homo sapiens | reverse complement strand
TTCCTCACCTGGAAGAGGAAGTAACAGAGCCATTGGCTGTGTGGGGCATGAAGCCCCAAGCTCTGATGCTGAAACATGCACCCCTCTACCCTAGGCCATGGTGGAGGGTGCGGAAGATACAGCCTGGATGATGTACAGTTCATCTCCCCTTCCTCTACTAATTAGTGTTTGTTGAGCCCCTGCAATGTGTGTCTGGATCAGGCCTGGAGGATACCTTGATGAAAGAGGCCCCTGAAGAGTTCACTCTCTAGCTGGGGAGAAAGAAAAATTAAAGTAATGTGAGATGGTGGGATCAAGTGTTGAATTGTGGTGGAAAGACTGTTCAGATTCCAAAAAGGAAGAGGTGGAATTGGGTGCTTTTTTTTCCTCTATATTTTTCTGTATTCTCAAAGTTTTCTACTATGCATAGATATTACTTTTATGATAAGGGAAAAATTATAATTTTAAAAACGGGGGCAGCCAATGAGAGCTAGAATAATCAGGAAGTCTTCATAGCAGAGGCTGGACTTGAGCTTGTTGGTTAGAGGATACGATGGAAGGATTTCCAGAGATGGAGCAAAGGGGGCCACTGCAGGCTGGGGGAAGAAAAAAAAAATGACTGCAGGGATAAGAGTAAGCACCAAGTGGGGTACAGTGGACAGGGAGAGTAAGGAGGCTAGGGGAGTCTGGGCATTGGGAAGTGGGGCAGAGGGATACACACAGACAGACACACAGACACACACACACGTATATGTATATGTATATGTATATGTATATGTATATGTATATGTATATGTATATGTATAATGAATTCCAGCTGTTGTGGAAGGCAGGCCTCATATACCAGGAGGAGGAGCTTCTATTTGATATAGTAAGCAAAAGGGCACTATTATAGGTTCTTGAGCAGGGACTGACACGATGAAAGATGTTTTAAGGAGATTCCTCTGGCAGCAGCGTTGAAGGATCACTTGGCGCTGATGGGGAGGCTGAATGCAGAGAGACCAGTTAGGAGGCTGCTGCAGTAATCTAAGCATGAGGTAATGAGAGCTTGGGCTATGATGGTGGCTGTGGGAATGGTCAAGAGGGGGTGGATTCGTGGGGCACCTGTGAGAGATGAACTGCCAAGAGATGAACTGTGGTGACTGACTGGAGTGGGGAGGGAGTGATTGATTCCAAGTCTCAGGCCTTGGGCTATCAAAAGAGTGATGGTGTCATTGATAGAGAGATACAGCCTGCTGAAGAGGGGCAGGAGCTTTCAGCGTGGAGGGTAAGGTTGGAGAGGAGATCCTGAGTTTGCTTCTAGATGTGATGAATTTAAAATGATGGTAAACTCCAAAGAGAAAATGTCCTTAAAGTTAATAATGAAATGCAACTGGAGCTCCGGTTAAAGGCCAGACTTCATCATTTCCAGCAATCACCTAGATTTCCAAAGCAGGACAAGCTATATTTAGACTAAGTGTGGAAATCTCTAAAGCGGGTCGGGGGAAGAAAAGAAAGCAGACCCAACAGCCAATGCTGGTTTGGACTTTGCAGGTGACGGACACTAAACTGTGTGGCAGCAGCGGACTAGTGGGTCTGTTTAAAGAACCCCCTCTTTTTCCTCTGTCAGTGAGTGATTTCTCTACATATTAGAAAGATTACAGCTCGACTGTAGGTGACGAGATGAATATGGAACAACACTCACTTTATTAATCATATCTGCATTCTCTGCAATTTCACGGTGGTGGCAACAGAGCCAGTGCGGCACACAGGACCCTTGTCAGCCCTGTGAGTGGGCTGGTTTTCAGAACCCCAGTCCACAAAAGCGAGATCCAGATTCCTGGCCATATTGATACAGGATTGGAGGCAAATTTATTTAAAACATCCTCTGGGGGCTGGACACGGTAGCTAATGCCTATAATCCCAGCACTTTGGGAGGCCCAGGTGGTAGGATCGCTTGAGCTCAGGAGTTCAAGACCAGCCTGGGCAACATAGTGAGAGCTCATATCTACAAAACATAAACAAAATTAGCTGGGCGTGGTGGCATGGACCTGTAGTCCCAGCTACTTGGGAGGCTGAGGTGGGAGGATTACTTGAGCCTGGGAGGCAGAGGTTGCAGTGAGCCATGGTGGTGCCACTGCATTCCAGCCTAGGCAACAGACCGAGATCCTGTCAAAAAAAAAAAAATCCTCTGGGTACTTCAGTTTCTGAAACCAACTTGCTTGGGTCTAGGTTAGAAGTGGGATGATAAAGAGAACAATTACTGAAGGAAGAAATGTATAAACCAATGACAAAACTTAGGAGACAAACAGTGAGTACAGACTGTAGAAGAATCTCCAAATTGAGAGATCTTGACACTTACCTGGTTGACTCCTAAGCCAGTTGTTGCCATCATGCCCTCTTCTTTCTGCCTTAAATGGGTTTTTCCATCAGAAGGGTAGTAAACATACAAACTACCCTAGTCAGTGACTTGCATTCTCTCTTCTCAATCCTTCACCTGCATAAGCATTTTCCACTCTGGACACCTGCCTACTTCTTAGCCACCAACCACCACCCCTGCCTCAAATCTGCAATCAGAAGACTTTACAGAAATCAAAACAGAAATCTTTAGCAGGGAAGTGCTGGAGGCCGCTGATTGACAGACTATGCAGAGTGTGTGTGTGTGTGTGTGTGTGTGTGTGTGTGTGTGTGTGTGTGTGTATGTATGCTTGCGTGCACGCACGCACACACACGTGTGTTCATCCACCAATCTAGCCATCTGTTCCTCTGTTTTCCCAGTGGGTTTGGATCAGAAGCAAGGAGAAGCCTGTTTGATTGGGTGGTCCTGCCCTCAGAGCAGAGCTCCCTTGGCAGTTAGGAGCCCACAGCCTGAGCAGAACTACTGTACTCATTCATCTTTACAAGGCATCATATGCTCCCACAAGAAGAACAAGTAAAAGGAGACTAAAATCTCACAAATATCCCTTTATCTGCAGTTCTCTATTTCCCTCCAATCCAGGGCTGGCAGACCTGGCCCAGACACCTATCCAGGGCTGATATTCAGTGGATTGGGTGGGGAGGGGAAAGTTGGTGGGGGAGGCAATTTAGCAGGCAGAGGCCCTGGCCATGACTCTCCCATCAACCTGTGGACTCCTCACTTAGTTTCCTTATACCAGCTGCAACAGGGCTCCAGCTGGCATCAAAGTGCTGTGGTAGCTCTTGCCATACTCTGGCACAGGTGTGACCTTCACTGAGATGATTCCCAAGTGCTCAGAAGAGTTTTCAAACTGATTCTACCAGGGAAGTTGAAAGATGTTTCCTCACTCTTACCAGCTCTCAGAAGCCTTGGGGGACTTGAAACAGACCAGACACAGGCATCGCCTGCCTCCGGCCTCCCTGTTGGGGGATGTAATACTCAGCACCCCAGCTTGGCTATCATCTCAACTGCATTCTGCAGCCAGATTCCTCATTGCTCACTCTTTCAGGTCATGGTACTGAAGGCCCCTGTGCGCATCTACTTTACTTGGAAAGGATAACTGATTATAATGCCCAATGTTATCTTAGCTCCAGAAACTCTGCCACCTTAAGGTCCTGAGGGCATGAGGCAAAGAAAGTGTAAGTATTGAGGCTAAGAGGAAGGAGCGAGTGAGACAAAAACAAGTCAAGAAAATCTACTTGGTGGTTTATCAGCCACACCGATGCCTTGAGAGCCTTTTGGATTTGACCCTCCTCTCTATGCCCACTGCCACCACCCTTATCACCTCTCACTTAGATTGCTGTAGTATCTTATAGGCTGGTCTCAAGTCTCTCCCTATTCCAATCAATTCTGCTTCCAACTGCATAGCTAACCATCCTGAATCACTATGCATAATTGTCCGACAGCCCCCAAGGTTTACCCAAGTCCAAACTTCTTCTGACATCAGAGACTCTTCAAATCTGGGAGTCCCATACCCAGCCAATCATTTTTTCCCCACTGTGCCTGCATATACACCCTCTCCTCTAGTCAGACTTCTTTCTGACCCTTTCTTGATAACACCCTGACCATTTCCATCTCCAGCCTTTTCCCTATGCTGTGCCTCCCCCTCAGAAGCCTGTTCCTTTTCTAGTCAACAATCTCAATCTCACATGTTACTCAAAACATAACGCAGGTTCAACTTCTTCTGGGAAGACTTCTCCCCTCATTCCAGCCCACACTCTCATTCTCTCTGTGCTTTGAACCCCTACAGTGCTTACTGTTTAGAGCAAAAAAATGTGGCACATAATTGTTTTCCATCTTGTATTATTCTTAGTTACTTCATATGAATGAGTATTATTTTTCTGTTAAATTACGGATTTCCAGAGAGCAGGGCCTTTGCTTTCCCCTTCTCACCATAACATTAGTACAGGGCTAGATCCTGGAGTGGTCAATAGACTTCTCTTCCCATGCCTTAACTCCAGTATGAAGGAAGGATGAGATAAGTGAAGCCCGCTAAGGATCTCCGCTGTTCATTCCCTCACCTTTCTCAAAAGATGTTCCAGACGGCAGAGGAGCTGAGGCTGCCGAGTGAGACATAGGCAGCCAATCAGCTGTCAGATCCTAGCTTTCAGAACACTCCCACCTCCTAAGGTTTTCTGGGCAATCAATAACGCTACTTAAGTGATCAATCTGAGGCACAATGGGCTGTAGGGGCCAGTGTTTGATTAACTTGAGAGAATAAATGTACGCTGGAAGAGAAAGAGCAGGGAGGGGGGAGCAGAAGAAAAAGCAAGAAGAAAGATGAGCTAGGGGAAGGAAGAGAGAGAAAAGCCTTTATGAAGGAGGGTATGATGGGATGGAGCTGAGAGTAGTTCTCACCTAATCCAATTCAACGAGTTAAGCAAGTTCCTACTGAGGTGTCGAA
This sequence comes from Homo sapiens, assembly GCF_000001405.40. Taxonomy (NCBI): domain Eukaryota; kingdom Metazoa; phylum Chordata; class Mammalia; order Primates; family Hominidae; genus Homo; species Homo sapiens. The sequence goes on along the minus strand of NC_000023.11, from coordinate 107,457,725 downwards.
ATAATCTTGGGGCTTTGTCAGAGTCCAGTGAATATCCCAGGGCTTTTAGGCAATTTTTGACTTTGGCAAGAACACTGTTGCCATGGTCCACTGAGGGTCCACACAGCCTCCATATTGGGTGGAAGAGTGGGTGTGGGATAGAGACTTCAGCCAATATCAAGGAAAGACATGGATCTTGAGCTATGCTCATTGGCTGTGTCTAGAGAAATCCCAGGTTCTGGCATCCTACACTCTCCTACCCAAGCCTGATGACTCAGAAACCCATGATGATATGGGACAGTAGGCTCATCTGCAAGGGAGATATCAGCATTACCTTCTCTCTATCCAGAATTGTATATACTATCCTCCCTCTCAAGGCCCTGGAGCTGGAAATTTAACTATTTGCAGTTAACAAAAAATACGGAGTCCCTTTCCAAATGTTTTCCAAACATTATCAAATGTTTAGCTATACCACGAATCAAATTTTTTTCTGGGAAAGATAGTATTATCTGGAAAAAAAAAACAGAGCAGATGGCCTCTTACTGTGAGAAAGTGAGAAAGTTCCTCCTTTAATCTAACCATGATACCTGCTGCTCTCATTAAAAACTCATCCTTCTCATAGGATGACATTGGTACCCTCCTGGTTATGCAGGCTCAAAGCCTTAGAATCATCTTTGACTCTTCCTTCTTCCTCACCCCACGCATTCAATTGGTAGGTAAATCAGGTTTCCTCTACCTCCAAATACATTCACCCATCTTCTTTCTGTCCCCAACCAGCTATGGTAACAACCGGCTAACTGGTCTTCCTGCCTCCAGAATGATCTTGTTTTAATCATTATGCCAAAGCGAGAAAAAAAGAAAAATGAGCTTGAATCTAATCAAGCCCAGAGCTAACTTCCATTTATAGAAAATATAGGGGATAGGTGAACAAGCTAACTGGCAATAAGAGGACAAACCAGAATGTGGGAATTGTGCAGAGCAAACAACCTGATTTCTGTGACAAGTCAAAGAGAGAGGGCTGTTGAAAGGGCCTTTAGAGACATAACAACCAAATGTCACGTGTGGAACTTTTTTGGAACGTCCGTCAAACAAGCCAACTGTAAAACATGTTTTGAGACAATTGAGGGCATATGATTATGGACAGGGTAATGGATAATACAAAGGCATTATTGTTACTTTTGTTAGGTGTATTAGCAGTTCTGTAGTTATGTTAGAAAATGTCCAGTTTTTAAGAAATGCATAGAGAAATATTAGGAATAAAATGATGTGATCGATGTTTGGCATGATAGGTGAAGCAAACATGGCAAAGTCCTGATAACTAGTTAATGTGGATAATGAGTATGTGGGGGTTACTATACTATTTTCTCTAATTTTTTTGAGGTTGAAAATATTTATAAGAAAAAGTAAAGACAGGCTGGGCACAGTGGCTCATGCCTGTCATCCCAGTGCTTTGGGAGGCTGAAGTGGGAGGATTGCTTGAGCCCAGGAATTGGAGACCAGGTTAGGCAACACAACAAGACCCTGTCTCTATGAAACACTAAAAATTAGCTAGCAACTCGAGAGGCTAAGGTGGGAGGATCACTTGAGCCCAGGAGTTTGAGGCTACAGTGAGCCATGATCATGCCACTGTACTCATCTGGGCAACGGAGTGAGACCCTGTCTCTAAAAATAATAATAATAATAATAATAGTCATCCACTATACCCACTCTATCTTCCTAGCCTTATCTTCCATTCCTGCCCTATTTCTCTATGACACAGCCACCCTACGTACTTGCTCAAGTTTTTTCCAGTCTGAACTTCATCCCTTCACTTATTCATGAAGTCATTCATTTGAGTAGTCAACAAATATTTATTAAGTATCTCTTCTATGCACTAGGCACTGTAAATTCAAAGATGACTGAGAAGGAGAAGGACAGGAAGCCTCCTTCATCTTTTGTATTATCCACAGCAACTAGCACAGTGCCTTGTACATAATTGGTGCTCAATAAATGTTTTATGAACTAATGTGCAGGGGGAGATGCGATAGAATCCCTGTCTAATATGAATCAACAAGTATTTGGTCCAATTCAACATATGCCTATTGAGTACCTACTGTGTATTAGGCACATATGCTATGGGGATTTAAAAAAATTAAAAAAAAAGATGTACTTGCCAAATGTATTTTTATTTATTTATTTATTTAGAGACAGGGTCTCACTCTGTCACCCAGGCTGGAGTGCACTGGTGCGACCACAGCTCACTGCAGTCTCGACCTCCCGTGTTCAAGCCATCCTCCCGCCTCAGCCTCTCTGTAGTCCCGAGTAGCTGAGATAACAGGTATGCACCACCATACCCAGCTAATGTTTTAGTTTTTTGTAGAAATAGGGTCTCGCTATGTTGCAAGGGCTGGTTTCAAACTCCTGGGCTCAAGCTGTCCTCCCACCTCAGCCTCCCAAAGTGTTAGGATTACAGGCCTGAGCCACCACACCCAGCCCCAAATGTATTTTAGAGACGGAGGAGTTGAGAGGAGAGAGAGATCACTTTAGTCTAAAATGATCAGAGAAGATTTCACAGAGGAGGTGAATTTGAATGTAGAGCTGAAGGATAGGTATAGTGATATGGAATAGGAGAGAAGCATAGGCAGAAAGGAAAGGGCATTCCTGGTGAGTGAAATGGAATGAACAAAAACATAGAGGCAAAAAAAATGTACAAGGTACGTTTAGGAGATCCTGGGGTAAGAAACTTGGCTGGAGTAGAAGGGTCCATGTAGGGCTTTGTTTCACAAGTAGATCAAGTGTATCAAAATCACTTGGGGAGCTTGTTAAAATGCATATTCCTGGACTCCAGCTTCCAGACCTACTGAATCAGAAGCTCAGGAGGTAGGACTCAGGAATCTGCATTATAACAAGTTCCCTCAAGCAATTTTAAGACACATTAAAATTTGAGAATCAATGATGTGGACCAAGCATGAGAAATAGGGTTGGAAGAATATACAGGGTTAGGTCCACACAAGGAGAACTTTGAATGCCAGGCTAAGGAGGCTGAAATTTATCCCACAGGCAATCAGGTATCACCCTCCAAGGATGATGATCAGAAGCATTATGAATAAAGGATATTCCACAACATTAATCTAGCAGTTGTGTGTATTATGGACTGGAAAGGAAAGAGACTAGTGCAGTGTGGCTGTGAGGTGGTGGCAGGAGTCAGGGTGGACTGGGGCATAGGGGATGAGTCAGAGATGGCTTTGAGGTTTCTAGACTGGGAGACAAGAAGCCTTATGGTAAAAGAAAGGTGAGAAGAGTGAGTCATCTCTGAGAAATAATGAGATGAGTTTGTGAATACTGAGTCTGAGAGCAAGCTATCCAAGAGGAAATGTTTAGCAAGCAGTTGGAAATATAGGACTGAACCTCAGGAGTGGGGTTAAGTTTGGGCTAGAGAAATGGGAATGGTTGGTAAAGAGGTGAGAAGGGAAGCCATGCATGCCTGTGTGTCCTTGTCAATAAAGAAAGTGGAAAGCAGGAGGAGCTGGAGAACACCCAGATTTGAGGGGTAGTAAGAAGAACTAGCAATAAAAGAGAAAAAAGGAGGGGTCACTTGGCTGGAAGGAGACCCAGATATTAGAACCTAGCAGAGAGTTCTTTCAAAAGCTGCGGGTGGCTAGTAGTGTGGCTAATGGCAAAGTGAATTTGAGGCACAGAGCAAAAACACTGGCTACGGCATGCATGCTGAGAAAGCTGCAAGAGTGCACACACCTGCTCATTCTCATGTTCCTTAACACAAACACACAGAAATAGACACACCTGCTCCTACAGATACACAAGTAGCACCTCTTTCCCTCTCTCTCCTTTCCCCGCCCCACGTTATACACATATTCCCATTTCCAGGCTCATTTTCTGACTACCAGGGATTGGGCACTAGTGTGCCACAGGCTGTTAATGTTCTGTTTTAAGGATGGTGCCTCAGGTCTCAGAAAAGGGTGCTCTGCCTGTCATGGGTGGGAAATAATACAGAACCCCAAGATCACTGTCCTTGCCTTTGGCAGCTCAGCTGAGGGGAGGAAAGGAGGGAAAATGGCATGTTTCTCTGGATTTGCTCCCTACCCTACCCCTTTGCCCCTAGCCCCAGGATTTCTCAGCAGACAATAAGGTCCACCCCATTTTGAGAGTCCTTCATTTTGGCTGCCGATAATGCAAGAGAATGTTTTTGTTTCTGAACTTATGGTAAAAAGGAAAATAGAAGTCCTTGAGAGAAGAGCCAGAACAGAATTTTCTGCTGGGAATGCTAATGGCCTTAAGGCTGCCCCACAAACAGAAGCTGACTTGAGTGTGCTTCCTCCCAGGGGGCCTGTCAAAGCTAAGGGTCTTCATCTAGTATCAATAGGTATCAATTCTAGTCCCCCTAGCAATGATTGCTAGGGCCTATATGTGAAGGCAAGAACCCCCCAAAACCAAGCTTGTCTGCATGAGCCTCTCTTTCCACAATTTGCCCCAGGTATGTGTTGGGGTTTGAGGGTGTGTCTGAGGGGTGTGTGTCTTGTGTGTGATATGTGTGTGTGTATTTGTGTGTATGTGTATGTATGTGTGTCTTATGGCTTCATTCAGTTAGCCTGGAGGTGCCACAAAAACAGGGATCTTTCCTCTGTTGCATTGGTGCTGCCCCTCCAAGTGCCTTATCAGGCATTAGCCACGGAGTCCAATCATTTATGCGTAGTGGGGGAGGGTGGGTACAGAGTGCTTCCGTTGTCCTGCATCCACCCATGCTCCCTCCAAGGGCTGAAGTAAGGATTACTGCGGTGGGGCAATTCCTCTCCTCTACTCATCCCACCCGAGACTCCTCTGTTACCCACCCCCACCCCCATCTCCAGCAAGCCTTTCCCAGCTTGCTGCTATCATCAGCAATCCCAGGGCTTTCTTGTTGCACTTTTTCAATCTACTACTGCTCCTAGAGGATGTCGTTGGTCACAAAATCCCCCAACTGGGCCACACAGCTCACTTCTCAAGACCCTCGGACTGCACCACTTACAAGAGGGAGGGGTCCCCTGACTCATTCCAAATGCAGCTCGCAGCCTCATAGGAGTCCCCAGACCTCTCCTCCAGTGGGGTAGAGGCTCTGTTGCACTATCCAAAGAAGCCATAGCACCAACAGCATCACGAGCTTATGTTGGAGGGGGCACTTACTGAGTTCAGGCCAATAGTCTGGCCACTCAGCAGAATGCCTCACATATCTGGGAAACCCTCAGGGCCAGAAGCCTGGGGCAGCTGCCACCCTCCCCTGGCCAGTCTCCTCTCCCTGGTGGCCTTCAGCCCACAACTGCAAGGCGGTTGTGGTGTTGGGTGCCAGCGAGAGATAGGGGATATTCTCTCCACATGCAGCAATGAGTGTTTCTTTCCTGCTTATATCTTATTCCCTCCTTTCTCAGAATCTGGCAGTGGCTCCCAATTGCCTCTCAAGTCAATTGAAACCTTCTCTTTGTGGGCCTCAAAACCCTCCACAATTACATCTCACCTTCTGACACCCTCACTCCCACACACACATCACCCATAACTCTGGCCTAGGCACAGACAGTAGAGTAGACAGATGAGGTTGTCCACAAACTGCTCCTGCCTGAGTCCTGCCACAGGTGCCTGAAAGCCCCACCAACAGAGTCACTCCTCTGTGTCCTTTAAAAATGCAAATGTTACCTGTGAGGTGTAAGCAGTAAACCTCTATCAGCTATTAACACCTTGGCCTGGCAGGGATTCTGTCATCAAATTTGCCCGAGCAGTGAGCAAAGCCCCGCCTAAATAATCTAAGGGGGCGGGGGAGAGGACCCAGAGGAGCCCTGAGCAGCCGACGGGAGGGGCAGGAGCAGGGAAGGGGCTCTGACGTAGAAGCCATCGCCGTCACGATTTTACCACGGTCTACATTCTAACTCCGCATCTCTACTTAAAACAGTAAAACCCACTAGTCCTTGCTCCCCTCAACCTTGTTTCCCCCATCCACAATACATTATGCCTTATTTAACCTCAGGGGTGCCTTCATGACAAGCTGCTAAGGTTGAATTAGTCCTTTCACATGAAATACAAAAACAAACAAACAAAAAAACAAGCCATGAAATTGGGTAGACGCTGGCATGTTTGCTTGGGCACGGCCAAGTCTTGTTGAGGTCTCCCCGGGTAGAGCAAGATCTCTTTGCTCAGCGGAAACAGCAAAGGCTTCCCGAAAAGCCTCTCTTAGCTCCCAAGAAGCTGGCAGCTGGGTTCCCCCTGCTTCTCCTGCAGTGAGCTTCATGGGCAAGGAAGGCGAGGGAGGGGCAGGGCCTCCAAGCTGAGGGCCTCTGTGGCTGAACTGGCACACTATCCCGGGTCCTCTAGGCCCAGGTGGAGTTCGCCATTTACCCCGGTCTCCAGCTGGGAAAACTCACTTGGTGCTTCGCTCTGAGTCAGCATAGAATCCCCCACCCTCCACTTCGAGAAGGGCGCCCCCAAGGGAGCCTTGCGCTTATAGCAGTTCCTCCGAAGGCAGGAGTCCAGAGACTGCCCCGCCCTCCGTAAGAGCTGCAGGATGCTAAGACCACCCGGTGGACTCCAGGGTTTTGCACCTGGACCAAGATGCCAAGGGGAGGGGCAGGTCTAGCAGAATTCGGCGTTTGCTGTCATCTGGGGCTCTTTAGTTGCAGCTGCAAGGGTGGAGGTGCCACCTGCTTCTGGGGGAAGGTGTCAAACATTTGCCCCTGCAGTGGTTTCAGTGTGTGTGTATGGGGCTGTGGTGTGTGTGTGCAGGAAACCCAACAGCTCGAGCGTGGAGGGTATGACTACCAGAGTTGGGCACGCTTTTTGCCAGAATGGGGTTCTTAAGGGCTCTGGTGGAGGTGTCTACAGTAGCTGCGTGTGACGGGGGGTTGCTGGGTGTGTATTGGGGGGAAGCAGCAGGTACTGGATCTGCAGTAATGTGCAGTTGTCATGTAGTTTCTCAAGACCACTCTGAGAAAACACACACACACTCACATACACACACACACTCTCCAACCTCCAAAGCACTAGGCTGGGGAGTAGAGGAGTGTGTTTGTGTGTGCATGTTTTAGCAGCGCTAGGGGGAGGTGCATGTATCTGTATATGTGTTTGAGCTTTATTAGCATCTTGGTGGGAGGGGGCAAGTGTAGCTCGCGCTCTCTCTCTCTCTCTCTGTGTGTGTGTGTGTGTGTGTGTGTGTGTGTGTGTGTGTGGTCTTTGCATGGGGCTGACTGTGTGGCTGAGCGCCGGGTATGTTGTGCGGCTGTGTGTGCGTGTGTGTGCGCCTCCGTGTCCGCTTGTGAACATGGCCCCGGGAACCACGCACATGCTTCAGACAGCTGTTTCTGGCAGCCCCTGGGCTCGGGCTTCGCCGGGCACCCCGGCTAAGTGGCCACCTCCTAGCAGCCAGGCCCCGCGTCTCGCCAGCTCTCCCAACTGTGCCCACAGCCCAGGCGCGCACACAAAGGCTCCATAATGAACGCGCTGCACTCCCCTGCGCTCGACTCCTCACCCCGCACCCGCGGAGGCCAAACGAGCCCGCCAAGCCAGAGACTCGCCGGGGCAGTGGGCACGCAACGGGCCGTTACCCCGCCCGCCCAAACTCCGGGCGGCCAGACGTTCGGCGCCCCCCGCCCTGCCCCCGGCTCCCGGGGGCGCCCAAGCGCCAGTCGCCCCCCAGCCGGCCCGGGGCGGAACGCTCCCGCCGCGACCCACCCCCGGTTGGGCTGAGACAGCGGGCGCGCCCCCCTGAAGGCAGCGCGCCTCTTACCTTCCTCCCCCTCCTCTTCCTCCTCCTCTTCCTCCTCCTCCTCCTCCTCCTCCGCCTCCTCAGCGGCGCGGCAGCGGCGGCGCAGCGGCGGCGGCGGCGGCGGCGGCAGCGGGACTAGGGCACCCGTGCCCCCGAGCCCGGCATGGGCTTGGGGCTCAGTGGCGCCGGGCGGCGGGGCGGGCAGAGGTTGGCAGGGCGGCAGCAGCTGGCCCGGGACGCGGGGAGCTGGCGCGCAGGCGGCGGGCTGCGGGCAGGATGGCAGGAGCGCGCGCGGGCTCCTCGGGCGGGCTTCATGGCTGCGCCGCGGGCGGCACCATCGCCGTGGCTCGCTCGTCGCTCTCTCGCTCCAGGAGTGCGGCAGGCTGCGAGGTGACGGATGGCGGCGAGGCGGCCGGACGGCCGAGGAGGGGAGGGGAGAAGGGGCGGGGGGAGGGGGAGGGGGAGGAAAGAGGGGAGTGCAGAATGAGGGGCCTCTCCGGCGCCTCCCGACCCTCGAGTGCTGGCGTCGATTTCCCCGAATGGGAAAGCGGCTTAAAGGCGCAGTTCCTGGCTCGGGTCACTACTAAAAATAAGCAAAAAATTGACAATTGGGGAAAGAATCTCCCAAGAACAACCCAGCAACCCAGCCACCCAGCCTGGCGCTGCCTCACTTCTTGAATCTGACCGTTACGGCCGGACTCTGCCGGGAACTGCTGGCTGCCGAGAGGGCAAGCCAATTTCCAAAGTGAACCCGGGAAAGGGGGGCGGGGAGTGAACTGCGGAGAAGGGGCAGCAGGAACGCTTGCTTCGGAGACTCCGTTCCCTGGCCCCTGACCTTGCTTCTCGCCCCTTGTTTGCTCGCCTTCTGCTGGGGATGCCCTCCCTGCAGCTCCCCTCCTGGTCACCATCGCAAACATCCACACGCACCTTGAGTTTCGGCTCGGGCTCCTGCTCTCAGCGCCTCTCCCCAGCACTGGAGTGTGAGCGGCTTCGAGCCCAGGCCCAACGCCAGGAGCCCACCTCAGTAAGGGAGCGATCTGCCAGCTGGCAAAGGTCTGCTTAGAAAATGCGATTGGTTTGGTGAAAAGGGAAAAAGGTTAAGGTGTGTGTGCATGTGTGTTCACCAGCAGATGGAGGGAGGGTCCTGGCCACACACACACACCCGGAAGGAGAGCAGCTAGGCACACAGCACAGTGCCTGATGAATGATCTCAGGACGTTTTTTAGAGACATGCTGTGAATACTAAACATGCAGCAGCCGAGATTCAAGAGAAGCTCTTGGTCTCCCAGCGGGCTCCAGACCCCTTCAGAGGAGTTTTGAGGGCCAAGAAAAAAGGCCACTCTTCCTTCCCCAAAAAGGGCAGCCTCAGTGGGGACCCAGAGAGACTGGGAAGCTGGACAGTGGGTCTGGGTGGTGAAGTTAAGGCCAGGGAAGAGAGAAGCAGGAGGAAGCAGTGGAGTTGAGGAGCTCCTGGTGATGCCAAATACATGGTGAATTTCCGGGTGTCAGAAGCACCTCGGAGAGACAGTTAAACATTGGCACATTTGGGCCTTGTGAGTTCTAAGGTGAAAAGTCAGCCCTCCTCGATTTCCTCTGTGTTCCTGAACTCTAAAGGAGGCTGTTGGCACAAAGGGATCCATTCTAGTTGGAATATTTCCTCACTTTCGGTTCTTTTCAAGCACTTGGTTAAAGCTTCAGAAGAGGCCGGAGGGCTACTGAGGGGCAATTGTGGGACAAGGGCTGTTCTCCTAGGCTGCACGGAATTTCCAGGATACAGAGGAGAGCTCCGGGCACAGGGCTCCGTGGCTTCCCACAGCTGGGCTCAGCAGTGGAGTAGCTGACTAGCAGATTTGGCCATCGGTCCACTGAGCACACTTTTGCTTTCTTCCTGGCACTTCCCACCTTGAAAAAAGGATGGAAATTCCCTGCATCTGGATGGGAGTAGCCTAAGCTGGTAAACCAAGCTGATGGAATTATTAAAAGCGGATGACAAGTGAAAGTGAAGACATGCAGGGAGAGAAACACACAACATTCCCTGCAAATGCACAGGCAGAGCCCAACCTGAGAAGATGCTCTGAGGAACACAGCACACACAAAGGGACACACATGGAGTCAGTCACATGTGGGGCCACAGACACACTGAGCTAGTGCAAAAAAAAAAAAAAAAGGCTAGCCAGAAAAGTGACTCAGACTTTATTTCTAATCCTTCTGAAGGAAAGAGATGAAGAGAAACAGGGAAGAATTGGCCTCCCATCTCCAGGGACTGGAGAGGGAGCCAGGAACCAGCTGTCCAGTATGAATAATAATATTTCCAGCCAGACTGTCCCTGGCAGATTTTCTTGGGGTGGTGTCTCAGGAGGTGGGATCCCCTCCAGGGTCTCCTGAGCCTCACCTAGTTCAGTCTTTATTAATATTAATAACACAGGTCCCAACAAATTGGTTTGTATCAGTTATTACAATAAAGCTCATGGGTTAAGAACTAAAATAAATGCCTCTCACGAATCTGATTGGCCCTCCTCTGCTGCTTTCTGGGCTCACTCAAAGCACATGCTCAGGCTCCATTCAAGCTGCTTTGTGGTAAACAAAATAAAGAAGGGGTGGTGAAGCAGGAAAGAGTATTGAGAGGAACTGTGTCACTGGACAAATGCACATCTGAGGGCTCCTGGGTGACCAGTGAGGCACTGTCTGGTTTAGGATAGCGATTAGGTGCATGGCTTTCAGAATCTGCTTCTTACTAGTGATGTGATCTCAGGTAGCTCACTTAACTTCTTTAAGCCTTACCTGTGAAATGAAGACGATGGCAGAATCTACCTTATGGAGTTATTGGAAGTGTTGAATGAGATAACAGATATAAAAGGTCTCAGTAAATGTTAGCTGTCGTTCTTTCTCAAAACGAATTTGCCTCCTAGTCATCTATTTAAAGGTTCCTTTTTCTGTTCATATTCTGCCTAATTCCAGTCTGAAGTGATGCAGCATTTGCATTGTTTCTTGCTCTCGATTAAAGTGAGTTCTCAGGACTTGATGAACACTAGCTTGTTTCACTTCCAAGGAGAGAGAACTCTCACCCCAGAAAATCATGTAGCTGGGATTTTCTTGTTCTTATTTTTGTTGTTTGACAAGTTGTGTGTACTTCCCATGTCCAATAGAAATGATGGAGATGGGGTACAGAGAGAGCATGGTGAAGATTCTTCAGTGTTCTTAACCCTGTACCAAAATGCAGCAAAATAAACACTTTCATGCAAAAGGGAGACCCTGGATCCAGTTGCACTGAAATTTGGTGAGGGCCCCTGGGGCAAGAGTTCAGTCTCTTCAAATCTGAGGACAATTTGATGACAAATGAAGACGTTCCAGCCAGAAGTCTATTTCCCATTGAAACCAATACATTGAGATGAACATAATAAGTGACTGTTTTTCTTCCCTACATACTGAGAGTGAATGGAGGCAGCCTGGCTTCACTAGCACTTTGCTCTGAAATCAGCACTTAATAACCAGGCAACCAACTCGCCATTAACTGAGAATCCACGGATGAATAGACAGAGAGTATCCTGGCCTCTAGTAATAATAGTAATACTGACTACCATTTATTGATCCAACACTTAACTGTGAGCTAGGCATGCTGCTACCACTCCTAGGAAAAGGACAGCAGTTCTTCATCTCAGGGGTACAATTAGTTCAACTCTGCTGGTAGGACCTCCAGCCAGCCCTGAGAGCATTACATGTATTAACTCATTTCAGGATCACCACAGCCCTCTTACCAGGTAACATCATTATTCTTATTTTACAGAAGAGGAAGCCAAGACTCATGTAGCAGTAAGTAGTGGAACCTGGATTCCAACCACATGATAATTCATAATAATAATTATTATTGCTTTTATTTATCACTTTATGGGCCAGGCACTGTGATGGCATTTTACATGCGTTATCAAATTTAATTCTCACAATAAACCCAAGAGGGTAGGCTCACAGAGGCTGCTAAGTAATTTCCATAAGGTCACACAACTAGTAGAACCTAATCTAGGATTTGAACCCATGCTTGTTTGACTGCAGAGTGATAGTATTTCCAAAAAGGCCATGACTCCAAGACTTCAGCTGAGATTACACAGAGAGACAGGTTACTAGCCTTTCTCCCAGACACATTACTAAACTGCCTGCCTCTGCTGGGGCAGCCCGCCCACTCATTAGCACCCAGGAAAGATAAATGCCTGAAGGGCAGGGTGTCATCAATGGCTGGAGTATGAACTGCATCTGCCTAAGGCAGCAAGGGGACTCTGCAGGTTGCTAAGCTGGCCCTGGGATGATAGAAAGGGGATGATATCATCAGAAAGGTCAAGGAGGGAACCCACTTTATAATTTTGCAACCTCCAACCCTTTAATTTCCATCTTGCCTTTCAGCAAGACACCCAGTCACCCCAAAGCATCTAGGGCCAACCAGGGCTCTGGTGTTTGGTATATGGTGGGTGAAGGAAAAGGGAGAGAAGCCTCCTGAGCTACTGAGCTACTGGGGAAACTGGGAGCTAGCAGGAACGCTGGGTGACAGAGAATCCCTGTGGAAAATGTGGAAGAAAAGGACCATTTCAAAAGATTTGTCACTAGGAGAAGGAAGGACAAAAGGCTGGGAAATTATGCTAAGAGGGCTTTTAAGTGGCCCTTTGTGTGCTAGCTGAGCCTGCCTACCTGGTTTGGGCTGGAAGACACTGAAGGGCCAGGCATGGAACAACCCTGGGCTGATGAGCTGCAAAGTGCCAGCCAACCCCTTCGCGAAGCTGGCTGGCAGGCACCCTCTCCCCTCAAATGCAGCTGCTGAGCAGGGCTCACTGCCTGCCAGGTTTGTGTGTCTCAGCTAGCTCCCTGCTTCCCTGTCAAAATTCATCCCTTCCCAGACCCTCAAACTTGCTGGAAAAGTGCCCAGTCATGGGAGGGGGATCCTTGGGTCAAAACTGGGGTTCATACTACCATGGTGCCCCAGTGACAAGAATGAGGTCACTCAATTCCTGGCTCCTCTCTGGGGACTGGGGTCATGCAGCCACTACTTACATTAATAAAGCCCAGGTCTCTTTAAAACAGCCCAGGGAAGCTGGCTGTTTTGATTCCTAGCCTTCCTTGCTTCTGCCCATTTCACTTACTTAAGTATTGGGTTGACAAGATTTCCTTCCAGCATGCAGAGATGCACCTCCCTTCAATAAGCCCTTTGATTCCTAGATCTTCTCTGAGTGCCCTTCCTTGGACAGCACCTCAGGCTTTGGGTGTTTTCTGAAAGCAATTTCTGCCCCCCATCAAAATTTATCCATCCCTAGTCTTAGTCTTAGATAATCTGATAAATGAATCTATACTAAGGTAAACACAGATGGTAATTGGCAATACTTCTCAACCTTTAAAATGAACACACACACACACACACACACAGAGAGAGAGAGAGAGAGAGAGAGAGAGAGAGAGAGAGAGAGAGAGAATCCCTAAACATAGAATAAAGTGAGAATCTGGAAGTGAAAGCCATCGTGGCCAAAAGCATAAAATTTTTTTGAAGCTCACATTTTATTTTGAAAACACGAGAACTTTCACATTTTACTCTGTAGTATACTTGTGTTTGATTTACCATGAAAGTACCGCATGTCTCTAAAATCCTTGCATGAATTGAAGCTCGAAAAAGATGCACTGTGTTGATCTTGTGGCTCTATGTACCTCCTAGAAGGTAGAGAGACCCCCATTTGAGAAGTGCTGAATGAATGCCCAGAACCTGTTTGTCTTTTGGCCCACTATCTCTATTGAAGACAGAAGTGAGCAGAATGAATGACTAGAATCGTTTGGAGTGCTGGGGTGTGGGGGCATGGTGGGTGAGCCTGTCTTCTTCTCAGGCTCCATTTCCCCCCACAGGAATTACAGCAGAGCCAGCCACACCCCTAGATCATAGAAGGTGCATGCAGCCACATACTTGGTGTGATACCAGCCTTCCCCTTACTCAAATTCACCTGCCCTCCAGCTGTGTTTGCCGGAAATTCTCCTTTGGGTTAAAGCCCAATCTCCAGAAGGTCCCGGTAAATTGCACATGTTATCTGGAATGGACAGCACATTAAGTCATTAGCACCCATTAATGCACTCGCCTGAATAAATCTATCAGATTGCCTGTCACCTCTCACAGGAGGGTAGAGCGGTAAAGGAATGAAATACTGACCAGGGACGTTTTCCTGGGATGCCGTGGGGTGAGGTGGGAGAGCTTGAGTGCAACATTTCCCCACCTATGGGCCTTGACCCAGCTGCATCAGAATCCTGGGGATCTGGGAATTCTTTCTACCTGGGGAGCTGTAGAAAGGCTGATTCCTGGGCCCCACCCTAGAGCCCAGGACTCTATTTTTTTTAACAAGCCCCTTGGGTCTAGGTTGCATCTGCAACGAAGCACAGCTGAAGCAGGCCTGAGAAGAGGAATGCTACTCCAGAGGGCATGGGGTCCAGTACTAAGAGGACTTTGTGGGGGCAATCCACCTCAATTCTGACCCTGTTCTGGAGCTTCCTTTTTTCTTTCTTCCTCTTCTTTTGTTGCTTCTTTTTTATTTTTATTTTTTGTCTTTCTCTAGAGAGCTTCCAAGGTGCTGCCTTCTCCTTGCCCACCTCCATTGTGCAGAGGGAGCCCCACAGAGGGAAGGCCTGTGGCTCTGGAAGGCCTTGGAGTGGAAACTGAGTTGACAGACTCCAGGGAATCGCCCATGGCTTCCTTGAATGCCTTCCTGCTGTCCCCCCTGCTGGCATCTTAGGCATGTTTGCCCTCCTGGAGTTAGGAAGCAAAATACCAATTTAAATTGATGCTGACAGAGCCTGTCAGATGCCAAGTGCTTGCTGCGGTTGCCACCAGTACAGCTATTCCTCATGAGGGAGTTCAGGCGTGTGCTTGGGACAGTGCTGCCAGGAGCCAGCCTCCTCCCCCTCCTCACCTGTCTGGGTGGGGCTGAGGATGGGGGGATATTTGCAGAAGAAAAACTGGATGGACAGGAAATGTAGCTAGGCTGGAGAGCAGAGGACTAGGTGCCTCTGATAGGCTCTCAATCCTGGGTAGGGCACTGTGTGATCATGGACACTTTACTTAACTTAACCTCTCTGCACTAAGGTCCCCCTGGGAAAAAAGAACATGAAGGAGAATTGAATGCCTGCCTATTGCTTTTTACCGGGATGCAGACTTAAAGAAGGATGCTCCTGGAGCTTTTGGAGAAAAACAAACAAACAAACAAAAATTACCATGTAGAGACAAATGTCCCTTGAAAGACTGAGGAAGAAAGGGTGTTAAAAATCCATCCAAAGGCCCTGGGGGTCGCCACCAATTTGATAAATGAATTTTTGCTAATGTGCTAGTGAATGGTAATGGACCAATGAGTTAACCTCTGAACAGTTTACATTTTGTCCAAACCTATCTCAATATCTCTCTCTAAAGGCATGATTGGTAGTGGGGATGTTTGACTTGGAGGCAGAAAGCTGAGGAGTTTGAGGGTATGGTGGCCTTTCCTGGTTCACCAAGATAATCCCTTATAGGTACACCAAGTTTTACAGTTTAATTTGATCTTCACAATAACACTGAGAGGTAGGGCAGCTATAATTCCCATTTTATAGATAAGGAAGTTGAGGCTTAGATTGACTAAATGACTGTTCAAAAATCCCACAGGTAAGAAGCAACTGATTTTTTGATCAAGTGCTCTTCACTCTTTTCCATGCCTACTCCACCTGAGCAGAGTAAGGGGCTCAGAAATACCAGGCCTGGAAGAGATCAGCTGGCTTCTCCCGTTCTCTTTTTCTGTCTGTCATCAATTTCTCTTTTCTTCATTCTGTCTTTCCTAGACCCCATCTTCTGTTTCTCTGGCTGCCTTTCACCAGACAGGGAAGAAAAAAAAATCAGCTTTGAAAGGAAAAACAGGTGTGGTTTTATATGTCTCGGTGGGCTAAAGCAATAAATTCCAGAAAGGCCTGACAAGAATATTCTCACCACTGGACTGTCAGTAACTTCCTGTGTTTGACCTGGAATCAATTGATTAACCTTTCTGTCTGCAAGTTCTCATCTTTTCAACCTGCATAAACTTTGCCAGGCTCATGGCAGGGTTGGTGAGAGGGAAAGAGAGGGAGAGGAGAGCGGGTGGGAGATAGGGATGGCTAATGAATAACAAGAGCAGAAAAGCACTTTGCAACCATTCCTAAGTGCTGCATCGATATTTAATGTCATTCTTTGCCTCAAAAGCCATGGTTCAGAAATGGGAAGCATTCGTTAAGGCACTGCAGGCAGGTCCCTGGTTATCCAAGAAGCCTCCCATTTAGGGGGAATGCCTAATTATAGTGTCTTCTTTTCCTTATCTCTTTCTCTTGTTCATTAAGACCCAAGGACCTTTGCTCAGGAAATCAGATCTTGATTTCAGAAGATTTCAACTGCTTCCACAAATTGAATTTCCCACCTGGAGTCAAATTCTCTATTTATAACAAAGATATCATCTGCCCAGAAATCTGTCCTTGGTATGGGCCTAAGTTTGCTGAGATGTGCTGCGAATGATGACCAGCTCCTCGGGCTGGGTGGGCTTGAGGGAACTGAGGCTGTGGTCTCAGAGTATGGAGTCCAGACTGCACCTTTTGGAGAGATCATTGGGCCCCAGCCAGCTTTGTCATCTGAGACCTGGCCCCTGTCAGCACTTGGGCACATTTTCAATGGCTACAGCTGCAGGTGTTTTCTTAGTGACTGTAGTCTTAGGCCTGGTCTCCCCACCTCCACTTCCAGTCCACCATGCCTAGACAGATTGATCTTGCCAAAGCACAACTGGTACCATGACATTCTCCTGCTCAGGAGCCTCAGTGACTGCCCAATACCTGCAGCAGAAAATCCACATTCTTCTGCTAGTGTCCATCTCTCACTACTCCCTTCAGAGAACTGCTCACCCCAGCCAGGTATGGCTCCTCCTTCTTCCTTGCCCATACCCTACCTCCTGTATTTTGGTCTTACCGTTTCCCAGACCTATGTTGCTTTCCACCCTCTCTGCCTAGCCACATTGTGTCCCTCCCCTTAGGCTCCAGCCCCACCACCTGAGAAGATCCCTTCCTCCTAGGAATACTGAACACTTCTCACTGCACCGGTCATTTGGCACATAGCAGCGAGTGAGTTCCTTGTCACAGCGCTTACTTTCTTGGCTTGGATTGTACTTTGTCCTTTTGTGGGTATAGCCCTGTCTCTCTACCTTTGTGGGCACAGGCCAAGCCTTAGGCCTCTTTTGATCTCCCAGAATGCCTGGCCCAGTGCTGGGCCCATGGTGGGGTGCTCAATGAAGGTACCTGGGCCCTGGCTAACTGCCCCTCCTCCCACAGATCCCCGCAGCTCTGCAGTCTCTGGTGGGTGCTTTGCTTTCAGCCTTCAGGGCCTCCTCCTCCCCATCCCCTTTTCTTGTCCTTCACTGGAAGCTCCTAGCATCACTCAGTAGCTTCTTCCTTTTATTAATCATTTTGATGGTTCTTCCCTGGACCCTCTTCAGTTTCTCTGAAATTAATAAATCTAGAGGCAGCCAAAAAAAAAAAAAAACTGGGAAGTTGAAGAAATTTGTCTTTCATACGACCCTCCCTCTTCTGTTTGCTCAGTGTCTGCTATTGAGGCAGACAGCCCTCATTTTCACTTCCTGTTCCCTGAGAGTAAACTTCACTAAAAACAGGCATGTAAATGTCCTTTTTATAATTTACAAATATATATATAGCCTAGCAAGAAGCTAGGAGTTTCTTAACCCTGCGTAGCCAGAAGCTGGGACAAAATGGTTGTTCTAAGATAGACAGAAATGCGTTTCCTGGGTCTTAAAGGAGTCTGGTGGGAATGTGTCCTTAGGGAAGGAAGAACCTTTCTCTGTTCTGGGAGGGATCACTTTCAGTTACATGTTCACTCATGGGCCTTGATGGCCCATTAAGGTATTCAAGTACAACTACTTCAGCCTGGCCTGGAAAATTTTCTCTTTAATCGGAAGATGGGGATGTTCTAGCTGGAGGAGGGGCTGCATCATTGTTTGGTTGAGGAAAAAGAGCTGATATTTACTGAGCCTTTATCAGGTGCAAGGAAGGGATCATGCCCCACAGGTTACATCAAAGATCTAAACAACTCTATGAAGTGTTTTTATCCTCAATTGTAGATGAGGAAACTGAGGCACAGAGAAGCAAAACTTGCCTAAGGGTCCTACTGGTAAGTGGCAGAGTTGGGATTCAAGCCCAGGTCTCTCTGTTGCCAAAGCCTGTGAATTTCATCACCTCTCTATTCTGCCCTGACAAAACTGCCTTTGCAGAGCAAGTATATAAACAAGGGCTACCCTTTGACTACCTTCTCTATGCCCTCAAGGCATGTTTTCAACCTACTACCTGCAGCTTATCTCTTCATCATAGTCTTAACAACTACAATATGCCCCACACCCTGCTCAAATCGCCTTTACTTATCTAGTACAGAAGCATTACAGGCCAATGGATGACAGCACAGAATCTGGAGCCAGACTACCTTAGTTCAAATCTAGACTCTGACATATAGCTTTGTGACACTGGGCAAGTTGCTTAATCGCTCTGTGCCTCAGTTTCCTCATCTACAAATTAGGGCTAAAATAATACCTCACAGAATTGCTAAGAGAATTAAATGAAATAGCAGATGTGTTGGGCTTAGCACAATACTTGGTACCTAGTGAGGTCTCAGCAAATGCTCTGTATCATAATTCTCCCATCTTTTGCCCTTTCTTACCTAGGGTTTCCAGAGGCCTTATGCCATCCTTGGATTATCAAGGATTCCTGTTCATGGCATCCTTTTCAGGCTTGTTGCTGTACTGTCCTCCTTTGAATATCAGCCTTCTCACCTCAAACTTCATGCTGAGTCCAACCCCTTCTCCAACTATTAACCCTTAAAAAAAATCCTAACGTCATCAAAATTAAAAACTTTTGTGTATCAAAGGACACTATTCACAGTGAAAAGGCAGCCCATGGAATGGGAGAAAATATTTGCAAATCATATGCCTGATAAAGAATTGATATTCAGAATATATAAAGAACTTTTACAACTCAACAACAAAAAAAGCAACTCAATTAAAAAACGGGGAAGGGATTTTAATAGATATTTCTCCAAAGAAGATATATAAATGGGCAATGAGCACATGAAAAGATGTTCAACATCACTGATCATTAGAGAAATGCAAGTCAAAACCACACAATGTACCACTTCGCACCCATTAAGGTGGCTATTATGAAAAAAACAAAAACAAAAACAAAAACAGAAAATAACAAGTGTTGGCTAGAGTGTGAAGAAATTGGAACCCTCACATATACTGCTGGTGGGAAGGTTAAATGGTACAGCTGTTATGTATATTTTACCAGAAATTTTTTTAAAAAACAATCCTTTAAATTCCTCAACCCTGTGATGCTGTTAGGCACTGAGGAGGAAATAGTAAACAGAACAGACAAGGTTACTGCTCTCAGGGGTCTTGTATTTTAGAGGAGAGGGAGAGACAAACTGTATTCAACAATTGAATGAATATTTTCAGATAGTGATAAGTGCTATGAAGAAAACAGAGCGGTGATGGGGGAAGTTACTTTGGATTAAATAGTCAAGAAATGCTTCTCCGAGGAAGTGACATTGTGACATTGACCTTAATTCTGAATGAAAAGGAGCCAGTCATATGAGGACCTGGGGGAAGGACATTCTAGGTAGAAGGGACAGCTAGTGCAAAGGCCCTGAGGCTTAAACTAGCTTAGTGCAAACCAAGAACCTAAAAAAGTCCAGTGAATGTGGAGATTAGTTTGGAGAAATAGGCAGAGGCCAGATCCTGGAAGTCCTTACATGATGAGGGTTTGGATTCCAATCTAAATCCACAGAAAGCCATTAAGCAAGGGAGCAACATGATCTGAATGACTGCTTTAAATAAATTAATAGCATCTGTGTGGAGGATGAATCCAGGTGAGAGGTGATACTGGCTTAATGATGGCAGCAGTGGAGATAGAGAGAAGTGGATAGATTCTGGATATATTTGGGAGTTTGACAGGCCCTGCTATTGGATTGGATGTAAGAAGTGAGGTGAAAGGATGACACTTAGGTTCTTCCTGAGCAACTGGATACGTGGTGGCACCACTTACTAAAGTTGAGGAAAAAAGTGGGAGGACTAATTTAGAGGGCAGAAGTTACAAGTTTTGTCTTGGCCATGTTAAGTATGAAATGCCTATGAGACCTCCAAGAGGCAATGCCAAGTTAGCCAGTCAGATACCATCATCATCATCACCATCATCATCATCATCATCTATTTATTGATGCTTACTGTGTACCAAATACTGTCCCTAATGCTCTACATATACTCAATCACTTAATTTTCACAATGACCTTGTAAAATCTGGTATTATTACCCTCTCACTTTACAGAAGAGGAAACTGAGGCAAAACAGTCAAACAACTGACATGGTAAGTGATGGAATCAGGATTTGAACTCCAGACCCTGTGCCAGAATGCCATAAGTTTAGAGCTCAAAGGGCAGGTGAAGGCTAGAAATATAAATTTGGGTGTGTTCATCTTATTAATGCTATTTAGAGTTATTGGGCTGAAAGAAATTATCTTGGAAAGGAGTGAGTGAAAAAGAGATTTAGGGTTGAGCCTGAGAGCATCTCAAATATTTGGAGGATGAATAAAGGAAAAAGAGTCAGCAAAGCAGACAGAGAAAGCACAAGGCAGGAGGCAAGCCACGAAAATGTGGTATCATGACAGCCTAAAAAGGAGAGTGTCCCAGGCCATCTGTGTCCAGTGCTCCTGAAAGGGCCTGTAGGCTGAGGACAGAAACATAACCATATTGGTATGACCAATGTTAAATGAAAGGAAGGGTAGTTTACTAATGTTTACATATCAAGACTTACATAATACATGGTTCCTTCCCTTCCCTTTCTTTTTTTCCTTCCTTCCCTCTTTCATTCACCGATTCAAATATACTGAGGTCCACTTCTGTACTAGTATCTCTGAAAGGTGACCAAAAGGTTCAGATCTAGAATCTCACGGTTTCCTACTCAGTATTTGCTTTGGAAGGGATTTCAGAGTCAGTTTCAGGTTGCAAGAGAATTCAGTCACGCCTGACCCCAAAGAAGGATTTTGGTGGGACAAGACAGCCTTAGGGTGTTGCTAATTTGTTGAAGGTAAGGAAATTGGCACCGATTTTCCTCAGCAGCTTGGGCCTCCTTCCTGGGAACACAGCCTCAGGAGCATTGTATTTTCCACTCTGCTGGACATTTCTTCACAGTAAGCCATAAACAACTACTACCAAGCCTTTCTCAATACATGAAGATTTTCCAGGGAACAAACACGCTCTATACATAATTTTTTACAGTGAAGACCCAGAGTCCAGTTTTGTCTTGCTCAAGGATTCCCTGATTCTGGACTCTTAGTTCACTCTGATCTATTCCTGGTCACGATCCAGCTCTTAGAAAAGTATGTTCTGTTTCTAGGAACATCGACCTCTCATCCAGGCTGAACTTTACTTGAGTAATCAGTAGGTCTCCTCTGCCTTCCAGGTCTCACAGAGACCTATCAATACTTTGTTTTGCTCTCCCTTTATCCTTTACTTAGCTCCCACCAAAAATAGGGGGGGTTATCTTTCATCTGCTTGTAGAATGAGGACCAGTTGGCTACATTCAGGGCCAAAGGGACCGGTCCTCAAGACCGGTTATACTGTAGTTACATTTGTGTGCATATACAGTCCCCATCATTTAGCATAGATATGCCCACTGTACTCCAGGCTAGGGCAGAAGGATGGTATTTTAAAAGGAGTCAGCTCACTAAATTCTTGAAGTGAAACTAATTTCAATTATATATACACATATATGTGTATATGCATATTCACACACATATATAACAATACATATGCAAAACTATATATAAAATATATACATAAACGATATATCTATATATGCTCATATATAGACATAGATCTATTTATGTATTTCTACTTACACAGATATACATTTATAGATATAGATAACTTAAAAAAAGATAACTATAGCTCTATTTATAGATCTATGTATAAGAGGAATGGAGAGCTACCCCCCAAGACATACAATGCCTCATAACCTCCTCCTAGAGCCAGCTTTTCTAGTGGACAAGTGATTTGAAATCATCTTTGTATCTCTCTCAGCGTATGGCCTACTACCACATACAAACACACACACACACTAATAGTAGATCCTTACTGGATATATGTTGAATTTATTAGAATTAAATGTTCAGGCTTTGATGTCTGACATTGCTAATATCTATAGGACTAAGTTGTGATTCTAGTTCAATGTGATCTTTACTAAGTTGCTTTATCTTTCTGGATCCAACTTTTGACAATCTGTAAAAAGAGCAAATTAAACTAGATTATTTATAAAAGACCTTTCCAATTCTGATAATCAGTGATTACCTGGGAGAAATGATGAATACTACAGGGTGGGAAGGGTGTATGGGTGAGAAGGGAGGATAAAGAGAGGTAAGTTAACAGGTACAAACATATAGTTAGATAAAAGGTGTAAGTTCTATCATTTGACAGCAGAGTAGAGTGACTGTTGTTAACAACAATGAATTTCATATTTCAAAGTAGCTAGAAGAGAGGATTTGAATTGTTCCCAACACATAGAAATGATAAATATTCAATGTGATGGACACCTCAAATATCCTGGCTTGATCATTACACATTTTATGCATATGACACAGTATCCCACATGACCCATAAATATGTAAAATATGTATCAGAAAATACAAAAATAATTAAAAAATGATTACCTGGGTATGGGACATACAAGAGATGGAAAAGATCAAAAGGAAACCCATTCTTTTTTTTTTTTTTTTTTTGAGACATCTGTCGCCCAGGCTGGAGTGCAGTGGCGCAATCGGCTCACTGCAAGCTCCGCCTCCCGGGTTCACGCCATTCTCCTGCCTCAGCCTCACGAGAAGCTGGGACTACAGGCGCCCGCCACCACACTCGGCTAATTTTTTTGGATTTTTAGTAAAGACGGGGTTTCACCATGTTAGCCAGGATGGTCTCCATCTCCTGACCGCATGATCCACCCGCCTCTGCCTCCCAAAATGCTGGGATTAAAGACGTGAGCCAACGTGCCCAGCCGGAAATCTCTTCTTTTAAGAACATTTAGCACTGAAAGGCTTGCAACGTCTGGAGAAGGATGGGAGAAGTTCGTTGGGGAGAGGAGGAACAAGTATCTGAAACTAGAGAAGCAGGGGTGTGCAAGAGGGAAAGAAAGACTTTTCATTCCAAATAATAGCTAATATTACTGAACCCTAACTAGGTGCCAGGCTCATTACAATCTCATTTAATCCTCACAACAGATCTATGAGTTAAGTACTATTGTCATTCTCATTATAGAGATGAAAAACTGGCACAGAAAGGTAAGTAAACTGCACAAGGGTGCATAGCTGGCAAACAAGAGTTGGGCTGTGAACCCTGGCAGTGTGACCCCAGAGCATGTACCCTTAAGCACTACTCTACTGCCTCCAGAGATCGGAGAGGAAGAATTTATAGAATATGGATTCCATTTGGGTACTTGATGACCAACTCAGGGAAAAGGAAGCCAGGCCAAGTGTAGGAACTTGGAAGAAACCAGTTAGAAGTTAGGAAGAAATGAAGTTAGGCTCTGAATCAATTGCATATACTAACATTGTCCAACTAAGAGACTCCTCACAGCCCACAGTGAAGTAGTTACTGCTGCTCTCGAGATGTGGGAGGGCCAAGGAATCCAGGGAACTGTGTTCTAAGGGCTGAGGCAAACCTGCCCTTGAACCACCAAGAGTAGTAGTGAAGACACTCAAGCTGTCTGCCCGGCAGCAAGCTGTGTGCTGCCACCAGTTTTTTTCAATCACTGTGAAAGCAGGAACACCATGTCCTGCCTTTGTCCTAGGCCCTGAGAAGTGAGCCCAGCACAGGAGGGGCATTTTTCATGCTTTCTACTCCAAGCCCTCCCCACTTAAGAGAAATGGCCTCAGTGTTCATTTCTTCTCTTACAATTCCCCATCTTTCTGTGACCTGGATGAATCTGCCAGTTGACCCAGCAGCTCCTGCCTTTTTTCAGTTTACTTGGAAGTCTCCCGATGAGAGCCAAAGACTGAGCTACATGCTGCGGTAGTTCAAAATGGATCAAACAAACCCCTGTCTTTGAGTTACTCATTCTAGAAAGATTCTGAGTGACTGCAGTTGCCTATTGACAATTCACCCGGCCCCAGGAATCTGGCCACAGAGAGGTTCCAGTACCTGGTAGACAAAGCTGAAAGACAGTTTGTTGTCTTCCTAGAAAGAGGGAGGCACAATTACAGGTGCTAGGTTTCTAGGCCTGCTAAGCAAGGACTTCTCCCTGTGAGCCATCTTGACTCTAACCCACTTCCTCCAGTGGTGGCGTCGTAATTCCTCATTGGCTTTTTTCCATGCTTCCCTCTTTTTGGTTCCCCTCATTGGAAGAATGTTCTCTCACACTTGGACACAGGAAGGGGAACATCACACACTGGGGTCTGTCATGGGGTGGGGGGAGGGGGGAGGGATAGCATTAGGAGAGTTACCTAATGTAAATGACGAGTTAATGGGTGCAGCACACCAACATGGTGCATGTATACATAGGTAATAAACCTGCACATTGTGCACATGCACCCTAGAACTTAAAGTATAATAATAATAATAATAATTTTTTAAAAAAGAAGAATGTTCTCTCCAGGAAGCCCTAGACAGCCCAAGGGGTCCAATGGGGTTGTCTGAACCTTGAAATCTCCCTGTCTATGACTCTTCAGGGATCATGTGTGAGGCTATGGCCAGGAGGGAGTGGCCTCACAGATCACCTTTCCTCATTTAATCAGGAAGCAAACAGGTCTGCCCATACCATTCACCCCAGCATACCCAAGGTTCTTATGGAAGTGGCTCTAGAAGATATGACAGCCCAATTCCTCTGCTCCATGCCCCAGGCTCTCTTGTTCTGACCACAAGATAATCTTCAGCTTTGCTATCAAGCAGTTTCCAGAGACCTCTTCAGAACTGCCCAGGGAGGACCACAAAAATCAGCTGCATCTACTGGACCTGCCTGTACTTGCTGGCAGACACAAGCCCAGGCAGACTGAGAGAAGCCTCTTTAGCTAGTGTGGAAATGCCAACAGCCTATATCTCCCAGGGCTAAGAGGCGCCTTTGCTATTCCCTCTTCCTTTTACTCCCTGCAAAATGCCCACTTGAAGGCACTCTTTAATGTTCTTTTAAAGAGGATTTCAATGCTGGAAGAATAACCTGATTTGCCCCAGCTCATGCCCTCACCAGGGAAGGTTTAGAACACTTTCTGGGGTACTATTCGGCTGTAGTGCCTTTCTCTGCTCATGGCCATCCCTGCTCTTACCGTTTTGGAGGACACTGCCTTTCCATAACAGAACATCTTCTATCTCAACTGCCGGTTGGTCCTAGAAGAAGCTTGGAGAGGCCTTTGTATAAGAAGTTCCCGGAGTGCTATGCATGGTGTGATCCTGGTTCCTGGGCTACATTCTATGCCAGGCACTGGGGACAGAGTGGCGACGAAGACAGACTCTGTTCTTGTCCTTGCGGAGCTTACAGTCTAATGGGAGAAAAAGACATTAACTGAATCATCAGACATATAACTAAAATAATTACAGATTGTGATGAGAACAAGGAAGGATACAAATGATGCTCAAGTAGAGACTGACAGGGGTGAGAGAAGATGACTTTTTTTTTTAATTGAAATGACACATGAACCTGGTTAAAAAAATCAAACGGTACAGAAAAACTTACAATGAAGAGCAAAACCCTTTCTGCCACCCCATCCACCTTCAGACCCACAAAGCTGCCATTTTTAATCTTTCTCTTTTAATTCTTCTGACGATTGACCTCTAGTTCACTAAATAATATGCCTCTGCTCTCTTCCTTGATTTATCAACTTGAGATACTTATCTATTGAATTTCTACTATGATAGATGAGAGGGCAGTACTCAATAACATACCCACTTCCACTCCTTCACACCCCCAATAGAGTTATGGAATATTGTTGTTCTACTACTAATTACTTTTAGAACATTGAATAATGTATCTGAAATCTTATATATTATACCATAAACTATAGATAGCATCTCTTGACTCCCCATTTTTATCAGATGGAGCTATTCAAGTCCATATGCTTCCCTCCACCTCTTCTCCCCTTCTACTTTCATTTTCTGTCAAATGTTTACTTCTACATTGTCAAAGCTGATAGTATTTACATTTTCTTCTATAACTATGAATACATCTCCCATGCTTTGTTTATAGGTAGATTCTAAAAGTTGACAGCCAATAAATCATGTTTACATTATTGTGACTTTGCCAATATAATTCACTACAGAGAGGAATGTATTATGATTTGCATGGGCCCAAGGAACTTTGGCCTTCCTGCACCCTTCCTTCATTAAACAAACTGTATTTTATGACTGCATTAGTATAAAGATAAGTATATTAATATTATGTGCTGAAACATCTTTGACCTAAAAATCCATTTTTACTTCTGACTTTAAAATAAATTAAAACATTTTCACATTCTCAAACTTCATATAATGGAATCATATGTAGGCAACCTTTTGTGCATGACTTCTTTAAATTAGTGTAATTTTTATAATCTTTTGAAATAGCTTTACTGAGGTGTAAATGACCTACAATAAACTGCACGTGTTAAAGGTGTACAATTTGATAAGTTTTGACATATGTTTATCCTTGTGAAACCATCACCACAATCATATCCAACACCTCCAAAAGTTTTCTTCAGGCTCCTTTGCAAATCATTTCTTTATCCCTAGGCAACCACTGACCTGCTTTCTGTCACTATAAATTAGAATCATGCAGTATGTGTACTTCTGCGTCTGACTTCTTTCACACATCATAATATTTATGAAATTCATGTTGTTTCATGTATCATTAGTCAATTCCCTTTTATTGCTGAGTAGTACTCCATGGTATGGATTTACTAAAATTTGTTTATTCACTTTTATTGGGTATTTGGATTGTTTCCATTTTTTGACAATTGTAAATAAAGCTGCTAAGAGGATTTGTGTACAGGGTTTTGTGCAGACATATGTTTTCCATTCTCTCTACGAGTGAAAAAGCTGTATCATATGATTGGTATTAAGTTTAACTTTATGACACTGCCAAAGTACTTTCCAAAGTGGTTGTACCATTTTAGAATCCCACCAACAATGAAACAGAGTTCCAGTTGCTTTACATCCTTGCCAAACTTGGTATTAACATTCCTTTTTATTTCAATTACTAGTGGCTCTCTAAAGGCACACTTTTGCAGTTTTAATTCTCATTTCCTGAATGATGAATTTTATGTGTTTGTGAGCCGTTTTTGTATCCTCATTTGTAAAGTGACTTTTCAAAAAATTTTTTGCCCACTTAAAAATATTGGTTTGTTTCAGTAAGTTTTATTGAGTTTGATTTTTTTCACAGATGGAGTCTCGCTGTGTTGCCCAGGCTGCAACCTCAAGTGATCCTTCTTGGCCTCCTAAAGTGTTGGGATTACAGGCATGAGCCACTGTGCCTGGCCTCTTACTAAGTTTTAATAGCCTCTTTACATATTCTAGATACAAGTTCTTTGTCAGATATGTGATTTGCAAATATTTTCTCCCAATTTGTAGCTTGTCTTTTTATTCTCTTAACAGTATCTCTCACAGAGCAAAAGTTTTACCTTTTAATAAAGTCCAATTTACCAATTTTTCTTTTTTATGGATCAAGCTTTTGGTGGTATATCCAAAAGTTCTTTGCCTAACCCAAGGTCACAAAGATTTTCCCTTACATCTTCTTCTAAAAGTTTTATAGTTTTAGGTTTTGCATTTAGATCTAATATCTATTTTGAATTCACTTTTATATAAGGTATAATATTTAGGTCAATGTTCTTTTTTTAAAACTGTGGATGTTCAACTGTTTCAGCATTATTTGTTGAAAAGATGATGTTTTCTCTGCTGAATTGTTCTTGCATCTTTGTCTTTTTTTTTTTTTTTCAGACAGAGTCTCACTCTGTCACCCAGGCTCTGGAGTGCAGTGGCACCATCTTGGCTCACTGCAGCCTCTGCCTCCCGGGTTCAAGCAATCCTCTTGCCTCAGCCTCCCTATTAGCTGGGATTACAGGTGCCCACCACTATGCCCTGCTAATTTTTGATCTTTAGTAGAGATGGGGTTTCTCCATGTTGGCCAAGCTGGTCTTGAACTCCTGACCTAGGGTGATCTGCCCTCCTCAGCCTCCCAAAGTGCTGGGATTACAGGCATGAGCCACCACACCTGGCCTTTTGTCTCTTTTTTGTACATCTCTTTCTGAACTCTCTTTTCCATCTCATTGATTTATGTGCCTATCTCTTCACTAGTAACACTCAGTATTGATTACTTAACTTTCTATAAATCTTAAAATCATTCAATGTGATTCCTCTAATTTTATTTTTTCCACAAATAATGTCTTGGCTTTTCTAATTCCTTTGCCTTTTCTTTCTTTTTTTCTTTTTCTCTTCTTTCTTTTTTTTCCCCTCTGAACTTTTAATCAGCCTCCTGCTCCCCAAAGAGTACCCTGCTTCTGCTGGCTTAATGTCTGACATCACTTTATGATCCACTATCCGGCAGATGGTGGTCTTTTGAATGGTTTGCATGGAATTGCTGGTGTCCAGGGCATCACCAAGATTGAAGTCCTTGCCATCTTCCAGCAGGTGGCAGTAGGTGGCGATCTTAGCCTCCAGCTTGACCTTGATGTTCAGCAGGGCCTTGTACTCCTGGGCCTGGCACTGTCCCTCTGCCCGGATCTGTGCCAGCTCCGACTCCAGGTGGAGCAGGATCCCGTTGATCTGCTCCATCTGTAGGGCATAGCGGGCCTCCACTTTCCTCAGGCTGCTCTCCAAGCTTGCCTTCAGATTTCTCATTGAGTCCAGGTCAATCTCCAAGGACTGGACTGTATGTCTCAGTTCCGTGAGCGCCATCTCAGCAGCTCCAACCTCGGCGGACTGTGTGGTGACCATTGTGGTGCTCTCCTCAGTCTGCTGAGACCCGTACTTGTCCAGCTCCTCTTGGTTCTCCCGAGCCAGCTAGTCATATTGGGCCTGGATGTCTGCCATGATTTTGGTGAGGTCCTGAGATTTGGGGTATCTACCTCCATGGACAACCCAGAGCTGGCAATCTGGGATTGTAGGCCTTTTACTTCCTCTTCGTGGTTCTTCTTCATGAAGAGCAACTCCTCCTTGAGAGCCTTGACCTCTGCCTCTAGCTGCAGCTGAGTGACATTGGTGTCATCAATGATCTTGTGGAGCCCATGGATGTCGCTCTCCACAGACTGGTGCATGGTCAGCTCTGTCTCATCCTTGACTCTAAAGTCATCTGCTGATGCAAGACAGGCATTGTCGATCTTCAGAACGATGCGGGCATTGTCCACACCTTTGCCTTTTCATATTAATTTTAGAATAAGCTTGTCTATATCTGCAAGAAACCCCTTGGAATTTTGGTAAATATTTATTATTTATCAAATGATGAATATAAATGATAAATATTGCATTAAATCTATAGCCAGTTAGGGATAATTGACATTTTAACCATGTTAAGTCTTCTAATTCATGAATATGGTATGTCTCTCCATTATTTAGGTTTATCTGATTTCTTTTATCAGCATTTCATAGTATTCAGCATATGAACCCTGACATGGTTGGGAATGTGGCTTTGAAAAACACAACTCTACGAGACATTCGGTTGGCTTTTTCAGTTAGAAAACTCATGTTTTCCATTGGCTTTCAGAATTTTATCATATTACTTCTTTGATAATTTTCTCCCTTCTTTCTGGAATTTCTAATAATTGGATGCTAGATGTTGAACTTCCTAATTTTTTCTTCATTATTGCTTTTCCTTTATTTCTTATCTATTTTTCCCCATTGTGAGGGATTTCCTCATCTTTATCTTCCAGTCCTTTGTAGTAGGCAGAATTCTACGATTGCCCCCAAGATTCCTGACTCATGTACATGTCCTGTATAACCCTCTCCTCTTGCGTGTGGGTGAGACCTGTGAATAGGATGGCATGTTACTTTCATGATCAGGTTATATGGCAAAAGTAAAGGAATTTTGCAGGCATCGTTAAGATCTCAAATAAGTTTATTTTTAGTTAATCAAAAGTGATATTATTCTGGGTAGACCTGACTTAATCAGTGAGCTTTTTTTTTTATACTTTAAGTTCTAGGGTACATGTGCACAACGTGCAGGTTTGTTACATAGGTATATATGTGCCATGTTGGTTTGCTGCACCCATTAACTCATCATTTACATTAGGTATTTCTCCTAATGCTATCTTTCCCCCAGCCCCCCACCCCATGACAGGCCCCAGGGTGAGATGTTCCCCGCCCTGGGTCCAAGTGTTCTCATTGTTCAATTCCCACCTATGAGTGAGAACATGCAGTGTTTGGTTTTCTGTCCTTGTGATAGTTTGCCCAGAATGATGGTTTCCAGCTGCATCCATATCCCTGAAAAGGACATGAACTCATCCTTTTTATGGCTGCATAGTATTCCATGGTGTATGTGTGCCACATTTTCTTTATCTAGTCTATCATTGATGGATATTTGGGTTGGTTCCAAGACTTTGCTATTGTGAATAGTGCCACAATAAACATATGCGTGCATGTGTCTTTATAGTAGCATGATTTATAATCCTTTGGGTATATATCCAGTAATGGGATGGATGGGTCAAATGGTATTTCTAGTTCTAGATCCTTGAGGAATCGCCACACTGTCTTCCACAATGGTTGAACTAGTTTACACTCCCACCAACAATGTAAAAGGGTTCCTATTTCTCCATATCCTTTCCAGCATCTGTTTTTTCCTGACTTTTTAATGATCGCCATTCTAACTGGTGTGAGATTGTATCTCATTGTGGTTTTGACTTGCATTTCTCTGATGACCAGTGATGATGATGATGAGCATTTTTTCATGTGTCTTTTGGCTGCATAAATGTCTTCTTTTGAGAAGTGTCTGTTCATATCCTTTGCCCACTTTTCGATAGGGTTGTTTGTTTTTTTTCTTGTAAATTTGTTCAAGTTCTCTGTAGATTCTGGATATTAGCCCTTTGTCAGATGAGTAGATTACAAAAATTTTTTCCCATTCTGTAGGTTGCCTGTTCACTCTGATGGTAGTTTCTTTTGCTGTGCAGAAGCTCTTTAGTTTAATTAGATCCCATTTGTCTATTTTGGCTTTTGTTGCCATTGCTTTTGGTGTTTTAGTCATGAAGTCCTTGCCCATGCCTATGTCTTGAATGGTATTGCCTAGGTTTTCTTCTAGGGTTTTTATGGTTTTGGGTCTAATACTTAAGTCTTTAATCCATCTTGAATTAATTTTTGTATAAGGGGTAAGGAAGGGATCCAGTTTCAGCTTTCTACACATGGCTAACCAGTTTTCCCAGCACCATTTATTAAATAGGGAATCCTTTCTCCATTTCTTGTTTTTGTCAGGTTTGTCAAAGATCAGATGGTTGTAGATGTGTGGTGTTATTTCTGAGGCCTCTGTTTTGTTCCACTGGCCTATATATCTATTTTGGTACCACTACCATGCTGTTTTGGTTACTGTAGCCTTGTAGTATAGTTTGAAGTCAGGTAGCATGATGCCTCTAGCTTTGTTCTTTTTGCTTAGGATTGTCTTGGCAATGCAGGCTCTCTTTTGGTTCCATATGAACTTTAAAGTAGTTTTTTCCAATTCTGTAAAGAAAGTTATTGGTAGATTGATGGGGATGGTATTGAATCTATAAATTACCTTGGGCAGTATGGCCATTTTCACAGTGTTGATTTTTCCTATCCATGAGCATGGAATGTTCTTTCATTTGTTTGTGTCTTCTTTTATTTCACTGAGCAGTGGTTTGTAGTTCTGCTTGAAGAGGTCCTTCACATCCCTTGTAAGTTGGATTCCTAGGTATTTTATTCTCTTTGTAGCAATTGTGAATGGGAGTTTGCTCATGATTTTGCTCTCTGTTTGTCTGTTATTGGTGTATAGGAATGCTTGTGATTTTTGCATATTAATTTTGTATCCTGAGACTTTGCTGAAGTTGCTTATCAGCTTAAGGGGATTTTGGGCTGAGACAATGGGGTTTTCTAAATATATAATCATGTCATCTGCAAACAGGGACAATTTGACTTCCTCTTTTCCTAACTGAATACCTTTTATTTCTTTTTCTTGCCTGATTGCCCTGGCCAGAACTTCCAACACTATGTTGAATAGGAGTGGTGAGAGAGGGCATCCCTGTCTTGTGCCAGGTTTCAAAGGGAATGCTCCCCGTTTTTGCCCATTCAGTATGATATTGGCTGTGTGTTTGTCATAAATAGCTCTTATTATTTTGAGATACGTCCTGTCAATAACTAGTTTATTGAGAGATTTTAGCATGAAGGGCTGTTTAATTTTGTCAAAGGCCTTTTCTACATCTATTGCGATAATCATGTGGTTTTCTTCATTGGTTCTGTTTATGTGATGGATTATGTTTATTGATTTGTGTATGTTGAACCAGCCTTGCATCCCAGGGATGAAGCCCACTTGATCGTGGTGGATAAGCTTTTTGA
Source organism: Homo sapiens (assembly GCF_000001405.40). Classification (NCBI taxonomy): domain Eukaryota; kingdom Metazoa; phylum Chordata; class Mammalia; order Primates; family Hominidae; genus Homo; species Homo sapiens. Next base: position 107,425,479 of record NC_000023.11, on the reverse strand, counting down.
TGGGCTGCTGGATTCGGTTTGCCAGTATTTTATTGAGGATTTCCGCATCAAAGTTCATCAGGGATATTGGTCTAAAATTCTCTTTTTTTGTTGTGTCTCTGCCAGGCTTTGGTCTTAAGATGATGCTGGCCTCATGAAATGAGTTAGGGAGGATTCCCTCTTTTTCTATTGATTGGAATCGTTTCAGAAGGAATGGTGCCAGCTCCTCTTTTTACCTCTGGTAGAATTCGGCTGTGAACCCGTCTGGTCCTGGACTTTTTTTGGTTGGTAGGCTATCAATTATTGCCTCAATTTCAGAGCCCGTTATTGGTCTATTCAGAGATTCAACTTCTTCCTGGTTTAGTCTTGGGAGGGTGTATGTGTCCAGGAATTTATCCATTTCTTCTAGATTTTCTAGTTTATTTGCCTAGAGGTGCCCTTATATTCTCTGATGGTAGTTTGTATTTCTGTGGGATCGGTGGTGATATCCCCTTTGTCATTTTTTATTGCTTCTATTTGGTTCTTCTCTCTTTTCTTCTTTATTAGTCTTGCTAGAGGTCTACCATTTTTGTTGATCTTTTCAAAAAACCAGCTCCTGGATTGGTTGATTTTTTGAAGGGTTTTTATGTCTCTATCTCCTTCGGTTCTGCTCTGATCTTCGTTATTTCTTGCCTTCTGCTAGCTTTTGAATTTGTTTGCTCTTGCTTCTTTAGTTCTTTTAATTGTGATGTTACGGTGTCGATTTTAGATCTTTCCTGCTTTCTCTTGTGGGCATTTAGTGCTATAAATTTCCCTCTACACACTGCTTTAGTTGTGTCCCAGAGATTCTGGTACGTTGTGTCTTTGTTCTCATTGGTTTCAAAGAGCATCTCTATTTCTGCCTTCATTTCATTATTTACCCAGTAGTCATTCAGGAGCAGGTTGTTCAGTTCAGTTTCCATGTAGTGGTGTGGTTTTGAGTGAGTTTCTTAATCCTGAATTCTAATTTGATTACACTGTGGTCTGAGAGACAGTTTGTTGTGATTTCTGTTCTTTTACATTTGCTGAGGAGTGCTTTACTTCCAACTATGTGGTCAATTTTGGAATAAGTGCTATGTGGTGTGGAGAAGAATGTATATTCTGTTGATTTGGGGTGGAGAGTTCTGTAGATATCTGTTAGGTCTGCTTGGTGCAGAGCTGAGTTCAAGTCCTGGATATCCTTGTTAACCTTCTGTCTTGTTGGTCTGTCTAATATTGACAATGGGGTGTTAAAGTCTCCCATTATTATTGTGTGGGAATCTAAGTCTCTTTGTAGGTCTCTAAGGACTTACTTTATGAATCTGGGTGCTCCTTTATTGGGTGCATATATATATTTAGGATAGTTAGCTCTTCTTGTTGAATTGATCCCTTTACCATTGTGTAGTGGCCTTCTTTGTCTCTTTTGATATTTGTTGGTTTAAAGTCTGTTTTATCAGAGACTAGGATTGCAACCCCTGCTTTTTTTTGCTTTCCATTTGCTTGGTAGATCTTCCTCTATCCCTTTATTTTGAGCCTATGTGTGTCTCTGCACATGAGATGGGTCTCCTGAATACAGCACACTGATGGGTCTTGACTCTTTATCCAATTTGCCAGTCTGTGTCTTTTAATTGGGACATTTAGCCCATTTACATTTAAGGTTAATATTGTTATGTGTGAATTTGATCCTGTCATTATGATGTTAGCTGGTTATTTTGCCCGTTAGTTGATGCAGTTTCTTCTTAGCCGCGATGGTCTTTACAATTTGGCATGTTTTTGCAGTGGCTGGTACCGGTTGTTCCTTTCCATGTTTAGTGCTTCCTTCAGGTACTCTTGTAAGTCAGGCCTGGTGGTGATAGAATCTCTCAGCATTTGCTTGTCTGTAAAGGATTTTATTTCTCCTTCACTTATGAAGCTTAGTTTGGCTAGATATGAATTTCTGGGTTGAAAATTCTTTTCTTTAAGAATGTTGAATATTGGCCCCCACTCTCTTCTGGCTTGTAGAGTTTCTGCTGAGAGATCCACTGTTAGTCTGATGGGCTTCCCTTTGTGGGTAACCCGATCTTTCTCTCTGGCTGCCCTTAACATTTTTTCCTTCGTTTCAACCTTGGTGAATCTGACAATTATGTGTCTTGAGGTCGCTATTCTCGAGGAGTATCTTTGTGGTGTTCTCCGTATTTCCTGAATTTGAATGTTGGCCTGCCTTGCCAGGTTGTGGAATTTCTCCTGAATAATATCCTGAAGAGTGTTTTCCAACTTGGTTCCATTCTCCCCGTCACTTTCAGGTACACCAATGAGACGTAGATTTGGTCTTTTCACATAGTCCCATATTTCTTGGAGGCTTTGTTCGTTTCTTTTTACTCTTTTTCTCCAATTTTGTCTTCTCACTTTATTTCATTAATTTGATCTTCAATCACTGATACCCTTTCTTCCACTTGATTGAATTGGCTATTGAAGCTTGTGCATGCGTCACCTAGTTCTCGTGCCATGGTTTTCAGCTCCATCAGGTCATTTAAGGTCTTCTCTACACTGTTTATTCTAGTTAGCCATTCGTCTAATATTTTTTCAAGGTTTTTAGCTTCCTTGCGATGGGTTCGAGCATCCTCCTTTAGCTCAGAGTAGTTTGTTATTACTGACCTTCTGAAGCTTACTTCTGTCAGCTCACCAGTGAGCTTTTCAAAGGGAGTCTAGGAGTCAGAGACAGAACCTGGAGTGACCCTTTCACTGGCCTTGAATAAGAAAACAGTTGTTTTGTGAACTGCCTACAGAGATGGCAACTTTGAGTTGTAAGGGTCTCATTCTTACAACTTTAAGGAATTGAATTCTGCCAACAACCCACATGAGCTTGGAAAACCCTGAGTTCCAGATAAGGACACATCTTAAGGTTATCTTGATTGCAGCCTCGTGAGGCTCTAAGCAGGGAATCCCTGCTATGTTGTGCTTGGACTTCTGGACCTGCAGAAATCATAAGATTAAAAATGTGGGTTGTTTTAAGCCACTAAGCTTATGGTAATTTGTTATGAAGCAATAGAAAACTAATATACCTTTTATGATATTTTATTTTGCCAATCATATATTTTATTTCCAATAGCTCATCATTTAAAAAAATTAAACTGCCCAGGCGCTGTGGCTCATGCCTGTAATCTCAGCACTTTGGGAGGCCGAGGTGCGTGGATTACCTGAGGTCAGGACTTTGAGACCAGCCTGGCCAACATGGCAAAACCCCGTCTCTACTAAAAATACAAAAATTAGCCGGGGAAGGTGGTAGGTGCCTGTAATTCCAGTTACTCAGGAGGCTGAGGCAGGAGAATTGCTTGAACCCGGGAGGCGGAGGTTGCAGTGAGCTGAGATCGCGCCATTGCTCTCCAGCCTGGGTGAAAGGGCAAGACTCTGTCTCAAAAAAAAGAATTAAACTAATTTATTTCAAATAAGTAGTACCTTTGCGTGGTTCAGACATCAAAGCAATGTACAAATGTTTACATTGAAAAGTCTCGCAAAGAGCTCAATTGCATTCTTTGTTCTTATTTTTTATTGCAATCTATTATTGTTTTACAGATGTAATACTGTCTCAAATTTCTCTGTGGATACTACTTGGAATTTTATTTATAGCACCTTTAGTTCCCTAAATCAACTCTGCTCGTTTCATTAAATCTTGTGATTTTTCTTTAAAGTTCCAGTCTTCCCTCACATGTCTAATTGTCTTATATTCTTTTGTTTCCTGTTTATCTTTTAAAATGAAGCTATAGAGAGTCTGATTGGGAGCTGGGCATATGTGAGCAGACCTTGACAATGGGCAGATTTTGCTTAAGGACAATGGGAGGGGATCTGTATATTAATCTTTTGCAGAGGATATGGGGTGGGGTTTAAATACCAAACTACAAAAGGCCTAACTCTGAGTCACTGACATACAACTAGCTGCCCTAATTCTCTCTAGAGACTTTATTCAATATCTGTAGTGAAGAAACTGTTTGGTTTTAGGCTGGCAAGTAAATATTTGTCTTCCAGGTCATCTCCATGTAGGAACTGGGGGTCAATTCTTCTTTATACAGACCTTCGGTTAATCTCCCTGGTGTCAGCCCCAGTCCTCACTCTTATTTCTGTCGTACCTGTAGTCTTGCTAAGGTTTGCAAGGTAGGCGAGCTGTCTCCTTAGCTGCAGCCCTTCCACACAGAGTTTCAACTGATTGTTTGCTCCACTCGACTTCATCAGTTAGCACTGCTCAGATGCTTTCTGACTTCAGAAATTTATTTAAATTTCTCAGCCACTGATGGCCTCCCTCCTGTTCTCTTTGTTGTGGTGGGTTTATGCATTTTAAAATGTCTGTGCTATTATTTTAATGAGGCCTCTGGAGGGACAAGACTTAAATGTTTGTGCTCAGTCTACCATCTTGAACTGGAAAAATGTACAATGGGGATAATAGTGGTGCCTATTACATAGTTTTTTTTTTAGATTAAATGATTTATGCATGTAAATTGCTTAGCACAGTGCCCGGCACATATTTATTTATAAATATTAGTTATTACTATTCCCTGGACAGGGAATCTTTTCCTAATGCTGTTAAAAACTATGCCAGGCAGGTGACCACTGCAGCCAACATCAAGTCAGGCTTGGTGTAAGTCTGAATTTTACTTCCTTTGGCTCCAGAAATGATGCTTCCAAAAACAGCTTTAAATTTGAGCAAAAGCCATGGGGGAGGGTGGTGGGTGGGTAGAGGGAAGAGCTGCATGCCCCAGGGAGGGTAAGCCCTGAACGGAAGCAGTGAAGCAGAACCTGAGCAACAAAATCTCAATTTTTGCTTGCAGCAAACTGGGGAGCCAGATGTGTTAATGGATGGAGAGTGGTCCTAAGTAGCAGCGGCAGCAGCAGCAGCAGCAGGCTCAAGTAGAGGCCAGAACTAAGGCAAGAAGGCTGACTATTAATACAAAGGCTCAAATTTGTCATTGACCCAAGGAGGCTAAGCAGGGTGGAGGCTGGAACCAGGAGACAAACGAATAAGATTGGATTTGTTTTTCTCTCAGAAGGATTGATAATCTTCCCACTAGCAACTCATTCCCTTCCTTGTTCAGCAAGCTCCCTCACTTCCTCCTGAGTGATTGTGGGCACTGCGCTTGGCTGCACCCACTAACCCCTTAGGCAGAGGCCAGAAGGACCTGCTGCTGTGAACTGTATCCTCAGTCTTCTCCTCCAATGGAGCCAGCTCCCTGAGGATGAGGCTGATCATATATGCGGTAGGAATAGGTAGCCTGCCTAGGTTTTGTAAAATCTTTAGCAGAGCTGCCAAAACGTGATCCTGCCCAGGGATACCTCCCTAACTAGCCTATTATGCTGCCTGAAATTACATAGCTCTTTTGGGTTTGGTGTCTTCAGAGTTCTGAGTTAAAATGCAAATGCCATGGCTATTTGCTGTTCAGGCATGAGTTCATTACCAGCCAGAAGACATTAAGTCTAATTTGTTTAGTCAATCAAATGGCCATCTAGCAGACTTCTCAAAAGGGGAAGAGAGGAAAAGAAAGGGTACCTGTACCTGGCAGAAAGAGAGAGACAGAAAGAGAGAGAGAAAGAAGAGAGAGAGAGAGAAAGAAGAGAGAGAGAGAGAGATCAGGAGCAGGGGTACCCTCGAGGCAATCTTCTCAACTTGGATAGAAGGCTGGAATGCTTTCCAAGATCTCTTCCTTATGTGATTCTACAATTCTAAATCTTTGGAAAGCTAGAAAGTAAAATGATTCATCTATTTCTCTTGCTGATTTGGGAATTCCATAGTATCCAGTCACTTGAAAAAAGAGGGAAAGATAACAGGGGCAAATGTCTGGAAAGGAATTTGGATCAAAGCCTTGGGAGGTCCTTTGCCTTCCCAACACCTTCGGGGAAATACGGTAGAGTTAAGAGAGCCCTGAAATTTGATTTTAGGGTTATGATTCTATCCCAAACCCACTCTATTTTCCAGGGCAATCACTTGCTTTTTCTGCCTCAACCTCTTTCCGTACAATGGGCATGATGATCCCTGCCCTCCCTATCTCCACAGGATTGTATGGAGGATCAAATCAATTGAAGGTCATGGAAGTGGTCCAAATCCTCCAGAGTTCATTAAATATAAGATGCTTTTATGTATTAGGCTTCACAAGGCGTAGTAGCTAGCCTCAATTTGAAGGAAGGTTTTTTTTTTTTTTTTTTTGAGAAAGGATCTGACTATGTTGCCCAGGCTGGTCTTGAACTCCTGGGCTCAAGTGATTCTCCTCCTCCAGCCTCCTGAGTAGCTGGAATTACAGGAATGTACCACTACGCCTGGCTTGGAAGATATTTTTTAAATAACTTTTCCTTAATTGTGAAAGCAGTATATAATCATGGAAAATATAGAGAGGTATCAAGTGAAATATTAAAATCACCCTTAATCCACTCGAACATAGGTATCTTTAATGATATGGATTTTGGTCTATTTCCTTTTAGTCTTTTTTCCTTCATTAGGGCAAAGACTGTTTGGCCCACTGCAATATCCCCAAAATCTATCACTATACTCAGTAGATCTTCGATACATATTTTTTTGAAATAATGAATACATATACTTATTATATTTTTAAATACTATACATTTTGCATCCCGATTTCTTTACCTAATTAAATCCTGAACATTTCCTATGACACTAAATATTATTTTAAAACATGATTTTTAATGTCTGCATTGTATTCCATCATATCAATGTATCAGCCCTCTATTATAGGGCATTTGGGTTGCTTCCAACCTTCCACTATTATAATTAAAGTTTAGATTAATATCCTCATAGCAAAATCTTTGTGCCCATATGGTTTATTTCCTTTGGATAAATTCTTAGCAGTGGGATTACTGGGTGACATGGTAAGCACATTTGAAAGGCTTTTAATACATATACCAGATTTCCCTCCATGAAAGTTGTACCAATTTATTTACCTGCCAGCAATGTCTGTTTTTTTAATACACATAAATTTTTGATTTCAACTTTGTTACATGTATGTATATTTTTCCTTTGTGACTTCCTCCACTGAATTTATGCTTAGAAAGTCCTCAGGGAAGACCTTTTAAGATGATAAAAGGTCAATTTGTATGCAGTTCCTGTTTTTGCAATGCAATGTATTCATGGAAGCTTTATCATATGATAGTCTACATACTGGGAAGTGGACCAAGCTAATGCATACACATGGCTGTATTCATCTATTCCAACCTGATTGTTTTCATCAGTGGAAACTAATGAATTGTGGATAAAGGCAGCAAGGGGTGAAGTGTAGATGTTCAGAAAGCAGTGTTGCAGGGCAATCAGTGAAGAACAGCACTTACCTCAAGGGGCTTCCATGTCTTTCTTGGGTATTAGAGAGACTTCAAGCAAACTTTTCTGGAAACCACTTTCCAAGGCTGGAAGAGTCCTACAACACAGGGTCTATCTGACCAGCAGGTGGAAGGGAGGCTTAAGAAAGGCCTAGGATCATTTCAAGATTTAGGAGATGCTGGAGAGTGATAAGCACTTCAGAGAGGTTTGCACTTGATTCTGACCCATTTTGACTGACTGAGCGTCTTCAGTGGTTTGAGGGTCTGGCTGAATGGTTTGGTTTTGAAATGAATAAAGTTCAAGCTGGACCTCAGCAGGGAGGTGGAATAGTGTCTCTGGCCGGTGTTGCCCAAGAAAGCTGTTTTTGGTTCACTCTGGGGCAGAGAAAATAAAAGAGATTCCAAAAGGAGAAGTTCAGTCATTTATTATCTCTATTCACCCAACATCTAGCAGAGTGCCAAGCGCATATTAGACACTCATTAAGTATGTGTAGAATGGATGAATGGATAAATGAATAGCTGCTTTGTTAGCCTATGCACCTGGAGAGATTCTTGTTCATTTCATGGTATTTTCTATGCCTTGGCTTTCTCCTTTACTGCCCAAACTTCTTTATGCTTTTTCCCATTTTCTCAGGTAGCCTTTCTCAAGGCCATGAAATTAGATGTTCTAATTGTAACACTGGGTAGTGATTAAGAGCATGAGCTCCAGGGCCATGTGAATTTGGGGTAGCTCTCTCAATGTAACCATTGAGATATGCATGACATTGGACAAGTTATTTATCATCCCTAAACCTGTTTCTCTATCTGCAAAATGAAGTTAACAACAGTATCTACCTCTTTGGGCTGTTGTGAGGATTAAATGAGATAATGCATGTAAAGGACTTAGCATAGTATCTGGCACATGGTAAACGCTCAGTGGTTGGTAGCTGAATTAGTTTCCTATGGCCTCTGTAATAAATTCCCACAAACTTGGTGGCTGAAAACAACAGAAATGTATTCTCTCACAGTTATCGAAGCTGGAACCAGTTTCACTGGACTGAAATCAAGGTGTAAGCAGGGCCTCGATCCCTCTAGGGGCTCTAGGGGAAAATCTATTTCCTGTCTCCTCCAGCTTCTGGTGGGTGCTGACATTTTGCGGTTTGTGGCTGCAGCACTCCAATCTCTGCCTCTTTGATCACATTGTCCTCTCCTCTTCTGTGTGTCTAGTTTCCCTCTGCATCCCTCTTATAAGGATACAGGGGCTTGCATTTAGGGTTTACTGAGATAATTCAGGATAATCTCCTATAGTGTAAGAACTAAACTTTCATGTGCTGCCTTGACATCTTTGAGCCTCACAGGGCCTCAAAGCCCAACCATGATTTCCTCCAATCTTGCCTCGTGTGTCCCCTATCCAGCAGGAATGGTTTCCTACCCAGATAGTCTCTCTATCAGCTGTACCAGCTACATACCACCTAGTCCTCAACCTAATGGGTTTCTCCTCTTTGGGAGCCTATGCAATTATTCAGACAAGGCAATCACATCCTCCCAGAGAAACCAGGGGATACCCCACCCTTCTGTTACTACAAAGCCTGCCTCCCAGTCTCTTCTGGTTTACTCCGTTCCCAAATGCAACCCCTGTGTGGCCCTGCATGTCATGTAGTGTCCCTCTCCTTTGGGCTGTGACTGTATGTAACTAATAACTGCTGTCAATCTCATTTGTTCAGTGTCAAGTGTCGTGTATTTGGCCATTACCAGAAACCTAGGGCAGTACTCCCTCTCTCAATAATGGGATGAAGTGGAGGCAGACAAAACACCTCCCCATCTCAAGATCCTTAATTTAATCACAGGTGCGAAGACCCTCATCCCCCTCTTTTGCCATATAAGTTTGCATTCACATGTTCTAGGGATTAGGATGTGAATATTTTTGGGAGGTGGTGGTAGTGTTTTTTAGCCCACCACAGTAGCCCTTATTATTATTTAAGAGAGTGAAAGTTCACATGCCTCTTGGTAACTTTAAAGGGCTAATTATTTAATTTGGCATATCTGAATTCCTGTTGGCTTCTCTGTTAAGGGATACCAAAGACTTATTCAGTTATTATTATTATTACTTTTTAGAGACAGAATTTTGCTCTGTCACCAAGGCTGAATTCAAACTCCTGAACTCAAGCGACCCTCCTGCCTCAGCCTCCCAAGTAGCTGAAACTATAGGCATATGCCACTGTGCCTGGCACACTCAGTTATTTTTTAAAGAAGTGAGGCAACATTGAAGCATAAATAATTTAAGATTATTTTTGAGCATCATTTAAATGGTGAGAATATTTCTCTGCGGCCAATAAACCTTTTACTAATTCTCCCCTCTTACCTGATTTCCAGGGCTGTGACAGAGCCTGCTGGTTACCCCCTCCCCCATATCTATTCTCTTATTCTTCCATTGTAATATAAACTTTAGCTAGGTGCATGGCTTTGGTGTCCCAGAGAAAAAATGTTCTATTTCCCAGCTTCCTTTCTAGATAAAAGTGGCCATGGGTGTATAAGCCATTGGTATGTAAAGTTCAGACCAGTGGGATGTAAGCTTAAGTGATATGTGTCAGCTTCTATGAATATTTTTTGAGAAAGTTGGCTGAGCACGGTGGCTCATACCTGTAATCCCAGCACTTTGGAAGGCCAAGGCAGGCAGATCATTTGAGGCTGGGAATTGACCAGCCTGGCCAACATGGCAAAACCCTGTCTCTACAAAAGCTACAAAGATTAGCTGTGCGTGGTGGCACATGCCTGCAATCACAGCTTCTTGGGAGGCTTAGACACGACAATTGCTTGAACTCGAGAGGCAGAGGTTGCAGTGAGCCAAGATTGTGCCACTGCACTCCAGCCTGGGTGACAGAGCAAGACTACGAAAAGAAAAAAAAAAAAGCTGCCCATGTCCTTTGCCTCTTTGAAACTTCTTTTGTCCTACTGTCTAGAATGGAAATGTGATGAAAGGTACTCTAGATTTCTCCTCCTCCTTCCCCTCCTCATCCTCCACCTCCTCTTCCTCCTTCTTCGGCTTCTTCTGGTTGTTATTGTTATTCTTCAAAAGGACCACTGCCTTCAAGTAGGATTAACTTTGCTTATTTTCCTGTATGACTTCAACATCCATGTGGACAACTCATTCATCTGGCTTCTCAGTTCTTTGGTACCTCATTCTAATAACTTTATTCTCTATATCACCTCAGCCACCCATGACTGTTCAATCTCCACAATCAATAACTCAAACATCCCACTGTTTGAGTTCCTCTCATTCTTGATTAGTTATTTGACTATTCCCACTATGACCTTTTTAAAACCTAATTAGAAACTCCAATATACTAACCCCTTAATTTTCTCTCAGTCCATCGACTCTCTTCTTTTTTTTCTTCCATTCTTATTCAATTTATATTACATGATTCATCATTTTATCATCTTGCCACTGTCTCAAGCTCTCTTGTCCCTCTGAATTTTTGCTGCATCTGTCTGGTAAAACCCTAATTCTGGATGAACTCTATTGTCTACTTCCTTGATGCCTTTACTCAACCACCTAAGCACTGACAAAGAAATTACACAATAGGACAGATGGGATCACTATACATTTTTTATAATAGAGCACAAAATTTTAACATAGCACATTGAACACCTATTCTTTCATTAAACTCCACTAAAATGGGGTTAAAGACTTTTTTAAAAAGTATAAATACATGAGAATAAAGAGAGCATAAAAAGAAAACACAGAGGATAAGAGATAAGAAAAAATTTGGAAAATGGAAAGCAGATAGAGGAGTTAGCAGAGCTGAAAAGGCAGAACACTAAGTCCATGCAAGGAATAATGCCAATGAGAAGCAAACCAATTTACCTGCAGAATCCCAGACAGAGAATTGGAGTAAAGTTGGGTTGGGAAAAGAGTGGAGTTGAAAAGAGTCTGGCTAAAGGCATGTATAAGAAAGAGTTGGCTGGGTGTGGTGGCTCACGCCTGTAATCTCAGTACTTTCGGAGGCTGAGGCTGGCAGATCACAAGGTCAATAGATCGAGACCATCTGGCCAACATGGTGAAACCCTGTCTGTACTGAAAATACAAAAATTAGCAGGGCATGGTGGTGCGTGCCTGTAGTCCCAGCTACTTGGGAGGCTGAGGCAGGAGAATCACTTGAACCCAGGAGGCAGAGGTTGCAGTGAGCAGAGATCATGCGACTGCACTCCAGCTTGGTGACAGAGCAAGACAAAAAAAAAAAAAAAAGAGTTACACCCCTGAGTCTCTTCTTCTATCCTAGTACAAGACAGGAGATTTATTCCATGGAGAAACTGAATCCGAGAGGCTTTGGTTTTGGGGATATTGGGCACACAGCAAGGTACCATTAGAAAACAGTGGGATTAAGTAAAAGTCTACATATTCAATGGTGAGATCCCCTGTAACTCTTGTGCTACTCAAATCCAAATGTTAGCACCTAGATATATAGTCACCAGGCAAGGGATTGAAGGATTGTTCCCCAGAGAAACTGAACAGCCCAGACAGAAGATCTGTAGATGCTGGTAGTTGTTGCTTTCACAGTAGTGCAAGACCATAAAAGTGACCATTGCAAGCTGGAACCTTAATAATCAATGAGGAAAATTACAATTGTTCCATAACCTTTAAAATTGTTTGTCAAAGCATGAACAACTCTTACTGTCAGGTATAAATGTATAGGGAATAGATGGAATAGTAAAAGTGATATTAGTGCACTGTAATTTAAAACAACATTGAGAATTAAACTTATTTTTTAACTTAAGAATTAGTTTGCCCTCTCTAGTAGCAAGCCCTAGGTGCCATTTTGAGAATTTAACACTTGGGCTGCTTCCCACCCTCGGGCTGAGTTCAAGTTGATGTGGATTGCAGCCTGGCTGAGGGGGACAAGGACACCAGGCTCTCCTACGCATACCTAGGACAATATCCACTGCCTTGCAATGGGCTGCTGTGAAACTGAGATTCAAGCAGACCACACTTCCCACGGCTTCTTGCAATGCTGCTTGCCTAAAAGTCCTCCCACTCTCTCTCTGGTCACAAGCCCACAGGTGGCACCATTTTGAGAGTTTAAAGTTGGGCTGTGGCCTACTCTCAGGCTGAGTTCAAAGTTATTTGGCTGCAGCTGCCACATAGCTAGGGTAGGGACACAGAAGACCAAGCTCTCCTAAGCACACATAGCACAATATCCACCACCCTACTATGCATGGCTGTGGGACTGGGGACTAGCTTGCCCAACCTATCACAGCAACCAGGAATACCAACTGGGTTCCACTGGGTTGCTCCATCACTGCTACTGCCATCACCCACATGACCCTAGCTTCCCAGGGGTCTGAGAATCTGGCCACGCACCAGGCCCACGACTCTCCCAACTACTAGCTTTTAAGGAAGCCACCTGGAGGCCCAGGAAGTAGCTCTCCAACACCCACTAACACTGGATCCAGTGTAAGCTGCTCTGGGGCCTAAAACCAGGGACATCAGCCACACTGCTGCCACCACTGGGGCCTGAAGACTGGCTCAGTTGACATCCAAGTCCTCAGAAAAACTTCACCATCACCTCAGCTAATAATTGTACTCTAGCCACCATGGAAATCACAGATACCACTGACTTGTACTGCCTGTGTACTACCAAAAGAGTCATACAAAGGTCACACTATTGCAGATACCTAAAATAAAAGCCAAAGTATCCTATTTAACCAACAATATATATCATTTTTAGCAAAAAATTCTCCCTCATAAAAGCAATTTTAAAAAGTTGGAACAAATGACTGCTACACCACATGTGCAGATATCAATGGAAAGGACACAAGAAATGTGAAAAAGCAGGGAAATATGACAGCACCGAAAGACCACAATTGTCCAGCAACAGATACCAATCAAAGAATTCCTCAAAATGTCAGATAAAGAAAAATTCAAAATATTGATTTTTAAAGAGGCTCAATGAGATGCAAGAGAAATCTGAAAACCAATACCAAGAAATCAGAAAATTAATTCAAGATATGAATGAAATATTAAACAAGGAGATAGATACCATTAAAAAATACAGAAATTCTGGAACTGAAAAACTCGAAGCAAAAACAAAATACATTGCTTACATCAAAAGCAGAAAGATCACAAATTAACAACCTAATGTCATACCTCAAGGAACTAGAAAACAAGAACAAACCAAATCCCAAGTTAGCAGAAAAAAAGAAGTAACAAAAAATCAGAGCACAATTAAATGAAACAGAAAACAAACAAACAAAAAATACAAAGGATCAATGAGACAAAAAGTTGGTTCTTTGAAAAAAAAAAATAAAATTGATAAACCAGTAGCTAGACTAACCAAGAAGAGAAGAGATCCAAATGAGCACAATCTGAAATGAAAAAAGAGACATTACAACTGATACCACAGAAATAAAAATGATCATCAGAGACTATTATGAACAATTATATACTCACGAACTGGAAAACCCAGAGGAAATGGATAAATTCCTAGAAACACACAACCTCCCAAGATTGAAACAAGAGGAACTAGAACTCCTGACCAAACCAATAATGAGCAGCGAGATTGAATCAGTAATAAAAAAAATCTCCCAAGAAAATCACCCAGGACCAGAAGGATTCACAGCCAAATTCTATCAAATATACCAAGAAGAACTAATACCAATCCTCTTGAAACTATTCCAAAATATCAAGGAGGAAGGAATTCTCCCTAACTAATTCTATAAGGTCAGTATCACCCTGATACCAAAACCAGAGAAGGACACAACAAAAAAAGAAAGCTAGAGAACAATATCCCTGATGAACATAGATACAAAAAATCTCAACAAAATAGTATCAAATCAAATCCAACAGCACCTCAAAAAGAAAATACAACATGATTAAGTTGGATTTATCCCAGGGATGCAAGGATAGTTCAACACATGCAAATCAATAAATGTGATCCATTGCATAAACAGAATTAAGGACAAAAACCATAGGATCATCTCAGTAAATGCAGCAAAGGCATTCGATAAAATTCAGCAATGCTTCATGATAAAAATCCTCAACAAACTAGGCATAGAAGGAACATACCTCAACATAATAAAGGCAATATATGACAAACCCACAGCTGACATCATACTTAAGGGAAAGAGTTGAAGCATTCCCTCTAAAAATTGGGACAAGACAAGGATGCCCACTTTCACCACTCTTATTCAACATACTACAGGAAGTCCTCATCAGAGCTACCAGGCAAGAGAAAAAAATAAAAAGGCATCCAAATTGGAAAAGATATAGTCAAATTATTCCTGTTTACTGATGATAAGTTATTATATTCACATCTAGAAAACCCTAAAGATTCCACCAAAAAACTCTTAGATTTGATAAATAAATTCAGTAAAGTTTTAGGATACAAAATTAATGTACAGAAATCAGTAGTATTTCTATGCACCAATAAAGATTTAGTGGAGGGCCAAATCAAGAAGGCAATCTCAGTCGCAATAGCTACAAAAAAAATAAAATACCTAGGAATATATTTAACCAAGGAAGTTGTGATGGTTAATAGTAGGTGTCAATTTGACTGGATTGAGGAATGCCTAAATGGCTGGTAAAGTATTCTTTCTGGGTGTGTTTGTGAGGTGTTGCCAGAGGAGACTGACATTTGAATTGGTGGACTGGGAGAGGAAAATCCACCCACGTTGTGGGTGGGCACCATCCAACTGGCTGCCAGCCAGCTAGAACAAAGCAGGTGGAGGAAGAGGGAATAAGCTTGCTTGCTGCATCTTCTGGCTGTCTCTCTTCCCATGCCAGACACTTGCTTCCTCTCCTCATGCTCTTGGATTGGACTCCAGGCTCTTTGGCCTCTGGAGTCTGAGACTTGCACCAGCAGCTTCTAGGGGTTCTTGGGCCTTCAGCCACGGACTGAAGGCTGCACTGTCAGCTTCTCTGGTTTTGAAGCTTTTAGAATTGTACTGAGCCACTACCAGCTTCTCTCTTTCCCCAGCTTGCAGAAGGCCTACTGTAGGACTTTGCCATATAATTGTGAGAGCCAATTCTTCCTAATAATCTCTCTCTCTCTCTCTCTCTCTCTCTCACACACACACACACACACACACACACAATTGGTTCTTCCCTCTGGAGAATGCTAATACAGAAGTGAAAAATTTCTATAAGAACTACAAAACATTGATGAAAGAAATTGAAGAAAATGCAAATAAATAGAGAAATAGCCTGTGTTCATAGATTGGAAGAATTAATGTTGTTAAAATAACCATACTGCCCAAAGCAATTTACATATTTAATGCAATCTCTATCAAATTACCAAGGTTATTTTTCACAGAATTAGACAAAACAATCCTAAAATGTATATGGAAGCAAAAAAGGCCAAATGGCCAAAGCCATCCTAAGCAAAAAGAACAAAGTTGGAGGCATCACATTACCTCACTTCAAAATATACTATAAGGCTATAATAACTAAAACAGCATGGTATTGGTATAAAAATAGACATATAGGTCAATGGAATAGGAATAGAGAAACAAAGCCATATAGCTACAATCAACTGATGTTTGACAAAGTCAACAAAAACATACACTGGAGACAGGACAGCCTATTCAATAAATGGTGCTGGGAAAATTGGGTAGACATAGGCAGAAGAATGAAATTGGATCCATATATCTCACCACATACAAAATTAACTCAAGATGGATTAAAGAGCTAAACATAAGACCTGAAACTATAAAAATCCTAGAAGAAAACCTAGAAAAAACTCTTTTGGACATTGACTTAGGCAATGAATTTATGACGAAGTCAAGTCCTCAAAAGTAAACCCAACAAAACAAAAATAGAAAAATAGGATTTAATTAAACTAAAAAGTTTCTGCACAGAAAAAAAAACATAGTAAACAGACAAACTACAGAATGAGAAAAAATATTTCCAAACTATGTATCTGACAAGGGCTAATACCCAAAATCTACAAGAAACTCAAATAGCTCAATAAGAAAAAAAAACAAATAAGCCCATTATAAAGTGGGTAGAGGACATGAACAGACATTTTTCAAAAGAAGACATACAAGCAAACAACAAACATATGAAAAATGTTCAACATCATTAATCATCAGAGAAATGCAAATTAAAACCACCAGATACCATCTTACACCAGTCAGAATAGCTATTATTAAAAAGTCTAAAAACAACATAAATTGGTGAGGCTGTGGAGAAAAGAGAACACTTATACACAGTTGGTGGGAATGTAAATTAGTTCAGCCACTGTGGAAAGCAGTTTGGAGATTTCCTAAAGAACTAAAAATAGGCCGGGCACAATGGCTCACGCCTGTAATCGCGGCACTTTGGGAGGCCAACGTGGGCGGATCACGAGGTCAAGAGATCAAGACCATCCTGGCCAACATGGTGAAACACCGTCTCTACTAAAAATACAAACAAATTAGCCAGGCGTGGTGGCGGGCACCTGTAATCCTAGATACTCGGGAGGCTGAGGCAGGAGAATCGCTTGAACCCGGGAGGCAGAGGTTGTAGTGAGCCGAGATCATGCCACTGCACTCCAGCCTGGCGACAGAGCAAGACCCTGTCTCAAAAAAAAAAAAAAAAAAAAGAACTAAAAATAAAACTATCATTCGATCCAGCAACCCCACTACCTAGTGTACACCCAGAGGGAAAGCAATCATTATACCTGCACTCATATGTTTATCACAGGACTGTTCACAATAGAAAAGATATGGAATCAAGTGCCCATCAAGGAAGGATTGGATAAAGAAAATGTAGTATATATACACCATGGAATACTACTCAACCATAAAAAAAGGATGAAATCATGTGTTTTGCAGCAACATAAATGGAACTGGAGGCCATTATCCTGGCTGAAATAACTCAGAAACATAAAGTCAAATACTGCATGTAGTCACTTATAAGTGGGTGTTAAACGATGGGTACATATGAACATACAAGGTAGAATAATAGGCATTGGAGACTACAAAAGGTGAGAGGGTAGAGAGGATGAGGGCTGAAAATTTACCTGTTGGGTACAATGTTCACTATTTGGGTAATGGGCACATTAAAATCTCAGACTTCACCATTATGCAATATATGCATGTAAGAAATCTGCACTTGTACCCTCTAAATATATAGAAATGAAAACATTTAAGACTGGGCATGGTGGCTTATATGTGTAATCCCAGCACTTTGGGAGGCTGAGGCAGGAGGATCTCTTGAGGAGTTCAAGACCACTCTGGGCAACATAGTACAACCTTGTCTCTACGAATTTTTTTTTTTAATTAGCCAGGTGTGGTGGCATACACCTGTAGTCCCAGCTAATAGGGAGGCTGAGGTGGGAGAATCATATGAGACCAGGAGGTCAAGGCTACAGTGAACCGTGATCATGCCACTGCACTCCAGCCTGGGCAACAGAGTGAGACTCTGTCTCAAAAAACAAAACAAAACGAAAAATTGAAAAGAAGCAGTTTGAACAGTGTTTCTCTTCTTCTTGTAGTATAATTTACAATATGAATCAAGCATCTTTTCCATGCCTTGGCATGGAAATTGTCATACTCCTTTCTAAGTTTGGATCAGCTTCCAACATTTTATCCTTTGTACTTTCAATCTTGCAAAATATCTCTGAGAGTTCCTTTAATGTGAAGGTCTTTTCCCCAGTACCTCTTCCTCTGGGACATCTACATCCTTTTTGTCACAACCACCTTCCTCCTTTATGTCAATAAGTTCATCTTCACTAAGTTTCTCTGGATGCATATCTGGAATCTTTCCTTTATGGTCACTTGGTGGCCCTTCATCTTTTGTCGTATAAGTTATTGATGGGGTTGCCTTTCAAAAAAGACCTGTCGTGTCAACATCAAATGGTTGATGATTATCACAACCACCAGCCTTAATTAATCTTTGGAATCTGGGTGCAACTTTTACAGTGGTATATGTGCTAGTAACTTCTCTAGATAGGTTAGCACTAATCAATTCGTGCAAACTTTTGAAATGATTAAAGCAGCCTTTACTGGAAATAACTTCAATGCTTTGGCCTGAACACTAGCCAAACTGACTGGGATTTTTAAATTACAGTCTCCAGTCCAAAGTATTGTTTTAACCATAAGCAGCTTTCTGTTCCTAGTGCAATTTAGATTAAAAGATGTCAATGTGACTTTACCTTTTAAAAATATTCATTGAAGTTTTCAATATTGTTTGCATCATAGGTTTATGCAGACTTTGTCCTATCTTTGCTTTGCTGTCACGTTTTCAAATTACATTCAATTTCACTTCCAGCATTTTCACTTTTCGTTTCTTTGCTGTACTTTCATCTTTGTTAGCGAATTCCCTTTTTGATTATTCATTTTTGTAAAATATCATGTGGGTTTATCACTGGGGGACAAGGAGACAACACAAGAACAGTCCATGCTTTGTGGTGTGTGCATGAACTGGATAACAGATGCACAGTGACCAATCACCTATAGACTTTGGTATTGATGCACATGTTTATTTATTTACATAGTTATTACATAGTTATATACACTTATTTACATAATTATTCATGGGCTGAAGATCTAGCCGCAAAGTTTGTACTTTATGGTATTCCTTGCAGTTAATATTCTGTGATAACTGAAATTTGAACTGTGCTGTTGGGGGACTGGTGTTAACTAAAATTTGTGCAAATTGGGATCATGCAAAACAAGGATCTCTTGTGTTGATAATTGTCCTTCCAATGGAATTTCTGGGTTCCTGCCCAATCATCTATAGTGAAGCCTACCAGTTAGTAAGACTTAAAAATACTTCCATTTAAAAATACAAATAGGTAGTAGAGGATCTTCAGGCATTTGGGAAAAGACTCTAATGTGAAAGAGAGAAAGCACACAAATACATACACAAGCACACACACACACACATACACACACACACACACAAAGAGAACAAAAAACTCTAAGAAAACAGGGACAATGCATAGAACAGAAAACTTTAAAAACTCAATAATTAATTTCCTTAGAGAGATAAAACATTTTTTCTTCTTGTTTATTGCCTTAAAACAACAACCACTCTTATTTGCTCATGATTCTGTGGGTGAGGAATTTGCTCTAGGTTCAGCTGGGAAGTTCTGCTGATCTTGCTGAGGGTTGCTCATTGTGACTGCAGTAATCTAATGATGTTCTTGGGGCTGGATGGTCCTAGATGGTCCCATTCACATTCCGTCAGTTGGTAGTACCTGTCAGCTGGGCCTTTTTTTTTTTTTTCAATCTATTTAGTTTCCTGTCCTCAAGGGGGCTAGCTTGGGCTTCTATTCATGGAGGTTCCAAGGTTCCTAGATGGCAAGAGTGAAAACTGAAAGGCTTCTTGAAGTCACATTGCTTCTGCTGCAATCCACTGTTTGCAAACAATCTACATTCTTGCAAACAGAACAGTCTTCTTTCTTGCTACAATCATTTACATTCATTCCAGATGCAAAATGTACTCACCTCCTCCCCAGCAAAATTCTCATTTTATTATGGTTTCAGATGTGGAGTCCAGGTTCTTACCTAATTGAGTCCAGATGTGAATGAGACACCTCAGGTACTGAACCTCCTATGTGACTCCTCTTAATCTAAAGACCTGTGCACTGAAATGAAAATTTACATGTCCTCATCACACCTCAATATGCAGTGGTGAGAGGAACAGGGTAGCTTCAGTAGACATTTCCTTTCAAAAATAAGAGGAACAGGAAGCAAGTAGAAGGCATTCTGAAATCTAGACTGGGACATGTTGTCAGGACTTCCTTTTCTTGGGACAAGGAGTGTAATTAGGACCTACTTCTGTTTTTTGGGAGTGGTTCCCATTCCCCAGTTCAATGTTCTCCGTAATTCTTGGCTCTGCACTCTGAGATATCTTTTCTTTTCCAAAAGAAATGATCCATATTTGTACCTTAGTAGCTTTCTTAGTCTGCTTCTTGTCCATAGAAACTTGATGGTCCAGAAGCCTCTTTCCATTTTGGAAAGTCTCAGCTTCTTTTAGTTAAAGGAAGTGGTGCTTTTGTCAGTACATCTCTCTCACAACTTTGTAGGGTTTCTTTGGATCTTGGGTTCATTTATAACTCCAAAGACACATTTTTAATTATATATAATAATTAAATTTTAATTCTATATTTAAAAAATTTTTGTAGAGATGGGGTCTCGCTATGTTGCCCAGGCTGATCTTAAACTCCTGGCCTGAAGCAATCCTCTTGCCTCAGCCTCCTAAAGCACTGGGATTGCAGACATGAGTCATTGCACACTGCCTATAATTATTTTTAATAAAACCTCTCTTGATCCTGTATATGTTAGGCAGCTGTGAGATAATGCCCCTTCTATGGATTGAACTGAGTATACCCTAAATGCATATATTGAAGCCCTAACCCACAATGTGATTGTAGTTTGACATAGGGCCTGTGAGAAAGTAACTAAGGTAAAATGGGATTATAAGGGTAGAGCCTTGATCCAATAGGATAAGTGCCCTTATAAGAAGAGACACCAGAGAGCTCACACACACACACAAATACACACACACACACACACACACACACACACACACACACACTCTTTCTCTCTCTCTCTCTCTCTCTCTTTCTCTCTCTCCTCCTACTGTGTGAGCACACAGCAATAAGGTGGCCATCTGCAAGCCAGGAAAAGAGCCCTTAGCAGAAACTGAATTGGACAGAGCCTTGGTCTTAGACTTTCCAGCCTCCAGAACTGTGAAAAATAAATTTCTGTTGTTTAAGCCATCTAGCCTGTGGTATTTTTTGGCGGGGGGAGACATGCGATAATTTAATACATTCATATAATTTATAAAGGTCAAATCAATATACTTGGGATATTCATCACCTTAAATATCTTTTTTAATGCTACAGCCATGCAAATTCTTGTCTTCTAGCTATTTTGAAATGTACAATCGATTATAAAATATAGTCATCCTACTGATCTATTTAACACTAGGTCTTATTTCTTCTACCAAACTGTATATTCGAACCCATTAATTCACTTCTCTTCATTCCCCCTCCCCCAAAAAGAGATAAATTATTTTATTCAAGAAACTGAAATAGGATCCTTTAAAAAAAGGAATATAAGGCAAGAAACAGCCATTAGAAATTTAAAACAGTATTATTGGATGTTAAATAATCATTGGAAAAGTTGTAAGATAAGGCTCTTACCCAGAAAGGAAAGCAAAAAGATAGTCATGGAAAATTGGAGAGAAAAGATAAGAAAAAATAGAGAGTCAATTGAGAAGACCAAAATTCAATCAGTAGGAGTTCTAGGAAGAAAGAAGAGAGAAAATGGGTAGTAGGAAGTTATAAAAGAAATGGTATACATTTCCCATTAATTAAGGACATAAATATCCAGATTGTAAAGGTCCAACAGGTGCCCAGTTCAATTAATGAAAATGAAGCTACATTATGGCAAATCATCACAAACATTGAGAACATAAGGGATAAATAAAATATATTAAAAGCTTCCAGAAAAAAATCCAGGTTATATATAAAGGATTGGGGAGCCAGAATGGCATCAGAATTTCTAGTAGGCACACTGGAAGTTAGAAAACAATGAAAAAATGTTTTCAAAATTCTAAAAGAAAATTATTTTTAAATAAGAATTTTATACCTAGCAAAGCTATTAACCAAGATTTAGCTTAGAATAAATACATTTTCAAACAAGTAAGATCTAAGAAAACTTACCTCCCATATATCCTTTCTTAGGAAGTGACTAGAGGAAAGGCTCCAAGAGGCAGGACTGTTTGGGACCCAGGAAATAGGAAATCCATTATATAGCAGGGGAATGAAAGGAAGCACTAAGATGGTAGCTGTGCAGCAAGCCTAGAGGGCAATCAGTCCAGAGTGGATCAAAAGAATTGAGGCCTGTAGGACAGATTCTCCATTAAAAATATGAAACTGACAGAATTCTAGATTCCTTTGATCATGTGAAAAAGTATTTGGGGAAGGGGAATTTAAGGAATATTGGTGATAAATAAAAAATCAACACTTTTTTAAAAGGGACAAACTAACTTTAGGGAGAAAAGAGACGTAGAAGAGAAGAAATATAATCGTAGTATAACTTGACTCAGCAGTGATAGATATTGACATAGTCATAATAATGTAAACAACAAACATCAGTTTAAATAATAATTGCAACATGACTCTATTGGAAGGATGAAGGGTAGGGAAGTCCATGTTTATGTGTGTTGGTAAGGAAGGGTGTGTTTTACAGAACAAAAATTCTATACCCTCCTTAAATTATTGATGATTTGATCATATTTTCTCTGTTCTATATTAAAGTATTTCTTCTCTCTTGGGTCCTTCAGCTTTTAAACCTGTTTAAAACTCTCTCATTAATACAATAGAGCAAAAATAAAAATAAAAGAAAACCATCCAGCCAAATAATAAAAAACTTTCAAATTGACATTACCCTTCGGCTAACTACTCTCTCTCCTACTCCTTACCACAGCCAAATGTCTTGACAGAACGGTATATAGTCTCTCCCTTCATTTCCTCTGCAAAAAAAGCTACTTCCTCTGCAAAATAAGTTAGTTTATCAAGATTCCAGGCCACAAGATCTATATATAAAAATTAATTGTACTCCTATCATTGTCTGTTTTCTGAAAATTGACCTATAAATTCAAGGCAATCTCAATTAAAATCCTAGCATATTTTTGTAGAAATTGACAAGATTCTAAAATTTGTATGAAAATTCAAAGAACCTAAAATATCAAAAATGATTTTGAGAAAGAGTGAAATCGTGGTATTTATACTACCTGATTTCTAACGTTTTTATTTTAAAATTTTTAATATTCATGGGTATATAGTAGGTGTATATATTTATGAGGTACATGAGATGTTTTGATGCAGGCATGCAATGTGAAATAAGCACATTATGGAGAATGGGGGATCCATGCCATCAAGCATTTATCCTTTGAGTCACAAACTATTCAATTACATGTTTTCAGTTATTTTTAAATGTACAATTAAGTTATTATTGACTATAGTCACCCTGTTGTGCTATCAAATAGTAGGTCTTATTCAGTCTTTCTAATTTTTTTTGTACTCATTAACCATCCCCACTTCCTCCGCAGCTCCCCACTACCTTAAGCCTTACTATTAGACTCTACTAATCTAGGCAATGTGGTATTGATGTAAGAATACACATGCAGATCTGTGGAACAAAATAGCATATGTACAAATAAATATATATAATATATAATTTCAACATATCTAAATGTTAGGTGTATATATATATATATATATATATATATATATATATATATTCAACTTATTTTGGACAAAGATACTACAAAAATTCAACAGAGAAAGTATACTCTCTTTCTTTAAAAATTAAAAAAAATTTTTTTTGGTGATGGGGTCTCTGTTGCCTAGGCTGGAGTCCAGTGGTGTGATCATAGCTCACTGCAGCCTCAAACTCTTGGGTTCAAGCGATCCTCTTGCCTCAGCCTCACAAGTAGCTAGGATGACAAGTGCATGCCATTATACCCAGGTAATTAAAAAAAATTTTTTTTGTAATGATAAGATCTTGCTTTGTTGCCCAGTCTGGTCTTTAACTCCTGGGCTCAAGTGATCCTCTTGCCTTTGTATCAAGTAAATTTTGTCACAAAAACATCATAAAAACATAGAATGTGGTCACATGGCCTTTTAGCAAAAAGTGTTGGTTCAGTTCCATGTCCAAAATACTGCATAAAAAGTACTTCTGGCCAGGTGTGGTGGCTCACACCTATAATCCCAGCATTTTGGGAGGCCGAGGTGGGTGGATCACCTGAGGTCAAGAGTTTGAGACCAGCCTGGCTAAAACGGTGAAACCCTGTCTCTACCAAAAATACAAAAAATTAGCTAGGTGTGGTGGTGGGCACCTGTAATCCCAGCTACTCTGGAGGCTGAGGCAGAAGAATCACTTGAACCCAGGAGGCAGAGGTTGCAGTGAGCTGAGATCGCACCTTTGCACTCCAGCCTGGGCGACAAGAGCGAGAATCCATCTAAAAAAAAAAAAGTCCTATTAAGTAACTGTTATTCTTTTTTGTGTCTTTTTTGTTTTGTCATTCTTTTTTGTCTTTATAAACATTCTTCACTCGTCAATTCTTGAGTTTGAAAAAATTCATCTAAGATATCTTCGTCTGAAGAAGATTCACAATCTGAAATTTCACTTACATAATCAGTTTCACTATCATCAGTCTGGAATGCTGTTATCTTTCTCTTTGTATTCACATCCTGCTTCATCTAAAAATTATAAAACTCCCCTTTGTCAGTTTTTCTTCTATTTGTCATTATGGGAAGAAAATATGAAAAATATCTGTATTCTCAAATGGGTTTATTCCTAAAAGCGAGCTAGAAAACAAAAACAAAATAGCATTGAAAAACATCCAATATCTAAGAGCAAAACCAGAAAAAGTGTACAAGGCTTCTAAACAGAAAGTTCTAAAACATTTTTTGAGAGGAAGTAAATGAGACCTAAATAAATAGGTAAATTGTAAATCTCAATATTGTAAAGACATCAATTCTTACCGATTTGATCTATAGATTCAAGACAATCCCAAATTCCAACAGGAATTTTTTTATTTGTGGAAATTGACAAGCCAACTCAAAAATTTATATGGAAATGTAAAAGGCCAAGAATAACTGAGGCAAATTTGAAGGACAAAACAAGACGTAATACCAGAAACCAAGCTTTATCTAGCTACAAGTATTAAGTTAATATGGTATTGACACAAGGATAGACAAGTAGACCAATGGAGCAGAGGATCTACAAACAAATCCACACATACATTATGTCAAAGACAACATTGCAATTCAGTGGGGGAAATGACAGTCTTTTCAATAATTGGTGCTTTTCAGTAAATAATTACTTGAGTATCCATACAAAGGAAAATGTATGTTGACCTTTTCTTCATATCATATACAGAAATGAATTCCAGATGGTTTGCAGATACAAATGTGAAAAGTAAAACAATATAGCTTTCAGAAAAAAATTTAGGAGAATATCTTTATAGAATAGGCAACTATAGGGAGTTCTCAGTGGCCATATCTGGGACAATTTGAGCAACAAAGTAAATAATGGATTATAACTGGTAGAATAAAAGAAATATACTCGGGTCCACTCTGATAGAAATAAATAATTAAATAAAGTTAGGAGAGGGATAGCTCTTTCTTTCTTTCTTTTTCCCCTTCCATTCTAGAAAAGCCAGGGATAGCTTTTTCCTATAGAAGAATTCCAATTAATAAGTGTATAAAGGATGACGGAAATAGATAATTATCATTAGGCAAACATCACAGTAATAATTATTGCAAGCAAGAAATGTTGATGGATGCTAAAATTAGTGGGCAAAAGTGTAAAGAGAAAAAAGATATTAGTATAGTCTCAAAGTATTTACCCCGCAAAATTCATCAATTGCAAAAGGGAAAATAACAACTTTATAGTGGAGAAACCGAGTAAACACCATCTTAGCCAAGTGATCAAGATTGCCATCAGCAGTAATAAGGCATATTGGCACCACATACCCCCTGACATGATGCATTAAGAAGAGTACAATATCACCTCTGTGATATTCTTGCCAAAAAATGCATAACTTCAATTTAATCATGAGAAAATGTCAAACAAGCTCCAATTAGGGACATTCTACAAAATAACTGACTAGTGCTCTTCAAAAGTATAGAGGTCATTGTATTAGTTTCCTATTGCTGCTGTAACAAATTACCACAAACATAGCGGCTTAAAGTAACACAAATTCATTTTCTTACAGTTCTGGAAGTCAGAAGTCTAAAGTTAAGTCATCAGCAGGGCTGCATTCCTTCTGGAGTCTCTAAAGGGAGAATCAATTCCCTTTTCTTTTAACCTTCTAGAGGCCACCTGCATGCCTTGGTTCATGACCCTTTCCTTACACTGCTCCACCATTTTGCTTCCATTGTTGTATTTCCTACTACTGACTCTTCTCTCCTGCCTGCCTTCCCCCTTATTAAGGACCTTTGTGATTACATTGGGGCTACCTGAACAATCCAGAGTTATCACCCCATCTTAAGATTCTTAACTTAATAGTATCTGCAAAGTCCTTTTTGTCATATAAGACTGGGATTAGAACATGAACATCTTTGGGGCCATTATTTAACCCTCCATAGTCATGAAAGATGAAGACTGAGGAATTGTCACAGATTGGAGGAGACTAAGGAGACATGATAATTAAATGCAATTGGATCCTGGACCAGAAAGAAGACATTAGTGGGACAACTGACAAAATTCAAATAAGGCCTGTAAATTAGTTAATTGTATTGGATCAATATTAATATCATGATTGCTAAAGCTGAACCATGGGTGTTTAAGATGTTAACGTTAGCTGGCATGGTGGCACACTGCTGTAGTCACAGCTACTTGAGGGGCTGAGGCAGGAGGATCCCTTGAGCCCAGAAGTTTGAGCTGTAATAGTGCCAGCCACCGCACTCCAGCCTGGGCAATAGCGTGCGACACTGTCTTAAAAAAATAAGATTCTAATATGAGGGGAATTTAGGTGAAGGGTATCTTGGAATGCTTTGTACTATTTTTGTAACTTTTTCATGAGTCTACAATTATTTCAAAATAATTAAAAGAAAGACATGGACAACAACAGCAAACCAAAGTAAGATACCACTACATTTTCATCAGCATGGCTAAAATGAAAGAATAAAAAAAAAAAGACAATGCCAACTGTTTAGCAAGGATGAAGAGAAACTTGAATTGTTATTCATCACTGGTAGGATTATAAATTGGTACAATAATTTGGAAAACTCCTTGGCAATATCTTTCAAAGGAGAGTATATATCCATACTGCATTACTTAATGGTTTCAATTCTAAGTATAAACTCAACAGAAGTGCAACTATGTTTACCAAAAAATATGTACAAGGCTACTATTGCTGCTGCAGCACTTGGGAGCCTGAAAAAGGGGAAGTGAGAGGAATCTCTCAATTCTCTTTAGATGGTGGCTGCAGTGGTGGTCAAGGCCATTGGAGAAGCACAGTGGCCAGGGTGGGGCTCCACAGTTGCAAAGAGGGGTGGGCAGGAGGAAGCAGTTCAGCTGTGGGGAGTAAAAACAAAGAGAAAGAACCACCAAAAGTGGGGAAATGTGGGAAAAATTCAAAAGGACAAAATACAATAGAACCACAGTGCTACAGAGCTTGAAATTACCAATGAAAAAAACTGAAATGTTGGGCTCTTTGACACTTCCTCATAAGGATACCAGAGGCAGAATGTCATATTAAGCTTGATATGTGACAGATCATTGTGTAAATTATTTTGCAGGAATACAAATTGATTCACTTACAGTTCCTCTGAACTTTGAATTGGCACATTTTTTTATAGTTGGTTTTTCTCCCTCATTTTCACCATCCTATTTCCACCCACTTCTAGTACCACCCACCTACTAATATGATTGACTCATGCATGTGAATTAAACCATTATTGTACATGTTTTTACTCTCTTGTCTCTCAACATTACTCTTAATTTGAACATTTCAACCTGAACATTTCAAATAGGTTTGGTATTTTCATGTCACTTTTCAAACTTTAAAATCTCACATCCACTTTCACAATCAACAGCTGCTCAGATTATCCTGTGAACTCACCTTTATTAAGATAGTATATTAGCCTTGAGAGGTGTAGAAAGCATGTACCAGTCCAGGATGTTGTAGCTTGAAAAGCTTAGGAAATAACACTAACAAAGAAAATATTAAAGAACTTGGACACATGGATAATTGTACTTCAAGTATCTGAAAGGTTTTTTTGTTTTTTTAGAGACAGGGTATTGTTTTGTTGCTCAGACTGGAGTACAGCGGTGCCATCATAGCTCACTGTAGCTTTGACCTCCTGGACTTAAGGGATCCTCCCACCTCAGCTTCCAGAATAACTAGAACTACAGGCATGCACCACCACACCCAGCTAACTAAAAAATACATATATTTTGGAGAGGAGGTGGAGCAAGATGACCAAATAGAAGTCTCCACCAATCATCTGCTCCTCAGGAACACCAAATTTAACAACTACCTGTACGAAAAAAAGCACCTCCATAAGAATAAAAATTCAGGTAAATAATCACAGTACCTGGTTTTAACTTCATACTGCTGAAATAGGCACTGAAGAGGATAGGAGAGATAATCTTGATTACTGTCACCACTCGTCCCCCACCCCCTGACAGTAACCATTTATCACTGAGAGACGATCTGTTTGCTTGGGAGAGGGAGAGCACAGCAATCATGAGACTTTGCATTGAATTCAGTGCTGCCCTGTCACAACAGAAAGCAAAACTGCACTGAACTTAGCTGACGCCCAATCACAGAGGGAGCATTTAGATGCGCCCTAGCCAGAGGGGAATTGCCCGTCCCAGTGGTGGGAACTTGAGTTCCACCAAGCCTCACCACTAATGGCTAAAGGTGTCTGCGGCCCTAAAAAAAAACTTGAAAGTAGTCTAGGTCACAAGAACTGCAACTCCTAGGCAAGTCATAGTACTGAGCTGGACTCAGAACCAGTGGACTTGGGGAACATGTGACCTACTGGGACACCAGCCAGGGTGGCTAAGGGAGTGCTTGTACCACCTGTCCCCGAACTCCAGAGAGCACAGCTCACAGCTCCTAAAAAGACCGCTTCCTTCTACTTGAGGAGAAGAGGGGGAAAAGTAAAGAAGACTTTGTCTAAACCTAGAGAAAGATATCAACATCCAATTACAAGAAGGTTATAGAACACCAACTAAATATATACACACCCAACACTGGAGCACCCAGAAATATAAAGCAAATATTATTTGAGCAAAAGAGGGACAGACTCCAATACAACAATAGCTGGAGACTTCAACACCCCACTTTCAGCACTGGACAGATCTTCCAGACAAAAAACCAACAAAGAAACACGAGACAATCTATACTATGAAACAAATGGACCTAATATACATTTACAGAACATTTTATCCAACAACTGCAAAATATGCATTTTTTTTCCTCAGCACATGGATCATTATCAAAGATAGAACATATGTTAGGTCACAAAACAAATCTTAAAATATTAAAAAAATTGAAACAATATTAAGTATCTTCTCTAACCAAAGTGGAATAAAACTAGAAATAAATAAGAGGAATTTTGGAAACTTTACAGACCCATGGAAATTAAACAATATGCGCCTGAATGACCAATGAGTCAATGAAGAAATTAAGAAGGAAATTGAAGATTTCTTGGAACAAAATGATACTGGAAACACAACATATGAAAACCTATGGGATACAGCAAAAGCAGTAGTAAGAGGGAAGTTTATAGCCATAAATGCCTACATAAAAAAGATGAAACATTTCAAATGCATGATTAGTAAAATCAGTAAAATTTCAAATGCATGACTAGTAAAATTAGAAAAATTAGTAGAAGAAAAGAAATAATAAAGATCATAGCAGAAAGATTGTAAATGAAATTTAAATGAAGAAAACATATAGAAGATCAACGAAACAAAAACTTTTTTTAAACATAAAGAAAATTGACAAACCATTATTCAGAATGACTAAGAAAAAAAGAGAGAAGACTCAAATAATATCAGAGCTGAAAAAGGAGTCATTACAACTGATACTGCAGAAATTCAAAAGATCATTGGTACTACTATGGAAATAAATTGGAAAATCTAGAGGAATGTACAAATTCCTAGACACATACAACCTACCATGATTGAACCAGGAAGAAATCCAAAATCTGAACAGACCAATAACAAATGATGAGGTAGAAGCTGTAATAAAGTCTCCCAGTGAAGAAAGAAATAAAGGGCATCCAAACTGGAAATGAAGAAGTCAAACTATCCTTTTTATGCAGATGATATGATCTTATATTTGGAAAAAAACCCAAATACTCCACCAAAACACTATTAGAACCGATAAGGAAATCAGTAAATTTGCAGGATACAAAATCAACATACAAAAATCAGTAACATTTCCATGTGTCAACAGTGAACAATCTGAAAAAGAAATCAAGAAAGTAATACCATTTACAAGAGCTACAAGTAAAATTAAATACATAGGAATTAAAGAAATGAAAGATCTCTACAATGAAAATGATAAAACACTGATGAAAGTAATGGAAGAGGACACAATAATGGAAGGATATTCCATGTTCATGGGTTGGAAGAATCAATATTGTTAAAATGTCCATACTACTCAAAGCAATCTATAGATTCAATGCAATCCCTATCAAAATACCAATGATATTTTTCACAGAAATAGAAAAAACAATCCTAAAATGTATATGAACTACAAAATACCCAGAATAGCCAAAGCTATACTAAGAAAAACAAACAAAACTGGAGGAATCACATTACATGACTTCAAATTATACAACAGTGCTATAGTAAACAAAGCAGCATGGTACTGGCATAAAAACAGACACATAGACCATTGGAACAGAATAGAGAACCCAGAAATAAATTCATACATTGAGAGTAAACTCATTTTTGACAAAGGTGCCAAGGACATACATAGGGGAAAGGACAGTCTCTTCAATAAATGGTGCTGGGAAAACTGGGTATCCACATACAGGAGAATGAAATTAGACCCCATCTCTCACCATATACAAAAACCAAATCAAAAGTGATTAGAGACTTAAATATGAGACCGGAAACCAGGAAACTATTATAAGAAAACTTTGGGGAAGCTCTTCAAGACACTGGAGTGGGCAAAGATTTCTTGAGTAATACCCCACAAGCACAGGCACCCAAAGCAAAAATGGACAAATGAGATCATGTCAAGTTAAAAGCTTCTGCACAGCAAAGGATACCATCAACAAAATGAAGTGACAATTCACAGAATGAAAGAGAATATTCGCAAACTATTCATCTGACAAGGGATTAACAACCAGAATATGTAAAGAGCTGAAACAACTCTATAGGAAAAAAAATCTAATAATCCAATTTAAAAATGGTCAAAAGATCTAAATAAACATTTCTCAAAAGAGGGCATACAAATGGCAGTCAGATGAAAAGGTGCTCAATAAAACTGATCGTTGGAGAAATGCAAATCAAAACTACAATGAGATATCATCTTACTCTAGTTAAAATGGCTTATATGCAAAAGACAGGCAATAACAAATGCTGGTGAGGATGTGGAGAAAAGGAACCCTCGTACACTGTTGGTGGGAATGTCAATTAGTAAAACCACTTTGGAAAACAGTTTGGAAGCTCCTCACAAAACTGAAAATAGAGCTACCATATGATCCAGCAATCCCATTGCTAGGTATATACCCAAAAGAAAGGAAATCAGTATATCAAAGAGATTGCACTCCCATGTTTAGTGTAGCACTACTCACAAAAGCCAAGATTTGGAAGCAACCTGAGTGTCCATCAACAGATGAATGGATAAAGAAAATGTGGTACATATACACAATGGAGTACTATTCAGCCATGAAAAAGAATGAGATCCTGTCATTTGCAACAACATGGATGGGAATGGAGGTCATTATGTCAAGTGAAATAAGCCAGGCACAGAAAGACAAACTTTGCGTGTTCTCACTTATTTGTGGGAACTAAAAATTAAAACAATTGAACTCATGGAGATAAAGTAGAAGGATGGTTACCAGAGGCTGGGAATGGTAGTAGGGGATGGTGAGAAAGTGGAGATGGTTAATGGGTACAAAAAAAAATAGAAGGAATGGATAAGACCTAGTATTTGCTAGCAAAACAGAGTAACTATAGTAAAAAATAATTTAATTGTAGAGTTTAAAATAATTAAGAGTATAATTTGATGGTTTGTAACATAAAGGATACATTCTTGAGGTTATGGATACCCCATTTACTCTGATGTGATTATTACTCATTGCATATCTGCATCAAAATATATCATGTAACCCATAAATATATATATACCTACTATATACCCCAAAAATAAAAAGTTAAAAAATTTAAAAATTCTATGAGGTAATAAAGAGATGAAAACCAGTGTAAAAAAATATTTTTTTAGAGATGGAATTTCGCTGTGTTGCCCAGGCTGGTTTCAAACTCCTGGCCTCAAGCCATCCTCTGGCCTCGGCCTCCCAAAGTGTTGGGATTACAGGTGTGAGTCACCGTGCCCAGCTATGAAAGGTTTTTATAATAAAATCCTGACTGACTGGGCCAGGCACGGTGGCTCATGCCTGTAGTCCCAGCACTTTGGGAGGCCGAGGTGGGGCAGATCACGAGGTCAGGAGATCGAGACCATCCTGGCTAACACGGTGAAACCCCGTCACTACTAAAAATACAAAAAATTAGCTGGGCGTGGTGGCGGGCGCTGGTAGTCCCAGCTACTCGGGAGGGTGAGGCAGGAGAATGGCGTGAACCCGGGAGGCGGAGCTTGCAGTGAGCAGAGATTGCACCACTGCACTCCAGCCTGGGTGACAGAGCGAGACTCCGTCTCAAAAAAAAAAAAAAAAAATCCTGACTGACTGTTTTCTAGCCTTACCAAAGAATGTACAGGGGAGAAATTGGCTTAAATTGCAGAACACTTTTGCAGTTAGAAGCAAGGGAAAATTTGGTGGTATGGATTTTTTGGTAAGGAAGCCAAAGTCTTGGAGATTAGTAGTAAAAGATAGAGTGGTGTAGTGGAAAGTGAGTGGTTAGAAAATAACACTGCCAATTCCTGCTTCTCATAAATGTCACCACATGCAAATCACTTATCTTCTGTGGCACTGTTTCCTCTTCTTTAAAATGTCTTGAACTTAAAATTTAGTTGTTTTTAATATATTGAATAGATTAAGGTCCTTCTTGAAAGAAATTTCCCTGCAAGATGTATGGACAATTAAGTTTTCCAATGTTACAAAATATTGTTCAAGGTTATATTGCTGTTATGTGATTTTTGACTTTCCCTATTCTGTTTCTTGATTAAAAAGCATTGTTACATTTTTCTTTTTCCCTTTCAAATAGGATGTTTGTTATAGGCCAATATCCTTTATGATTATAGATGCAAAAATCCTCAGAAAATACTAGCCAACTGAATCCAACAGCACATTAAAAGAATTGTTCTCCATGACCAAGTGGAATTATCCTAGGAATGCAAAGGTGGTTTAACAAAGGAAAATCAATCAATGTAAACCACCACATTAATAGAAGGAAGGAAAAAGACCACATGATTATCTCGATTTCGTTAAAAGAAATTATCAAGAAAGTGAAAAGACAACCTACACAATGGGAAAAGATACTTGTAAACCATATATCTAGTAAGGGTCTAGTGTCCAGAAAATATAAAGAACTCTTACAACTCAACACAAAAAGACAAACAACCTAATTATAAGTGGGCAAATAATTTGAAGAGACGTTTCTCCAAAGAAGATATATAAATGGCCAAACAGCACATGTAAAGAAAAGATGCCCAACATCATTAGTCATTAGGAAATTTAAATAAAAACTGGAATGAGGTTTTCACATTCACTAGGATGACTGTTACCAAGAAATGAAAGGAAACAAAACAGAAAATAGTAAGTGTTGGAGAGGATGTGGAGAGACTGTCTTAAATTGCAGAAGATTTTCTACATTTCTGGTGGTAATGTAAAGTGGTTGAGCCACTATGCAGAAAAGTTTGGTGGTTTCTTAAAAAGATTAACATAGAATTATGATATGACCCAGCAATTTCACTCCTAGGTGTATACCCAAAAGAATTGAGAACAGGTACTATAACAAATACATGTACACTCAGGTTCCAGCAGTATTATTCACAATAGCCAAAGTGGAAACAGCTCAAATATCTGTCAATGAAGGAATGAATAAACAAATTGTGGTACATTCATACAATGGAATATTATTCAGCCATGAAAAGGAATGAAGTACTGATATATGCTGCAATGTGTGGTTGAACCTTAAAAATTCTATGCTAAGTGATGGAAGCTAGACACAAGAGGTCACATATTGTATGATTCCACTTATACAAAATATTCAGAATAGGCAAATCCATAGAGACTGAAGGCAGGTTGGTGGTTGTCAGGGGCAGAGAGAGGGGGTAAGGAGGAATGCAGAGAATCTGCTTAATGGGCAAAGGGCTTCCTTTTGGGATGATGAAAATGTTTTGGAACTAGACAGAGGTGATTGTTGCACAACATCATGAATGCAATAAATGCCACTGAACTGTTCGCTTTTATAAATAAATGGTTAGTTTTATGTTATGTAAGTTTCACCTCAATAAAACTTTTTTAAAAAAATAAGATGTTTGAATTTGACTTGTTGCCTATCCACATAGGTCCTGGAAATCGAAGTTTCTTTCCAGTACTTAACTGCTGGCTTATGTCGTAGCAAACATTTAAGGAATGTGGCCATAAATGGGCTTATGGATTACTTGAAGCTGGAAAATCATTTGGAGATTTACAGAGGGGATTAGGTTTTGAGCAGCTCTTTCACTGTAACATTCAAATATATGGAAATATAACTAGAAACATCTTATGAATATTTACAATCTTAATAAATTGCTCTGATATTCGTGAAGTTATTTTACAAAATCAGATCATAGGATAGTCTTTAAGATTTGTGTATTTTTTTTACAAAGCTATGTTTTTTAAAGTTTGAGTGCTTTGTGAAAAATCACTTGTTTGAAATACATTCAAGGTTCATTTGAGTATTTAAAAGAAGAAACACATACAAGAATGTACTGCTTGTAATGACCTCAAACTGGAAACTACCCTAATATCCTTTAGCAGTAGAATGGATAAATTAACACACTGGGATAATATGCTACAATGAGAATGAATGCAATGCTATTACATAGTATTACATACTATACATAGTAATATGGATGTATCTCACAAACAATGCTGTGTGATAAAAGCCAGACACAAAAGAACACATAATGGATGACTCTATTAGAGTTCAAATATAAGGAACATTACTCTGTGGTGTTAGAAGTTAGGATAATGGTTACCCTTGTAGGGGCTAGTTACTGAACTGGTCACAAGGGGACTCCTGGAGTGTTCTTTTTTTTATCTGGATGCTGATTCCACGGATTGTATTCAGATTGTGAAAATTCATCAAACTGTACACCTGATTTGTGCTTTTCTTTATGTATGTTACACTTCAATGAAAATTTCCAAAAACAAGTAAGCCAGCAGATAAGCAAACAAATTCTTCAAATTCACATACCCTTTCAGCTAACTGCCCCATATTTCTTTGCCCCTTCTTAATCACAACCAGTTTCTTGAATATTCTATACTCACTGCCTTTATTGCCTCACTTTCTACTCATTATTCAACCCACACCAATGTGGCCTTCTGCCCCCAAAATTCCCCAAAATGAGCTCTCACAAAGATCACCAATGGCTTCTCATGTTGTTAAATCCGAAGGAAAAAATTCTATTCTCAACTTGCTTCACTTCCCAGCAATATTTATTTATTTATTTATTTATTTATTTATTTATTTATTTATTTTTCTTTTTTCCCCATACATTCTAGCCCATGAAGAGCCCAGCAATATTTAATTCTGCTAAACACTTCTTCATTCTTTAAAGCGTTCTCTTCCCATTGCTTTTGTGACACAGTATTCTTGTGGCATTCTTCCTACCTCTCTGATTACTCCATCTCTGTCTCCTCTTTGTCCTCTATCCAGCCATTAAGTGCTGAAGATTCCATGAAGACTCAGTTCTAGGTTTTCTCTTCTTATTCTGTACTCCCTTCTTAAATGATCTCATTCATTCCTATGCCTTTCAACACAATCCTAAATCCCAAGTAACCGAAATATCCTAGACTTCTCTAAGCTCCACACTCATATATTCAATTACCTAATTTACATCTGCATTTGGATGCTTCACAGACATCTCAAACTTAGCTTGTCCAAGACTAAAATCTTGATTTCTCTCTACCCTAAGCTTTTCTCTTACCCATCTCAATAAACTGCACCAACATCCATCCATTTTCTCAAATCAGGGACTTTTTAACAAGTTCTTTAGTTGGGCTGGGTGCAGTGGCTCATGCCTGTAATCCCAGCACTTTGGGAAGCAGGTGGATCACTTGAGGTCAGGAGTTTGAGACCAGCCTGACTAACATGGTGAAACCCCGTCTCTACTGAAAATACAAAAATTAGCTGGGTATGGTGGCACACACCTGTAATCCCAGCTACTCAGGAGGCTGAGGCAGGAGAATCACTTGAACCCAGGATGCGAAGGTTGCCGTGAGCCAAGATGGTGCCACTGCACTCCAGCCTGGGTGACAGACTGAGACTCAAAAAAAAAAAAAAGTTCTTCAGTTGCTCACATCCAAAATCTGGGAGTCCTGTAACTTTCTTCCTAATTGTCAATTCTAGCCATGAAAGAATGTGGGAAAAGAGGTGAAAGGATTCACAGCAACCTGTTCTGAAAGCTTTCTCTGAGGTTTGGCCAGGTAACTTGTCATGGGTATCGTAGTGCACCACCTAGATCTCCTCCAGCTGCTGGAAGTGTTGGCTGCTGATGATTCACAGCTGTGTCCCTCTTTAGGGACTTGCTCTTAGCCTAAGGTGGCCTTGTCCATGGTTATGTCCTCCCATGAAGGACAGAGGTGGTAAGCATCATGCATCCAATGAGAGTACAAAAACTCACACTCCTTGCCTCAGTTTCAGACAACTCTGAAAGGCCATTCCAGTTCCAGAGCTCCACGTGGGAGCAGCTGGAGCTTTCCATTTTAACTTCTCCCTCCTCCAAGTCCTGCTTCCCTCACTTCCTCACAGGCATTGATCCCAAATGTATTCCCTAATAAAACTCTTGTATGCAAATCTCTCTATCAGAGTCTGTTTCCAGGAAACTTGACCTAAGATAAACTAAAATTGTGCCTACCTAGAAAAGTGAAGTAGCCAGAGGCAACATCCAATTTAATACAAAGGGACACATTAATATAAGTGTGGGGTGGAGGGAGACAGAGCAACTCTACTTACAAGGAAGCCAAGATGCCTACCGTTCAGGGAACGAATAGGGAAGGCTGTGCTATTACAGGCATAGCTTAGAAAGATCTTACCTCTGCTCATGAGCAGATTTCAGCTGAGGTCCTTTTTATGCAGCTAGTCTAGGTTACCCCTCACTGCTTTTTTCTTATGAAAATAAACTCCTGGCCCAACAAGCTCAGAAAACAGCACTTTGCTAATAGCCACAGTGTGAAGCAGGAAAAGACTGATGGTGGAGGGCTCCTTCATCCTCTGTGTGCACCTTTCCTTAACACACACACAGACACACACATACACACGGACACACAGACACACACACACACAGTATTGTTTGCTATAGATCAAGGTCTAAAACAACCTATTTATATACCTGTCTGAGGGTAGTTACAGTTTTGAAAAATCATCAATGGGGAAGACAGTGCTCTAAGCCCAAAGAATTAATAATTTTCATACAAGTTTTCTGCAAATAATTTTATAGTTTTAGCTGTTATATTTAGGTCTTATATTTAGGAATTTATTTGGAGTTAATTTTTGTATATGGTGTGAGATTGGGGTCTAAATTCATTTGTTTGCATGTGAATATTCAGTTGTTTCAGCAATATTTGTTGAAAAGACTATTCTTGAGCCAAAATTTTTACTCTTGTCAAAAATCAATTGACCATAAATGTAAGGGTTAGCATTCAGTTCCTCCTTTAAAAATTATGTGTTATATATTTTCTTAAGGCAAAAGTAATGTATGTTTACTGCAAAAAAATACATGTAAGAAAAAATGAAGATCACGTATTTTTCCATCAATCTCAAGGTCACACATTCCACTATTGTTAACATTTTAAAAATACCCTTCCAGACTGTTTTCTGAAGAGTAATGTTACCATATAATGTTGATTTTTATTCTGCTTTTTAAAAAGCTTTACAGTGCCATGTGTATATTTCCATGTCAATAAATATAGATGAACATCAAATTATTTGTTTTATTGACTTCACGACAGTCCATAGTATGATTGTGCCTTAATTTTTTTACCTCTTCCCCTATTGTTAGATATTAGGTAGTTTCCAGCATATTCCCACTGTAACCTAGCTCTATGAACACCCTTATGCATACATCTTTCCACACCTGTCCAGTTATTTCAGAGGTAGAAAACTGCTAACCCACAGGCTGATTTCTGCTCACAGATATGTTTGGCTTAGATAGCACACCTTTTTAAAGAACAGTTATTCTGGTTTGGGGGGATTTGCTAGGATACATTCTTAGGAATAAGACTGCTGGGTCTCGTGGCACTTGGTTATGATTTAGCAAGGTTCTTCTACTTGCTTGCTCCAGGATGATTGCTGGACACTCTTACTGGCTGGGCTGGTGCATATTGGGTGGGTGAAAGACTGAGAGGATAAAGGGAGGCAAGCCTTCGCATTGTTGCATGAGGTTACTGATGACCCAACCAAGAAAGGTCTCTGAGGATACAGCATATCAAACTAGAAGTACAACTGGATTACGCATTAAAAGACACGGATCTAGTTCTAAGTCTACTATTATATAGCTCTATCAGTTTGGGCTAGTTATTTAACCTCTCTAAGTCTTATTTCCTTACAGGGTTGTTAGGAAAATCAACTGAGATATTGTGTGAAACATGTTTGGAAAACCACAGAGTCCTATACAATTGTAAGGCAGTACTATTCTAAATTGCCCAAACTGTTTACACAGGGTCAAACAAATCTAAGCTTAGAGTGTAAAGCACTGTCTGCTCTCAGAACCTTGCTTTTAGAGGAGCTACTTTCCAGGGATAGTCATGATTCTAGGTTGTGGAGAACTAATCTGGTACACTTCAGTTCCACAATCATTTATGGATGATTTCACATGCCAGATACTGTGGGTACCATGATGATTATGATTAGTCCCCGTCTTTTCAGAGCTTTACAGTCCACTAGAAAGAGACAAACACGTGTTGAGGTCATCAGAAAACAGAGGGATAAGGAATGTAATAGAGGAGAGAACCAAGACTGCAATACATAAGAGAAACACTCAAGGCCTGAAAGGGAGGGGGAGTGGTTTGAGGCAGAGTTCCACAGATAGGGTTGAGGAGGAGAAAGGACCAGATGTGTATATGTGTGTGTATGTGTGCACATGTGGGTGAGTGGTAGTCTATGCCAGTCGAGTTAATCTGTGGCTAGACTTTATCTTAGAATCTGTGTTCATTTCTATGCATTTGCATTTTCTTTTTTTAGTTTTGTGTTTCCCTTCATTTTCTAGTCAAGTTCTTTTTGAAAAATGCTAATCTGGTGTTAGCTGTACTAACAGGAAAAAAAAAGATCTGTCTACACCCATTCCAGGAGACTTAGAGAATCCAAAGTGTTCTTGAGGCCACTCATGCTGGTAGAAGTAAAGAGCCCATTTGGAAACTGGGGAAGAGGTTGGTGGCGCTCCTTCTTCCCTTGCTGCCTGCTTCATCTTGCGTTTTTCCCGGATCATATCCAAACCCCTTACCTTCCAACCATTTGTCTGCTGCCGCTGCAGCAGCAGCAACTACAGACTTCAGAAAAGGCCAGCTAAACAACATGTCCTTCCCTCTAGCCCACCTCCTTCCCTCTGTTTGGGTCATCTGAACTTTTCCCTTAAAGATAAAAAGCCAAATGCAATGGTTATTGAAGCCAGAAGAAATAAAAGATGTTGTTCTACTCTTAATGCTTATTAAACTCGGACTTAATCTTCTTCATCGCAATTAAGCCGTTAAACCAGCTAATATACTTACACGAGGTGAAATGAAAAGACTTACTGTAAGAGATGACAACAGGCTCTTCGGGAAATTAAAATCTTCAGAGATTTCCAAAGTGAGAGTTACTGAGCCAGGAAGGGGAAAGAAAGAAAAGGATTTTTAAAGCTTAATAAACAGGATGCCAATTAGACCACGGGATTAAAAAGCTAGGTGATGTCAGTGTTATCGATGGGAGGAGGGGTTAACTCGAGCGAGGGAATTAATAAGCACTGTGTTGCTTCCAGATCCTTCTTTGATTCAGTTTCCTTTAACCTGGACAGGTGTATCTTTTCTATCTTAGTTTACCTTCTGTGACGTGAGAAGAAACACGTGGTGATGAGGAAATGCCTGCTGAGTTGTGTAAAGATTCTAAAATGGTGTTTCTTCATTTTCCAAGTCCTTAATACTGCTCTGACACCTTTAACGCTATTAACTTGAGTGAGCTCCCTGCCTAGTGACCACAGACTGAAACTATGTCATCTCAGGAAAGATAAGGCTAAGGTTCTCCAATAACCCAATATGGGTTTGGGCTGGGAAAATGACCTCTGTGGTTCCATGGGTGCTTGATATTCTGTCATCTTTTTGGACAGACAGCCTTTTCCCAGAGGCCAGAGGTCCTCCCTTCCCCACTTCACACTTCCCCACTATATCAGGGCAGACTAGAAGCAGCGCTAAGGCGTAGGAAGGACGCCTCCCAACTTGGGAGGTTTTCCAGGGCCCCAATTTCCACCAGCCAGAAGTTTGATTTACTGGCACCATCTGTGGGAAGACAAATGGCCCCTTCTGGCTCTGCTGGTCAGATGCAGGGAAGGAAGGAAAGAAAGAGAAATAAATGGAGGAAGGCAGATTAGTACATCAATAAATACCCAAGTGACATATGATGAGTGAACAAATAAAAATCCCTCACAGGAAGGTGGCAGGTGTCCTGTGATGGTGATGTTGAAGTGAAAGGGGTGACACTTTCCTTTTTTTTAGCCCAAGGATAATCTCTTAAATTCTGGGTACAAACAATACAGTATAACTCTTATGGTTGCCATGACAACGTGAATCCCTCTCCTCTGATGTCAGGCTGCTCTTCCCCCTCCTTTAGAATCCGAATGCCAGTTTTCTTTCCACAGTAAATGCTGCGCACGGTTTCAAGGGCTCAATGATGGGCTCATATAATAACTCCCTGTCTCCCAGGACTGTTTGTTCTGGAACCCTAAGGTCACATTCTTTTTGGGGCAGAGGGAGCCCGACATGTGGGAGACTAGACCAGGGAAGACAGATTGTTCCAATTAGCCACGTGACCTAATTTTGCTGATGTCTGGGCCAGCCTCTGACCAGTCCAAGGTCCACATCTCTCCTTCCTCCACCTTACACTGACACCAGATCTGCCTTTAGGAGAGCACAGTACCAGGACCTGCTTTGGGGAGTAACCTGGGGACTACGGTATAATTTGAAGCCTTTCTGCTAAAATCTCTTTATCCGTTGGCCTGCACAAAACTCCCATTATTAGAATCACTTATATAGATGAAAGCCTTAAAAATAGCTGCCAAATTAAAATGCTTCCT
The DNA here is from genome assembly GCF_000001405.40 of Homo sapiens. NCBI lineage: Eukaryota > Metazoa > Chordata > Mammalia > Primates > Hominidae > Homo > Homo sapiens. The sequence goes on along the minus strand of NC_000023.11, from coordinate 107,384,111 downwards.
GTGTATGGAAATAAGAACTAGCTTGTAAAGCCTTAGAGTAAATTAGAAAGGGAGGACAGAGCTCTTGAGGGCCTGGGACACAGTATAGATCAATTTGATGCAGGATGAGGAATAGGTTCATAATACTGGGAACTCCTCAGTACACACTGATTTTTCACATTCCTCCCAAGTCTATTCCCTTTTTATCCTAGCTCATTAAACCTAGAAGTCATGCTCGATACCTCCCTCTCAGCACTCAAGTCCAACTAATCATTACTTCATGTCAATTCTAACGTCTTCAAACCTCTCGAAACCATCTACTTGTCTTCACATCCATAATCACTACCCTAGTCCAGGTCATCCTCATTTCTTACCTGCATTACTTTATTACACAAGCCTCCTAACTCATCTCCCTAGTCCTATTTTTTCCCCCTTTTGCCACCCATTCTCCACCCTGCAACCATTCTCTAACATGAGAATGAGATCATACCACTCCTGTACTTAAAACACATCAATGCAATCCTATTGCTTACTGGGTAGAGGTCAGCCTACTTAGCACAGCGCTCAAGACCCTCCACACGTGACCCAGCTCTTGCATCCCCAGCCATATGTCACATCTCTCACCCCACCCCAACACTTCCCACATGACCTACGCTTTAGCCACAACTAACTACTCTTTGTGGTTTGTTGAACTTATCAAGTTTCTGATCTTTTGCACAAGAGGCTTGCTTTCCCTGAAACATGCTCCCATTTCTTTCCCCTTTATCTAATTTACTCCTATTACTCCTAGTCCTTCAAGGGTAAGCTCATGTACTACCTCCTCCAAAGTCTAGATTAGTTACTTTTCTGCCAGGGACCCACAGTACTCATGTATCTTTCAGGAAATGCAGTAACTAAATTGCATTGTAGTTATCTGTTGAGTTACAGATACAGATATCCCCCAGTGGGCTGTGAGTTTTGTGAGGACAAAGACTGTGTCTTTATTTACTTTTATATCTATAGTCCCTAACAAGGTATCTGTCAATTGGCAATTCTCAGTAAATATTTGTTGAACAAATGAACAGAACTCAGACAGTATGGATAAACTAGGGGAATAGCTGCTGCTCTTGGTGGGGGAGAGAAGGCAAAAGGGGAAACTGAAACCCAGGGAGAAAAGAATAAATAAAATTCAAGAAAACTCTGAAAAATAGCATTAAAGAGGAATAAGGCCTATTAGATATTGAAGCATGTTATGATGCTACATTAAAACAGTTGGGTTCTGGAGAGAAAAATAGAGCAACGTCTATTAACAGTCCTAAACACATGTGGGAAATTAGTATATTTTAAAGATGGCATATCAAATCAACAGAGGGGGGAAGATGAATTATTCAAAAATTATACCTGTACAACAAGCTAGCTGAATTCTCAAACTAACTTTTTACACCAGAATTAATTACGGATGAATCAAACATTTTAACATGAAAAATGAAATCTTAAAAGTGTTAAAAGAAAATAATGGGGAATTTAAATATATACAATCCTGGAGAGGAGTGGGCCTTTCTAAGCAGGCCATAAGTTCAAAAACCTTAAAAATAGGATAAATGTGACCACATAAAAATTTAAAACCTTGCCACAGCAAAAAAATACAGAAACAAAGTCAGAAGGCAAATGAAAAACTACAAGATATTTGCAACACTTAAAATTTCCTTAATTTCCAAAGAGCTCAAAAAAATCAAAAGAAAAACACCAACAACCTAGAGACAAATGAGCAAATGATATGAATAGGCAGTTCAAATAAAAAGAAATACAGGCCAGGCATGGTGGCTCACGCCTGTAATCCCAGCACTTTGGGAGGCTGAGGCGGGTGGATCACCTGAGGTCAGAAGTTCAGGACCAACCTGGCCAACATGGTAAAACCCTGTCTCTAAGAATTAAAAAAAAAAAAATTAGCTGGGCATGGTGGTGGACACCTGCAATCTCAGCTACTCCGGAGGCTGAGGCAGGAGAATTCCTTGAACCCGGGAGTCAAAAGTTGCAGTGAGCCGAGGTTGCACCATTGCACTCCAGCCTGGGCAACAAGAGTGAAACTCTGTCTCAAAAAAAAAAAAAAAAAAGAAATACAAATGGCAAATACACATATTTTTAAAGTTCAACCTTACTTGTAAACAAATAAATGCAGATCAAAACAGCAAGATGCTTTTTTTTTTTCCCAAGCATAGTGGCAAATTTTTAAAGAGATTGGTAATATCCACTGTTGATGAGAGTATAGGGGAATAGGCAATTCAGCTACTAAAATTTTTAGGGTACATATTCTCTGACTTAGCAATTCTACTTATATTGCATAGTGATTAAGAGCACAGGCTCTGGAATAAGACTGTCTACATTCAATTTTTGTCTCTACAACTTAGCTTTGTGATCTTAGGAAAGATCCTTAACCTCTTTAAGCCTCAGTTTCCCCATCAGCAAAATGGGGATAATAAGAGTACTTACCTCATAGAGTTGTTGTAAAAATAAAATGAGATAAGGCATGTAAAGTGCTTAGCGCAGTACCTAGCACATAGTAAGTGCTCAATAAGCATTAGCTGTTATTATTATTGTTGCGCTTAGAGGGGCATTTATTAGGATATTCATTGCAGCCATTGTTTATCATGAGAAAAACCCCTAGAAACAACCTAAATATCCATCAATAAGGAATTGCTTTAATAAATGATAATATACTTATGCACTATCATTATGCAGCCATTAAAAAGAAAGAGATGAGATACATCTATATGGACCAATTTGGATAAAACTTGAAGCTATGAACTGTGTAAAAATATGATCTCATTTGTGTAAATAAAAACAGGAAATATGCCTTTCTTTCTTTCCCTTTCTCTCTCCATATATGTATATCATACACTTTTTTCTTGAAATTTATTCAAGATACTGAAAATAGTATCTCTTTGGAGAAAGGATCTGGTGAGTATACATGGGATGACGAACGGGAGAGTTTTGCTTTTCAGTTCATATTTTTATGAACTATTTGATCTTTTGATCTTGTGTGTGTGTGTGTGTGCGCGTGTGGTGTGTGTGTATATGAAATGGCCTCATAAACTCGAAACCTGGCACTGTTCACAATCTTCCAACAGCTTTCCCCCTCACTCTGAATGAAAGCTTAAATCCTTCCAATGGCCTACCAGGTCCTCATGATCTGATCTCTTGCTCTGCCCTTCCCTCTCCAAACTTCTCTCTGGCTGCTTTCTCCCTTGCTTACTCTGCTCCAATCACACTGACTTTTGCACTTTGTTGCAGACATGACAACCAGAGCCCCATCTCAGGACCTTCATCCTTGCTATTGTCCTCTGCCTTTGAAGTTCTTCCTGCAGCCATTCAACTGGCTTACTCCCTCACCTCCTTTAAGTCTTAACTCTAATGCCACATTCTCAGCAAGGCCTTCTATGCCCCTCCTCCATTTAAAAATTGCAACTCCTGACATCTCTTTCCCCATATCCTGCTGTATTTTTTCCATAGCGTTTACAACAATCTAATATACCATAAATTTTCACTGTTACTTTATCACCTATCTCTGCGCTGTCATGTAAGATCCATGAGGATAGAGATTTTTGTCTGTTTTGTTCATTTGTCTGTTCATGCTCATTGCTCTAACTCTAGTGCCTAATGTCTAGTATCTCACAAATAGTAGGTACTCAAAAAAAACTTGTTGAATGAACGAGCATTCCAGACAAGAAGGAGCCTAAGAACCAAGTCCCGCTTTTTTCCTTATTCCAATTCCTCTCTGGCTTTTTTCTTTTTAATTCCTTCTCCCCCTTGTATTTCTAACTTTCCCTTTAACCTTTGCCCGACAAACTAAAAAAATAGTTGTTGAAAAAGTGGATTTTGTATGTCCATTCTGAGATATTTGTATATCCATTCTGAGTACTTAGTTATTCACTGATAACTAAAGAGTAAAAATTCCAGGAATATTTTCATTTTAGTAGGGGTCAAAACCTATAGGCAAAGGGATTATCCACCTTCTTGGAGTCCCTGAGATCTCCTCACACTTGGGGTGCACTTGTTACTAACTTTGAGGGCACAGCACCTCTACTTTCCCCCTCCCACTTATTTAATGGCCCCCATGGCCTAGCAGTTCCTTTAAGATTATTATTTTATTTTCACAATTTCCAGGGCCTAAAAAGAGTGCATAATGTCAAGACCCTTTGGTGTGCTGTATTCAGGAGACATATCTCATGTGCAAAGACACACATAGGCTCAAAATAAAGGGATGGAGGAATATTTACCAAGCAAAAGGAAACAAAAGAAAAAAAAAGCAGGGGTTGCAATCCTAGTCTCTGATAAAACAGACTTTAAACCAAGAAAGATCAAAAAAGATGAAGAAGGGCATTACATAATGGTAATGGGATCAATGCAACAAGAAGAGCTAATTATTGTAAACATATATGCACCCAATACAGGAGCACCAGATTCATAGAGCAAGTTCTTAGAGACCTAAAAAGAGGCTTAGACTCACACACAATAATAGTGGGAAACTTTAACACCCCACTGCCAATATTAGACAGATCAATGAGACAGAAAATTAACAAGGATATTCAGGACTTGAACTTAGCTCTGGACCAAGCAGACCTAATAGACATCTACAGAACTCTTCACCCCAAATCAAAAGAATATACATTCTTCTCAGCACTGCATCGCACTTAGTCTAAAACTGACTACATAATTGGAAGTAAAACACTCCTCAGCAAATGCAAAAGAACGGAAATCATAACAAACAGTCTCTCAGACGGCAGTGCAATCAAACTAGAACTCAGGATTAAGAAACTCCCTCAAAACTGCACAACTACATGGAAACTGAACAACCAGCTCCTGAATGACTACTGGATAAATAATGAAATTAAGGCAGAAATAAATACATTTTTTGAAACCAATGAGAACAAAGACACAACGTACCAGAATCTCTGGCACACAACTAAGGCAGTGTGTAGAGGGAAATTGATAGCACTAAATGCCCACAGGAGAAAGCAGGAAAGATATAAAATCGATACCCTAACATCATAATTAAAAGAACTAGAAAAGCAAGAGCAAGCAAATTTAAGAGCTAGCAGAAGACAAGAAATAACTAAGATTAGAGCAGAACTGAAGGAGATAGAGACACAAAAAACCCTTCAAAAAAATCAATGAATCCAGGAGCTGGTTCTTTGAAAACAAAATAGATAGACTGCTAGTCAGACTAATAAAGAATAAAAGAGAGAAGAATCAAATAGACACAATAAAAAAATGATAAAGGGGATATCACCACTGATCCCACAGAAATACAAACTACCATCAGAGAATACTATAAACACCTCTACGCAAATAAACTAGAAAATCTAAAAGAAATTGATAAATTCCTGGACACATACACCCTCCCAAGACTAAACCAGGAAGACGTCAAATCCCTGAAAAGACCAATAACAAGTTCTGAAATTGAGGCAGTAATTAATAGCCTACCCACCACAAAAAGTCCACGACCAGATGGATTCACAGCCGAATTCTACCAGAGGCACAAAGAGGAGCTGGTACCATTACTTCTGAAACTATTCCAAACAATAGAAAAAGAGGGAATCCTTCCTAACTCATTTTATGAGGCCAGCATCATCCTGATACCAAAACCTGGCAGAGACACAACAAAAAAAAGGAAATTTCAGACCAACATCCCTGATGAACTTCGATACGAAAATCCTCAATGAAATACTGGCAAATCGAATCCAGCAGCACATCAAAAAGCTTATCCACCACGATCAAGTGGTCTTCATCCCTGGGATGCAAGGCTGGTTAAACATACACAAATCAATAAACGTAATTCATCACATAAACAGAACCAATGACAAAAACTACATGTTTATCTCAAATGATGCAGAAAAGACCTTCAATAAAATTCAGCACCCCTTCATGCTAAAAACTCTCAATAAACTAGGTATTGATGGAATGTATCTCAAAATAATAAGAGCTACTTATGACAAACACAGCCAATATCATACTGAATGGGCAAAAGCTGGAAGCATTACCTTTGAAAACTGGCACTAAACAAGGATGCCCTCTCTCACCACTCCTTTTCAACATAGTGTTGGAAGTTCTGGCCAGGACAATGAGGCAAGAGAAAGAAATAAAGGGTATTCAATTAGGAAAAGAGGAAGTCAAATTGTCCCTGTTTGCAGATGACATGATTGTGTATTTAGAAAACCCCATCATCTCAGACCAAAATCTCCTTAAGCTGATAAGCAACTTCAGCAAAGTCTCAGGATATGAAATCAGTGTCCAAAAATCACAAGCATTCCTATACACCAATAATAGACAAACAGAGAGCCAAATCATGAGTGAACTCCCATTCACAATTGCTTCAAAGAGAATAAAATACCTAGGAATCCAACTTACAAGGGATGTGAAGGACTTCTTCAAGGAGAACTACAAACCACTGCTCAAGGACATAAGAGAGGACACAAACAAATGGAAAAACATTCCATGCTCATGGATAGGAAGAATCAATATCATGAAAATGGCCATATTGCCCAAAGTAATTTATAGATTCAATGCTATCCCCATCAAACTACCATTGACTTTCTTCACAGAATTAGAAAAAACTACTTTAAATTTTATATGGAACCAAAAAAGAGCCTGTATAGCCAAGACTATCCTAAGAACAAAGAATGAAGCTGGAGGCATCATGGTTACCTGACTTCAAACTATATTATAAGGCTACAGTAACCAAAACAAGCATGGTACTGGTACCAAAACAGATATATAGACTGATGGAACAGAACACAGTCCTCAGAAATAATGCCACATATCTACAATCATCTGATCTATGACAAACCTGACAAAAACAAGCAACAGGGAAAAGATCCCCTATTTAATAAATGATGTTGGGAAAACTGGCTAGCCATATGCAGAAAACTGAAACTGGACCCCTTAACTTAAAATGTATTAAAGATGTAAACGTTAGACCTAAAACCAGAAAAACCCTAGAAGAAAACCTAGGCAATCCCATTCAGGACATAGGCATGGACAAAGACTTCATGACTAAAACACCAAAAGCAATGTCAACAAAAGCCAAAATTGACAAATGGGATCTAATTAAACTAAAGAGTTTCTGCATAGCAAAACAAACTATCATCAGAGTGAACAGGCAACCTATAGAATGGGAGAAAATTTTTGCAATCCATCCATCTGACAATGGCTAATATCCAGAATCTACCAGGAACTTAAACAAATTTAAAAGAAAAAAACAACCCCATCAAAAAGTGGGCAAAGAATGTGAACAGACACTTCTCAATAGAAGACATTTATGCAGCCAACGAACATATGAAAAAAAGCTCATCATCACTGGTCATTACAGAAATGCAAATCAAAACCACAATGAGATACCATCTCATGCCAGTTAGAATGGTGATCATTAAAAAGTCAGGAAACAACAGATGCTGGAGAGGATGTGGAGAAATAGGAATGCTTTTACATTGTTGGTGGGAGAGTAAATTAGTTCAACCCTTGTGGAGGACAGTGTGGCGATACCTCAAGGATCAGAACCAGAAATACCATTTGACCCAGCAATACCATTACTGGGTATATACCCAAAGGATTATAAATCATTCTACTATAAAGACACATGCACACATATGTTTATTGCAGCACTATTCACAATAGCAAAGACTTGGAACCAACCCAAATGCCCATCAATGATAGACTGGATAAAGAAAATGTGGCACACATACACCATGGAGTACTATGCAGCCATAAAAAGGGATGAGTTCATGTCCTTTGCAGGGACATGGATGAAGCTGGAAACCATCATTCTCAGCAAACTAACACAGGAACAGAAAAGCAAACACCACATGTTCTCACTAATAAGTGGGAGTTGAACAATGAGAACACATGGACACAGGGAGGGGAACATCACACACTGGGGCCTGTCAGGGGGTGGGGGGAGGGTAGAGGAGGGATAGCATTAGGAGAAATACCTAATATAGGTGACGGGTTGATGGGTGCAGCAAACCACCATGGAACGTGTATACCTATGTAACAAACCTGCACATTCCATATATATATCCTAGAACTTAAAGTATAATTTTTTAAAAAAGAGTGCATAACAAGAAGAGTAGCCAGGTGTGGTGGCTCACGCCTATAATCCCAGCACTGTGGCAGGCTGAAGCAGGTGGATTGCTTGAGCCCAGGAGTTTGAGACCAGCCTGGGCAACATGACGAAACCTCATCTCTACTAAAATACACAAATTAGCCAGGCCTGATGTCACATGCCTGTAGTCCCAGCCACTAGGGAGGCTAAGGTGGAAGCATTGCTTGAGCCTGGGATGTCAAGGCTGCAGTGAGCCGAGGTTACACCACTGCACTCCAGCCTGGGCAACAGAGTGAGACCTTATCTCAAAAAGAAAAAAAAAAGGAAAGAAAGAAAGAAAAGAAAAAACTCGTGGTGCAAAATAATAATGAGTATTCTTGAAGAAATGTGGACACATGACTGTAAATACATACATGCCTGTAAATACATATACACATTTACATACACCAGTTGTCAAAAATATATCAAGGCAATTTCTAAGCAATATCCTACAAACAACAACAATATATCTTATACTTAAAACAACAAAGTCCTTGAAAAATTCTCAGTCTTGCAAAGTCCTGTATCTTTTATGAGCCAATAAAAATGTAATCCCAGATCCAAACATTTACAGATCACTCAAATTGCTGCCTTCCTCTACAAAAAGGCAGGAGACAGGATGAACTCTGTTAATAGGATTACACCTGAATATGTGTGGGAGGGCCCAGGGTCAAAATCAAACCATTCAGTTTTATTCAGGGGAAAGATAACCATCGTGTGTGTGTGTGTGTGTGTGTGTGTGTGTGTGTGTGTGTGTGTGTGTTGGGGGAAATAATTTAGATTGAGTTCTGGTGTGAGAGGGTCTTAGAATCCTTTCAGCTCCCATCCACTCTCCATACCAGATACTTTTCTTCCTCCAGTACTGACTCCAATACCTTCTCTGGGCCAGGTCAAAAATCTCTTGTGGGGACTGGTCATTTTTGGGAGGTGAGAATGGTGACTGTGGAGCTTAGAGTCTGATGGAAAATTGAACCATCTGGGATACCCAGCAGGACCTCCTGGCTGAATGCCCCAAATATGTGACTGGAAACAAGGTCATAAGCATCAAAGAGCTCAGAGAAGAGAAGAATGGTGGAGACAAATCTGTCAGCTTAAAAAAACCAAACCATTGATTTGAAGGAACATCTTATTGTTCAGGCCTCAGCTTATTTGATCCTTATGGAGGAGTCTATCTGTAACTCAGTGTTTCTCAACATTTAATGTGCTTGTTAAAAAAGTTTCCCAGACCTCGTTCCCATAGCTGCTTAGTCAGTTAAGTTAAGGTTCATGAATCCGCATTTATAACAAGCCTTTTGTCACCTATGCTGATGCTACTGGTTCTTCAAGAACTACACTTTGGGAATCACAGCTTTTGTTTTAGCTCAGAACTTCTTAAGCTTCAGTGTGCATATGAATCATCTGGAAATCTTGTTAAAATTTAGATTCTGATTCAAAAGGTCTGAGGTGGGGCCTGAGATTCTGCATTTTTAACTAGCTCCCAGGAAATGGTGGTGCTGCTTGCTGGTTTATAGACCACACTTTGGCTACTAAGGGTTTAGCATATGTTCCCTGTGATGGTTAATTTTATTATATATGTCAACCTGACTGGGCCCCAGGATATGGAGACATTTGGTCAAATCCTGTTCTCAGTGTGCTCGTGAGGGTGTGTCTCGATGAGATTAGCATTTGAATTGGCAGACTAACTAAAGCAGATTGCCCTCCCTATTGTGGGTGGGCCTCATGCAATTGATTGAAGACCTGAATACAACAAAAAGGCTGACCCTACCACAAGTAGGAGGAAACCCTTTCCTGCCTGACTGCTTGAACTGGGACAATGGTCTTCTCTTGTATTTGGACTCAGTCTGAAAAACTGACTCTTCTTGGGTCTCAAGCTGGCCACCTTTCAGACTGGAACTACACAGTCAGCTCTCCTGGGTCTTCAGCTTGCCAACTGCAGAGCTTGAGACTTCTCAGCTTCTGTAATTACGGGAGCCAATCCCTTATAATAAATTTATTTCTATATTTCTTTCTTTTTTTTTTTTTTTTTGAGATGGAGTCTCGCTTTGTTGCCCAGGCTGGAGGGCAGTGGCACAGTGGCACGATCTCAGCTCACTGCAACCTCCGCCTCCTAGGTTCATGTCATTCTCCTGCCTCAGCCTCCCGAGTAGCTGGGACTACAGGCACCCGCCACCATGCCCGGCTAATATTTTGTATTTTTAGTCGAGACGGGATTTCACCGTGTTAGCCAGGATGGTCTTGATCTCCTGACCTCATGATCTGCCCGCCTCGGCCTCCCAAAGTGCTGGGATTACAGGCATGAGCCACCACACCCAGCCTTCTTTCTATATTTCTATCTATACCTCTGTCCATATCTATATCTATTTATTGTCTATGATCCATCTTTATATCCTATTTTTTCTGTTTCTCTGGAGAACCATGGTTGATACATCCCCAGATCTAATTTGAAAATCCAGTCTCCCTGTGATTGCGTACTGTGTTTCTATGTTGGGGGATATCAGTCTAAACTGGAATTCTGGAGGCCTAAAAAGTCATACTCTTTGGCATTAGAAGCAGTGACCAAAATCTGCTATGGGTTCATGGGTTCCCTGAACCTTGTAAACAGTAATAATTCATGTTTAGTGAATCTCACATTGTGCCAGGAGTTATGCTAAATATTTACATGCATTATCTTATCTGAAACTCCCAACAGGTAGTACTATTACTATCCCCATTTTATAAATGGTAAAATGAAGACTCAGAGAGTTTGAGTAAGTTAAGTAAGTGAGACACAACCCTACTCTCTCTTTGATTTCCAAAAAGAAATCTTGGTCAATGCTTCAAGAGAATTTTGAACCCAATCTGTCTCACAGCAAGCCTAAGCTTCTAACTATTATATTACACTGTCCTTCCTGCTGACCGGTTATGGTATTGCCTAATTCACATGAGGGGTTCAAGGTAGATTTTGTAGACATGTCTCTCTGCTAGTTTCCCAGAAGATACACTGAAAATACTTACTGAGCTTTTCCTCTTTGTCAATGATTATGGAATGTTTACATTCTAAAATTTGGTGACAGCTCTCAGCTCTGCATGGCTCATTTTTGAGTCATGGCTATATGTTGGGTTTCCTGGTGTAGGCAGATTACATTTAGTACCTTATTCAGGCCCCCATCAGTCCAGAGGTCTAGGGTGGCTCTTTTTCACAGGTTAACAGCATTTATGCATCATCTGTGCATGTCTCAATATTGCAATCATCAGTAGACATCAGTTTCCAGAAGGTAGGCTCTAGCACTTTGGATGCAAGGGGCCTGCAGATTTCCGTACTAGGCAATGTTTCCTATCTGTAGGTGGCAGCAAACAAAGTGATGGGCCAGATGAAACAAATGGTTGCAGGAGTGGCCCAAGTCCAGATCCAATAAGAGCTTTCTTTAAAGCTCCCATTTCTGAAACAACCCATCATTCCCAGAGGAGAGGAGTATGGCTGTTTCAAAAGCCAAAAACAAACTCTCTCTGAACAGATTAATCCTTCTGCCACAGAGGTAAAGCTCAAAACCAAAAACTGGCCAAGGAGCTCTGATGATGTCTATCCATCAGCCAATCCAAGTGCAAATCAGGCTGCACACAGGCTGGAGAACAGAGCCAAACCAGTTGAGTCAGCTGGGCCCTTAACTGTAAGAATGAAAAATATTTCCCACTTCAACTGGTGGCATTATCACAAGGTACTGGTGCTCATTTATGGTGGTAGTGGATACATTTGATTAAGGATCATATATACATGTAAATGTCCTTACCTCTTTTCTGTGCAGGCATCGTCTTTTCCTCATGCAATTGCTGCTGACAAACTCAAAAGACTTTTGGGCAGGAAGTCTGAGTGCCTTGACCTAACATTCACCTTCTGTGCAAAGTAAGGCTTTACTGAGGAAAAGGAACTGGGGCTGGGTAGACTATAAGCTCTGAACAAATTTTTGTGGATTCGCTTGAAGATGCCTGTGCTGTTAACTCCTCCATTTCTATGCATTTGCATTTGACTTCTAATTCCAACCTCATCTCTGCGGAACTGAGGGATTTGTCCACGACTGGCCAGCTTAGATAGGGAAATAGTGGCTTCTCAGAGGCCAGGTGTCGGGGTGGCAGCATTCATCTCAGCTCAGGATTCTCGGGAAAGCCTGTGGAGGTGGAGGAGAGGCAGATGGAGACAGCTGAAGCTGTTACTGAGTCCTTCCTGTCTGAGACTGCCCTTCCCCTTTGATTTCTGTAGCAGACATAGTTGCACTACTTAATTTTAATGTCTCAGCCCTGGCATGAAGAAATGCTGCTGGTGCACCTGATTCACAGTACCCAGGAAAGGAGAGGCCAACAGGATCACTGGGCCCAGGCCTTAAGCTCTGTGCAGCAGCAGATTTTGGCTGCTGCTCAGTGACCTGTTTGTTCCATGGAGCAAGGTGGGAGATTTCCTCATAAATATTGGTCCATCTATCCTGCACCACTGACGCCAGCACTAGCCAAATCTGTAGGAGAAAAGGATGGATCCAAGGGAGAAGTGCCTCAAAATCTGAAAACCACATGAGCTTCATTGAGAGGTTCTGAGGACTTGTGAAGTGGCATTTAAAAAATAATAGCTTAATCTGCATGTTGTCTGAGCTTGCTGATTCTTATTTATTTTCATTTATTTTACTTTTATTTCACTTCATTTTATTATGACACAGAATCCCTTGACTGGCTTCCCTTAGTTAAGTAAACTAAGGCCAGTGTGCACATTTGTGCAAGAGAAAGGGTGTTACAGAGTCTTTTGCCCTAAGCTTCTCTAATTCTTTCTTTAAACAGAGCTCCAGGTGTGCGTGTGGAGTGGGGAGGGAAGGGTGGTGGCTTCTGAAAGGAAAAGGAGTGATACCCCAAGCTGTCTTCCTGGAGATTTCAGATTAGGGAAATCTGACCAAGTGGGTAGGCCTGACCATAGTTTCTTGGCAGGCCTACAACACTGAAGGCCACAAGGAGCAGCTCAGTGTGATGGAAGGGAAGTGTGTAATTTTGAAGGCTTCTTTTTCTCTGCTTCCTACTCTGCTTCTGGCTTCTGCATCTGCATGTGTTTTTGTTTCCCTTGGGTCACCAGGCACAACCTTAGTTCCTCTTTGATTTCCAAAAGAAATCTGCTCATACTCAGTATTCAGCAAGTCCGGATAACCTTCACTGATGTTTTGGGAGGATGCCAGAGAGGGGTCACAGCAGGGAGCCCTTCAGTGTCTGCCAGACCTCTTATATTCTTCTTCCTATCCTTCCTTTTATGCTTATTTTACCTTCCTCCATCCTAGATTGTGTTCCTACCTCTCCAGCAATTTCTTCTCCCTCTATTAGAGCATCTAGCAGGTCAATCGATCAAGGCCTCAACAGGATTAAGAATCTTTCTTCTGTGTTCCATTAGCCATCCTCTTTAAAAGGAGGTATTTATTTTTGCCATTATCATTTGTCCTCATACTTTCCCATAAGAAAGATGGAAAAACAGAGGTAATAGAGAGGCACATAGCAATCCAACAGTCTTGCACAGGACCAGGCACAAGTCCTTTGTATACCAGCCTGGTTCTCTTTTCTTAAGAGCACTCTTTGTTCTTTGTAATAGGTTTGCTAACTGCACATGTTCTTTTATTTATTTATTTATTTATTTATTTATTTATTTATTTATTTTTTAATTATACTTTAAGTTTTAGGGTACATGTGCACATTGTGCAGGTTAGTTACATCTGTATACATGTGTAATTCTGGTGCGCTGTACCCACTAACTCGTCATCTAGCATTAGGTATATCTCCCAATGCTATCCTCCCTCCCCCCTCCCGCCACCCCACCACAGTCCCCAGAGTGTGATATTCACCTTCCTGTGTCCATGTGATCTCATTGTTCAATTCCCACCTATGAGTGAGAATATGTGGTGTTTGGTTTTTTGTTCTTGCGATAGTTTACTGAGAATGATGATTTCCAATTTCATCCATGTCCCTACAAAGGACATGAACTCATCCATTTTATGGCTGCATAGTATTCCAGGGTGTATATGTGCCACATTTTCTTAATCCAGTCTATCATTGTTGGACATCTGGGTTGGTTCCAAGTCTTTGCTATTGTGAATAATGAAGCAATAAACATACGTGTGCATGTGTCTTTATAGCAGCATGATTTAGAGTCCTTTGGGTATATACCCAGTAATGGGATGGCTGGGTCAAATGGTATTTGTAGTTCTAGATCCCTAAGGAATCACCACACTGACTTCCACAATGGTTGAACTAGTTTACAGTCCCACCAACAGTGTAAAAGTGTTCCTATTTCTCCACATCCTCTCCAGCACCTGTTGTTTCCTGACTTTTTAATGATTGCCATTCTAACTGGTGTGAGATGGTATCTCATTGTGGTTTTGATTTGCATTTCTCTGATGGCCAGTGATGATGAGCATTTTTTCATGTGTTTTTTGGCTGCATAAATGTCTTCTTTTGAGAAGTGTCTGTTCATATCCTTCACCCACTTGTTGATGGGGTTGTTTGTTTTTTTCTTGTAAATTTGTTTGAGTTCATTGTAGATTCTGGATATTAGCCCTTTGTCAGATGAGTAGGTTGCGAAAATTTTCTCCCATTCTGTAGGTTGCCTGTTCACTCTGATGGTAGTTTCTTTTGCTGTGCAGAAGCTCTTTAGTTTAATTAGATCCCATTTGTCAATTTTGGCTTTTGTTGCCATTGCTTTTGGTGTTTTAGACATGAAGTCCTTGCCCATGCCTATGTCCTGAATGGGATTGCCTAGGTTTTCTTCTAGGGTTTTTATGGTTTTAGGTCTAACATGTAAGTCTTTAATCCATCTTGAATTGATTTTTGTATAAGGTGTAAGGAAGGGATCCAGTTTCAGCTTTCTACATATGGCTAGCCAGTTTTCCCAGCACCATTTATTAAATAGGGAATCCTTTCCCCATTGCTTGTTTTTGTCAGGTTTGTCAAAGATCAGATAGTTGTAGATATGTGGCATTATTTCTGAGGGCTCTGTTCTGTTCCATTGATCTATATCTCTGTTTTGGTAACAGTACCATGCTGTTTTGGTTACTGTAGCCTTGTAGTATAGTTTGAAGTCAGGTAGTGTGATGCCTCCAGCTTTGTTCTTTTGGCTTAGGATTGACTTGGCGATGCGGGCTCTTTTTTGGTTCCATATGAACTTTAAAGTAGTTTTTTCCAATTCTGTGAAGAAAGGCATTGGTAGCTTGATGGGGATGGCATTGAATCTGTAAATTACCTTGGGCAGTATGGCCATTTTCATGATATTGATTCTTCCTACCCATGAGCATGGAATGTTCTTCCATTTGTTTGTATCCTCTTTTATTTCCTTGAGCAGTGGTTTGTAGTTCTCCTTGAAGAGGTCCTTCACATCCCTTGTAAGTTGGATTCCTAGGTATTTTATTCTCTTTGAAGCAATTGTGAATGGGAGTTCACTCATGATTTGGCTCTCTGTTTGTCTGTTGTTGGTGTATAAGAATGCTTGTGATTTTTGTACATTGATTTTGTATCCTGAGACTTTGCTGAAGTTGTTTATCAGCTTAAGGAGATTTTGGGCTGAGACAATGGGGTTTTCTAGATATACAATCATGTCATCTGCAAACAGGGACAATTTGACTTCCTCTTTTCCTAATTGAATACCCTTTATTTCCTTCTCTTGCCTAATTGCCCTCGCCAGAACTTCCAACACTATGTTGAATAGGAGTGGTGAGAGAGGGCATCCCTGTCTTGTGCCAGTTTTCAAAGGGAATGCCTCCAGTTTTTGCCCATTCAGTATTATATCGGCTGTGGGTTTGTCATAGATAGCTCTTATTATTTTGAAATACGTCCCATCAATACCTAATTTACTGAGAGTTTTTAGCATGAAGAGTTGTTGAATTTTGTCAAAGGCTTTTTCTGCATCTATTGAGATAATCATGTGGTTTTTGTCTTTGGCTCTGTTTATATGCTGGATTACATTTATTGATTTGCGTATATTGAACCAGCCTTGCATCCCAGGGATGAAGCCCACTTGATCATGATGGATAAGCTTTTTGATGTGCTGCTGGATTCGTTTTGCCAGTATTTTATTGAGGATTTTTGCATCAGTGTTCATCAAGGATATTGGTCTAAAATTCTCTTTTTTGGTTGTGTCTCTGCCTGGCTTTGGTATCAGAATGATGCTGGCCTCATAAAATGAGTTAGGGAGGATTCCCTCTTTTTCTATTGATTGGAATAGTTTCAGAAGGAATGGTACTAGTTCCTCCTTGTACCTCTGGTAGAATTCGGCTGTGAATCCATCTGGTCCTGGACTCTTTTTGGTTGGTAAACTCTTGATTATTGCCACAATTTCAGCTCCTGTTATTGGTCTATTCAGAGATTCAACTTCTTCCTGGTTTAGTCTTGGGAGAGTGTATGTGTCGAGGAATGTATCCATTTCTTCTATGTTTTCTAGTTTATTTGCGTAGAGATGTTTATAGTATTCTCTGATGGTAGTTTGTATTTCTGTGGGATCGGTGGTGATATCCCCTTTATCATTTTTTATTGTGTCTATTTGATTCTTCTCTCTTTTTTTCTTTATTAGTCTTGCTAGCGGTCTATTTTGTTGATCCTTTCAAAAAACCAGCTCCTGGATTCATTAATTTTTTGAAGGGTTTTTTGTGTCTCTATTTCCTTCAGTTCTGCTCTGATCTTAGTTATTTCTTGCCTTCTGCTAGCTTTTGAATGTGTTTGCTCTTGCTTTTCTAGTTCTTTTAATTGTGATGTTAGGGTGTCAATTTTGGATCTTTCCTGCTTTCTCTTGTGGGCATTTAGAGCTATAAATTTCCCTCTACACACTGCTTTGAATGTGTCCCAGAGATTCTGGTATGTTGTGACTTTGTTCTTATTGGTTTCAAAGAACATCTTTATTTCTGCCTTCATTTCGTTATGTACCCAGTAGTCATTCAGGAGCAGGTTGTTCAGTTTCCATGTAGTTGAGCGGTTTTGAGTGAGATTCTTAATCCTGAGTTCTAGTTTCATTGCACTGTGGTCTGTGAGATAGTTTGTTATAATCTCTGTTCTTTTACATTTGCTGAGGAGAGCTTTACTTCCAAGTATGTGGTCAGTTTTGGAATAGGTGTGGTGTGGTGCTGAAAAAAATGTATATTCTGTTGATTTGGGGTGGAGAGTTCTGTAGATGTCTATTAGGTCTGCTTGGTGCAGAGCTGAGTTCAATTCCTGGGTATCCTTGTTGACTTTCTGTCTCGTTGATCTGTCTAATGTTGACAGTGGGGTGTTAAAGTCTCCCATTATTAATGTGTGGGAGTCTAAGTCTCTTTGTAGGTCACTCAGGACTTGCTTTATGAATCTGGGTGCTCCTGTATTGGGTGCATATATATTTAGGATAGTTAGCTCTTCTTGTTGAATTGATCCCTTTACCATCATGTAATGGCCTTCTTTGTCTCTTTTGATCTTTGTTGGTTTAAAGTCTGTTTTATCAGAGACTAGGATTGCAACCCCTGCCTTTTTTTGTTTTCCATTTGCTTGGTAGATCTTCCTCCATCCTTTTATTTTGAGCCTATGTGTGTCTCTGCACGTGAGATGGGTTTCCTGAATACAGCACACTGATGGGTCTTGACTCTTTATCCAATTTGCCAGTCTGTGTCTTTTAATTGGAGCATTTAGTCCATTTACATTTAAAGTTAATATTGTTATGTGTGAATTTGATCCTGTCATTATGATGTTAGCTGGTTATTTTGCTCGTTAGTTGATGCAGTTTCTTCCTAGTCTTGATGGTCTTTACATTTTGGCATGATTTTGCGGTGGCTGGTACTGGTTGTTCCTTTCCATGTTTAGCGCTTCCTTCAGGAGCTCTTGTAGGGCAGGCCTGGTGGTGACAAAATCTCTCAGCATTTGCTTGTCTGTAAAGGATTTTATTTCTCCTTCACTTATGAAGCTTAGTTTGGCTGGATATGAAATTCTGGGTTGAAAATTCTTTTCTTTAAGAATGTTGAATATTGGCCCCCACTCTCTTCTGGCTTGTAGGGTTTCTGCCGAGAGATCCGCTGTTAGTCTGATGGGCTTCCCTTTGAGGGTAACCCGACCTTTCTCTCTGGCTGCCCTTAACATTTTTTCCTTCATTTCAACTTTGGTGAATCTGACAATTATGTGTCTTGGAGTTGCTCTTCTCGAGGAGTATCTTTGTGGCGTTCTCTGTATTTCCTGAATCTGAACGTTGGCCTGCCTTGCTAGATT
The DNA here is from genome assembly GCF_000001405.40 of Homo sapiens. Classification (NCBI taxonomy): domain Eukaryota; kingdom Metazoa; phylum Chordata; class Mammalia; order Primates; family Hominidae; genus Homo; species Homo sapiens. The sequence goes on along the minus strand of NC_000023.11, from coordinate 107,365,804 downwards.
GGGGAAGTTCTCCTGGATAATATCCTGCAGAGTGTTTTCCAACTTGGTTGCATTCTCCCCATCACTTTCAGGTACACCAATCAGACGTAGATTTGGTCTTTTCACATAGTCCCATATTTCTTGGAGGCTTTGCTCATTTCTTTTTATTCTTTTTTCTTTAAACTTCCCTTCTCGCTTCATTTCATTCATTTCATCTTCCATTGCTGATACCCTTTCTTCCAGTTGATCGCATCGGCTCCTGAGGCTTCTGCATTCTTCACGTAGTTCTCGAGCCTTGGTTTTCAGCTCCATCAGCTCCTTTAAGCACTTCTCTGTATTGGTTATTCTAGTTATACATTCTTCTAAATTTTTTTCAAAGTTTTCAACTTCTTTGCCTTTGGTTTGAATGTCCTCCCGTAGCTCAGAGTAATTTGATCGTCTGAAGCCTTCCTCTCTCAGCTCGTCAAAGTCATTCTCCATCCAGCTTTGTTCCGTTGCTGGTGAGGAACTGTGTTCCTTTGGAGGAGGAGAGGCGCTCTGCGTTTTAGAGTTTCCAGTTTTTCTGTTCTGTTTTTTCCCCATCTTTGTGGTTTTATCTACTTTTGGTCTTTGATGATGGTGATGTACAGATGGGTTTTTGGTGTGGATGTCCTTTCTGTTTGTTAGTTTTCCTTCTAACAGACAGGACCCTCAGCTGCAGGTCTGTTGGAATACCCTGCCGTGTGAGGTGTCAGTGTGCCCCTGCTGGGGGGTGTGCCTCCCAGTTAGGCTGCTCGGGGGTCAGGGGTCAGGGACCCACTTGAGGAGGCAGTCTGCCTGTTCTCAGATCTCCAGCTGCGTGCTGGGAGAACCACTGCTCTCTTCAAAGCTGTCAGACAGGGACATTTAAGTCTGCAGAGGTTACTGCTGTCTTTTTGTTTGTCTGTGCCCTGCCCCCAGAGGTGGAGCCTACAGAGGCAGGCAGGCCTCCTTGAGCTGTGGTGGGCTCCACCCAGTTGGAGCTTCCCGGCTGCTTTGTTTACCTAATCAAGCCTGGGCAATGGCGGGCGCCCCTCCCCCAGCCTGGCTGCCACCTTGCAGTTTGATCTCAGACTGCTGTGCTAGCAATCAGCGAGATGCCGTGGGCGTAGGACCCTCCGAGCCAGGTGCTGGATATAATCTCGTGGTACGCCGTTTTTTAAGCCGGTCGGAAAAGCACAGTATTCGGGTGGGAGTGACCCGATTTTCCAGGTGCGTCCGTCACCCCTTTCTTTGACTCGGAAAGGGAACTCCCTGACCCCTTGCGCTTCCCGAGTGAGGCAATGCCTCGCCCTGCTTCGGCTCGCACATGGTGCGCGCACCCACTGACCTGCGCCCACTGTCTGGCACTCCCTAGTGAGATGAACCCGGTACCTCAGATGGAAATGCAGAAATCACCCGTCTTCTGCGTCGCTCACGCTGGGAGCTGTAGACCGGAGCTGTTCCTATTCGGCCATCTTGGCTCCTCCTCTCCTATTTTTTTTTTTTTTGAGATGGAGTTTTGCTCTTTTGCCCAGGCTGGAACGCAGTGGCACAATCTTGGCTCACTGCAACTTCCACCTCCTGGGTTCAAGCAATTCTCCTGCCTCAGCCTCCCAAGTAGCTGGGATTACAGGAGTATGCCACCATTCCTGGCTAATTTTTGTATTTTTAGTAGAGACAGTGCTTCCCCATATTGGCCAGGCTGGTCTCGAACTCCTGACCTCAAGTGATCTGCTTGCCTCAGCCTCCCAAAGTACTGGGATTACAGGTGTGAGCCACTGTGCCCGGCCCCCAACTGCACATGTTCTAATGAGGAATCTTTTCTGGATGGTGGATAATATGGTTTGGTAGTATTTTTCCGTCCAAATCTCATGTTGAAATGTGACTTCCAATGTTGGAGGGGAGCCTAGTGGGAGGTGTTAGTGTCATGGGGGCAAATCCCTCATGAATGGCTTGGTGCTGTCCTAGCAGTAGTGAGTGAATACTCACTCTATTAGCTCACACCAGATCTGGTTGTTTAAGAGAGCCTGGCACCTCCTCGCTTTTCTCTCTCTTGCTCCCCCTCTCACCAGGTGACATTCTGGCTCCCTTTCACCTTCTGCCATGAGTAAAAGCTTCCTGAGGCCCAACAGAAGCTGAAAAGATGCTAGCACCATGCTTGTACAGCCTGCAGAACCGTAAGCCAAATCTACCTCTTTTCTTTATAAATTACCCAGTCTCAGATATTCCTTTACAGCAATGCAAAATGGACTAACACAGTGGATGATCTTGTCATTATCCCCTAGGCTACATGCTTCTCTAGGTTCTCAGGTGAAAACACCACCTCCCTAAGAATTGAGTGTTCTTGGAATGCAGCCAAAGAACCTTTCAAGATATAGGAGAAACTATAGATCTTGGAAGGAAGAAATATAGATATTGAAAGGATCTTCAAGATCTATGAGGGCTGTTTAAATTGTTTGGGGTATATTTCCTCCTTTTCAAAACCCACTTCAACACTAGCTAAGAGGGAAGAAATTGGGGAGGGATGACTGCAAAAGGTTGAAATAAGCAATCTTCCATAGAGGATTTTTTTTTTTTGAGGATTTTTTTAAAAGCCAGTTAAGCCACTTAGCACTGTGGTCAAGGCAGTCAACCAAATATTGAATTTCTTCAGGAAGACCTATTCCTCCTCTTATACAAAGAACGTCTGCCCCAGATCTCTGTATGCAGGGAGATTAGAGCTGGGGAAGGCCTATAGAGATAGTGAGTGTAGATGTGGTCACTAAATCTCGGAGACTCTTTCAGAGCTCACTTGAGGTTTTGAAAGAGGTATGTTTAGGGAAACACAAATCAATGTGATTTTATGCAACAGGAAACAAATAATGTATGGAATTCATTATCCTCAAGAGTTAGTATAAGCTGAAAGTATGTATAAATACCTTTTTAAAAGGGTTAGATGCTTTCATAAATTTATGCATCGCTGGTTACTAAGGGCAACGAGGATGTTTTCATGGGAAGCCAGAAACAGAAGAGATATTAGATATCAGCTAATCTCTTCCCCTCCACCCCTCTACCTCTGTAGTGAGGGGGTATCAATACAGGACCTCTTAGAGCCGAAGGGGAGACTAGATGGGAAATGGGTGATTTCTAGTGGTCTCCCAGGTAACCCCCACCCCAACCTTTTTCTTCAAAGTTAAATTTTAAGAGAGGGAAGCGGGGACCAAACACACTTAAAAGCCTCTAATTGGCTAAAGAAGCCACATTGACTCCAGGTGTGGGGGACTTGGTGGACGGGCAGTGGGGCTAACATGCAAAGATGGGTAGTAAAAGGAGCCTGGCCAGGCGCAGTGGCTCAGGCCTGTAATCCCAATACTTTGGGAGGCCAACATAGATGGATCACTTGAGGCCAGGAGTTCAAGATTAGCCTGGCAACACGGCAAAACCCCATCTCTACTGAAAATACAAAAACATTAGTCGGGTGTGGTGGTGCACGCTTATAATCCCAGCTACTCAGGAGGCTGAGGCATGAGAATCACTTGAGCCTGGGAGATGAAGGTTGCAGTGAGTTGAGATTGTGCCACTGCTCTCCGGCCTGGGCGACAGAGTGAGACTCTGTCAAAAAAAAAAAAAAAAAAAAAAAAGCCTATTCTATATTCTAGCGGAGGCTCTCTTGGAAGAAATCAGTCTAATAAGGAAAATAAATAAGTGAGAATATTAAGAGTTTATGTATAGCACAATGGATATAAAATGAAGGTGTGGAAGGGATGAGTACTGTGTACCAAGAAGATGGAGAGCTGGGCCAACTGGCCTCAGATGTGAGAGAGACCCTGAAGAGAAGGACAGCATTTGGCTTAGACACATCAAAAGGGGGAACAATTAGCTCTGCCATCATCTAATTGGGGCCATGGAGGCAGTTTACACCTCACGTTCATTCAGGGACAATGTAAATGGTGCCCCCTGGAGTTGTGCATCTCAGGAGCACTCCTCAAAAATCAGCTACTCCAACTCCCCCATTTCCAGATGAGGAAGTGGAGGCCTGGAGATGTGAATGAGAGGACTACTCGGGTTGCACAGGTATTTTACGTCAGAGTGGGTCTCTACTTCCCCTCCACCACATTATCTTGCCATGGAGGTTGAGCTATCAAAGGCAGCCTGGTCCTCTTATGAGACACACCTAGAGACCCCTTCATCAGGGAAACAGCTGACCAACACATTAAAATTACACATTAGAATTACCCTCATTTCCTCAGCTGGATGTCATGCATTGACCAACCTGCCCGACCCTACATGGTAGTCCTGACGATTACAGAAAAGAGTGGTGGGTTAAAGAAACTGTGAAGCTAATCCAGGAAGCATCTGTTATGCTCTGATGTTTCTATCAGAATGACTTAGGACTATGCCAACCTGAAGCTGCCTGTGGGCCTATGAACTGGAAATGAAATCCCTGGGCCAGAGCTGTCACTCTGTCAGGTAGAAAAAGGAGGCTGACTGCTTTTGGCTACCTAGGGTCCACCAGAATTGAGAGGTGACTGGAATTGCAAAGCTGAAAGTTTCTGCTAGGAGAAAGGCAGCTGAGTGTGCTGTTTATTCAACAGGCACTAAAAATGAAGTTTGGCACCTCGTTTGAGAACTTCCAGTAGCGTGAAGAAAGCTGATTCATTTGTTCAAATAAAACCCAATTGTAGTACTGTTTAACAGTGAGATAACATCTTATATTTATAAACTTGTCTTATAGCCTGAGGGAGTCCACACCACTTTACAGACTTCAAAATCTGAGAGAAACTAGGACTATGTCTTCTAACACTGACATGCCCTCCCCTGGGGTCTGGATGGCAAGGGTGGGGAGGGATCAGCCCCTGCAGGAGCTTTACAACAAATTCTCCCCAGTGCAGTCCCACAGAGCAAGTTCCAGAATTGGGCCTCCTACTGACATACAGCAGGAGGGGGCCTCTGCAGGAGAAGGGACCCTGACCAGTTGGGAGGTGCACCAAGATTTTGCTTGGAGAGAGAGAGAGAGAAAAACAAAACAAAACCCAGTCTGAACTGGGTAGGGTGTGCAGATAGAGTGCCAACTGTTGGCAGAGGTGGTATAGTACCTGATCAAACTCAGAGGGGGGAATATTTCATCTCCTGACAGTCAAAAAAGGGCAAGTTTTAGAAATAAAGGACAATTCAGTTGTTTTAGGGCATTAAGCAACCCTCTGACTGCTATAGACAGGCCTAGCCTTAGAGTTGATGGCCTCAGCCTGACCAGTTTGGATCCCTGTCCTCAGGGCCCTTAAAAGCACACAGTTTATCCTCCACTCCCAGAGTGTTCCTCAAACTTGACTGGACATCAGAATCACGTGGGGAGCTTGTTTTATATGCAGATTCCTGGTCCCTCACCACCACTCCCACTCAGACTCACTAGGTCTGGGGTAGAATTCAGGAATTTGGGTTTTTAACAAGCATTCCAAGTGTTGTTGAGGATGCTACTCCTTTAACCACACTTTAAAAAAAATATTGGCTGGGCACAGTGGCTCACGCTTGTAATCCCAGCACTTTGGGAGATCAAGGCGGGTGGATCACCTGAGGTCAAGAGTTTGAGACCAGCCAGGCCAACATGGTGAAATCCTGTCTCTACTAAAAATATAAAAATTAGCCGAGCATAATGATGCACACCTGTAATCCCAGCTACTAGGGAGGCTGAGGCACAAGAATCACTTGTATCTGGGAGGTGGAGGTTGCAGTGAGCTAAGATCGTGTCACTGCACTCCAGCCTGGGTAACAGAACGAGACTCCGTCTCAAAAATAAATAATAAATAAATAAATAAAATTTAAAAATAAAAAAAAATTGATTCCAGATTCCACACCACCGGCGTTGGAACAAATCTGGGTCTGCAACCCTTGCAAGTAACTCAGCACACAGTGAGCCTTGGTTTCAGTCACACTTTGCTTTCGGGGAAGAACTGAGATCTTGCCAGCACTTTTCACAGGTTGCTCTGAGAAGATCCTGGACATCTTGGGGCACAGGAGAGGTCCCTGCTGTGTAAAATTTAATAATGAGGGAAATTCAGACTATAGTTTCTGCTGAGTAAAGAATGAACCACACCAAGTCCACTAGGGAGTAGGGCAATTACCACTACCCTCCCTCTCCCCTCTCCCCCCTCCCACCCTCACAAGCCACTCTAGGGACAACTTTCTTCCCTTGGAGTCAATGAAGTTGGCTCTTTCCTGCCTGTGACAGCTTCATAATGTCTATATAAATGGGGTTTGTGGGGAACCCTGGGGTTTGTGGGGAACCCTTTGGTTGAAGGGGGAGGAAGTAGGGATTTTGCTTTGAGGCTGTGTTGGCAAAGCAAGCAAAGGTTTTTACTCAGCATGATGTTTTCTAAAGCTGCTTTTGTTTATGCTTAACATTAAAACTTCATTTGTGCATGTTAAAGAGTGGGGAGGGAAAAGCCAATGGAAATAATGAGGGACTAAGGACACTTTCCCATCTAACCTCTGCCATTGCCTCAGCCTACAACCATGACTCTGGCTGAAAATAATGCCAACTATGTGAGGGCTGTGAGACTAGAACTAGGTCTTATTCTCTCCTATCTGGCCCACACAGCTTATCTCCCTCCTAAGCCATCTTTCAGAAATATACCAATTAAGCACAAAAATAGAAACTCTTGAATTGGAGCTTGTCCATTTTCCTCTTTCTATTGTTCCTCAGTTTCCTGTGGCTTAGAAGACGAGATTGAACACACAGCCTGGGGGAAATTTTCCCCACTGGCCCCAGCACTCACTAGTGCCTGGAATTCTCACACAAGTCTGATTTCTTCCTAACACATGACTCCAAGAATCCCTAGGTAATTATAAATAGCTCTGATGGGGCGAACACATAGTATCAGTCACTAAAACTGCAGTGTGAATGTGCTAGCCATCTCTTTTCCAATGGGATAAAAGGGTCTATGAATCCAGAGACATTCAATTATGCCACACTTTAATGGAATGTATCTACTCCACCAAAGTCAGCTGTAAAATGACTTCTGCTTCTTCATTAATTGTTCTCCTTACTTTCCTTCCTTCCTTCCTTCCTTCTTTTTGTCTTCCCTCCCTCCCCTCTCTCCCTTCTTCCTTCCTTCCTCACTCCTTCCCTCCTTCCTTCTCTCCCTCTGTCCCTCCAGTCTTCCAGTCCTCCCTCCCTCTCCTTCTTCACTTCTTCCCTGTTTTTGTAGATGTCCTTTAGCAAGTTGAGTAATTTCCCCTCTATTCCTAGTTTTCTGGGTGTCTTTATCATGAATGGTCATTGGATTTTGTCAAATCCTTTTTCTGCATTTATTAATATGATCATATAATTTTTCTTCTTTTGCTTGTTGATGTGATAGATTACACTAATTGATTCTTGAATATTAAACCAGCCTTGTATACCTGGAATAAATCCCACTTGCTCATAGCTTATTGTTTTTATACATTGTTGGATTGGATATGCTAATATTTTATTGAGAATTTTTGCATCTATATTCATGAGAAATGTTGGTCTGTAGTTTTCCTTTCTTGTAATGTCTTTGTATGGATTTAATATTAGGGTAATGCTGGCCTCATAGAATGAATTAGGAAGTTTCTTCTGCTTCTGTTTTCCAGAATAGATTGTTGAGAATTGGTATGATTTCATCCTAAAGTATTTGGTAGAATTTGCCAGTGAGCCCATCGGGTTCTAGTGCTTTCTGTTTTGGAAAGTTATTACTTATTGATTCTGTTTCTTTAACAGATGTAGACCTACTCAGATTACCTGTTTTTCCCTGTGTAAGGAAAAATGTAGATGTGTCTTTTAAGAAACTGGTCCATCTCACCTAAGTTATCAAATTTGTGGGCATAGAGTTGTTGAGAATATTCCTTTATTTTCTTTGTTATGTCTATGGGATCCCTTCTACTTTTTACCCATTCACTCAAGAAATATATATTCAGTACTTACTATTAAAAACATTAGTTCAGCATATATTTATTAAATGCCTATTATGTGCCAAGTACTGTGATAGGGCTGGGGATAGCATGACATTGACGTCTTGGAACTTACTTTCTTGTAAAGAAGATCAAAATTGAATGAATAATAGACATATCAACCAATTGTAATTGTGACTAGTGCCAAAGAAGGAATTAAACAAGATTGGAGAGAACTTCTTTAGCAAGTGTGGGCAGGGAAAGCCTCTCTAAAGGAGGTGACATTTTAGCTGAGAACTAAAAACTGAGAAGGATCCAGCCTTGAGAAAAGCCTAGGAAAGGGTATTCCAGGCAGAGGAAACCACACGTGTAAAGAAAGACACTCCAGAAAAGGAAGAGATCAGCATGTAGGAGGGAATGAAATAAATTCAATGTGTCAGGAGCATAGAAAGCAAGGTAGACCAGAAAGGTCTAAGAGGTGGGCAGAGGCCAGATCCTGTAGAACCTTATAAGCCATGGTAAGGAGTTTGGATTTTATTCTAAGTGGAATGAAGAGCTTTTGAAGGGTTTTAAGCAGGAGAGTGACATGATCTAATTTACATTTGTAAAAGATTACTCTGTGATCTTTCCTCACTGCTGTGGGGAAAATAGAATAGAAGGGAGCAAGAGTGATGTCACAGAAATCAGTTAGGAGCTATTGCAGTAATCTAAGCAGGAAGAGTTGGGTGGCCTGGATTTGGGCAGGGGGACAGTGACAGTCAAGATGGAGAGAAGGAAAAATGAATAAATGGGAATTTGTTTTGCCTGGCACTAGACTGGGCATTTACAAACTGCGTGAACTGGGCAATCTCACTGCCTCCATCCAGCCACAGGAGGTTGCCTTTCTCTACCTTCAGTTTAAGAGTTTCTTCCTCAAGAGCCAGGAACCACAGAGTCACCCCACTGGTTCCACACTTTACTCCAATAAGCTCTGGGAGTGACTCTTATAGATCCCTGGGCCTATCAGTGACATATGTTCAGGGGATCACTGGTTCCATTCCAAACAGGTGTTTCTACATTCTGGGCACATCCCAAGCAGTGCATACTCTGAGGATCATTGTTCTCATCTCTCCCGGGTGGGTGACATTTAGAATGATTATTGTTCAGTAGCACTCAGGCTTCTACTAAATGGTATGACAGAAGGAAGAACTTTGACTATCATGGTGACTAGACAGTGGAATGGATTGTCAGAGGAGGTTATGAAGGTTCCTTCAGCCAGACAAGCTGCTGAAATATGAAGACATTATGTATCAACGTGAGCAGCATCTTTATATTCTAAGGGTGGGTAGAGAAAGCAATTCAAGTGACAAGAGGAGTAAGGTGGAATGGTGCTGTCAATGCTAGGTCATGGGTGGCTGCCAAACAACACATGCCAGGACTCACAGGCAGGCTGGGCCAGCAGGCAAATAGGGAAGCTAGAACGAATGACCAGGGAGCTAGTAAAAGTGCGTTATGAGGGGGAAACCAAGGTCTGAATCCAGGGTGTAAAGCCAAACTGGAGGACACAGACAAGGTCTGGAGTCTGAAAAGATAGGCAAGAGTGAGGCTGCAGAGGTCCAAGCCAGGCAGAAGGCAGTGTCAGGAGAAGCCCATTCTAATAGTGGTGTTGGTCTCTGGCTGGGCTTCAAGCCAGGAAGAGGGAAATAGGTGGAGAGAAAATCAGAGTGGGAAAAGTGTCTCCTGAATCAGAACAGCTAGGTGCAGCCACATCATAGCCAGCCAGCCTGTATCAGTGGAACCTAGAACTGGTACCAATCTGCTTTCTGCCCTGTTTTCCAGCTTCCCGAGAGAGTCAGAGTCTCATAGCTTTCTGTGACTTCAGCACAGTGCTAGCCGTCTAGGGGACCGGGCATCACTGGGTAATTTACTGTCCCTGTTCCTTGCACTTCTGTGGCCGGTGGATGTCCTTGTGAGCTGGGAAACAGGCTGAAAATAAAATCGAGTTCACAACATAATCTCGCATAGAAATTTCTCTGTTTCTGCCCCTGCCTGTATTGGCCCCTCTTCAAAGTCTTCCACCAACCCAACTATTTCTGCAAGTCTCCCAGAGGTCTGTCCCAAGGTTCATTAACAAAACCCCTTTGCCTCCCCAGTGGCTTCCAGCATTTCCTCTGTTCCTTTTCTAGCTCCCTGGGGTGATAATCCTCTTCTAATGCCCATAACAAAACCATCCATACAATGAGGTGGCTGCTGCTGCTGCTGCTGTCACAAGCTGCCGCCTACCCAACTGAAACTACTAAAACCAATGCTTCTGATGTGGCTTTGTGTACTCAATGCCCCACAGAGATTTTAGTGAAATAGTCCTTTAAATTGGTACTTATTCTTACAAAGCTCTCTCTGCTTAGGACTTAGTATGAGATCTGGGAGGTGAATCAGAAGATAAGCAGGATAGTGTCCTCTGGTAGGTATTGTTTTGTTTTATTTGTTTGTTTTTGGTCTTCCCAGCAGGCTTTCTCTCTCCCCTTCTGTTCATGATAGACTCTACTCCTGACCTTAAGGGTAAGCACGTGAAGTAGACCTGGACAAACACAGAGTATCCATTCTCCTAGTGACAGTGATTGGACCAAATTATAGGCACATTACCAAGGAAAGCCAATCAGAATTGTTCCCTGGGATAGATGAATGGACTCTGGGAGGTAGAAATTTTCTTTGCTAAGCTGTAGCTGACGGCAGCTGTGTTTCCTGCAATATGGAGAAGACCAGTCTACATCAAGAGAGTGAGACAAATGGGAAAGGAGATGCAGAGGCAAGCAGAGATAAAATACGGACACAGTTCTGACAACGTTGAATCCCTAGGCTTGGTTCCTTTGAGCATTCCACTCTCCTTCCTAGCCTTTTGCACCAATATAGTGCCTTTTTTTTCAAAAGCTGGGTTGGATTCAGTTTCTGTTACTAATTATTTTTAAATGTCCTGATTAATTACAACATGAGAGCTATATTGAAAATTTTCTCTCTCTTTCAATCCTGAGGTCTAGGAGGACCCTCCTTATATGGCTATTCTTTCTTCCATTAGTATGTATCTTTCCTGAGAGGCCCCTTAGGCTCCTAAACAAATAGTTCCCTAGTGGACCTGCCTCCTAGACCCTCCAGATACACACAAGATGAATATGAATCTTTGGGAGAGTACAGTTTAGGCTGCCATGTTGAGCCCTATTCACATATCATTTGTTCATTTAACAAATATTTGTTGAGTTCTTATGATGTGCCAAACACTGTTCTAGGAGCCAAGAATATAGAAATGAATAAAATAGGCAACATTTTTGTCTATATGAAGCTTGAAATAGATTGCAAACAAATAATTAATGTATAATATAATCTCATGAGCATTATAAAAAAAATAGAGCAGGTAAATAAGATAGAAAGTAATAGAGTGGGGTTGCTGTTTTAGGCAGCATGGTCTAGGAAGGTCTTCTGGAGGGCACAGACCTGAATGAAGTGAGGATATGAGTCACGTGTGTACTTGAGGAGAAAATATTATAGGCTAAAGAGACAGAGAGTGCAAAGGCCTGGAACTGCTTGACATGTTTGAAAAAGCAAGAAATGCCAGTAAAATGAGGTGAGCAAAGGAAGAATGGTGGGATACTAGGCCAGAGAGGTAGCCAAGGGCCAAATTGTGGAAGGCCTTGAAGGTTAGGCTCAGAACTTTGTATTTTTTTCTAATTGTGATGGAAAGCCATTAGAATGTTTTGATCTGGGGGTTGACAGGATCAGTTTACCTTTTAAAAGCCTCCCTCTGACTTCTGTGTAGAGAATGGACCATAGGGAATAAGAGTGGAAGCAGGAAGACCACAGAGGAGACTACTACATTAGATATTTTTTGGTGTTGTTGTTTGTTATTGTTTTTTGTTTGTTTGTTTGTTTTTACAGAGTCTCACTCTGTCACCCATGCTGGAGTGCAGTGACACGATCTCAGCTCACTGCAACCTCTGCCTCCCAGGTTCAAGCAATTCTTGTGCCTCAGCCTCCTGAGTAGCTGGGATCACAGGCGCATGCTACCATGCCCAGCTAATTTTTGTATTTTTAGTAGAGACAGGGTTTTGCCATGTTGGCCGGGCTGTTCTCAAATTCCTGGCCTCAAGCAATCCTCCCACCTCGGCCTTCCAAAGTGCTGGGATTACAGGCGTGAGCCACTGCGCCCTGCTGAGAAACTACTGCATTAGTTTATGTGAGAGATGATGGTGGTGTCAACTAAGATGGGAGCAATGGAGTCAGTGAAAAGTATACGGATTCAGTATGTATTCTAAAGATAAAGCCAATTAAAGCTAACAGACTATGCTGGTGAATTGGACATGGAGTATGAGAGACGGTCAAGGATGACTCCAAGTGTTTTGGCCTGAGCAACAAAGTGAATCAGGGTGACAACTATTGAGATGGGAAAGAATGGGAGAGGCACAGGATAGGGGACTGGGAACATCATGAATTTTGTGTGGAATCTGTTAAGTTTGAGATGCCTATTAGTCATCTAAGTCGAGATGTGAAGAGGTTAGGAAAAAAATATATGTCAAACAAAGGGATGCAAAGTATTAGGACAAAAAGAACCCTGAGAAACAAGGAGTATCCCAACCATCACCGTGCAGAGCACATCACACTTCCAATAATTTAAAGAGAGAAATATATCTCTTTTCTCAGGATTTCCCCAACCAGGACCTGGCAAAAATTCAAGCTATCACAATAGAAAGGGGTTTCTTGAGCTCAGAAGTTTGAGACCAGCCTGGGCAACATAGGGAGACCTCATCTCAAAAAAAAAAATTAAAAAGTAGCCAGGTGTGGTGGCCTGCGCCTGTAATCCCAGCTACTCGTGGGGCTGAGGTGGCAGGATCTCTTGAGCCCAGGAGGTTGAGGCTGCAGTGAGCTGTGATTGTTCCACTGCACTCCAGCCTGTGCGAGAGAGGAAGACTCTGTCAAAAAAAAAAAAAAAAAATCCGGGAATTTTCCAGAATGCTCCGTGAGAGGCAGGAGGCAGAGAAGTGGTAGCTGCCCAAGCTGCACACATCTCCGGGCTCCTTCCTGCTCCCTCACACACTGGCCTCAGCCTGCTCACCGGCAGAAGATGGTGGATGGTGAAAGAAACCACTTACTATGATGTTTTGGGGGTCAAACCCAATCAATGCTACTCAGGAAGAATTGAAAAAGGCTTATAGGAAACTGGCCTTGAGGTACCATCCTGATAAGAATCCAAATGAAGGGGAGAAGTTAAACAGATTTCTCAAGCATATGAAGTTCTCTCTGATGCAAAGAAAAGGGAATTAATTATATGACAAAGGAGGAGAACAGACAATTAAAGAGGATGGAGCAGGTGGCGGTTTTGGCTCCCCCATGGACATCTTTGATATGTTTTTTTGGAGGAGGAGGAAGGATGCACAGAGAAAGGAGAGGTAAAAATGTTGTACATCAGCTCTCAGTAACCCTAGAAGACTTATATAATAGTGCAACAAGAAAACTGGCTCTGCAAAAGAATGCAATTTGTGACAAATGTGAAGATAGAGGAGGTAAGAAAGGAGGAGTAGAGTACTGTCCCAATTGCCGAGGTACTGGAATGCAAATAAGAATTCATCAGATAGGACCTGGAAAGGTTCAGCAAATTCAGTCTGTGTGCGTGGAGTGCCAGGGCCATGGGGAGCAGATCAGTCCTAAAGATAGATGTGAAAGCTGCAATGGAAGGAAGATACTTCGAGAGAAGAAGATTCTAGAATTTCATATTGACAAAGGCATGAAATATGGCCAGAAGATAACATTCCATGGTGAAGGATACCAAGAACCAGGACTGGAGGGAGAAGATATTATCATTGTGTTAGATCAGAAGGACGATGCTGTTTTTACTCGACAAGGAGAAGACCTTTTCATGTGTATGGACATACAGCTGGTTGAAGCATTCCAGAAGCCAATATCTACTCTTGACAACTGAACCATAGTCATCACCTCTCATCCAGGTCAGATTGTCAAGCATGGAGATATCAAGTGTGTAATAAATGAAGGAATGCCAATTTATCCTAGGCCATATGAAAAGGGTCGCCTAATCATTGAATTCAAGGTAAACTTGCCTGAGAATGACTTTCTCTCTCCTGATAAACTGTCTTTGCTGGAAAAACTCCTACCCAAGAGGAAGGAAGTGGAAGAAACTGATGAGATGGATCAAGTAGAACTGGTGGACTTTGATCCAAATCAGGAAAGATGGCACCATTACAATGGAGAAGCATATGAGGATGATGAACATCATCCCAGAGGTGGTGTTCGGTGTCAGACCTCTTAATGGGCCAGTGAATAACACCCACTGGTGGCATTTTATGTGCAGTAGTAAATGAGTGAAGGACTGTGATCATAACATGCTCACTACTTGCTCTTGTTTTTGTTTAATATTCAACTATAGTAGTGTTTTAAAAAGTTAAATGAAGAATAAATGCAAATGTAAAAGCTCTGACTTTGCCCTGTATGTATGATGACTTCGGTGTGCAAGATGAAGTTTAATACCTGTAAAGACTACTTTACAAAGAAGTTCCCCTAGCATTTATAGGCCAAACCTTGTAATTGACTTCAGCTATGTATGTGGACAAGCTTAGACTGAAATGCTAGGTATGTGTATTGGCTTCAGTGTATGACCCTTCATTGTTAAGCTATGAAAGTAAAACTCTGTATTTAACTGGCAATGAGGAAAAAAAAATATGTAGAGAAGTTTTGATCTGTATAGTTCTTTGTGTTAAGTGGGATTCATTGTAATGCCTCTGCATTTATTCTATTGCCTCAGCTGTTACTTGAAGATGGCATAATATATAATTTGTCCTGTGGCATCAGTGATAAAAATGATACCTTTCTGTAGGAGAGGATTATCATAATAATGCTGCTTCTTGAAGGCTTGCACTTCCAGAATTGTGTTTCCTTCTGCTGTGCCATCCATATATATATATATATATATATACACACACACATATATATACATATATATACACACATATATATATACACACACACACATATATATATCTCCATATATATCTTGACCAGTATTTGTTATTTGCACCCCTTCTTGTCTGTGGACCATGATAAACCTGAGTAGTGACTTCAGAGCTGGGTAATGTAGAAATTAAAATGAAAAGAACTTTACATGGAGAAATAATTTGTATGGGTAATATAGGAAGGTATTCTTTAGGTATGTTACAGGATTACTTTAAACCATTTGACTTATGCTCCAAAGTAACTAATGTTGTTAGCATAGCAAATTATGATGAATAGCTTTAACTGTATGTTTAAAAGTCTCATCATATGTTTACATGCTTAAATCTGGGTATCAGAATTTAAGCAATTCTTGAAATGTATTGTCTCCTTAATATACTAATTACAAAGCAAAAAAAAAATTCCAACAAACAAGATAACTACATGTACTATTGACTCCTATTGGTTAGAATAAGTGATGTAGACTGAGAGTAAAAGCCATTTTGTACATTTTCTTGAACTTCATGTATATGTCGATGACCAACTAACAGACTGGTTTAATCACCCTCTTTTTCCCTCCCTGGAGTAACACAAGTGTTTAAAGCACATTGAAATACTGAACTCCTTGAGGGCAAGGACTAGCACTTGGTTCAGTAGTTGGAACATAGTAGACACTCAATAAGTGCTTGTTGAATTGTTTTAAAGCTACTAAAAGAATAATCCAAGTAAAAATTGAGACGAGAGTCAAACCAAAGGGACAAGTGAGCAGAATAAGAGGAAAGGAGAGAAAAAAATGTAAATGTGAAGGATAAGAATTCTATGACTGCACCTGGGAGGAGGATAAGATGCAATAGGAGGGGGGAAATTTAAAAAGGAAGCAAATTAGAGGGGTTAAAATTATCATTAGAAAAGAAAAGTAGAACTGAAGATTTGGCTGCCAGCTTTTCTGCCTGATTCCTGCCAACAGGGTGTGTAGCTTCGTTGATGAGAACCTTTTCTTGGCCTTGTACAACAATAGAGCAAGTACAGAAGAAAACTCATAGTTTCAGCATTCAGAGGTCACAGCCAGGCAGTGGGGACGGTGGCCAGCCTTGATCAATGCAGAATTGATTTACAATTTAATGCTTTTGTGTTTCAAAGTAAGATACCCAAAGAGGACAACTGGGGGGCAGACTTCAAATTCCTTCTGCCAACACTAAAAATGAATAGGAGAAGCCCATGTCACTTAAAGCAAGATATATAGTACTGGGAAAGAGTGACCTGTGAATAGGACGTGACAAAGAAAAGGTACTGGGGAAAAGAAAGGGTAATGACCTAAAAGGGGAGGCTGAGAAAGTGATATACAGAGAAATATCAAAGGAGGGCTAAGCCTATAAAATTGAAATTGATAGATGAGGGGATGAGGACATTAAACAGATCTTTAAGAGGCTTCAGGGAATGTAAGATTGAGGGCAAAGCAGAGATGTCTTGTGGAACGCATTACATAACAAGCAGCTTGTGAAAGTTAATGCATAACATGATAGAAAGAAGGGTACGCACAGGGTAGAGGGGCCGGGGCGCCCCAGCAGTTTGTGTCTGAATATAAAGAGTGGAGTGCCATGGCTACAGAGCTAATGGGATCTTGTGAAGACAAAAGAGGATGTTATAGGCTCTTTTTTATATACAGAGAGGATACTGGGGTAATCGGGTTGACCAAGCATTGGTGTCAACAGAGTGGCATTAACATCTCAGTCCTGTCACTTAAAAGGTAACTTCTTTGGCCAAACTCCTTTGACCTCTGAGCCTCAGTTTTCTTATCTGTAAAATGGGGACAATAAAACTCAAATCACAGTGTTGTCATCAGGATAAGCAGTGCATGAACAGTGACTTGCACATAGGAGACACTCAATACTACCACTACTATTACTACTACTACTATTGCTTTTTCTGTCATTATGCAATCATCCTTTTACTTAAAAAAATAAGGTGAACAGACAAAATACACTGTTGGAAACTATGCTACCCCTAATAAAAAATTCCTTTTGTTTCAAGGTAAGGAAAGAGAGTGGATCAAAGGGGAAAGGGCAAATGCACGATCTTAGACATAAAGGCTCATCCAAATATGAGAATGCTGATGTATACAGACACAGCAGAGTCGATGCAGGAACAAGCATATGTTAAATATGGTGTAGGGGATGATAGATGGGGAAAGAATAAACATTAGAGTTTAGTGTGTTTAAAAGTGATATTGATCATTTGTGGAAAGGTGTTTGGCAACAGAAAATAAACTGTAAATGGGCAAAATATCTTAAATCTTTTATAATTAAAAACTCCACGACATGGCCTTCCCTGGAGCTCGTTAAGAATTAGCCCCACATCTGTTTGACATAGAGACGGAGGTACCCTCCTACGGGAAGAGGGAGAGAGACTGAGTCATCTTATCCTTTTCAGAGTTTCCTCGTTTTGCTTCCCTTCTTTTCCAACCCAGCCCTCACCTTTATTTAACTGTCCAAGAGCCTCAGAGCTAAGCTGGTCCACATGTTGATAAAATGCTTGCCTGGTAGAGCCTGGGTGGTTTCTTTTCTTTTCTTGGCCATGTGTCTTATTTTAGTAACAAGCAACAAGCAATACACAGAATGCTCAGACTGAGGGGGAAGAGGACAAGACAGACAATCCTCACAGCTTTGGCGAAACTGTGTTCTTGGGGGTGGGAAGGAAGCACTGCCCACAGAGCAGTGCCTTTCACCAGCGGTTCTGAAAAGGAAAAGGAACCCTAGGAGGGTGCAGAGACTGAAATTAGCCACACAGGCAACCAAATCAGAAAGCTGTCAGTAAGAAGAGCAAGGCTTAGGGCACCCAAAGGAGAGTTAAAGATGAAAGCTGCCTGGCGCAGTGGCTCACGCCTGTAATCCCAGCACTTTGAGAAGCCAAGGCAGGTGGATCACTTGAGGTCAGGAGTTCGAGACCAGCCTGGCCAATGTAGTGAAACCCCATCTCTACTAAAAATACAAAAATTAGCCAAGCATGGTGGCACACACCTGTAATCCCAGCTACTTGGGAGGCTGAAGCGGGAGAATTGCTTGAACCAAGGAGAAGGGGGTTGCAGTGAGCCGAGATCACCCCATTGCACTCCAGTCTGGGCAAAAAGAGCAAAACACACACACACACAAAAAAAAAATGGAAAGAAAGAAAGAAAGAAAGAAAAGGTGAAAGCTTAGACATGCAAAGGGCTATCCACATACTGCTGCACTGGAGGGTGCAGGCTGGTGGCTTGGCTTGGGGTCAGGGGTAGGGGCCCAGAGATGCCCTAGCTACATAATTTGCAGAAACCATTGCAAATTATGTTATTATTATGATGTTATAAGTGTAATTATTGTAAATAAACATATTATATTATTATTGTGTTGTTAATAACATATAATTATTACTATTTGTTTAAAAATTATTCAGAATTTCAAAATAGTAGATCATTAAACCAGTTGGACCCTTCTGAGCATTGGGCCCCCAGTTGCACCGGGCCTTATGCTCATGAAGCTGGCACTGCCTAGGGACATTTTTATGTGGATCACCAAACGTAGGCTCATTATTTTATTTAATAAATCAAGATGATAGGGCTAGAATAATTTTGTGTTGTTTTATTCAAAGTTTTGTTTTGTAAATTTTAGAACTTCTTTTATGATTTTATATTATACTTAATATATATTATGATAACGCAATAGTATTCTAATGACAAATAAAAAGATTTTTTTTTTTTTGCAAATTTGTGTGAATGCCAAACAACTATCCTTTAAATAGGAGCTACTTCCTATTTTCTTTAGTTTCTCTGGCCCCGTGTGATTTTGACTGAGGCTCTGTAAAATGGATAAAAAAGACAAAGAAAGCTATTTCCAGTGCTCTCCTTCTCCCAGCCTCATGCTGCTCTGTGTGTCCTCATTCTGGGCTCTTCTCCCAGCTCTCCTCCCTCCCAAATCTTTCCCTGAGCTCTTTAATGTTCTTTCCACTTATTTGTCACCCCTTGTGGCAGCTATAAAACCAAATCCTTACTTTGAGAATTGGTAATTAAAGGGAAAGAATTAAGCATTTATTCTGCCTTTCCAGTAAGGACTATATTTCAATATAATCAAATAGGCATAGTTTTGCTTTTTGTTTATTTAACACTTACATAGTGCTTACCAGGCAGCATGCTTTATTATTATTGCTTTACTAGTATTACTTAATTTAATTATCATAACACAACATTTTATAGATAAGAAAATTGAGGCATGGAGAGGTTAAGTGACAGTCACATAGCTAGCAAGAGGTGGGACTAGGATTTGAATCCAGACCCTCTGGCTCTAATGTCCATGCTCATACCCACTGCACTGGGCTGCCCTGGTTGAACAAGGTAAATTCTACTTTCCTGAACAACACTGGCTTGGAAATAGAGATAGGGTGATAGAATTTAAAAATCGTTTTTAAGCCTGTCATGAATTCATTGATTCAGACAAGAATCATCAAGTGGGATTAAAACTATTAGGTGAATAGCTGATGGGGACCTGGACATTTGTATGGTGCCAAGGTAACAACACGCAGACTATTTTCTCATCATCAAGAGGAAAGCAACTGTACAATGGGTCTGGCTGCCATCATACAGATCTAGTTGTCAACCATAGCATTACTAACAGCGGGACAACCAGACACTATGTGTCTTCTGACATTCTGCTGTATGTGATGCAATGTCATGTGGATGTGCTCTAGCCGAAGATATTTCATTTGAATGTATCAAGCCTTTTGGTCTAATGTGCAGTTTCTGGGAAATACAGGAGATTGAGAAACAAGCTAAATAACACCACAAATAAGCACTTAGACAAATATAAAATGTGGGACATTTTTTAGAACCACTGGCCTGATTTCCTCAATGAGTCAATTTAACGTGAAATAGAAAAAGAATGTTCTCTAGTTCGAGACTGAAGGGACATAACAAGATGACTGCATGATTTGAAACTGAATCCTGATGTGGACAAACCAGCTGTAAAGAGCATTTCTGGGATAATTGGGGAAATTTGAATATCGCTTGAGCATTGTCAAGTGTTAAGGAATTTGCACACTGAAGTAAAGAATTAATAAAGTAATTTTTAAATGTCCATTCCGAAGTAAATGAGGTCCTTCTCTCTCTCTCTCTCTCTTTTTTTTTTTTTGAGACAGGGTCTCACCTTGTCACCCAGGCTGGAGTGCAGTGGCACGATCTCAGCTCATTGCAGCCTCGACCTCCCGGGTTCAAGCAATCTTCCTGCCTCAGCCCCCCAAGTAACTGGGACTACAGGTGTGCACCAGCACACCCGGCTAATTTTTGTATTATTTGTAGAGACAGGGTTTTGCCATTTTGGCCAGCTGGTCTCCAACTCTTGAGCTCAAGTGTTCTGCATGCCTCAGCCTCCCAAAGTGCTGGGATTACAGGTGTGAGCCACCAAGCCCAGCCACTTTCACTCTCTTTACAGAATGGTCCCTCCACTTTGCCCTGAGTGAATCCTGACCCCTTCCTTGCCCATTTCTTCCTATAGCAGATATTATTGGTGCTCTACCCATATCCCTTTGGCCCTCATCATTTCTGTCCATGTAGCCTGACTTCCAGCTGCCAGCACCTGCGTCTTTTCCTGGAGGCTTTTCTCTGGCCTCCAGAGCCCTCTTTGCCTGCACACATAGGAAGTCAGAAGTTACAGGGGATTAACAAATTCCCTAGGACAGCTCTGAATCAATGACTGACAGGAGTAGTTGATCCCTTAAGTGGGATAACTCTGAGATTCATATTCTACACAACCTCCTGGAATTCCCCAGCATAATTAAGCTCCACTTACCCACAGTGGTAACTTGATTTATAACACGCCCCTTTATTGGCTCAGTCCCCTTTATATCCAAAAGGAAATACTCCTTTTGGGTATTTCCTGTGATCATCTCCAAACTACTTATGCTGGCTGAAATCTCATATCTCAGAGTCTGCTTTGGGGACAATCCAGATGAATATATTTTACCTGGAGCCCTCTTCTATGGGAATTGTTCTTTCTCCCATAGCCTGAGAGCAAGAGACAGTACCAGCATATTCCTAGTGCCATGCTTTTACCCTCATGCAACATTCTTTCCTTCTTTGACACTTACACCGTTTATCCTCTATGTGTCCTCACTGTTAGCATTTATTGGCATCATGGCTATAATCCCGTATTCACAGAAAATTCTGGTGCTCTCCTCTACACCCAAATCCTATCATTAGCATGAGGGTTTCATATGGAAGTCCTAACCTCCTCCTGGCCTCTTGGCTTCAGGACCCCCTCATCTCAAGTTATCTTTAGCTCTGCTCCATTTTACCCACTGCCTTGGCCACACTGTGGAAGTCATCATCGCCCTGAACTGCTTTACTTCTGAAATTCTAAACTTCAATTTTCATTCTTAGAATATAAGAACCCATTTTTTCAGCTCTCTTACTCTTTCAGTGCTTGCTCATGGGCTTCGCTTCATCTTTCCTACAAGCCTCCATCCAAAGCCAGTCCTGCAATCTACCTTTTCTGTTCCTCATGACTGCTGGAGAAGATCACCCACGCTTGCATATTGCATGGTCTTTAGCCTAAGTTAAACTCTCAGTTTTTGGTCAATAATTTTGCTTATTGTTGGGCAGCAACTTCTCCTTCTCTCCAGTAATGTTCCTGCCTATTTTCTGGGTCCCTTTTCATTTGCCTCAGCCCACTCACTTCTTTTCCAATTTGGTTTCCATCTTGCCTCTGACTCTTGGCTCTATACTCTTTTACAATCTGCCTTTTGCCATCTAGTGGTTCTATTCTTCTCAAAGTCTTGGCTCAAGTATGTATGTACAACATTTCTTCTAGTGTTGATGGAAAAATACCAAACTGTAAAATATTTTAAAGAGGTTTATTCTGAGCCAATATGAGTGACCACAGCTAGGGACACTCATACCCAAGAAGCTTTGAGTAAGTGCTCCTGAGACAGTCAGAATGTAACTTTGTTTCATATATTTTAGGGAAGCAGGAGTTACAGGCAAAGAATACATTCCTTCCATATAAAGGAATGTATAACTTTCATGTAAAACAATACATGGAAGGTATACATTGGTTTGGCCTGAAAAGGTAGGATATCTTGAAGCAGGGGCTTACAGGTTATAGGTGGATTCAGAGATTCTTTTAAACTTTTAAGTTCAGGGGTACATGTGAGGGTTCGTTACATAGGTAAACTTGAGTCATGGGTGGTTGTTGTGCAGATTATTTCATTACCCAGGTATTAAGCCTAGTACCCATTAGTTATTTTTCTGTATTCAGAGATTTTTAAAATTTGCAATTGGTTAAAGGAATAAAGCTTTGTCAAAAATACTTGGAGTCAGTAGAAAAGAATGTTCAATTTAAGATAAGGGTTTGGTAAGCATCATGTGATGTTATGCTAGAGTCAGGTTGTGAGGGCAAGCCAGAAGATACTGGGTCAGAGTGACCTGTAGGGGTGTGTGCCTTAACCCTTGCATGGCATGGCCTTAGGTTCTGTTTATAATTTGTTATCTTATTGTTTCAAAGAGTCCATTTTGTCAGTCTTATGATCTCTATTTTAACATTAATGCTGGTCAATTGTGAATAAACTGCAAAAGAGAGGGAGTGTAATGAAGCATGTTTGACCTCCTTTTTTATCATGGCCAGAAACTTAGTTTTCTATTTTTATTTTTATTTTAAAAAATATTATTAGCCTGTCCTTTGGAAAGGAACTCCATTTTAAAGGTTTCTCTGCCATCCTCTTGGCCAAGAGGGGGTCCGTTCAGTCAGTTGGGGGGCTTAGGATTTTATTTTTAGTTTACGTAATTGTACCTTCAGGACCCGAAGTCTGGCTCTGGCCTTGGACTGGCAGGCCTGCTGGCCCTTCCAGCTTCACTCATTCCATAGTACTTTCCTTCTCCCCTCTCAATCATTAAAAGAGGATTTAGATAACTTCCATTTGTTGATCCATCATTTCAACAAACAGTTATTGAGTATTTTTTGAGCCCAGTGACAGGCATACTGCTAGGAGCTATGCTAGGTGCTGGAATACAGTGGCAAATAAGAAAGACAAGGTCTCTGACCTCATGGCTTGTACATTGTGACAATATCGTTGAAAAAAAACTCATAGAAAATAGTATGAACGACTTCAGATTAGGTAGTCAGGGAACACCTCTATAAGGAAGTAGCATGTGATTCAAGTCCTGAAGGTTGAAAAGGAGCTAGACATGGGAAGAACCCAGTGAATGAGCGTTTCAAGCAAAGGGAACTATAAATGAAACAGTTCTGAGGCTAGAAAGAGCATGATACATAGTGCAAGTACAGAAGGCCAATATGGGTGGAGCATAGTCAGCTGAAGGGAGAAGAGTAGGAGAAATGAGAATGGAGCAAGAGTCATTTAGACCACTGGGCTAGATCATGCAGAGATTTGCAGAACAGACTGAAAAGTTTGAATTTTATTTTAGATGTGGTGGAAAAGCATTTAAGAATTTTGATAAGGAGAGTCACATAATTTGATTTCCATTTTTAAAAGATTACCTTAATTTACAATTTGGGCAAGAGATAATGGTCCCTTGGACTAGGGTAGTAATAGTAGAGATGGGAGAAGTGGATGAATTAGAAATTCATACTGGATATAGAATGGTCAGGATTCACTGAAGGATTGAATTTGGGAAGTGAGAGAAGGAGGAATCAACGATGACTCTCAGGTTTCTGACATATGTTAATGTCATTTTCTAAAATGGGAAAGATGGGAGAGGAACAGATTGGGTGGAGGGAGGGTGTCAAGAGTTCTGTTTTGCATGTGCTATGTTAGACATGTCTAATAAATATCCAAGTGGCGGTTTTAAATGGTCAGGTAGATCTATGAATCCTAATTTTAGAGTCTTTTTAGAGTCTTCACTGAAAATCGTCAGCATAAAGATAGTATTTAAAGCCGAGGGAATGAATGAAACCACCTAAAGAGCAATTTGAGAAAGAGAAGAGAAGGCTCAGGACTAAGCATGGATAACTCCAATAGTTAGAGTTCAGGTAGAGGACATTGAGAAGGAGTGGCCAGATTAGTAAAAGTGTGGTATTAACAAAACCAAAGGGGGAAAGATTTTAAAGAAATAGTTTTTAAAGAAAAGTATTAGAGATCATCTGTATCAAATGCTGGTGACAGAGCTGTTAAAATCAGGACTGAAATGTGAAAACTGAATTTGGCAAAATACAGGGCTCTGGGGATCTTGAGAAGAGAGGTTTCAGTGAGTTGATGAGTATGGAAGCCAGCCTGGAGTGGACTGAAGAATAAATGAGAGATGAGGAAGAAGAGATTGCATGTGTAGACAATACTTCGGAGAATGTTTGCTGTTGGTGGGTGCAGAAATGTGGGGAGGAAGCTGGAGGGATAGTAGGATAAATAAGAGTTTATTTTTGGGTTAATAAATGCTAAATCAAGTTTGTACGCTGATAAGAATTACTTAGTGGAGAGAGCAAAAGTCCTTAAGAAGGGAAGAAGTTATGTTGTGGCATAGACTGTTAGATATCCCCTAATATTTCTCTCCCCTTCTTCCACAATAATAAAATTCCCAATTTATAGCTGGCTTCATGGCCTACTAGAATAAAGATTATACTTTCTAGCCTTTCTTGCTGCTCAATACAGCCTTGTAACTTTACTATCTCTGGCCAAAAAGATGTAACCAGAAGTTATGTCTCCTATCATGTGATAGCTCTTGGGAAACTTTTTTGAAAGATAGCTGGCATAATGCCCTTTGTCCCATCTTTTGTCTCTTTCTCCATCCTACTGCCTGAAATTTGGATGTGATGGCTGGAACTCAAGCTGCTATCTTGGACCTTGGCCACACCCAAGGGATGTGGTAAGTTGAGAAAAGCCTGGGTTTCTGAAGACTCTGTGGAGCAGGGTAACCAGATCAACCCTGAACTGCCTACCTTTGGTCTTTTATGTATAAGAGAAATACACTCTCTTGTTTAAGCCACTATTATTAAAACCACTGTTGCTCTCAGATAAACCTAATGCTAACTGATTAAAATGGGATCCGGTAAACAAGTGGAAGCGATGGCCTTTAACAGGGGACAGTTCATTCAACATAGCAGAAGGCAAGAGTACAGATGGTAAATGTGGTGATGGGAAAGTGAGAAATTTCCCATTTAATTAATTCTCTTTTTTCTCAATGAGGTGGGAGGTGAGGTCTTCCACTTAAAATGGAGATGGACGCTATAGAAGGTTGTATGTAGAAGAGAGATAGTATAACATAGACTCCTTTATATCTAGGAAAGTGGGGAGAAGTCTTTGATACCTGTGAGGAACCCTATACTGGATCTGAATTATTTCTTTCTTTATTTCTGGCTGTCCTGTTATCCTGGATCCTTGACCCATGACCACTTTTTTATTCTTTATTTCCTGCATAGTACCCTTATTATGATGTTCTCATGGTTCTCACCCTGTACTTCCAAAGCTGTTCCCTCTTTCTTGGTTCCCAGGTAGGATTCCCCTGGGATTTCAGTGCTTTCCTAAAACTGAACTAGATTTGCCAGGCCTTTGTTGGACTGTACTTGCAATTTTTAACACCCCACCCCCACTCATTCTGCCCATTTACATTTCCAATGTGCCTTGTTGTCCCTCTACCTTTCTCTTAAGCCAACTCTAGCTGTTAGCTGACACCTTGTGAATTTCTTGTGCCAAAATCCAATTTGTCTATCCTTCAAGGCCCACTCTATGTCCCACCTCCTTCTGGAAGTCTTTCCTAACTATTTCAATCTACCTTGAGTTTTTAATCATTGAATGAATAAGCTGACACTATTATGTGCCTAGAGTTGATTGCTGCCTCTAAAATATCCATACGTAAGTATCCATACATTGATCATTTGTATCACATAGTTGAATACTTGTAACATATGGGTTTCTTCTCTAATGCAGCACAGATGACATATGGATGTTTCCTCGCACTCCCCCTACTCTCTCCTTCTTTTCTTGTCCCTTACCCCTTTACTAGGAGCAGAATTTTTGTAAGTAAAAGTGAAGATTCAGAGGATTTTTTCCCCTCCAAAATAAAGCATTAAAGTCATGCTTCAAAATGAAATCAATACTAGCAAGAGAGTTTTATGTTGTACATGTATCACTCTGAAGAATGTGAAGGACCAAAGTGAGTGTTTCTTGGGCCATTTACATTAGCCTCAATCTGGGAAGCTGGGTAAAAATGAAGATTTCTGTGTGCCAAGAGACATATATAGAATGTTTATGGCAGTATTATTTATAATAGCAAAACAAAACAAAACAAAAGCTAGAAACAACCCAAATGACCACAAACAGAATAGATAAATAAATTGTGGTATATTCATGCAATGGAATACTGTAGAGCAGTGAAAATAAGTAAACTGCAGCTAAATGCATCTACATGAATGCATCTCAAAAACAATGTTGAATGATTAAGTTGCTAAAGAATATACACAGTATAACACCATTATACAAAGTCCTCCAACAAGCAAGCTAAACAGGATTTTTTTGTTTTTTGTTCAGAGACACAATCATATGCGGGAAACACTAAAGAAAGGTGAAGAAGTGATAATCGTAAAATTTGGTAAAGTTTGCCTCTTTGAAGAAGAGGGGAATGCAGTTGGGAAAGGGTACACAGAAAAATGTTCTATTTCTTAAGCTCCGTGGTCGGTACATGGACGTTCATTTTATTGTTATTACTTAAATTATCTGTACGCTCCTTTGTATGTATACCTCAGAGTAAAAAAAATTGAGTGCAGATTTCTACACCCTGACCAGACCTACTAAACCTGAAATGCAGATTTCTAGGCCCTGGGCAGACCTAGTGAACCTGACCTTTAAGGTGAGGTCCTGGAAGCTGCATTTTTATTTGGCATTCTAGGTGGTTCTGAAGTCTAACAACTACTGACATGAAATGTCTTTAAGAAACTCACAGGACCTAAAGGATCACACATTGCCTCTCCCTGATAGAGCCAGGAATCTGGGGCTGAGAAGCAGGCTAGAAAAAGGCCCAGGGGTATGTGGGAGAGCAGATAAACTACAGAGATAAAGATCCCATGCTGTTTCTAGATGCCCTAAGTGTGTAGTAGGACCTGAAGTTTTAGAAAAGTCAAGGGACTTTTAATATTCTTTGAGCTTTGTATTTTAATTCTGATTGGTGATAGAAAAGTCTTTCTGGAGAAAGTCTATATCTATACATCCTCCCAGATACTATCAGCAGTAGTAAAGTGTTACATGTGGGTTCTTTCTCATCTTACTGCAAGCTCCACAAACTTTTTGTGTATATATACACAAAAGTTTTCTGGGGCTGCCATAACAAAATATCACAGGCTGAGTGGCTTAAACAGCAGAAATGTACCTTTTCATAGTTCTGCAGGTTAGAAGTCAAAGATCAAGGTATCTGCAGGGTTGGTTTCTTCTGAGACCTCTCTCCTTGGCTTGCAGATAGCCACCTTCTCTCCGTGTCTTCACATGGTCATCTCTGTGCATGTCTGTATCTTGTTGTCTCTCTCTGTCTGTGTCTTAATCTCCTCTCATAAGGACACTAGTCATATTGATTTTGGTCCCATCCTGGTGACCCCATTTTAACTTAATTACTTCTTTAAAGGCCCTATTAGTTGTATTCTGAGGCACTAGGAATTGAAGCTTCAACATATGAATTTGGGAGGGGGGATACAATTCAGCCCATAGCAGTATGAAATATATATTTTGTTTTTATTGGTTTGTTTTGATATGGCTTTTGTAATAACCTGTATAGAGCTGAGCATACAGTTGGTGCCTAATTCTTATTGACTGATTGATTAGTAACTCAGCTAACAGATTTGGTGGGGAGAAAGCCATAAAGCAATGAGTTAAATGAATTCATCTTTCTCCAGAGTTGATTGTAGTTGTCTTGTGTTTATCAGATTGACTAACCAATCAGTTATTTTCAATTCTAAATAACCCAGGCATTAAGAATCCATGAGACATTCATTCCAAAACATTATAAAGCATTAAGCTGCTTGAAACCTGAACTCTTAATGGTTTGACATTTCCTTTAAAAGCTGCTGGAATCCCTCTCTCCAGGAAGCCCAGTCAGAGGGAGCTTAGTGTTTTACCTATCCAAGTCTTTGCAACAATGAATTAAACATGTATCGAAAAGGGAGGCATCAAATCTTGCAGCATCCCCATGCTGAGCTGGTACTTACCAAGGGCAAGGCCAATCAGCCTCATCATGGAATGGTGGAGGCAGACAGATTTATTGGAGAGGAAGAAACAAGCAAAGAAAACACTTTCCTTGGCAAAGAAAGTCTTTGATTTCTTGGCTCATCATCCCAGACAGAGCTGCTGAGACTGTTCCTTCAGCTCCCACCAGGGCAGGTCTGACTTCTGGGAACTTACAGGCATGTGGGGACTGGGAATGAGGGAAGGAAGCAGGAAGTAGACTCTGCTGTCACAAGACGTAGAAGAAGGACACAAGGCAAACCTGGCCAGATCCCAGTAATAAGCATCAATTCTGCTCACCATACACTTTTAACTTTGCAGAGTGCATTTACATCTATGACTTCATTTCACCCTCACAACAACCTTAGGAAATAGACAAGACAGGTAATATTTCTCTCTCATTATAGATCATGAAAAAGAAGTCCAGAGAGATGGAGATGTGTACAGTTCATTGGTGGTAGACCTAGGACTAGAATCCAAGGCTCTGGACTCACAATTTAGGGCTCTTTCAACTATGCAAAACAGATGACTCTCCTTGGGATAAGAATTAATGTAACTTTCTCACTACCTAGATTTTATACAGGGAGGAGGAGGGGTGGATTTGCGCCACTGACTTTTAGAATTGGAAAGTAAACTTTAAAATCATCAGAAGAGAGTACAAGAATTCAGGAAAAGACCCAACAGGGCTCCAGAAGTCTATTATTTTCCATAAGCCACTTTGTAAAACTACCTCTGTAAGCTTGCCTTGCTTCTGCCTCTTCTGCAACATCCAGCTCAAATAGTGGCATATGAGACCTCCCTACATCAAGCCCTGCTTATCTCTCTGGCCTCCTCATTCTCTAGGTCTCCTCACTTTTCTGGGTCTCCACTATTGTCCCATGATTCAGTCAAAAGGAACAGTTACTGGAAAATGCTGGGCTGTTTCCCACCTCCCAGCCTTCTAACACCTGCTCTTCTACCTCACAGCAACCTTCAGTCTCGTGATTCCTCCATTCTCCTAGTCGGTTAGTCCCTTCGTGTTCCCTCTTCCTTCCATACCAAGCAGGAACCTATAGCTGAGCACCCAAATCCCTGCTCAGCTTCCCCTCCGTTTGCTGGCACCCTATGCTTCTGCCACATCCACCCACCCAAACCCCAACTGTGGAGTCACACAACACTACCTTCTCTGCTCCTACGTTTGAACAGCTAAGCACTACTGGATGCAAATCCCACAATCATGAAGACTGTGGCCTTTACAAATTTCCACTTCCTAACTTCAGCTGGGCTTGCAGCCCCACTCATCAATCCTTTCACTTGTCCTTGGTCCAACCCCTCTCACAATCCTCTCAATGACTCTTCCAAACTTTTTACTTCTTTCCTCAAGCCCCTTACTTGACCCTGCTTCCCTCACTCTTGGCAGGAAACTTTGCCTCCTACCTCATTGAGAAAATTGAGGCCAGCAGGATAGATCTCTGTAACTTCCCACTCCCACCAACTACTATCTCATCTTCATACAGACCCATCCTTCCTTTTTTCTCTTCAAGTTTCAGAAGGTAAGGTGCCATCTTTCTGTTTAAGGCCAACACCTTTAGTTAATCTAGGTCTTGGACCCTCCAGGATCTTGCTCAGTCAGATGACTTCTCTCTCTCTCTCTCTCTTTCAACTCAACTCAACTATGTTTTTCCTCTAAGCGTAAAAACTCAAGCCTCTCTTATAAAAAAATAAGCAACAGAAAACCACAACAAAGCAAACACAAAGCAAAACATTTTGGGGCTCTTGGTCCCCTCTAGCTAATATTCAGTCTCTTTTCCTCTCCTTCTCATGTAATTTTCTCAGAAGAGTATTCTACATTGGCTAGCTCCACATTCTTACTTTACACTCACTTCTTAACCAACTGCAGTCTAGTTTCTGTCTCTCGTCTAACACTCTGCTAAATGCGCTCACCAAAATTACCAGTTACCTACTGATTTCTAGCCCAGTGGGCACTGCTCAGAGTCCTTATCAGACCTCTCTGCAGTTTTTGACACTTCTGATCACTCTCTCTTTAAAGAAAAACAAACAGGATCTCTTGACTTCCACGGCCTCCTCTTCTCTTGGTAGTACCCTATGTCCATCCCTCTGTATGTCTATGGGTCCCGCTTCCTCTAGTTACCTGTTCACTGTTAGTATTCCCCACTGCTCTCCTTAACTCACTGCTTTTATCATGCACTAGTTTCTCCTTGAGTGATTTCATGTGGGTGACTCCTCTTTTGGTTGGAAAAAAAAACTCACTCAAACTATCCTCAGATGGCTGGGTTTCATTTGAGACTATACTGACTGAGATGAGAACACTTAGATAGTTAAGCAGCCTTGAGAATGAAAAAGTCTCTCTGTTTTTTCCTTGGGCTATGTGCTCACTTTCTTTGTCTCTCTCTTTGTTGTCTTTTTCTCCTGTGTCTATTCCATTCTTCTGCCACCAAACATCCTTTGCTTTCCTATCATTTCCATCCCATTCTTACCTCAGCTTCAAATGGTCTCTGCTTGTCATGTCCCAATTTTCAACAATCTTCCAGCTTTGACTCCCATTGTTAACTGGCCTGGAGTCTCTGTAGTTCTTAGCTCAAAATCCTGAGACAGGGATTCTAAATAACCCAGTTCATCTTTTTCACCAGATCTATATCATCAGGCTGTGGTCAACTTACAGATTGACTGCCCTTGGGTCAGTGACCTGGTAGATTCCATCAGCTGTAGCCAAGCCAGATAGGATGGATTGTGTAGAACAAACTATGGCTGCATGGGCAATAGTCAGTGCATGCAGCAAGTTCCCTTAGAAATGGTATGATCATGGGAGGCTATGACTAATATCCTTAGTATAATCTCAAATCTAAATCTTTATCACAGATCCTCCCCATAGCTTTAAACTATTCAAATTAGGTGCTAGGTATCTTCCCTTGTATGCTCCATGGGCTCCTTCAACTCAACATGTCCAAAAGAGAATTGTCCATTTTCCACTAAACTAGCACTGCCTCCTGAATTTGCTATCACAGTTGATGGCACCACTATTCCTATTACCATCTTCATTAGTGCTATTATTATTATTATCTACATAGCTACCCAAGATAAAGATCTGGATGTTATTGTTGATAGCTACTTCACACATATTGTATTAGTGTGTTTTCATACTACTATAAAGATACTATCTGAGACTGGGTAATTTATAAACAAAGGAGTTTTAATTGACTCAGTTCCTCATGATTGGGGAAGCCTCAGAAAACTTACAGTCATGGCAGAAGGGGAAGCAGGCACGTCTTACAAGGTGGCAGGTGAGAGAGTGAGCAAGAGCAGGGAAAACTGCCTTATGAAACCATCAGATCTCATGAGAACTCACTCACTATCAGGAGAACAGCATGGGGGAAGCTGCCCCCATGATCCAATCCCCTCCCTCCCTCGATACGTGGGGATTACAGATCCCTCAACATGTGGGATCACAATTCAAGATGAGATTTGGGTGAAGACACAGAGCTAAACCATATCTCATATTCATATCCAATTGATCACAAAGCCCTGCCGATTTTACCTACTAATTTTTTCTTAATTCAGTCCCCTCCTTTCCATACCTACTGCTCCAGTTTAAGCCACCATCATCTCACTTGAAAAGCAGCAACAGCCTCCCAACAGGATTGCCCTTTTCTGGTCTTGTCCCCCTATAACCCATCCCTCACACACTGATAAAGTTATCTGTATTTCTAAAAACACACATGACCATTCTTCATTGCTGTTTTAGATCTTTGAGTGACCCTCTATCACAGGGGTCCCCATCGCCTGGGCCACAGACCAGGACCGGTCCCAGTCTGTGGCTTGTTAGGAACTGGGCCACACAGCAGGAGGTGAGCTGCAGGACAGTGATCATTACTGCCTAAGCTCCACCTCCTGTCAGATCACCAGGTGCATTAGATTCTCATAGAAGCATGAATGCTATTGTGAACTGCACATATGGGGGATCTAGGTTGTATGCTTCTTACGAGACTCTAATGCCTGATGAGCTTCTGAGGTGGAACAGCTTCATCCTGAAACCATCCCTGCACACCACATCTGTGGAAAATTGTCTTCCATTAAACCGGTCCCTGGTGCCAAAAAGGTTGGGGACCACTGTTCTATCATCTACTGGATAAAGACTAAGCTCTTAAAATAACATGCAAGGGCCTGCTCTTCCTTCTGCTTCAGCTGATCCGACGCCATGACTTACCTTTCATTTTGCATCCCAGCATCACCACATTGCTGGTTCCCTTCACTCAGCATGTTGTGTCTTGCTTCTATGTCTTTGCTTATGTTGACTCCCTCTTTTTGTAATACCTTCCTCCCAGCCCTTCTCTCACAATCTCTGCCAGGATAATTCAGATTCTGTTCAGGTATAACTTCATCCAGGAAACTTCCCCTGTCTTCTCCCATTTCCAATCTCAATAACGCATGTTCTCCTGATATCCTGGTCTTATTTCTGCCATCACATAACCTCCCTACAAGTGTTTTTTTAGTTATTTAGAGAGTAGAGCCTGTGTCTCACTCATCTATAGATTTCCAATACCTAGCATAGGTCCTGGCACACAGTAGGGGTAAAATTTTTGTTGGAATGTGTATTAGTCCATTTTCATGCTGCTGATAGACATTCCTGAGACTGGGCAATTTACAAAAGAAAGAGGATTAATGGACTTACAGTTCCACATGGATGAGGAGGCCTCACAATCACAGCAGAAGGCAAGGAGGAGCAAATCACATCTTACAGGGATGGCGGCAGGCAAAGAGAGCTTGTGCAGGGAAACTCCCATTTTTAAAACCATTAGATCTCATGAGACTTATCTACTATCACAAGAACAGCAGGGGAAAGACCCACCCCAATGATTCAATCACCTCCCACCAGGTTCTTCCCACAACACGTGGGAATTCAAGAT
Organism: Homo sapiens; assembly: GCF_000001405.40. NCBI lineage: Eukaryota > Metazoa > Chordata > Mammalia > Primates > Hominidae > Homo > Homo sapiens. The sequence goes on along the minus strand of NC_000023.11, from coordinate 107,332,892 downwards.
GAGATTTGGGTGGGGACACAAACAAACCATATCAGAATGCATGAAAGAAGAAGGAGGAGAAAGGAAGCTGAGGCAAAAATAGATAGGCCAGCGAGACAAAGAAGAGGAAGAGAGAGAGAGGATAGAGGAGATGGGAAAAGAGAGAGAGAGAGAAAGAGAGAGAGAGAGACTGTGTTGAAATAAACTTCAATATAACTCAGAGAAACTAGCTAGAGGGCTGGGACCTGATTCATCCACCTTTCCTCTCCCCTAGAATCACAAAGGCTGGCAGAGCCACGTCAAGGGCTGGGCACAAAAAACCCCAGAGATAGCTAGAAATGCAAGCTAAAGGATCATCTGCTTGGCCAGCTGTAGCAAAAGGGCAGCAGACTGTAAGAGGATGAGGTCCTGCTGGGCTGCTGGAACTAGGGATGAGAGAACCACCAGTTATTAATAACCATAACTGGGCTGTGGGGGCCCAGAGAGGGGACTGACTCCACTGGGCTAGGATTCCAATTTTCAAACAAGCCATTGCTTCACACATCTGTGGGTAATGATGCAGTTCCCAGAATGAAACCAGAGTCCTATCAACCAGTCCCAGGGTCTTGGCTTCCCTAACCACATAGAGAAAAGACAAATGGTAAGGATTTGAAATAAGGGGCTGAAAGGCTAGAAATTATGACAGTGTGGCCTGGACTCAAGGAAGCCCAATCCTAGTAGAAGCAGAAAGAAGGCATGCCACCCTGAACAGATTGCTCCTCCATCCTCCTGTCACCCCCAAACCACTCCCAGGCCAGGCTTCTCCATTTCTGTCAAGGGTGTCAACAGCCTTTCAGTCACTAGGCTCTTCCTCACTAATTATCATTAATTAGTTAAGAATTGCTTATTCTTTCCACAAAATTTCTCTCTGCCTTTCCCAGTTAAGTTCCTATCCCCTCCCACACAGGCTAACATAGCTGCCTCTTAAAGCCCAAAGTCTTCAGTGGCTCAATGCTATCTGACAAATGAAGTCCACACTGCTGATCCCAAGCCTTCTTTCCAATTATGTTTCTTACCATCCCAGCATGAGCTTTTTATCCTTTCCCATCTTGGAACTCACCCTTCTCTGAAACCCCCACCCCTGTGCTGTCTTACATCTGTGCTTGACTGGAGGATTCCTTCCACCTGGCACGCTTTTCACCAATCTCTCCCTCCAGCAAAGTATAGGCAAGTAGTGGTAAGTCCATACTCAGAGTCAAGTCCAGGCCCTCTCACTTACTTTCAGGGCAATATTGGGCAAGTTATGTTGCCCACCCCCTCCCCCAAGTTTCAGTTTCCTCATCCTTAAATAGAGATAATCCCAACACCAGAGTATTGGGAGAAATACAAACATTTTAAAAAATATTATTCAGTCTTATTGCAAATGACAAAAAATCCTCTAGTTGTATTCAGAAGAGTGATTTATTGAAAGAATAGCAAATTATTCACAGAATCAACTGAAAGGCTGGCTTTCCAGTTCATAAAATGGTTAGGTACTATGGTGACCCTTAACTGGCTCAGGGCCAGCGTAGCTAAAATGCCACTGCTGATGCTACCATGTCACTGGCACCATCCATAGACTTCTGACTCATCTCTGTCTTTCTGCTACTCCTCTAAGATTCAAAATCCTGGACAGAAACATCAACTCGGCCAAACATATTGCATGCGCCTGTGTTCTAGGAGCCAAGGAGCTAGAAGGCAGACTATCTGCCTCTTCTGCTTCCAGTATATATACATAGCCTGGCTCCTGGCATTTGGCTAAGTGCTTAGTAAATGGTAGCTTTCATGTTAAATCTTTACTATCCTTTAAGGCTCAACTCAATAGCAATAATAATATCCACAGTTTTAAATATCCTTAAATGTTTATTATCTTACATGATCCTCCCAAGCACCTTGTCAGGTAGTCAGCAGGGGCAGAACTTACTTGCTGTAGGATACATAACTAGTAGTGACAGGCTGAAACTCAGGTCTTCTGTCCCTAAATACTATAACAGTAAAATTTACCTGGTGATTACTATGTGCCAAGCACTGTTTTAAGAGTTTTGTGTGTATTAACTCATGAAATCCTAATATAACCATATGAGGTAGGTATTATATTTAGTCCCATTTTACAGATGGAGTACCTGAGCAACAGAGAGGTTTAGTAATTTACTAAAGTCATTTAGCTATTAAGAAGCACAAGATTCCAACCCAGACAATGTAGCCTCAGAGAACATCTTAACTGCAATACCTAGGCAGTCTGATTTCAGAGTCTGAGCTCTTAACTGCTACACCATATTGCATTGCAAGCCCTAGATCTTTTTTTAATGCAGAATAATGTTTCTCCTCCTTCACTGACTAGTCCAATCACCCCAACTAGAAGTGATGCCACACACCTAGTTCATCTCTAACCTTACAGGTAGATATGTACCAGTTATAAGACTTTAAGCTCATTAGGGCAGGGTGCTATATACCTTGCAGCACCTCAGAAACTGTTCAATGAGGAGTGAATGAAGGAAGGAAAAAGAGAAATGAATTAAACTATGAAGAAATGGACAGTGGGCCTGGGGTGAGGGTGTGAGGAGGAGCACAATAGTAGATGCCCAGAAGATTCAGGCTCAGGGATGGGTCTGAGGTTATCCTAGGCATTCGAAGGCTGAACTGGAGTCCAAGGTTTACCTATTAATGGACCCTGCCTTAGTTTGCTAAGGTTGCCATAGCAAAATACCAAGGACTGGATGGCTTAAACAACAGAAATTGATTTTCTCACAGTTCTGGAGGGTAGATGTCCAAGATCAAGGTGCTGGCAGAGTTGGTTTCCTCTGAGGCTGCTCTCCTTGGCTTGTAGATGGCTGCCCTCTTGCTGCCCTCTGTGCCTGCATGCCCCTGCTGTCTCTTATGTGCCCAAATTTCCTCATCTTATAAGAACACCAGTCAGATTGGATTAAGACTCACCCAAATGGCCTCATTTTAACTTAATTATCTCTTTAAAAACCTTACCTCCATATACAGTCACATTCTGAAGTACTGGGGGTTAGTGCTTCAACATGTGCATTTTAGAGGGACACAATTCCGGCCATAACAGTCTCCAACCCTCATCTTCCCTTGGCTTTCTCCCAACAGTGGTAGGTGGGAAATGGTGTGGAGTGAAGCTGGCTTAGTCTCCCAGGGTAGGTAAACAAGAACCTGAGTGACTCCATGCATTTGCCTCCACCCAGAAGTGGGTAGAGAGAATCTTTTGAGACTGGACTTAAGGCTGAACAGGACAATGCTGGCACCTAGTGCTTCTCTTTCAGATATATACAAAATGAAATTTGTGCCATCTGGCTTTTAATATTCCACATGGGTGCTGTCTATTTAGTTAATAAAAGAAAACCCTCATAGCTGTCCTTTGCTAAGTGAGCTATTATAACATCTGTTTGAACTCCCCCACACGCAAGTAATTAAATAAGCACAGTGTCCTTTGGGTGTGAAGCAGGGAAGTCCTAGTTGCACTCTCAAAGTTCTCCAGTGGTACAGTTCCCAATGTCCCAGAGTCCTCGTTCATTTAGCAACTGTTTCCTCAGGGCCTACTACTGACCAGGCCTGGGCAGGGGTGGCAACAGAGACAGAGACAAGGCATAGCTTTTGCCCTTAAGGAGCATACAGTCTAGTGGCAGAGAAAGACAAGTTACCAGACCATGACAGTATGGTAGGACCAGCGCTATGACAGAGAGAGGCACTGGGAGCTGTACATGCAGAGGGCCACTCAGCTGGCTTTAGGGGCGAGAGCGGGCTTCCTAGAGGAGGAGAAGATGCAAGAGCTCAGTCTAGAAGAAAGATAAGTTAGCAAGTTAAAGAAGGGACAGGCTGGGGTAGGGAGGTCACTAGATGCTGCAAGCCAGGAGATCGTGTGGCATAAATCCAGGGGGTGCCATTCACACTGTGGTGTATGAAGTAAACAGTGCTCACTGGAGTTGCGGTACTTAGTCACCCAAAGGAGTTAGTCTCCCAATTTTCCAGAAAATCTTCAAGAAGTTAGGCTGAGAATGTGGCCAAGGTAATATGATAAAGGCAAAGAAGAAGTCTTTAGGAGGGGGCTGCAGCAGAAAGGATGGGAGTGGGAATGGACACATAGATTCCTACAAAGATCAAGTCTGAGCCCTCCACTGAAAGCATTTAAAAATGCCACCAGGACCTGTAAACAGTGCTAGGACTTGACTGGTGAAAGTTGAGGCTATCAGGAGGTAAAGCTAGAGAATGCTGGAACCTCACACCCAAGAATACTAATAGACTTGGCTCATGCCTATCAAAAACCAGGCAAAACATTCACACTTAGTATCATGTTTTACAATGTGGAGTTGCTCATTTTCATAAGCTCACTTTCAATAAGTGATAGCCCTGGGCAAGACTGCAAGATAAATTCATACTGCCTTGTATAGTCTACATAAAGTTTTTTATTCATTTTTTTATCTGAGCCTTATAATAACTCCATAATAACTCCATGAGACAAGTAGAATAGGGATTGCCATTCTCATCTGGCATATGAAGAAACCAAGGCCCAGAAAAGTTAGGTTACCCAAAATCAGCGAGCCCTTAAGTGGAACAGCCAAGCTAGATCTCAGGCCCTTGGAGATCTGGTCCATGCTGTTTCCTCTAGGCCATGGAAAAAGGCTTGCCTTTAACAACCTTCCCACCTGCTCCCTTGCCCATGCTTCCTGCCCTGCCTTGGTGCACCCCACTCCTTATAAGTACCCCTTGGAACCTTCTGATTTTCCTCCCTCTCTCAAGTCTACCTTTTCTAGGCCACAGCCCATTCTTCACACCTAGCCTTTCTCTTATCTCAAGAACTTGTTCATGCAGAGGAGCTCTTTTGAAGGTTCTTTCCCCATGGAGTTCGGAGTTGAGGGGGGAGAACCTATCCACTGACATCATTTACTAATTCTTTCTAAGAAGTTTAGGAAATGATTGTTATCCCTTTAAGTTCATAATGCTTTAATCCAAAGGATAGATCCAATGGTGGGAATTGTAGCATTTTGAAGCAACTTTGAAGCACCTTGGTATAATATCATGTAACTGCCCCCATCCTCCCATCCCTAACACACACAAACACTTCAGGGACCCCACCTGGATGAGCTAACAAGCTACTCATCTAGTCCTTTGTGCATAGGCAAGACAAGTGCCTTCTTCCCTCTGAACACTGCACACCCAGTGCGCACTCACTGCAGAAGGCTGGCACCTGTGGCCAGCTGGCACCAAAAGGAAAAACACCCAGGGACAGCAGCTTGTAGTGAGCTAACAGAATGCCTGCTTAGTCTGCAGCTCCCTTCTCCCTATCATAGATCTCCCCTGCCTGTCACTTCATCCCTTATGGTAGCTGGGACTTCCCCTTCCATCCCCCTGAGATGCTCTGAGATCTTTGTCAGGTAAGAACCAGGAGGCAGGCTGCCCAGATTTGTCAAGATGGGAAAACAGAAACCACTGAGCCCACATGCTCTGTGCTGAGCCAAGGCCCCTGTCCTGGGACAGGTCCACTCGAGCCCCTGAGGAGACTCCAGGAAGAGAAAGACAGGGAGAGTTCCTTTTAAACAAACAAAACTCAAGCAGGAGAGCAGCTTTCTTTAGGAAGGCCTTATGCTTGGCATTGAGCTGGACAGTGGTGTGGAGTCCCAGGGGTTCATCTTGGCCTCTGTGATAGTTTCCTTCCAAGTGGGAAAAGGGAAGCGGCGCACACAGACCTGGTTGGGGCGCAAGGGTGCTGAGAGGGAAGTGAAGGAGACTCTAGCACTTTGCTCTCCCTCAGACTGGCAGGTACACAGGGTGAGCTCTGACCTCTCCCCCAGGCTTGCTTCTGTTTTCAGGACACAACTTTGCCCACTTGGCTCTCATGCAGCCATCACTCTGGCTGGGGAGGGAAGTCCTTTATCAGGCCACACTTTCAGACTTTAGTCCTGAGACCCTGGCTCTGCTCTGCCCTCCCGGGCTTCACCCACAGAGCTCTCTTAAGGCCCCGGTGTCTCCTATCCATGCCCTCAGCCAGCCCTGCCATGTCCCACTCCTCTCCTTCCTCAGCGAGGGCTCCTCAGCTGAATCATGCCCAAGCCCCGTCCCTTGTCCCCTTCACTATAAAAAAGCCTGACTAATTGAGCTCCCTGGATCTGTTTCGATCTCTAATTTGTCTGCCAGCTGGGGAATAGGCCTCCCCACTTGTGCCCCTTATTTTCTTTATTTTCTGAAATCCCTGAGTCTTCACAACTGGAACTGATATCAGCTGTAAAACATGCCATGTCAGTGGCTGTCATGAAAGTGGTTTAAATCTCTGTTCGAAATGCTTGTTTGTATTACAGTCCAAGTGTTCTGTGTTGTGTGCCAAGGCTTTTACCAGTGGCAACAAGCTATTGGAGAAATAAGTACCAAGTACAAATCAAGTAGGACCAGCCACAGGTCCTGTTTAAAATGAATGGACAGAACAGACAAATCCAAACAGAAGAGTGGAAAGGGAGTTTCTCCTAATTAGGAAGCATGGCTTTCTAGATCCTCTCATCAGCAAGTCTTTGTCTTACTTTTTATCTCCTGTGTAGTAAAGAAGTAGCCAGAGAATGGGAAGGTTTTAAAAGCATTTTTTTTTTGAGACAGAGTCTCGCTCTGTTGCCCCGGCTGGAGTGCAGTTGTAATCATGGTTCACTGCAGCCTCGACCTCCTGGGCTCAAGCAATCCTCCTGCCTCAGCCTCCTGAGTAGCTGGGACTACAGGTACATGCCACCACACTCAGCTAATTTATTTATTTATTTATTTAGTTAGTTAGTTATTAGTACAGACAGGAGTGTCTCACTATGTTGCCCAGGCTACTGTCAAACTCCTGGCCTCAAATGATTCTTTTTCCTTGGCCTCCCACAGTGCTGGAATTACAGGCATGGGCCACAGCATCTGGCCTAAAAGGCAAATTAAGTTAAATTTGTTTGCAAAATCTAGGCCAGTAGTTTTCAAACTTGAGCCTGTATCAGAATCACCTGTAGTAGGTCTGGGGTGGGGCCTGAGAATTTGTGTTTCTAACATTGTTAAGGGATCTTTGGGGTGTCGTCGTTCTGGCTGGAAACTTCTGTGGCCAGTGGCGCCTTTGCCTGAATTTTGCTTGGGCCTGATGGGCTTGTTTCACCTACTTGGCCTGGCAGGGGCGCTCAGCTCATGCTACCAGCCTGGGCCCCATGCCTGCCAAGGGTGAGTCAGGTGTGGAGTGGTGAAGGGTGTGCGAGCGAGCATGGGGTCCAGCCACTGTGCATTCAGACACGCCAGCTGCTGCAGTGGGGCGGGCAGCTCCAGGTGCCAGCATGGGTGCCAGCTCTCTGCAAGGCTGTGACCAGACCAGGCGCACTACAAGCAGCTTCCATGCTTGGCACCAGGGAACATGTTGGCACCTGGAAGATTAGAGATGCCAGGAACCACAGGGCCCCAAAGAGGGAGTCACAGCCCTAGTTTGGGGAGCTCCCAGGTCTAGGCTCCCTGAAAGGCTGTAGCTCTTCTTTCTTTCTCTTCTTCCGCAGCATAGTGAGCAAGGGACATGCCTCAGCCCTGTTTGTGTTAGCCTCGCTATTCAGCAGGTCCCGAGTTTTTGTCCTGCAGGAAGAATGAGGTACACAGACAAGTGAAAGGTGGGCAAAATGAAGAGGTGCTTTATTGAGCAATAGAACTGCTCAGAGAAGACCTGCAGGGGGCAGCTCCTTTCCGCAGCCAGGGTGTCCCATCAAGTATTTAGCTCCTAGCAGAGAGGGTAGCTCCTCTCTGCAAGCAGGTCGTCCCCACAAGTGTTCAGCTCCCAGCAGAGAGGGTAGCTCTTCTCGGCAGCTGGTTGTCCCATCGTCTCTCCTTCCTCTGCTCTGCTCTGGCTGATCCCAGGGCTTTCATGGGCCTCAGAGGGGAGGAAGTGCACACCGATTGGTCCATGGGTGACCATAGGCGGGCCCGGAGAAGGCACCACAAGTCCCTACTCTGGTCTGCCGGCCTGGCAGCCCGGCCCCCAGCCTTCAGGCACACCCTGTCCTGAAGATGGGGCCTCACTGAGGACCCGCCCCCTTCAGCCCAGAAGCCGGTCGGCCTCCTGCCGCTGTCCATGGTGCCCAGCCTGCTTATGCCAAGGGGCTCCTGCAGGCCAGCGCGGAGCTGCTCTCAGCCCCCACCTTGGCGTCCCCTCCTGTGCGCGTCTGCACCCAAATTCTGGAGAAGTCTGAGGCAGCAGGGCGCTGGCATGTCAGCGCTGGCCCCAGTACATGCACCCCTGGCCAGGCTGCGAGAACACCAAGGCTTGGCCCCCACATTGCTCGGAGATTGGAGTGGGTGCCAACAGCGGGGAAAAGCCAGGCAGCAGGAGCAGGCACTTCCAAGCCTGCAAGGGTGGAGGGGCAGCCTTCCCAGGCCCTCAAGAGGGCAGAGAGGTCTGGGTCCACAGCCCTGACTTGGGCGCCTGCTGCTGCACCCAGAGGGGTTGGGTGGGGCTGCTGCCTGCTCCTAGCTCCTGCCGGGTCCTTGGAGTGTGCAACACCGGCTGTGCCCCCTCGCAGCCTGAGGCAGGGGCTTCAGGTCCTCGCTGGGCCCGGGGTGTCATCCAGGGCAGGGGCGACGTTGCCGCGAGCTTTCCCCACAGCCCTGTTGCTCAGGTGTGCCCCAGGGGTCCCCCTCACCTGGCTCGTGGCTTTATCTGGGCGTGGCGGGGGGCGGGGCGCCTCCGGGAGCAGATCGCGGCCACAGGCCCTGGGCCTCGGCCCTGGCTGTCGGGACTGTCAGGCTCGACAGTCACTCGGATGCTGGGCGGACCCTGGGGAGGCAGTCCCAGGTGGCCTCGCCCAGAGCCTCCTCCCAGGGCACAGGAACCTGGCACCCTCGGCAAGGTGGGCACAGTGGCTGCACCACTGGCTGGGTCCCCAAAGCGGGCACTGCTCCTACTTCCAGCCCCGGGCCCCGAAGTACGGTCCCAGCTCTGCACCCCTCCTGCCTCTCGTGCTCCATGTGCAAGCGCAGCACCACCCTGGGCCCAGCTCCGCCTCGGGGCCCCTCTCTGCTAGACCACATAGCTCCGTCGCTGACGGGTGACCTGGCCCAGCTCCACTGAGGCAGCCCCCAGGGCGGCAGGCTGCGGGGGAGGTAGGGAGGGTGGGCGGGGGCGGGTTGCCTGCGTCTTCCCCACACCCTCTCCACAGCCGTGGCGTAATGGCAGCAGCCGCTCTGGACAGCACACCGCTGTCATCAACATCTTTCCAGGTGGGGCTGATGTTGGTCTGGGACCACACTTGGAGAACCAGTGCTTTAGGGGTTGTGCAGAGTAGGCGTGAAGGTCAGGGGTCTCTGGTCCTGCGAGGCCTTGTGCAGAGGCAGGGACTGTGCCACATGACCTGGAGGAGGTTCTAGTTCTGATAGGCAGGGCTCTGGGCGGAGCTCCACAACCTGCTCCTGAGGTTCCTACAGTTGTCAAAGAGCACGGGCCACCTCCAGGCCTCCTGGCAAAAGTTCAACCTCTTCTAGAGTTCTCTAGCTGCTACTGTCATGCCTCCCTCTTCTCGGGTGGGGAGAGGGTGGTGGAGGGAACCCTGGGGCACATGGCCCAAGAGGAGCCCTGAGCCCTAGAGCAGTGATGGTTCTCAAACTTGAGCAAGCATCACAATCACCCTGGGTAACACGCAGATTACCGGGCCCATTCCCAGAGTTTCTGATCACAGGTCTGGGCTGATGGTGGCTGAGAATGTATATTTTCAGCAAGTTCTCAGGTGATGCTGGCTGATGCTTCTTGGCAAAGGGAATAAAAAGGTGTCTATGTTCTCATGTTTTTATGACTAGGTCCTAGAGGCCTTGGACACTGACAGTCGCAGTCCAGGGAGCAGTCTGAACAGAGACTGGGAATTCATCTGGTGCCAGCTTAAGAATTCAGAATGACTTGATTTTTCTTGAGTGAAGGTTTGGCAAAAAAGCTACCAAATTACATACAACATTTATTCTTCAAAAATATTTTTGAAACTAATCATTGGTTGATGTTTAGGTTCAGCCATTTCAACAAAGGGAGGAGGGAAGAGAACTCACATTTATCAAGCTCTACTAAGCTTTTTGCTAGGCGATTCCCCTACATTATCTCATTTCCTTCTTGAAACGACCATCAGAAGAGGAGGAAATAGGCTCAGAGAGCTTAAGTGACCTGCCTAATGTCACACAGCTTATGAGAGCCAGACTTGGATTCCAACTAAGGTCTGGCTCCAAACACTTCTCACTATACTGGAGAAGGGCTAAGAGGGTACTTCTGACCCCACCTGCCAATCAGGAGGCCAATCTCTTGGGAGGGTACAAAGCTTTTGTTTAAACACTAAATCCCACAAGTAGTAAACACGCCGATACACCACGCCTGACAGCAAGGAAGACAGACAGGCCATCTAAGCACATCTTTTAGAAGGCAGTAAATGGGCATTTCCAGAGGTGCAGAGTTTTGAGTCGAACAAGAGTGAGGGCTGAGCAAGGCTTTCAACATGTGCTGTGCTTGGGGAGGAAGAAATGGCAGTGGGTCACTCCACAAGGGAGACTATGAATGCTCAATCCAGACATAAGGGTTCTGGTTAAAATGACTCCAGAATAGACATCTATTGTCCTTGCTTCTATGTCCTACTTAATACATTTCCCCCACCTGGAAAGATCAATCTCTGTCATTTAAAAATATTTTATCATGAAATAATAAGATATACAAGCAAAGTATACAGACTCGTATGATGAGCACCTATTTACCACTGTGTTTAAGAAATAAAACCCTACTAATGTGATTGTCATCTTCTGTTTACTTCATTCCCATCCACTTGCCCATTCCCAGTAAATAGCACCCTGACTTCAGAGTTTGTCATCTCTACACATGTGAAAGCCCTTCTTTCATCTATGTAAATCCATATTCATCATATTCATCAGTAATTTTAAATGTAGTGCAAAAACTCACCTCCTTCGCAAATTGTCCTTGATTAACCCCACCACACTTAATTTCTTCACTGTCTCTTTCCTAGCTTACATCTTTCATTTTTTTAAACTCTATTCACTTTTACTTGTGGATTCATTCTTTGGAAGTAGTTCACTTCCTCCATGAGCTTTTTTGATCACTCCAGGCAGCACTAATATCTGTTCCAAAGGCGAAATATAGGTGGCTTTTAAGTTAAAATGGTTCTGGATTCAAATATGGACTCTGTCACTTACTAGCTCTGTGACCTTGAGCAATTGACTCCTTTCTCTTGGTGTCTAGTGGCTCATTTATAAGATGAGGTTATCGTAAAGATCAAGTGAGTAGTATATTGTGGTGATTCATTTACATGCATGTGAATGTTATCTTCAAGATATTTAAATCCATGACCATCACCAATTTTTAAATTATGAGCATTGATTTGGGTGCTTGAGCTTTTTTGGTTCATTTTTTGGTTACATACTGTCTCCTAATATGCTATAATGGCTCTATGTGCATAAATAAGACTTGTCTTCCCCCAGAAAAGCTGTGTTCTCATGGAAAGCAGAGCGTGAGCCATGCAGAATGACAATATAACTTACCATTCAAACCAAGACACTTTTGAGAGTGAGAAGAGGTGCTATTAATAATAATTGCCCCAGGTCTCATCACAAACCAGGACTGTCCCTGGGAAGCCAGGACACATGGCTATCCTAATCATATATTTCTTGAGAGTCTCTCCAACCCTCAGCCCAGTGCTAGCTAGGAAGTAAGTACTTGCTAAATCAATACTTGTGGAGTGGAATTGAAGGCCTGGCAGCCTCAGAAGTTAGCAAACATGGCTAGTCTTATGTAGCTCCTCCTTTCCTCCCTCTGTCTCTTGTGTGCTCTTCTTATTCAGCAGTAATGTCACCCCCAAATGGCACATTCATCATCCCAAATTAACCATTATTAAAGCCATCCATTTGCGGGGCTGCAGCTAAAATGAATTGTGTTATTATTCCAGTTACAGCAATGAATGGCTGAACATCAAAAGCCATTTTGATTTTGTAGCTAGAAGGCAATCAATTATTGTGTTCTGTCGGCTTGTCCAAAGTAGTGCCCAGCCTGCTGCTTGTGAGTATAAGCGTCCTTCTCCATCTTGTCATACACTCACACACCTCCTTAGACCTCCCCTCACAATACTGGAGAGCCCAGGAAAGGGAAGCATATATTCTTTCTACCAGTCTGGATCAACTCTTCCTCCCAAAAGTTGGGGTCTTCTCGGCTTTGAGGCTAAAGAGGCTTCTCCTGACTTACACTGCCTTTCTCTCTCCCACTCCTGATCCCTATAGGCCTGGGCAGTGAGCCAGCCTGAGTTTCAGTCTTGGTTCGGGTCCCCCTCCACTACCCTGCTACCTACACTACAGATTGGTCTTATCTGAGGCAACTTTGTGAGGCTCAGTACCCCCAGTGACTTCATTTCTCAACCCCTCCTTTTGGAGTCACACAGTTCTCAGGACCCCACCCCAGCTGCCCAGTCTCCTCACTCTGGAAAGTTACTGATGAATGAGAGGCTTAAGGCAGCTCATCTCCCAGAAAACCCCTGAACTGTAATAGAGTCTTCACTGTTTTACCTCAAAGGAATGATTTAAGCTCCCCAGAGTAGGACAGTGCACAAGAAAGGAAGAGGGTGATGGGAAATACTGCCTAGACAGGGGACTGGAAGAGGTATTGATCAGAAGGCCCTTTCTGTGGTGGAAATAATGATAATGTTGGTGAGAATAATAGCAGCTACTGCTTTTCAGCTGTTTATACTGTGCTAGACATAAACCTAGCAGTCCAGGCCCCTCTAAACCTCACTGTGCCCAACCTCTTGCTGTTGGAAAGACTAAATGAATGAAGGTACTGCAACTCTCCAATGCATATTTCCTGTGGGCTACACTGGGTGAAGTGCTGTGAGCTCTGCTACTTCACATCACATTACACTGCAGCTCTGCTGCCTTTAGCCAAATCTCCCCATTCATAGCCTCATCTCCCTGTCACCCACTTTGCTTTAGGAATCAGGCCTGAGAGTAAGATTTAGCAGGAGTGTGTAAGGTAGAGCAAATTTCCCCGGCTCTTCTCCCCATCAACAAGTAGAAGGCAACTAGGACCATGTTGATTACCTGAAATTAAGTTCTCTCAGCTGGATAATGTCCCCAAGGGCTACCAGTATAGAATTCATTTGCCTGTGCCCAGTGACAGAAATTACTCAAGACCTGGCATCTCCCTCAAGCCCCTAAAACAGGTTGTCAGCCCAATGGCTCTCTGATCACTAATATCTCCCTATCATCCCCCCCCCCCACACACACACTACAGACACACAGTCACACATTCTGATGAAATTATCTAATGAGATCCTTCTAAGATGTTCACATTGCTTGTGGGGACAGAATCAAGACTGTGAAGTATTTGACGATGATTTTTGTTTATGGTTTTAAATTCCATTCCTGTCATTACCAGGAAGAAGAAGAGTAGAAGGAATTCTCCCCACTTACAGGTGAGAAAACAAATATGAAAGATGAGAGACTTGTCAAAATTATGTTAAAAAAACAGACACTGGACTTGAGTGACAAATGTAGCCTTAGAGTTTCTGATTTGTTTTCTCACCTTAAGTAATCTGAGTTGCGAGTACTTGGCTATTTGTTCTTTTGGGCCAGGAAGATCCAAAGATTACTATGATCCTTCAAGTATTGAGTTGACTCAGATTCAACCTTGTTTTGCTCTGTTCCAACCTCTTTTTCTCTCAATAGGGAGCAAGAGCTTTCAAAATACAAATAATTGTTTTTCACAATTTAACAGCAAGGCCAGCTTATTGCAGACATTTAGAAGCTGAAGATAAGCAAAAATATATATAATCTGCAGTTTCACCACTCAGTGATAACTGCTGTAATCATTGTGGTGCATTTCCTTTTTGTCTTTTTTCTGTGTCTATATACCCATATGTGTACGTATTTTATACCATATTTCCTGCATTCTAATACACATATTCTTCATTTCTGAGATCAGGATGCATCTTATAATGATGTCAAAATGACTTGCGAATGGCCAGGCAGAGGAATCTACTGTGATATTGTTGTCATTGCTTATAAGCATGCAGACTTAGCTGTACTGAGACGTTATCTGTACATCATGTTGTCACTTCAGTTGAGTTATTTGCATTGGTAGAACCATCATGGTTAAATTTTTAACTTAAATTTGGCTTTCTCCTTAATTGTCACTTAAAATGTCTTCTAAAAATTACACTATGATGCATCATTGAAATGAAAAATTATTGTGTCTGCAGAATATTGCCTGTCACACTCCAGACAATGCAATTAAAGGCAGTAGGAATTGCCAAATCTCTTGGAATAGATCATAAAAATTTCAAAGCTAGGAAAGGTTGGTGTGACCGTTGCATGCATTGTGAGGGACTATCACTCAGGCACTGAACGTCTATCCATCAACAGTTTCTTGGTGACTTTCAAGAGAAAGTGATTGATTTCTGGCTCATGTAATTGAATTGAAAAACAAGACAAATAAAAGAAAAAAAGGAAAAAATATTAACAATGAGTTTAGCCAAATAGGAAATGTGGATAAACCCCCAGGATTCTTCTACATGCTTTGATAATCTTCTTGTCACATTATCACAAGGGGAGGTTATGAAAAGCAGCAACATGTCAGCATAGTACACTGCATCCCTGCCAATGGTCAAAAGGAATTCAGAAGAATCTTTAGAGTCTGGAATGTGAAGAAAGCTTAGACTCTGTTTTTGGTGATGTTACTTAAGAAGAAAGTGGTATATAATTATATGGATATATAGGTATGTTACCATCAGCAGAATAAAATTTTGGTATATTAAATATGCTGTTTTTTTCTTTCTACCAAAGCTATTAATAAATCAGAGTCTTACAATACATATTATCTCTGATGAGGAAGTAGTTGGGATCACGCTGTATGTATAGTTTTACATTATGATTTTTAAATTAATATTATATAATGAGCATTTTCAATGGCATTGAATATTTAAAAACATGGTTTGATGGCTTGCTATATCGAAAAATTGTTTCTCAGAAGGTTGTGCCAACTTACAATCCTACCTGTAGTGAATAAGAGTATACTCTAATTAACACAGTTAGTGGACCCTAATTCACATGGTTTTCATTAATTAAAAAAAATTAGTGTTTGCTAATTTGGCAGGCAAAAAAGACAGCATCTCATTTTTATTTAGAGTTCATTGGCTACTACCAAGTTTAAATTGAAAATGTAATTGGTGGCCATTTAAATTTTGTGTGCACAATTTGCCAGTTCATATCCTTTGCTCATTTGTCTATTGGGGTCTCAAGGTCTATCATATTTATTTCCAATAATGCACCAAATGCTGTTGGTGATGCCCCACCCCATGTTCCCCTGGCCCACTGATTTTACCTGCATCTGCAGTTTCCAGCATTACCTCAAGTTGCTAGTCTCTCTTTTTTGCTTCAGAGTTTTCTCAAGCACAGTGGCAGCTTACTTTGCTACAGTCAGTTGCAACCTGGAAGTGCAGGACAGTTGATGCCACTGGAGCTAACCTTCAATCAATGGGGATGGAAGTCCATGGATAAATACCACAGACTCTCCATCCTCCAGTGGGATGATTCTAAGAGTGTTCCACACAGTTTCTCAGAGAGTCTCCAGAAGGACTGAGTCCCAGTTGCCCACAGGGTAAGCATCTCATTAACACACTATTAACTTTCCTCCCTCGTTACACTTTCACCATTTCCTTTTTGTGTTTCCTAAGATCACCTCCCAAATAAGCCACCTCTCTCCAGATCTTTTCCTCAGGGTCCACTTTTGGGAACTGAAAATAAGAAAAAACAATAATATTTTCTGTCCACACAGTTTTTTATGGCAGTGATCACCCTCTCTCAAATTGAACTCCTCAATACGAGTGGCATATTTGAAAACAAGCACTGTCCCACGAATAAACTTTGGAGTGCAGGACACAGCAATACAGAGGCCTCTGTCACCTGGAGAATGCCAGTTGGTTGCTTCTAAAACCCTTGCAGGAGATGGCTGGACTCTCTAAGTAGAAACAAAACTGGCTTCCTGAACTGCGAGGCTGAAGAACAGAGCCCAGACTGAGTACATTCAATAAAGCAAAGTCAACTTAAGCAGGCTTACATGCCTGTTTGATATATAGAGACTTTCTAAAATGTTTGTATTTGTATATTTGTATCTGTCTATCCCCATATATATAGGCATTATACACACACACACACACACACACACACACACACACACACACGTATGTATTTGCCAGGATGCCAATTTATTAATTTACTACAAGAAATACAATTGTTAAAAAGGCCAAAATGCTTGACTAAGCAGATCAGTGCATTCTTTCCCTGTAGACAAGTTGTGTAGGGAGCCAAATAAATTATCAAAAGATTGCTTGGTGAGCATAAAATCAGCACAAGGGAGTTAGTTCATCTTAAGAATGGTCTCTCAGCTAAGACAACTTGAAGCACTCTCATCAACTATAGGGCCAGCCTTGCCAAGGAACCCATCATGTTGGGTTCACTTGGCCAAGATCATTCTCCTGGATGGAGCTTGGCTGGTAACTGTCATTTCTTTGCATTTAGCAGGCCAACTACTTTCTATTCATTCCAAGTAGTGTATAACACAATTAACTTGGTTCCCACTCAGAAAGTTACAATTGAATTTCAGTCCTGCCTCCTTAAGGTTTGTCCTAGATGACCTTGAACAGAGTTTTGAGTGTTCCCAAAATTTTTAGTCCCACTTTTACAGATAACTTCTTGGTTAATTTCCACAGATATCTAACCATATATCCTACATGTGGATTTTTGCTAGTTTAACTCTCAGATGGCAACTGCATTTGCTTTTTGTGGGAGGGGGTAAAGTGTGTATAGAGAGCATCAGAAATCTGTCCCCTTCCTGTTGAGATGGGAACTAATTTCAACTCAACAGATTTCTACCTTTTTTCCAGCTTCATCTTCCACAATCACTCTGTGTTCTAACGTACTTTTCAGCTTACCACTCCCAGGATAGTCCATGCTCTCTCTCTCTCTCCAATATGCCATAATGCTAGATTGTTTTCCTGCCCTCATTTCCCAATGAACTGATTCATTTTTCAAGATCCAGCTCAAATATCTCTCACTTCCCCTAAGATTCTGTATTAGGCCATTCTTGCACAGCTATAAAGAAATACCTCAGACAGGATAATTTATAAGAAAAGAGGTTTGTTTAGTTGGCTCACAGTTCTGCAGGATGTATAGGAAGCATAGAGGCATCTGCTTCCAGAGAGGCCTCAGAAAGCCTCCACTTATGGCAGAAGGCAAAGGGGGAGCAGGCATTTCACATGAAGGGAGCAGTAAAAACAGTGAGAGAGTGGGAGGTGCCAAACACTTCTAAATGACCAGGTCTCATGAGAACTTACTCCCTTTCATGAGGACAACACCAAAGGGATGGTACTAAACCATTCATGAAAAACCACCCCCATGATCTAATCACCTGCCACCAGGCCCCATCTCCAATACCGGGGATTACAATTCAACATAAGATTTGGCAGGGACACACATCCAAATTATATCAGACTCCTTTCTTGAACCACTGCCATCTCTGCTCCAACATCAAAGAGTTGGACCTTTTCTCCTTAGTGTTACCACAACACCTAATTCAAACTTGTAACAGCCCATTGTACTACAGTTATTTATATGTCCATTTTCCCCACAAGAGTATACATTATTGAGAGCAGAGGCTATTGTCTTATTTATTTTTATATTCCCAGAGCTTAGCATAGTGCCTGGCCCTTAGAAAATGCTTGAATAAATGAATTATCCAAAGTCCTACAGCCAGATATTCAGGAACTGCTATATTTCAAAAACTATAGTCCCGAAAGGTATATGACAGCAAATCACCATTAGTCATTTAGCAAAACTGACAGTGAGCTAGGGACTAGCATCTTGTGACATCCATTTACTAATTTAACAAATATTTATTGAGCGCCTACTATGTGCCCAGTGCTGGGGATATAGTAGTGAGCAAGACACACAAGACCTGTACTTTCATGGAAGTTACATTGTACTGGGGGAAGACAGATGATAAGCACATAAGCAATTAAAATAATTTCTAGATTTTCGTAGCTATTGTGAAGAAAATAAAACAGGGTGACATAAATGTAAGTGACTTGAAGGAAAATATTTTTTGGGGGGTGTTGAGTGTTAGGAAAAGCATTTATGAGAGAGTGACATTTGATCTGAGAGCTGAATGATGAGAAGGAGCAAGCTATGTAAAGATGTAGGGACACAGTGTACCAGGCAGAAGGAGCAGCAGGTGCAAAGTCCCTGAGGTAGAAATATGTGGTTATAAAACAGAACATTTTGTGGTGCTAAAGAATATGTAAGTGCTGGAGGCATGGTACAAGATGAAATCAGAAAGGAAGGCAGAGGCTAGGGCATGTAGGGCTTTGTAAGCCATGGAAAATTGTTTGGATTTTCTCCAAAGTACAATGGAACGCCACTGGAGGGTTTTCAGTGAGAGAGTGATGAGTTTTGATTTACATTTCTAAAAGATAACTAGCCTGTCACAGGATAATTATACATAGAAACAAAGATTCTCATCTGCAACACAAAACTAAAAGCTATCACTGAATTCTGCTACTCCAGCAACACTTAGTATAATGATGTACTGATTCACAAGGGAGTGAAAAACCAACTTAAGGCTCTAGTGTATCCTCTAGAAAGTTAATTTACAGATGGTTGGGGCAGGTCTTGGAAGCCATACCCCTTTTCAAAAAAAGATCTTTAAGCTGAAGAATGCAGAATTCATCCCAGCTGTATACTTAAAAGACGAGGAGGAAAGAAGAGTAGTCAGCAAAATGGCCTAGAATAAGCTTTCATTATTAAGGTGTAATTAGCTTTCAAGCTCACTGCTAGTGGTCAATAATCTGTGCTGAAAACTCCACCTCAACTCCCTAAGATTCAGGAGTTTAGAAGAGAAAAGGGCTAAGCAGGCAGTAGTCCACAGAGCATCTACTTTCCCCTCTTGATAAATCACTGCAGAGAAAACACATAGCAACCAGGTCTCATTCTCAGCTCCTCTCTGCCAAGTACAGGATTTGTAGCAATATAGGTGCAATTACAATTCCACCATAACATATTCTATGTACCCTGTGAGGTTCTGTATGTGGAATTTTCCTTAAATAAACCTTAGGAGAGATATTGGAATGCCGTCCCACTGGAATATTCTATCAGGAGTTAAGCTTTTTGCTTAGAGTGAACCAAGGCTTCACGCTTCTGCTGACTCCTAAGCAAGACAGAACAATATCACCAACTAGGGAGACTTTTGAGAGGACAGAACCATGGAGGCCATTTCAATCCCAAGTCCCCAACAGAGGCAGCAGCACTGGATAAGGAAGGCAGCCCTAGGACTCATAGCCTAGGAACAGTAAACATGGAGAGTTGAGCCCAGAGAGAGAAAGTAGATTTAGAAGGCAACAAGGAGGAGGTCCAGATGGAAGCTGCAAACTGCCAGGAATCTAAGGGAATGGACTGCCAGATGTACTAGCGATGCTGATAAGATGAGGTCTTCACAGATAAAAGAAGAAAATAAAAAGTCCAAAGTATTGGGGCTGCCTAGGTAGAAGAAGGGGGCTATTCATATTGTTTGTCCCCAAAGGACACTTAAAATCCAGGGTATTACAGGCAAGGGGATCAGGGACCAGTAGTGGAAGTGAGGAAAGGTTTAAAATTATTTCCCCAATAGGTACACAAAATTAAGCTAGCATCCAGTCCATGGATGCAATTGAAATGTTAGGTGGGAGAATTGAAGTTGTTTCCTAAAAATCCAGGGGTGTTTGGCCACCCACATAGATTACATTCAAGACACAAAGACTTAAACAGTAATCTGGCATCTATCTGGGAGCCCTAAAGAAGGCAAAGACCTGAAAATTTTAGAAATGAGCGTCTGGGGAGAGGTTATGCTGGTCCCTGAGTGAAAAGGAGCCCCAAGATGAGGTCAGGAAGAAAACTGAATGGAGGAGTTCCATGCTGTGAGTAAAATGGCCTACCTAGTGAGAGGAACCTAACGGCAGTGTGTGGGAAGAGCTGATTAATTAACTGAATTGTATGAAAGGATATAATTATAAATCCCCCACAATTCTATTACAGTCACTCCAGTAGGGGCAGCTATTTACTTCACAGCCCTTGAGCACCTGAATCAACAGTGCATTCAGTGCTCCTTCCCCTCCATATGAGACTATCATCCAAAATTGACTGGAGAAGATTACAGATCAGGTAGGAGCAGTGCATGAAATTATATTCAGCCAGGCACATGTGGGATGGAGGGTGGATGGAGAGAACAATGACCTCAAGGTGGGGAGCCCATTTTTGAAGCTGCTGATTGGCCACTCTGGTGCCAAGGGCCTTTTCTTATGCACAGAAGGCCAGGATGACGGGCTATTAAGAAATATCCGAATTAGTTTCAACCTCCCCCATGCTTTTCCCAACATACATTGCAGAGCTACTTCAGGCTAGGGAAATATGACACCTGGTAAATTGGTGGGAAGACAGGATAGCAATTGGATGATATGCTGTCCATAACACGGCTGAAACTGCAGGTTGGACACAAGATATTAGGGGAAATAGTGAATATCACAGCTCCTATAAAGGGACATATCACAAAGGAGTCAATTTTTATTATATTGTTTGACCCGATGTGTTTGAAGTATAGCAAACTGTCCAACTCTACGGCACTTGAAAGATTTTGGCTTGACAGTTCCTGAGCCCTTCAATATGGGTGGCATTTCATTTAGAAAAATATATGACCATTGTCAGAGGAGATATAAAACTGAAGGAGCAATTCCAGAGATAGTTAGCCAAAGCTCTCTTGGCCTTTTTCTCAACTTTGGGTTGATCTGTTAAGTTGAAATCGTATTGCATTTTCACAGAGCCTTTAGTAGTTCTTCCAAAGTGTTGAGAGAGTCAGTGGGCTATAGGGTCAAAACACTGAATCACATTCAGACCATCTGAGTTCTATCAAGTGATAGAGCAAGGATATGAGTGGCTTAACCTCACCAAGTTTCCCCCTCTGTGGAGAGGAATAACACCTCATCTACTTCACAAGGTTGTTCTGGAAGTCAGCTGAGAGAAAAATGGATGTGCCTTGTAAACTGAAATGTGTGCTATAAATGTAAGAGCTTATTGTTTATCATCACCATAGATAAGGGTCAATAATCTTTTTCAGTAAAGTGCCAGATAGTAAATATTTTAGTCTTTGTTGCCCTCAAAAGTTCTCCATCACAAAACCTTCTTTGTTTTTGTTGCTTTTAACCACTTTAAAAAATATAAAAACCATTTTTAGCTTACAGGCCTTATAAAAACAGGCTACTGGCCAGAATTCACCTGTAGGCTGCAGATTACCAAGCCCTGTCCTAGATAATTGACATACGATGGTGCTGATGCTCCATCCTCTCCATATTTGGTAAGATTCCCCATAAAGTCTACTGTCTTGGCTATATGACTATAAGAATTACCTAAATCTTTGAATTTTTTATTGAGGCAAAATTTGTATAACGTAAAATTCTCCACTTTATCTATATTAAAGTGTATAATTCAGTGGTTTCGAGTACATTCCCAATGTTGTGTAACCACCAGCACTAATTCCAGAATATTTTGATCACCCCCAAAATGAATCCATACAACTAAGCAGTTATTCCCCTTTCCCCACTTCCTCCAGCCCTTTGCAACCACCAATCTGCTATCACTACCTATGCATATTTTATATAAATAGAATCATGCAGTATGTGGCTTTTTGTGTTTGGCTTCTTTCTCTTAGCATAATGATTTTAATGTTCATTGATGTTGTAGCATATATCAGTACTTCATTCCTTTTTATGGCTAAATATTCCACTATATGGACATTTTGTTCATTCATTAACTGATGGACATTTGGGCTGTTTCCATTTTTGACTATTAAAATAATACCGTTATAACATCCTTGCATAATTTTTTGTGTGGGTATATATTTTTATTTCCCTTGGGTATATACTTAAGACTGAAATTGCTGGATCATATAGTAATTGTATGTTTAATTTTTGAAGAACTATCCAACTGTTTTCCACAGTGACTGTACTGACTGTTTCATTTTATATTTTTGCTAGCAATGTATGAGAATTCCAATTTCTCCACATCCACACCAACACTTGGTAACGTCATTAAAAAATTACAGCCATCCAAAGGACATGAATAGACATTTCTCAAAAGAAATACAAGCAGCCAACAGATACATGAAAAAATGCTCAACATCACTAATAATCACAGAAATGTAAATTAAAACCACAATGATTTATTATCTTACAGCAGTGAGAATGGCTTTTATTAAAAAGTAAAAAAGCAAACAAATGATGTTGACATGGATGTGGAGAAGAGGGAACACTTACACACTGATGGTGGGAATGTAAATTAGTTCAACCTTTATGGGAAATAGCATGGAGATTTCTCAAAGAACTAAAAATAGAACTACCATTGGACCCAGCAATCCCACTACTGGGTATTTACCAAAGGAAAATAAATCATTATATAAAAAAGACACTTGTGCTTGTTTGTTCACCACAGCACTATTCACAATAGCACAGTCATGGAATCAACTGAAGTGTCCATTAACAGTTGACTGCATAAAGAAAATATAGTACATATACACCATGGAACACTATTCGGCCATAAAAAAAAGAATGAAATCATGTCCTTTGCAGCAACATAGATGGGGATGGAGGCCATTATCCTAAGTGAACTAATTCAGGAACAGAAAATTAAATACTGTATGTTCTCACTTATAAGTGGGAGCTAAACAGTGGGTACACTTAGACATAAAGATAAAAATAATAGACACAGGGGACTTCAAATGGGAGGGAGGGAAGAAGGGGGGAAAGAGTTGAAAAATTACCTATCAGGTACAACGTTAACTATTTGGGTAATGGGTACACTAGAAGCCCAATCCCACCGGTACACAATATACACAGGTAACAAACATGCACATGTAATCTGGTAGATACCCAGTAGAGGGATTGTGCACCTGAATATAAAATAAAATAATTTTTTTGAGACAGGGTATCACTCTGTCACCCTGGCTGGAGTGTAGTGGCACAATCCTGGCTCACTGCAACCTCTGCGTCCTGGGTTAAAGCTATTCTCGTGCCTCCCAAGTAGCTGGGATTACAGGCCCATGCCACCATGTCCAGCTAATTTTTGTATTTTAGTAGAGACAGTGTTTCACCATGTTGGCCAGGCTGGTCATGAACTCCCGACCTCAGATGATCCACCTGCCTGGGCCTCCCAAAGTGCTGGGATTACAGGCGTGAGCCACCTCATACGGCCTAAAATAAAATAGAAATTTAAAAATAATTATAGCCATCCTAGTGGATGTGAAATGGTATCTCATTGTCATTTTGCTTTCCATTTCCCTAATGACTAATGATTTTATGTGCTTATTAGCCATTAGTATATCTTCTGATGTCTACTAAAATGTCCACTAAAATCCTTTGCCCATTTTTAAATTGGGTTGTTTTTTGTAGTTGAGTTGTAAGCATTATATTATGTATTCTGGATACTGGACCTTTATTTTAAATATTTTTACATCCAGTGGGTTGTCATTTAGCTTTCTTGATAATGCCTTTTGATGCTCAAGAGTTTTTAATTTTGATGAGTTCTAATTTATCTATGTTTTTTCTTTTGTTGCTTGTGCTTTTGATGTCATATTAAAGAATCCATTACCAAATCCAAGGTTACAAATATTTCCACTTAAGTTTTCTTCCAAGAGATTTATAGTTTTAGCTCCTACATTTTAGGCCTTTGATCCATTCTGATTTAATTTTTATACGGTGTGATGGTAATTTTATGGGTCAACTTGACTGAGCCACAAAGTGCCCAGATAATTGGTCAAACATTATTCTGGGTGTCTATTTGAGGTGTTTTTGGATGAGATTAACATTTAAATCAGCAGACTGAGTAAAGCAGATTGCTCTCTCTAATATGAGTGGATCTCATCCAATCAGTTGTAGGCCCAAATAGAAAAAAGGCTGACTTTCTCTTCCTGCCTGACTTGCCTTTGAACTGGGAGTTCAGCTTTTACCTGCCTTTGTACTTGAGCTGAAACATTGACTCTTCCTGGGTCTTGAGCCTGCTGGCCTTCAGAACGAATCTACACTATCAATTCTCCTGGTTCTCAGTCCTTCAGACTCAGACTGGAACTATATCATTGGCCTCTCTTGGGTCTCCAGATTGCTGACTTGCCCTGCAGATCTTGGAATTTGTCAGTTTCCATAATTGCATGATCCAACTCCTTATAATAAATCTTTTTCTAAATATACATATATACATCCTATTGGTTTTTTTTCTCTGGAGAAGTCTGACTAATAAATATGGTGTGAGTTAAGAGTCCAGCTTCATTCTTTTGCATGTGAATGCTCAATTGTCCTGGCACCATTTGTTGAAAAGATGCTTCTTTCCACATTGAAGGGTATTGGTCCCATTGTTGTAAATCAATTGACAATAGATGTATGGGTTTATTTCTGGACTCTCAACTCTATTCCAATGATCTATATAGCTATCCTTATGCCAGTACCACAGCGTTTTGATTAGTGTAGCTTTATAGTAAATTTTGAAGTATAGAAGGGGGAGTCCTCCAACTTTGCTCTTCTTTTTCAAGATTGTTTTGACTATTTGGAGTCATTTACAATTCAATATGAATGTTAGAATCCCTTTATGCTTATAAAAAGGCATTTGGAATTTTTACAGAGATTGCAATGAGTCTTTAGACTCCTTTGAGTAGCATTGTCATTTTAATAATATTAAGTCTTCCAATCCATGACCATGAGATGTCTTTCCATTTATTTAGGTATTCTTTAATTTCCACAATGTTTTGCAGTTTTTAGTTCACAAGTTTTACACCTTTTTGGTTAAATTTATTTCTAAGTATTTTATTTTTTGATGTTTTTATAAATGAAATTATTTTCTTAATTTGCTTTTAGGTATGTTCATTTCTAGTGTATAGAAATGTAACTGACTTTTGTATGTTAATCTTATATCCTGATGCTTTGCTGAATTTATTTATTAGCTCTAATAGTAGTTTTTGTGTATGAATTTTTCTTAGGGTTTTCTATATGTAAGATTATGTAATCTGCACATAGAGATAGTTTTACCTCCTTCTTTCTAATTTGGATGACTTTTATTTCTTTTTGCCTAACTGCCCTGATTAGAACCTCTGGTATAATATTGAGTAGGAGTGGTGAGAGCAGACATTCTTGTGTTGTTCCTGACTTTAGGGTGAAAGCTTTATTTTTCACTATTAAGTATGATGTTAGCTTTGGGCTTTTAAAACAACACTATTGAGGTATAATTGACGTGCAAAAACTGCAAATATTTAATGTATACAATTTGATGAGTTTGGACCTATGCATATATCTATGAAACTATCATCACAATTGAGGCAATAAACATGTTCAAAATCACCAAAAATTTCTTCATGCCTTCCTTTTTTTGTGGTAGTAACACATGAGACCCACCCTCTTACAATTTTTAACCTCACAATATAGTATTGTAACATCTCCTCTTTCATTTCTAATTTTATTTAAGTCTTCTTTCTTTTTTCTTAGTCTAGCTCAAGTTTTGTCTATTTATTTGTTTTTAAAAAGCCAACTTTTAGTTTTGTTCATTTTTCTATTATTTTTCTATTCTTTATTTTGTTTGTTTCTACTGTAATCTTTATTATTTACTTCCTTCTGCTATATTTGGGCTTAATTTGTTCTTATTTTTCTAGTTCCTTGTGGTATAAAGTTAGGTTGCTTATTTGTGATGTTTCTTCTTTTTAAATGTAGAAGTTTATCATTATAAACTTTTAGTAGTGCTTTTGCTGCTTGTTTCATTTTCATTTGTCTCAAGATATTGTCTGATTTCCCTATCGATTTTTTATTTGACCAGTTGATTGTTCAAGAGTGCATTGTTTAAATACCACATATTTGTAAATTTTCCACTTTTCCTTCTTTTATTGATTTCTAGTCTCATTCCACTGTGGTCATAAAAGAGATTTGGTATGATTTCAATCATCTTAAATTTGTTAAGATTTGTTTTTTGACCTGGCATGTGATCTATCCTAGAGAATGTTCTTTGCACACTTGAGAAGAATGTGTATTTTGCTCCTATTGGGTGGAATGTTCTGTAGATGTCTGTTAGGTCCATTTGCTCTATAGTATTGGTCAAGTCAGTTGTTTCCTTACTGATCTTCTGTCTGGATGTTTTATCCATTATTGAAAGTTGGGTATTGAAGTTTCCTAATATTATTGTATTGCTGTGTGTTTCTCCCTTAAGTTCTGCCAATGTTTGCTTTATATGTGTGTTACTCTAATGTTGGGTGCATCTATATTTCCTGATAAATTGGTCATTTTATCTTTATTATATAATGTACTTCTTTGCCTCATTTGACAGTTTGATTTAAGGTCTACTTTGTCTCATCTAAGTATAGCCACCCTGATTTCTTTTGTTTACCATTTGCATGAAATATCTTTTTCCATCCCTTCACTTTTAACCTATGTGTGTCTTTAAATCTAAAGTAAGTTGCTTATAAACAGTGTATGATGGCATCTTTTTTAAAAAACCATTCGTCCACTCTCTGTCTTTTGATTGGGAAATTTAATCAATTTACACTTAAAGTAATTATTGATAGGGAAGGACTTACTATTGCCATTTTGTTAATTGTTTTCTGTCTGTCTTGTAGTTCTTTTCCTTTCTTGCTGTCTCCCTTTGTATTTCATTGATTTTTTTTGTAGTGATATGCTTTCATTCCTTTCTACTTCTCTTTTGTGTATCTTCTGTAGGTATTTTCTTTGTGGTTACCAAAAGGCTTACATAAAGCATCTTATAGTTATAACAGTCTATTTTAAGCTAATAACAACTTCAATCACATTTTACAAACTATATTTTTACTCTCCCCACTTTATATTATTTACAGCTTTTGTATTATGTATTCATTAAAATTTTTTTGTAATTATAGTCATCCTTAATAACTCAATAACTATTTTAACTTTTATACTAAAATTGTGTGATTTACATGCTATCATTACAGTATTCTGTATTTGCTTATAAAGTTACATTTACCAGTGAGTTTTATACTTTTATATGCTTTTTGTGTCATTGTTTAGCCCCCTTTCATTTCAACTTGGAAAACTCTTTAGCATTTCCTGTAAGGCAAGTCTAGTGGTGAAGTCTAGTGGTGATTAACTCCCTCAGCTTTTGTTTGTCTGGGAAAGTCTTTATTTTTCCTTTATTTTTTGAAGGACAGTTTTACAGGTACAGTATTCTTGTTTAGCAATTGGTTTTCTTGCTCTCTCAGCACTTTGAATATATTATCCCACTCTCTCCTGGCCTACAAGGTTTCTGCTCAGAAATTCACTGATAGTCTCATGAAGTTCCCTTGTAAGTGGCAGGTCACTTTTCTCTTGCTGTATTCAAAAACACTTTCTTTGTCCTTGACTTTTGATAATTTGATTATAATATGTCCCAGTGTAATCTTCTTTGGGTTGGTTCTGTTTGGGGGTGCTTGAGCTTAATGAATCTGAGTGCCTATTTCTCTCTCCCAAGACTTGAAAAGTTTTCAGCCTTTTTTCTTTAAATAAGCTTTCTGCCCCTTTCTCTCTTCTCTCTCTTCAGCTCCCATATTGCATATACTGGTTTACTTGATGGTGTCTAATAAGTCATTTAGGTTTTCTTCACACCTTTTCATTCTTTTTGTTGTTGTTGTTCCTCTCACTAGTTTCAAATAATCTTTCTTTGAGTTTGCGGATTCTTTCCTCTGCTTAAGTATGCTGTTGATACTCTATTAAAAATTTCAGTTTAGTTATTGTATTCTTCAGCTCCAGAATTTGTTTGCTTATTTTTATGGTTTTAATCTCTTTATTGATAGTTTCATTTTGTTCATGTATCATTTTCCTAATTTTATTTAGTTGTCTGTTTTCTCTTGTAACTCACTGAACTGCTTTAAGATGATTATTTTGAATTCTTGTCAGGCGATTTGTAGATCTACATTTCTTTAGGGTCAGTTAGCAGAGATTTATTTTTTTCTTTGGATGTGGCATGGTTTCCTGATACTTCATGTTCCTTGTGCTTTGCATTGGTGTCTGTACATTTGAAGAAACATCCACCTCTCTCAGTCTTTGTTGACTGACTTTGACAGAGAAAGACCTTCACCAATCAGTCTGGCTAGAGATCCTGAGAGCCGCTCAAACGTTTACTATGGACGTGCACACTCCACTCCTCTCCCTCCCTCCCTCCTGGGGAAGGACTGTCAGTGTTGTGCACCTTCTTCCAATCTTGCAGAGACATGGTGACTTGCAGTAAGCTGTCCAACCCTTTTCCCTAAAACAGTGTGCTGAAAGGCTGCAACATTGAAATAACACTCTACTCCTTTCCCTCCTTCCTGGGGGAAAAGTC
This sequence comes from Homo sapiens, assembly GCF_000001405.40. Lineage (NCBI taxonomy): Eukaryota > Metazoa > Chordata > Mammalia > Primates > Hominidae > Homo > Homo sapiens. The sequence goes on along the minus strand of NC_000023.11, from coordinate 107,304,506 downwards.
TCATGGTTGTTGTCATAAGTTTATTTAACGTTGTTGCTGCCTCAGTATCCATTTTTAGCCCTGACACAAGTTGTTTGAAACCCAATCATACCTTGTCATCTTTGGTCTAGTAAAAACTTCCCTATGTGGTTGTCTATGATACAGCCTGCTTCTTCCTCATCTCACTGACCCTAAACCCAGCACATGCCACAGCTGCTAACCATGATAAAAACCTAATGGTCAACACCAGAGTCATCCAAATAAGTTCCCCCCCTTTGCTTGTGCTTTCTTTAAACGAGCCAATTTAGAACTCCCATGGGAAAGCCTAAGGAATAATACCCATGGACCTTGATCAAAGCATAGCCTCCAGTCTCTCCCCCACCTACCCTGCTCTTTTTTGCTTCTTACCCACTGTTTGAGCTCCCAGCTTTCTCTAGATTTGCTGTCTGCCTTCCAATGGCACTCCTAAGATTTTGTTTATCTGGAAATGTCTTAATTTTTCTTCATTTTTGAAGGATAGCTTTGCCATATATATAACTATTGGTTGATAATCTTTTACTTTCAGCACTTTGAATATGCCATCCCACTGCCTTCCAGCATCTGTGGTTTCTGATGAAAAATGAGCTGTTAATCATAAGGATCCTTTGTATGTGATGGCTTGCTTCTCTTTTGCGCTTTCAGAATTATCTTTATCTTTTGACAGTTTGTTTATAATGTGTCTTAGTTTTGATCCCTGAGTTTCTCCTTCTCAGAGTTCTTGAGCTTGACATTCAGATTCATGACTTTCATTGTATTTGCAAAGTTTTTCGCCATTATTTCTTCAAATATTTTTTTCTGGTCCTGTTTTCTCTTAGGTTCTTCTGGGACTACTGTTATGCATTGTAGATATCCTTGCTGGTGTTCCACAGGTCTCTGAGGCACTGATCATTTCTCTTCATTCTTTTTTTCTTTCTGTTGCTCAGTCTGGGTAGTTTCAATTGTCCTGTATTCAAATTCACTTGTTCTTTCTTCCTCCTGTTTAGGTATGCTGTTAAACCCCTCTAGTGATTTTTAAAATTTCAGTTATTGTATTTTTTAGCCTGAGAATTCCTATTTTGTTCCTTTTTATAATTTCTGTCTTTTATTCATATTGTCTATTTGCTAGACATCATTATCATGGTTTCTTTGATTTTTATATTATTTTATCTATTTGAATATATTTAAGAGAGTTGACTTAAAAGTTTTTTTCTAGTAAGTTCAATGTTGGGGATTCCACAGGAAGTTTCTACTAATTTTTTTCTTGTGTATGGGCTCTACTGTCTTGTTTCTTTGCATGCCTTGAAATTTTTTGTTGAAAACTGTACATTTTAAATATTATGATGTGGCAGCTTTGGAAATCATGTTGTCTCTTATTTCCATGGCTTGTTGTTGCTGCTTGTTGTGGTTGCTCTTGTTTGTTTAGTGACTTCTAAACTAATTTTGTAAAGTCTATATTCTTTATTGTTTATGGCGATTAAAGTCTCAGTTAAGTTAGCTTAGTGGTTAGGTTAGTTAGTGAATAAAAATGCCACAAAGCTCTCCTTTCAATATTCAGCCACCTTCATCTTGATTAAACCTTGGCCTGGTTGCTATACACCTTTGATTAGTTTCCAGAGCTCCAATAAAGTTAATGATAGCTTTTGCCCATTTATTCACTCTTTCTGTGGAGAGATGGGCTCTTGGAGATTCTTACTCTGACATTTTCATTGTTATTACCTGAATCTTTAATTTTGAAACAGAATTATAAATCTGTAAGTGTATGTAGTTTTTTGGGTTGGATAAGTCATTGAAATAATGGTATCATATGACAAGCCTGGACTCAAATCCCAGTGCCTTTATTTGACTTGTTCAATTTACTTTGCCCCTCTAGCCTCAGTGTACTCATCTGATAAGCAGGAAGAATAGAATTTATCTCATCAGGTTGTTGTGGAAATTAAACGGTGCAGTCTAGCACAGTAGGTCATGCTAAACCATTATGGATCATTACCACCTTTGCTCTAACTGGTTTCTAAGGAGAAGGTACATCTTAAGAAAAATGAGACTCAGAACAGGTCAACTGGATTAAGTAGAGGACAGCAACTTGGGTATCATTACTTATCTTCTAAGCAACCTGAACAGTATTAGCACCCTGCCTAGGGTCGGGGAGGATGAGAAGGCAGGAAAAACAACTTCTTTCTTCATAATTTTGTCCTAGGTCAATCACCAATGGCCACCACTTATAACTTAACTTCACAGAAAGCCTCCAAAACACACACCCAAAAAGCCCAAGGTACTTTTTGCTTATAAGACCACACTTAATTTCCTACTTTTTCCCTAAAGCTTTCCTGATTTATCCAATGAACAAAGATTTACCCATCATTAACCTGACTCTTTGCTTGTGTCATTAATTTGGCATTAAATTTTAAATCACTCTTGTACCATTGTAGTGTTAACTTTTCATGGATTCCAACTCAACTCATCCTTCACTGCCCCTCCCTAACTGTACCATAACCTCCTTGAGAATGTGTTTGGCATGTTGTTCATTGTGTTTTTTTATAGCTCTCAACACAGTGCTATGCATGTAGAAGGTATCCAATAAATATTTTTTAAAATATTTTTTAAATGATAAAAACTTCTATCTCAAAAGATAGATGGAATTCTTCCAGCATCTCTATGTCAATGCAAATCATTTGAGTGATCATTAGTTCTCCGAGCTCAGCTACGAGCTTTCACATGCTTCAACAGAGAACAAGTATCCTAAATAAGACTTCAAACAAACAAAGCAAAATTCTTAGCCCAAATGGAGGGAATTATCTTTCAAAGAGAACCCATTCTATCTTCAAGTCCTACTGTTCTCTGTTAATCCAGAGCTACTTCTTGCTATATCAAAAGCTCTAGAGGCTCTTCTAGCTCAAACAACCCTGGATTCAAAATCAAACTCCCCAGCACATGAAGTGTTGCTTCTCTATCTCAGACTTTGCAACAAGCAGCAGAAACTTTGCACTTGCCCATTCCTCCGCAGCCTATTAAGTCGGTTATCTCTCGGACACATCAGTCCACCCCTACAGTATCCAGGCTGTCAGAAAGTGATTATTAATGATAGGGATACTTCCTCAGCCTGTTAGTTTCCTTACCCCTTTTGATTATATAGGGCAACCTGGCCCATTCTACAGGACTGCATCTTGCCATCATATTATTGGCCCTTAGTTATGAAAGCTTTTGCCTGGAAAGCTGTGTCAGAGGTTAATGTGACTATTTTTCCTCTCTCTTCAAATTCACTTTACTGGAAACAAACTCCCCAGAATGCTGCTTAGAGAGTTATTTATCTTTATAACTTGAAAAGGCCATGTTCATGCCAGGGACTCTGGGTAAATCTTACTATTGTTATTTTTCCTCTGTCACCTCTCACCAGTCTCTTCAGCTAAAAAGATCCAAAACAGACTGTGAAAGGGAGTAGGTCAATAGAATGCAGGCTGGGCCTTCTAAAGGGCATGGCCTTTTTCCCAAAATGGTTTGTTACTGGACACTGGAAGACAAGGACCTGGATGGCTCTCTAGGGCTTTTCCATCTTGAATTTGAATGAGCCTGGCTCAGGGTGAATCAATAATGATCTTTGCTTCATGCTTTTCATCCACCCTAATATGCTGCTCAGATCTACATTACTGTTAAAACATGAGGTGGAGGGCAGTTGCTTTCTCTTGGAAGGGCAGTCACTCACTTTTTTTTTTCCCGGGACTTTTCAATCTTCAGCTCACGATCTCAGCTTAGTCATTTCTCTAAGGCTTGAGTTTTGAGGGGAAAGTGAGTGGTCCATCCTATTTCAGAAACCAAATTGCAGCTTCTCTAGAAATGCCCCCTTCATCTGGAAGGACAAGAATATGAGAATTTGAACTATGTACTAGATATGAGAGAGCCATAGGGATGGATGGAGAGCAAGGAGTAGGCTAGCCCCAAAATCTGTTTCAAAGGCTGCCTCCTCTGGGAAGACTTAATGTTTCTCTTTCGTTTCTAGTGTACTTGCCTAATCCCCTGGCCCTGCAATCCTAATCCCCTCTACAGAGGTAACCCCTGTTACTAACTTGATATATCTGCTTTTAGAATTCCTCTATGCATATGCAATGCAAATATACATGAAACGTAGGTTTTTTTTTTCTTTCTTTCTTTTGAGACCAAGTCCCACTCTGTCACCCAGGCTGGAGTGCGCTGGTGCGATCTCGGCTCACTGCAACCTCTGCCTCCCAGGTTCAAGTGATTGTCATGCCTCAGCCTTCCAAGTAGCTGGGATTACAGGCTCGCTCCACCATGCCCAGCTAATTTTGGTATTTTTAGTAGAGACGGGGTTTCACCATGTTGGTCAGGCTGGTCTTGAACTCCTGACCTCAAGTGATCTGCCCACCTCAGCCTCCCAAAGTGCTGGGATTACAGGTGTGAGCCACTGTGCCCAGCCTAAACACGTACTATTTTAAAAATAAATACTATCATGCTGTACATTTCATTTGGCAACTTTTTTTTCCTTCTAAACCAGTGGTTCTCGAACATCAGCATGCATCGGCAACACCTAGGAGACTTGTTAAAGCACAAATTTCTTGTTTCCACCTCCAGAGTTTCTGATACAGGAGGTCTGGGGTGGGACCTAAGAATTTGCATTTTTAAAAAGTTCTCAGATGAGCTGAAGCTGCTGGTCCGGGGACCATACTTTGAGAATCACTGCCTTAAATAATAGGCAGGGAGACTTTTCCATGAATACATTTCATTTCTACAACTGCTGTATAGCATTCCGTGGTAGCACTTTGTACATACTCCTTCTATAGTGTCTATACTGTATCATTACAGTTAGGAATCCTCCCAGCCATTATTGCCAACTCACCTCGCCAGTACACTCACAATAGATTGAACTCTGAAAGAAAACATTGTGTCTTTTGCCTTTATTGTGCCTGGCATGTAATGTACACCCAATATATTAATGAATGAAAGGATGAATGACTAACTGATCTGAAGCCCCTCAGAAGCTGAATGGGTATGTGGGCTTTGGGGGAAGTCCAGTAAAATTTCTTGATATCTGGGACTCCCTCTGGACTCTGATGAGACATTGATATTATATCAGTGGGAAGTATGCATACACATTGGGGTGAGGATGGTGTATGTATACTTGTGGGAAAAGCTTGTAAGATGATTCCTATATTTCCCTCACCTTTTCCCCAACCCTCCACCCCTCACTGTCCACCTGCCGTTAAAAAAAAGAAGTGGCTATATAAGAGGGCAAAAGAAAGATCCTCTCTCTGTGCTCAGATGTTAATTCTTTGCTGGTTACATGTTACCAGAGGTAGAAATCACTCATCCTGCATTTTAGCATTTTCATTTGCAATAGGAAGTGGTACTGGGAAAGGATACTAGTTTTACACTTTGAATTTAGCACTTTTCATTTGAGAATCATAACGCATTCTTATCACTTTGGTCCTTGTCTCCTCTGCCTAGAGTGTGATAGTTTGCTCTCAGAAATACACTTTACTACAGTCATATGCAGATACATGACATTTCTACAGTGGACTTGCAATATGTTTCTTCCGATCAGCCACATTTCTTTATTAGTGTGTGAATTACAATCCTCTGCTCATTGAATAAGCTAACTGAAATCATTTATTCATAATATTACCTACTACTAGTGTGGCACCATGCTAAAATTTGAGGGCCACAAAAGAATTTTAAAGCATTATTTCTGTTCTGAAGGAGATTATTTGTTAAGTGGGAAGATTAGACATTTACACATGAAACATTCAAGTAGTAATATATGATGATGTGTTATTAGATGCCAGTATGTATAGAACAAATCTGTGTTGTCCAGTACTGTAGCCACTAGCCACATGTGGCTATTGAGTAGTGACAAAGATTCTGCTTGGCCAACTTTAGTCAGGTTCCTGAACCTTCTCCTAAGTCAATCTATGCACTTCCCTGTAAAACCCAGTTTTAGCAAAGGACCCTGCTAAGTCTGTTTAGCAAGAACCTCCTACCATTCTTCTCCTCCACCATCCCCCAGATGATGTCAAATCACCCTGGCCTGCCTTCAGCAAGAATCCTGTTAGGTTGGTTTAGCCAGAATCCCCTTCACCCCTGATGTTTCCTCTTAGTAATTTTCCATCCACTGACCGCCCCACCCCCACACCCTGCTCCTTGGCTATAAAATTCACTAGCCCATGCTGTATTCAGAATGAACCCAATCTCTCTCTCCTACTGCAAAATCCCATTTTCGTGGTCCCTATATCTATCACAATGGTCCTGAATAAATTCTTCCTTACCATGCTTTAACAAGTGTCATTAAATATTTTTTTCCTTTAACAATATCTGAAAAGTGACTAGTTAGAATTGAGATGAGTTATAAATGTAAAATACACACAAGATTTTAGTCTTAGGACAAAGAAAGAATGTAGAAATAGTTCATTAAGAATTTTTATATTTATTATATATTAACTGATACTTAAAAAATATATTGGGTTAAGTAAGATATATTATTAAATGTATTTCACCTATTTCTTTCTACTTTTAAAAATATGGTTACTAGAAAATTAAAATTATATGTATATATGGTTCATACTTTCTATTGAACAGAGTTGTTATAAATAAGTGTTGTAAGAACTTGTAGGAAGAAAGGAATAATGAGCTGGAGTAGTCACAAAGGAGATGGAACTCTTGATTACAAATGATGTAAAGTCAACTCAGACTAGTTTATTCACACACATACACATACAGAGAGAGAGAGATGGGGGAGGGTATTTTATTGGCTCACATAACTGGGAAGTCTACGGAGTATTTTGGGACTGTAGGCGGCCATCTCATCCACCATGTGAAAAGAATAGAGTCAAGACAGGCAGAATTCTGATGATGCTGTTTGATTCCCAGCTTCACAATGTCCTAGGTAAGCAAGGCAAGCAGGAAAAAAAAAATCTCTTTTCCTCTAGCTTCAGTAGAAGTTTCCTAGAGAAGATCCTAATTGGCTTGGCCACACCTGTGGTTGGGAGCGGCCAGAGCACTGTGATTTATAGCTTAGTTAGGGTCACACCGAAAGGGGGAATTGTTCTCTAGCAGAACCAGAGGAAAGGAAGTAGGAAAGAGTATGTGGAAGACAAAAACCATAGTTACTATGCCCACCACAGTTGGACTATACACATGTAAATACAAGCTAATGTGCTACACAATGCCAAGGACAGACATTTTTTTTCTTTGATTAACTTTCTTTTCTTTTAATTAAAGTCAAGGAAATTTTTTTTAAAGTTTTGCCTCACTGCTTCTTTCTGACATTAATGTTTCCTCCCCCCTACAGAGCCAATGTGGTATAGTGCAAAGACAAGATTTGTATTTGTCTTAGACTCAAGAATGAATTTAGGCTCTGCCATTTACTTCGTACACAACATTGATAGAATACTTAATGTCTTGAGTCTCAGTTTCCTCATCTACAATATGGGTAGAATAACATATACCTTACAAAGTTGTTACAAAAATTATATCAGCTAACAAATTTAGTTGGTGCACAATTGATAGTTCCTCATCTCCTTCTTAATGATAGAGAATATGTTTTGGAAAGAAATGCACAGAAGTGAACTATTAAATGTTTATGAACCAATTTCCTGGGTTAAAAAAAAATGCTATAATTTGTAGTGTTTGCCATTTTCTGTGGTGTAAATACTCCTGTTACCAGTAGAGGGTCTTGACTATAAGTCGTCCAGTTTCTTGGCATTTTGAACAGAGTTGGACAAAACGTGCAATAAAGCAAGGAAAGAATGAAGCAAGGAAAGAACGAAAGCAGGGATTTGTTAAAAATGAAAGTACAGGCCGGGCACAGTGGCTCACGCCTGTAATCCCAGCACTTTGGGAGGCCGACGCTGGCAGCTCTCTTGAGTTCATGAGTTCGAGACCAGCCTGGCCAACATGGTGAAACCCTGTCTCTACCAAAAATACAAAAATTAGCCAGGCGTGGTGGTGGGTGCCTGTAATCCCAGCTACTTGGGAGGGTGAGGCAGGAAAATTGCTTGAACCCAGGAGGCAGAGGTTGCAATGAGCAGAGATCACGCCACTGCACTCTAGCCTGGGTGACAGAGCAAGACTCCATCAAAAAAAGAAAGAAAGAAAGACAGAAAGAAAGAAAGAAAGAAAAGAAAAGAAAAGGAAAGGAAGGGAAAGGAAAGGAAAGGAAAAGAAAAGAAAGGAAAGGAAAGGAAAGGAAAAGAAAAGAAAAGAAAAGAAAAGAAAAGAAAAGAAAAGAAAAGAAAAGAAAAGAAAAGAAAAAGGAAGTACATTCCACAGTGTGGGAGTGGCAGAGCAGCAGCTCAAGGGCCCAAATACAGAATCTTCTCAGGTCCAAATATCCCCTGGATGTTTCTCATTGGCCACTTGGTGCTCACCTTATGTAAATGAAGTGGTGGCCTGCAATCAGTCCGATTGGTTGTGAACAGCAACCAATCAGAGGCTGAAGTGAAGTTACAAAGGTTGCACTCCTGTGCAAACATCTGATTGGTTGCAACCAATCAGAGGCTAAAGTGAAGTTATGAAGTTGCATTTCTATGCAAATGAAGACATTGAGTATTTTATTAGTTGCAGAAATCAACCAATCAGAGGCTAAAGTGAAGTTATGAAGTTGCATTTCTATGCAAATGAAGACATTGAGTATTTTATTAGTTGCAGAAAGCAACCAATCAGAAGCTAAAGTGAAGTTATGAATTGCACTTCTATGCAAATGAAGACTTGGCTGGCTATCAGTCTGACTGGTTGCAGGCAGTAACCAATCAGAGGCTGGAGTGAAGTTACAAAGTTACACTCCTATACACACGTCTGATTGGTTGCAAAAAGCAACCAAGCGGAAGTACTTTGAATTTCCCATCTGCCGGGCAGAAAACGTGGGGCTTTGCAAAGGGAGTAGCCTCTGGTCGTTTTGTTACCTAGGCGTGGATAGTTAGGGTTTTCCTCTCAATTTAGTTCTAGGCGTGGATAGTTAGGGTTTTCCTTTCAGTTTAGTTCTAGGAAGTCCACACGAAAGGGCCCTAGGTTCCCTGCCTCCAGACCCCATTCTCCTGCTTCATTCCCACCATGGCAGATTTCAAGATATCAATGTAAGGTCACTTAACACAAAGTTGGGAGTAGATGTGCATAATCAACTCTCATTATACCACCTTTATGACTCAATTCTCTCCTCAGATATTTAAATCAGACTGCTGTTCCCTTCAAAGGGGACTATAAAACAAAATGGAAAAGTAATTATTTGCAAATATTGTCACCGAAATTACCTCTTATACCCCTTCTGTGCCTGCTTGTTCTGCTTCCTCAAATGAATCCATAGCTATCTCAGCTTTTCTTTAGGCATAGAACAAGATTGGTAATTACTTTGTGGTGTTAGGGAAGCTGGCTCCCAGATGAATGGAGAAGATCATTTAGTGTAAAAGTTCAAAACAGCTTTCCAGGCAAAACCAGTTAGGAGGAGCTTAAACTGAAACAATAGGAGATCTTATTTCCAAGAAATTCAAAATAGTTTCTCCTCTCTGGTTTACCTCTTCTAAAAATAAAAGATTAACACCATTACGTACTTATCAAAATGACTAACATAAAAGATAGTGACACCACCAAATGCTGGTAGGAATGTAGAGAAACTGGATCATTCATTCATTGCTGGTAAATATGTAAAATGATATAGCCACTCTAGAAAACATTTTGGCAGTTTCATAAAAAAACTAAAAATGCAAGTGCCATATCACCCAGCAATTGCACTCCTGGGCATTTATCCCAGAGAAATGAAACTATATTCATACAGAAACCTGTATAAAAATGTTCATGGCAACTTTTACATTTGTGTTCCCCTATCTCCCCCCAAATTAATATGTTAAAATCCTAATCCCCAAGGTGATGGTATTAGGAGGTGGGGCCTTTTGGTGGTAATTAGGTCATGAGGATAGAGCCTTCACGAATGGAATCAATGCCTTATGTAAAGGACCCCAGAGAGCTCTCTTGCCCACTTTCTGGCATGTGGGGATACAACAGAAGTCAGCAGTCTGCAACCTGCAGGACAGCCCTCACCAGAACCCGATCATGCTGTCTGATCTCAGATTTCCAGTCTCAATAAATGTGAGAAATAAATTTTTTTTGTTTATAAGCCACTGAATCTTTGGTACAGCAGCCTGGACTGACTAAGACAAGAGAAAAACTGGAAACCCAGATACCCTTCAACAGATGAATGGTTAAACAAACTGTGGTACATCTATACTATGGAATACCACCCTGCAGAAAAAAAAAAAAACTATCGATACACACAGCAACTTAAATGAATCTCCAGGGAAATTATGCTGAGTGAAAAAAAGCCAGAGTGACAAAAGGTTGCATGGTCTGTGATTCCATTCATATAACGTTATTGCAATGACAAAAATATAGAGATGGAGAAGAAAGTTGTTGCCAGGAGTCAGGGACTAGACATAATGTGAGGCAGAGATAAGTTTGGCTATAAAAAGCAACATGAGGGATCTTTGTGATGTTCCAACTGTTGAGTATCTTGACTGCGATGGTGGATACATGAACCTACATGGGTGACAAAATTGTATAGAATGTAACACACAACACAGACAATGAGTACAGGTAAAATTTGGGAAATCTGAATAAAATAGATGGATTATATCAATGTCAAGATCCTGGTTGTGGTAGTATACTATAGCTTTGCAAGATGTTACCATTTGGAGAAATTGGGAAAAGTGTGCAAGGGATCTCTCTGTGTTGTGTCTTATAACTGCATATGAATCTACAGTTTGAATTAAAATTTCAATTTAAAAAGAAGACAGAGAAAAACCAAAAAGGAAAAGAAAAGAAAAAAAGAGAAGTTTCTCAACTCCAGAGTTCTCCAATGAGAAGTCTTATTTTAATAGAGGAATTTAATTTACTTGCTTCCCCCAGATGTCCCCTCTCCAGCACTGACCTTTTTGTCCATTAATATTTTCATTTAAATGCCTATGGGTATTCAGTTTCTCCCAATTTGCAACTGCGTGTTACATGCATCACACACAGTGTTTCTTGGTTATCTTCTCATGTCTCTCATCTCACACACTTATTCCCACCTGTAGCATTCTTATTGGTTGACTGTTTTACAAATCTGGTGACTTAAACATAACAACAATGTTGACAACACTGGCCCAGGCCATTGCACGACCAGCCTATTTCAATCTGACCTGGCAGCCTCACTTCATTTTCCAGGGCAAGCCTTCTTTAAACTATGCCACTCTCATGCATGTTATCTACCAGGAAGTAGTCTAGAAAAGTCTTGTATTCCAGTCATTTTTGAGAGTGTTGGTTAAGAATAAGAGCTTTGGAATTTGACGGATCTAGGTTTGAATCAAGAGGTTGTCATTTATTAGCTATGGCCTTAGGTTGAGTGTTTTCTCACCTGTAAAATGGGGATAAAAATAGTATCTATCTCATAGGCTGTTGTAAGAATTAAATGAGATAATGCATGTCAAGTGCCTAACATACAAGAAGTACTTGTTTATTATTATTCTATTACTCTTTTTCTTACTTTCCTTGGACCTGCATTTCCAGCTTTATGCCCATGGGCTATTTAGGTATCTAAGTCTAGGATCCATTGCTTCAGTCTTTTGCCTCCCAGTGCCTTGCATGCTTTTGCTACCTGGTGCCTTTGTAAAGCTAAAACAGAAGACTATTGACAGAGTAGTGGAGGAATGTGGTTATTGACAAGAGATATCTGAAGGTTCAGTCTCACCTTTATTTGACTCCTAAGCCTAGACTACAGTGCAGTCTTTTCTTGCCTTCTTAGCCCTTGAGTGGTATTAGTAATAGCCCATGTGGGCCACCGTAGATGTGGGGAAACCAACAAGGAGTTTATAGGCTTATCCGTTTTTTGTTTTTTGTTTTTTTTCCAGTTCCAACCACATCCCTCAGGCCCTAGAGCTCAACTAATCAAAAATGTGGTTTATTTGCTCAGATAATTCTGGATAGGGTGGTAGAGTAATTATTCCCCTGAAAACTAAGGGAGAATCTTTCAAAGCCCATTGGAAAAAGCAAGCAATATCAACAATGTTATCACAAGCCTTTTTTTTTTCCACAGAAGAGGTAGTATATGGTAGGACAGTAATTCTCAAAGTGCAGTCTCTAGACCAGCAGCATCAGCATCACCTAGGAGTTTGGTCAAGATGCAAAATCTTGGGCCCTACCTCAGACATTCTGAATAAGAAACTCTGGAGGTAGGGCCCAGGAATCTGTGTCTTAATAAGCTCTACAGATGACTCTGATGAACACTGAAGTTTGAGAGCCACTCACTGGGGTAGTGGTTAGGAGCACAGACTCTGAAGTCAAATTGCTTGGATTTCACTTTCTGCTCTTCCATTACTAGCTACGTGACCTTGGGCAAGCCAATTACACTCCCATGCCTCAATTTCCCTATCTGCAAAATGGGAATAATAGTATTCTCTCCTTGATCCTCCTTTTATTCCCCTTCTGGCTTCAGTGACACTACATTGTCCTCCTGGTTTATCTTCTACCTCATTGGCTCCTCTATCTCTTTTGCTAGTTCCTTGTTCTCTGCTTGACTTCTTTTTTAAAAAAAAATTTTTACATTATACTTTAAGTTCTGGGATACATGTGCAGAATGTGCAAGTTTGTTACATAGGTATACATGTGACATGGTGGTTTGCTGCACTCATCAACCCGTCATCTACGTTAAGCATTTCTCCTATTGCTATCCCTCCCCTAGCCCCCGACCCCGCAGCTGGCCCCAGTGTGTGATGTTCCCCTCCCTGCGTCCATGTGTTCTCATTGTTCAACTCCCACTTATGAGTGAGAACATGTGGCATTTGCTTTTCTGTTCCTGTGTTAGTTTGCTGAGAATGATGGTTTCCAGCTTCATCCATGTCCCTGCAAAGGACATGAACTCATCCCTTTTTATGGCTGCATAGTATTCCATGGTATATATGTGCCACATTTTCTTTATACAGTCTATCATTGATGGGCATTTGGGTTGGTTCCAAGTCTTTGCTTTTGTGAACAGTGCTGCAATAAACATACGTGTGCATATGTCTTTATAGTAGAATGATTTATAATCCTTTGGGTATATACTCAGTAATAGGATTGCTGGGTCAAATGGTATTTCTGGTTCTAGATCCTTGAGGAACTGTCACACTGTCTTCCACAATGGTTGAATTAATTTACACTCCCACCAACTGTGTAAAAGCTTTCCTATTTCTCCACATCCTCTCCAGCATCTGTTGTTTCCTGACTTTTTAATGATCACCATTCTAACTGGTGTGAGATGGTATCTCATTGTGGCTTTGATTTGCATTTCTCTAATGAGCAGTGATGATGAGCTTTTTTTCATGTTTGTTGGCTGTATAAATGCCTTCTTTTGAGAAGTGTCTGTTCATATCCTCTGCTTGACTTCTAAATGTTGGAGGCTCCAGGGCTCAGAACAGGAACCTCTTCCCCGTTTCCATTACATTTTCTCCCTAGATAATGTCATGCAATCCCAAGGCTTTAAATATCACCTATGTGCTATTGACCCACAAATTAATTAATATATCTGACTCTGATATCCCGCAGAACTTGAGACATGTATATCTGACTATGTGATGCCTCAATTTGGAATATTATTAGGCATATCAACTTTTACATGTCTAAAACAACTCGTGGTACTTGATCACCCCCCCAACCCCCACAAGTCCCTTCTCCTTGAATCTTCCCCATTTTAGTAAATAATCCCATCATTCATCCAAGTTAAGAAACTTGGGAGTACCTTTGAATCTTCTCTTTTATACCCTACATCCAAACCATCACCAAAACGTGGTAGCCCTAAATCCAAAATACATACAGAATTGTCCTTGGTTCTGCTCCCCACCAAATTACTTCAAGCCACCACCCTCTCTCATATTGTCTTCTTGCAGTAGTCTCATAACTGGTTTCTCTGCTTCCACTCTCACTCTATTATAGTCTATTCTCCAGAAGTATCAGAGAGATTTTAAAAATGCAAATCTGCTTAAGACCATCCAATATCTTCCCTGAACCAGTGTTCAGAACAAGAATAAAAGCCAAGCCCCTGACCCAGGCCTACAAGGCCTCCATGATCTGAACTCTGCCTACCTCTCCAACTTCCTTTCTCCCAACTCTCTCCATTGTTCCTGACACTCCCATCACACCAGGCTTGTCAGCATTTCTTCGCATGCCAAGCTCCTTCCTGCCTTTAGGCTCAGGCACTACCTATTCCTTCTGCCTAGAACATTTCTCCCCTGGGTATGCAAATGACTGGACTTTTATGATTTATATCTTGGCCCAAATGTCACCTCCTCAGAGAGGCGCTCTTTTACCAGCTAATCAAAAGTAGACTGTCCATTTCAAACACACCACCCTGTCTATTTTTAAGGCACTTATTAAAGCACCTGTCATTATATATTTGTGTTTACCTGTCTTTCTGTACTAGAACATGAGCTCCATGAGAGCAGGGACCTTGACTATCTTGCTCACTATGGTATCCCAGTGCCTAGCACAGTGCTGGCACATAAAAGGTCCTCAGTAAATATTTGCTGAATTAATGAATATTCTCAAATAGTCGTAGCTCTTGGAAATTGGGTATTTCTCCATCTATATGCTGAAACATGCCAGACATGTTCCTACATGCATGTCTATGTTCACACCTAATCTTAGGATCGTTTCTGAGCAACTTATGGTATATAGAAAGGTGCTCAATAAATGTTCATAAATGAATAAATGAAGAAATAAACTTCTTCATGCCCTCATTTTTCCTAGCACATAGACATGAGCAACCATGAGTCTGTTACTTGTTCGACTATTTTTAGGGCGTAGCCCTAAAAGCACTGCCCTCCAAATGAAGGGAGAGAGCTGCCTACATGTAATAATGGAAGAAAGTAACAGTTAAAGGAGTTAGACAAAGCAGTTCCAGAATGAGCTGCAGGCTGGGGGCAGCCAAGGGAGGGGATGGTGGGGTGGTGGTGAAGTTCAGTGAGGAGTGAAGATGGAGTGCTTTTGCCACTGTATTGGTTCTCAAACTTAAGTTTTTATACAAAAGCAGGGATGCTTATTCAGAAGGTCTGAAGCAGAGTGACCACCCATCCTGGTTTGTTCAAGACTTTTCCAGTTTTATCACTGAAAGTCTAGTGTCCGGGGGAACCCCTCAGTCCTGGGAAACCCCCAAATGATTGCTCATGCTAGTTCTGGGGTGAATTATTTTAATATAACACCCCCAGCTGTTTCTGATGCAGGTAGTTCCCAGGCCACACTTTTAGACGACACAGGAAAAAGCCTTGGTGGCAGCCCAATTTACCGCACTAACTCTGATCCCAAATAATAGGGTTGGCTCAGCTCCTTTTGTTCTCTTTCCAACCTTAGCTAAAAGGAACACTTTGTAAAGCTTCAATTGATTCAAGAAGATTGAAAATTCAGGGCTAAGTGATTAAACCTCTTACAGATGGAAGAACACTTAAATGCCTAAATTGCTTGAGTACTTTAAAAATAGGGAGAAATGGCCAAATTGTATCACCCAAAAAGTTCTAAAATAATCAGCTAAAAGGAACCACTCAGAATGTGGGTGGCATAGTGTCATTTCTTCCCAGTCTGCTGACCTCTTCGCTTCAATGGGCAGCATAGTTAAGTGATCTATGAAATGTTAACCTTTCTATCATGACTGCAGATGCTGTCACCGGAATAAATTGGAATTCAGCCCATGAAAGGGTGTCAAAGGACACCAATCTCTCTTTCCTCAATCATCTCCACTTCTTTCAAACATTTTCTGCTGCACTGTCACCGTAGCTTGAGATCCATTCCAGTTTCTTCACCCTAGATTTCATAGTTGAAGTGTGTACGATTAAGGATACAAGGATACAACATTTAGTTTCAAATAAGTCACAGTGAAGAGGGCCAACTACCTAAGTAAAAGTATATTTTCAATATATATGTTATTTATGGTTTGGGGTATGTGTTGGTGGAGAAGTGGAGAATTGGAATGCACATACATTGTTGGTGGGAGTGGAAAATTGTGCAGCAGTTCTGGAAAACAGTTTGGCAGTTCCTCAAACAGTTCAACATAAAGTTACCATATTACCCAGCAGTTCCACTCCTATGTATATGCCCAAAAAAATTGAAAACAGGGACTCAAAACAGATATGCTGATGTTCATAGCAGTATTATTCACAATAGCCAAAAGGTGAAAACAATTCAAATGTCCATTGGTGGATGGATGGGTAGACAAATTGTGGCAAATATTATACATACAATGAAATGTTATTCAGCCATAAAAAGGAAGGAAATTATGATAAACATTATGACATGGATGAACCTTGAGGACATTATGCTGAATGAAATAAGCCAGACACAAAAGGACAAATATTGTATGATTCCACTTACATGAAATGTTTAAAACAGGCAAATTTATAGAGACAGAAAATAGATTAGAGGTAGCCAAGGGCTGTGGGGAGGGGCAAGTGCGGAGTTATTCTTTAACTGATACAGAATTTCTGTTTGGAGTGATGAAAATACTTTAGAAATAGATTGTGGTAATGGTTGTAGAACAATGTGAATTGTACACTTAAAATGGTTAAAATAGAAAGTTTTGGGCCAGACATTGTGGCTCACACCTGCAATTCCAGCACTTTGGGAGGCAGAGGCAGGTGGATTTGAGCTCAGGAGTTTGAGACCAGCCTGGGCAACACAGGGAAACTCCATCTCTACCAAAAATACAAAGACTTAGCTGGGCATGGTGGCAGGTGCCTGTGGTCCTAGCTACTTGGGAGGCTGAGGCAGGAGGATCACTGGAGCCTGGGAGGTGGAGGTTGCAGTGAGCTGAGATCACGCTGCTGCACTCCAGCCTGAGCAACAGAGTGAGACTCTGTCTCAAAATAAGAGAGAAAATTTTATGTTACATATGCTTTACCAATTTTTTTTAAAAGATATGATAATGAGTAGTAATTGGGAAGTTGGGGGTGGTAGTGGGTCCGGGGAGAGAACGATAAGCCTGATACCCTGAAGGTAGTTCCCTGGCAAGCTTAGTAGCTTTGAAGATAAAAATTAACTAGGGCCTGGAGCACTGTATGCAACAAAGATACAGAAAGTAGTACACTTCCATCTGCATGTTTAATAAGCCACTCAGGTGAGTCATGCAGGTGGTCCTTGAAGCATACTTCCATCAGCTACAACATCTGTGGGTGGGTAAGTGGTATAAGTTTTGCTAAAGAGGAATTTGAGCAAATGAATGAGTATCTAGGAGCCTAGCACAGCACCTAGAAGGTGCTTAAAATAATTGTGTTGCATTATTGATTGGAGAAAATGGAGCGCTCAACAAACATTTTTGAAAAAATGAATTTATATCATTGCCTGTTTTCTGAAATGCCTCTTTCTTCCATCTCTAGGAATACCATGCTTCTTCCCTCAAAACTTGACATAAACACAGACTCCTTTGTAAAGCCTTCCCTGATTTCATGTCCCCTACCCCAAGTAGATGTGACCTCTCCTGTAACTATGAGGGGTTATGGAGAGGTATAAGTGCTGGGGTTCAGAGGAGTATTAGAAGCACTGGGAAAGGACAGCTGGGCTGGAAATGTCAGGAAGGATAACAAATTTGCACTTGGAATTTTTGCACTGGAGTGGATTGCTACAAGGGCAGGAAGCTGAGGGTCAATCAACAGCAAAGTAAGCAAGGCCAAATTCCCTGATTGGTCAGAAAGATGAATTAAAACTACAGGTTAGAGGGAAACTGGTAAACCAACGACAAAGTAATCCAGGCCTAGTGCCCTGATTGGTCCCAGTAATAAATTCAAAGCATGTAGCAACTGCCCTCTTTAACTTCACATTAATGTCATTGCCTCCTTCTAGAACATTCTTTCCTTCCTGTTTCTGCATGTGGAAATCCTGCCTTGTTCTTCAAGGCACAGTTCTGTTTGAAGCCCCTTCTATGAAGCTTTCTCTGATTTCATGTCTGTCATCTCTAACAGGAAGATGAGCAGACAGCACGAGACCTGGGGTGTAGGGCATTGTTGGAGGTGCCGGGACAAAAAAGATAGGATAGTGCTGTAAGAAGGACATAGGTTTCATATTAAGATTTTGTGCTTGAGTTTGTTCACTTACATTGTGGTTACTATCATTAACGAAGTAACCAACCTGGGCCTCTTATGGTAAGAACTAATTATGTGAGGTAGGATAACACAGGTGAGTGCAGGGAGTTGGCAGTGACACCTCAGAAGAGAAGGTAGAACTACTAATTGGCAGAGCTGGAATTTGAACTCAGTTTCTTTCTCTCCTGAAACCCATGCTGATAACCTCTATATCAGTTGTTTCCAGAATTTAGTATGCATTAGAATTATCTAGGTAGCTAGTTAAAATGCAGATTCCTGGGGCTCACACCTGAAAATTTGACTCAGTAAAAGGGTCCAGGAATTGAGATTTTAATAGACCCTTCAATTGATTCTGAATCCAGTGATCCAAGGACCACCTTCTGAAAAACTTTTCTCTCTTTCCTTGGTGCCACTGACCTCAATCCTCAACCTACCTTTGTTATTCATGCTTAGTGGTGTCATAGACAACTCATTTTAGAAAAGATTATTTTTCCCCATTGATTGGTCTTGGCATCCTTGTTGAAAATTAGTTGACCACAAATGTATGGGCTTATTACTGAACTCTCAATTTGATCTCATTATGTATTTCAGTTATTTATATGTCTATCCATATGCCTATACTACACAACCTTTTTACGTTGAGATAAAGTTCACATCACATATAATTCATCATTGTAACCTTTCAAGCATACAATTTAGTGCCTTTTAGTATATTCATAAAGTTGTGCAACAATCACCAATATCGAATGCAGAAACACCCCCCAAAAAACCCAGACTTTGTACCCATTAAGCAGTCACTGCTCATTTCATTCTCCTTCCAGCCCCTGACAACCACTATTCTACTTTCTATGTCTACGAATGTATTTTTCAATTTTTAATTTTTGTGGGTACATAGTAGGTATGTATATTTATGGTATACATGTGATATTTTGATAAAGGCATACAATGCATAACAATCAAATCAGGGTAAATGGGGTATCAATCACCTCAAGCATGTAACCTTTGTGTTACAAACAATTCAATTATATGTTTTTAGTTATTTTTAAATGTACAAATAAATTATTACTGACTATAGTCACCCTGCTGTGCTAGCAAATATTAGGTCTTACTCATTTTTTCTAACTAATTTTTTGCACCCAGTAACCATCCTCACTTTCTTCCCACCACCTCCACTACCTTTCCCAGCCTCTGGAACCATCCTACTCTCTATCTCCATGAGTTCAATTGTTTTAATTTTTGACTAACACAAATAAGTGAAAACATAAATGAGAACATACAATGTTTGTCTTTCTGTGTCTGGCTTATTTCACTTAACAGAATGACCTCTGTTTCCACACATGTTGTTGCAAATGACAGGATCTCATTCTTTTTCATGGCGGAATAGTACTCCATTGTCTGTACATATCAAATTTTCTTTATCCATTCATCTGTTTATGGACACTTAGGTTGCTTCTAAATCTTGGCTACTGTGAATAGTGCTGCAATAAACATGAGAGTGCAGATACCTCTTCAATATACTGATTTCCTTTCTTTTGTGTATATACCTAGCAGTGGGATTGCTGGATCATATGGAGCTCCATTTTTAGTTTTTTGAGGAACTTTTAAACTGTTCTCCACAGTGGTTTTACTAACTGACGTTCCCACCAACGGTGTATGAGGGTTCTCTTTTCTCCACATCCTCACTAGCATTTGGATAAAAGCCTTTTGAAGAGGGGTGAGACAATATCTCACTGTAGTTTTAATTTGCATTTCTCTGATGATCAGTGATATTTAGCACTTCTTCATAAACCTATTTGCCATTTGTACGTCTTCTTTTGAGAAATGTCTATTTAAATCTTTGGCCCATTTTTTAAATTGGATTATTAGATTTTTTCCTATATAGTTGTTTGAGTTCCTTATATATTCTGGTTATTAATCCCTTGTCAGATAGATACTTTGCAAATATTTTCTCCCATTCTGTGTGTTGTCTCTTCACTTTATTGATTGTTTCCTTTGCTATGCAGAAGCTTTTTAACTTGATGTGATCCCATTTGTCCATGTTTTCTTTGGCTGCCTGTGCTTGAGGGGTATTACTCTAGAAATCTTTCCCCAGTCCAATGTCCTGGAGAGTTTCCTTAATATTTTCTTTTAGGAGTTTCACAGTTTGAGGTCTTAGATTTAAGTATTTAATGTATTTTGACTTTATTTTTGTATAAAGCAAGAGACAGAGGTCTAGTTTCATTCTTCTGCATATAGATATCCTGTTTCCCCAGAACCATTCATTGAAGAGACTGTCCTTTCCCCAATGTATGTTTTTGATACCTGTGTCAAAAATGAGTTCACTGTAGATGTATGGATTTGTTTCTCGGTTCTCCATTGTGTTCCATTGGCTTATGTGTCTGTGTCTGTTTTTATCCCAGTATCATGCTGTTTGGGCTACTATACCTGTGTAGCATAATTTGAAGTCAGGTAATGTGATTCCTCCAGTTTTGTTCTTTTTGCTCAGGATAGCATTGGCTATTCTGGGTCTTTTTGTGGTACCATATAAATTTTAGGAGTGTTTTTTCTATTTCTGTGAAGAATGTCATTGGTAATTTGACATGGAATGAATTGAATCTGTAGATTGTTTTGGCTGTATGGACATCTTAACAACATTGATTCTTCTAGTCCATAAACATGGAATATCTTTCCATTTTTTTGGTGTCCTCTTCAATTTCTTTCATCAGTGTTTTATCGTTTTCATTGTAGAGATCTTTCACTTCTTTATTTAAGTTAATGTTTAGGTACTTAATTTTATTCATAGCTATTGTAAATGGGATTACTTTTTTGATTTCTTTTTCAGATTGTTTGCTGTTGGCATATAAAAATGCTGCTTATTTTTGTATGTTGATTTTATATCCTGCAATTTTCCTGGATTTATTTATCAGTTCCAACAGTCTTTTTGCTAGAGTCTTTAGGTTTTTCCAAATATAAAATCATATCATCTGCAAACAAGGATAATTTGAGTTCTTCCTTTCCAATTTGGATGCCCTTTATATCTTTCTCTTGTCTGAGTTGCTCTAGCTAAGACTTTCAGTACTATGTTGAATATCAGTAGTCAAAGTGAGCATCCTTCTCACTTAGCAAAAAGTTTCCCAATCTTAGCGAAAAGTTTCTGTTTCTCCCCAGTCAGTATGATAATAGCTGTGGGTCTGTCATATATGACTTTTATTGTGTTGAGGTATGGTCCTTCTATATACCTAGTTTATTGAGGGTTTTTATCATAAAGTGATGTTGGATTTCATCACATGCATTTTCAGCATCAATTGAAATGATCATATGGTTTTTGTCCTTCATTCTGTTGATGTGATGTATCACATTGATTGATTTGCATATGTTGAACTATCCTTGCTTCCCTGGGATAAATCCCACTTGGTCATGATGAATGATCTTTTTAATGTGCTGTTGAATTCTGTTTGCTAGTATTTTGTTGAGGATTTTTGCATCAATGTTCATCAGGTTTATTGGCCTATTGCTTTTTAAAATACGTCTTTGTCTGGTTTTGATATCAGAGTAATACTGGCCTCATAAAATGAGTTTGGAAGTAATCCCTCCTCTTCTATTTCTCGGAGTAGTTTGAGTAGGATTGGTGTTGGTTCTTTAAATGTTTAGTAAAATTCAGCAGCGAAGCCATCCAGCCTCACGTTTTTCTTTGCTGTTGCTGGGAGACATTTTATTGTGGCTTTGATCTCCCTACTTGTTATTGGTCTGTTCAGGTTTTGGATTTCTTCATGGCTCAATGTTGGTAGGTCATTATATGTCTAGGAATTTATTCATTTCTTCTAGGTTTGCCAATTTATTGGCATATAGTTGCTCATAGAAACCTATAATGATCCTTTCAATTTCTGCAGTATCGTTTGTAATGTCTCCTTTTTCATCTCTGATTTTATTTATTTGGGTCTTCTCTTTTTTTCGTAGTTAGTCTAGCTAAAGGTTTGTCAATTTTGTTTATCTTTGCAAAAAATAAGTTTGTTTTTTTTTTGAGACGGAGTTTCACTCTTGTTGCCCAGGCTGGAGTACAATGGTGTGATCTCGGCTCACTGCAACCTCTGCCTGCTGGTTTCAAGTGATTCTCCTGCCTCAGCCTCCCAAGTAGCTGGGATTACAGGTGCATGCCACCATGCCCAGCTAATTTTGTATTTTTAGTAGAGACAGGGTTTCTCCATGTTGGTCAGGCTGGTCTCGAACTCCTGACCTCAGGTGATCCACCCGCCTCGGCCTCCCAAAGTGCTGGGATTACAGGCATGAGCCACCGCGCCTGGCCAAAAAATAACTTTTTGTTTCATTGATCTTTTGTATTGTTTTCTTTATTTCAATTTCCTTTATTTCTGCTCTTATTTTATTATTTCTTTTCTTCTACAAACTTTGGGTTTGGTTTGCTCTTGCTTTTCTAGTTCTTTAAGATACATTATTAGGTTGTTTATTTGAAGTTTTCCTGCTTTTTTGATGTAGGTACTTATAGCTATAAACTTTCCTCTGAGTACTGCTTTCACTGTATCCCCTAGGTTTGGTATGTTGTATTTCCATTATCATTTGTTTCAATAAATTTTTCAATTTCCTTCTTAATCTCTTCATTGGCCCACTGATTATTCAGGAGCATATTGTTTAATTTCCATGCGTTTTTATAATTTCCAGAGTTCCTCTTGTTATTGATTTCTAGTTTTATTCCATTGTGGTCAGAGAAGATACTTGATATTAGTTCAAATATTTTGAATGTTTTAAGAATTGTTTTATGGCTTAACATATGGTCTATCCTTGAGAATGATCTACATGTTAAGGAGAAGATTGCGTATTCTCCAGCCATTGGATAAAATGTTCTGTAAATATCTATTAGGTCCATTTGGTCTGTAGTGCAGATTAAGTCCAATGTTCTTCATTGATTTCCTGTCTGGATGATCTGTCCAGTATTGAAAGTGGGGTGTTGAAGTCTCCAGCTATTATTGTATTGGGGTCCATCTCTCTATTTAGCTCTAATAATATTTGCTTTATATATCTGGGTGCTGCAGTGTTGGCTGCACATTCATTTGCAATTGTTATATCCTCTTGCTGAATTGACACCTTATTGTTATACAATGACCATCTAGCTGTTTTTGTAGTTTTTGTCTGGAAATCTATTTTGTCTGATATAAATATAGCTACTTCTGCTATATTGGTTTCCGTTTGAATGGAATATCTTTTTCCAACCTTTTATTTTTAGTTTGTGCATGTTTATAGGTGAGCTGTGTTTTCTCTAGGCAATAGGTCATTGGGATTTGTTTTGTCATCCAGTCAGCAACTCTGTCTTTTGATTGCAGAGATTAGTCCATTTATATTCAATGTTTATTATTGACAAGTAAGGATTTACTCCTGCCATTTTGTTATTTGTTTTCTGGTTGTTTTGTGGTCTTCTCTTCTTTCTTTCTTTCCTTCTAGTCTTCCTTTTAGTGAAGGTAATTTTCTCTGGTGGTATGTATTAATTTCTTGCTTTTTATATTTTGTGTGTCTGTTTTTTTTTTTTTTTTTTTTTTTTTTTTTAGACAGTCTCGGTCTGTCACCCAGGCTGGAGTGCAGTGGCACAATCTTGGAATTAGGAAGAAATTAAATCTCGAATTCTTAGAGACCTACAAAGAGACTTAGACTCCCATGCAATAATAGTGGGAGACTTTAACACGACACTGTCAATATTAGACAGATGAACGAGACAGAAAATTAACAAGGATATTCAGGACTTGAACTCAGCTTTGGACCAAGCAGACCTAATAGACATTTACAGAACTCTCCACCCCAAATCAACAGAATATACATTCTTCTCACATAATTGACCACATAATTGGAAGTAAAACACTCCACACACCGGGGCCTGTTGGGGGGTCGGGGGCAAGGGGAGGGAGAGCATTAGGACAGATACCTAATGCGTTTGGGGCTTAAAACCTATATGATGGGTTAATAGGTGCAGCAAACCACCACGGCACATGTATACCTATGTAACAAACCTGCACGTTCTGCACAGGTATCCCAGAACTTAAAGTAAAATAAAAAAATTTTTAAAAAAGGAAAATAGCAAATGAAAAATCTTGCAACTACTGGATCTTCTATCTTTCTGTGTATTTATATGTGTTGTATGTGTAATGTTTATATATGAATGAGCTCTAATTAATTAGCGTAAAGAAAAGTAACCACTTAAATATGTTGTCATAACAATAAAAACTGTAATGCCTTTTAGTAGGCTACTGAAAAAACAGTTTTACATGCAAGGTGTGTAAGGAAAGTAAAATGTATTTTTGGTAAAAGATTATAAGAAGGCAAGGGAATGTGAATTTTGGAGGGCCTAGTTTAGAGGGTTAAAAGATTGTTTTAAGTTAGATAGGATAAAGCTGAAGGTTTGAACAAATTGTGGAAGGTTTGTGAAAAATTAATCTTATAAAAGAAATTCTGTGTGTGAACCTATTGGCTAAAGTTAAAGAAGAATTATTCAGTTTTTCTGTAAATTGAACATTGGAATAAAAGCACAACAGAGCTTTCTTAGAGTACTGATCTGCTCTGTAACAGAAAATGGTAAAGGGTTATTTAAAAAGATTTATGAGAATCTTGCCTTATGGTCATACATTAAAATTGAATAGATTTTTCTATAAGGTTTTATTAAGAATTGGGTTTAACATCAATGTTATGCTAATGCAAAGGGTGAAATTTGGCTTTCTGTCTTGAACATGATTTTCATGGAATAATAATAAAAAGTAATAAAAAAAATTTTAAATAATTATTCTTGCTGTAGTTTATACAAATAATCAGGCCAAGTATAATAAAGCAAATTGGTCTTACCATAATTTGTCTTTAGTAAAAATAGGAAACTGAAGAGAGAAAAAATCACATTTCAAGAACTATGGTACATCTGTTATTAGACTCTAGTGTCAGTTGTTTTTGCATTTTCTTTCTGCAATTTAGACAGACCCTGCTTATTTCTGTGAACCAACCAGTGATCTCTTGCTGTGGCTCAGAAGAAACAAGAGGTATAGGTAATGTAAAAATCTGGATCAGTATTCTAATTCTGGGCACGTTGTAATTGGCAAGCAACCTCACATCAGCTTGGTTCCAACAATTGTCCAGTTCATGGAAAGCCTTATTTAGTTTACTTGGAATAATTTGACTTATTTTGTTTTATTGTTGTGGAATATATTGCAGTTTTATTCTTTTTGTAGGAATGCAGGATAAGCTTACTGAATGTTTTCTTAAACTGAACACTTATTAATCTTCCAGATATCACCTTTTGTCAGAACTGAGTTATGAATGGCCCTCGCCATACCTACACTTTCGGAATGAGCTCCTCTCTGCCCTGAATACAAGAGACCCTAAGAGTTAGGCTGGAATATCATTGCCCCATTCAGCCTGAAGAAGTTACAGAAGATGGATCTTCTTCCCTCTACAACTGTTAGGATTAAGGGTTCCCTTGTAAAAGGGAAGAGGAAATATGTCAGAGGCGTTTAAACCACAGTGACTCCATCTTGAATAGGGGCTGTGTAAAATAAGGATAAGGCCTACTAAGCTGCATTCCCAGTAGGTTAGGCATTCTAAGTCACAGGATGAGATAGGAGGTCAGCACAAGATACAGGTTACAAAGCCCTTGCCCATAAAACAGCGTGCAGGAAAGAAGCCGGCCAAATCCCACCAAAACCAAGATGGTGACGAAAGCAACCTCTGGTCATTCTCACTGTTCATTATGATACAATGATAAAGGCAAGGGGCAGAGAAATTCTAGGAAGACAGGGACAGGTCCCTGGCGAAGCCCCACCCCTAAGCCAAAAAGCCTGAAACCCTGGCCCAAAGTGAGAACTTATATCCCTCTTTTCGCCTATGGAGTAGCCATTCTTTTATTCCTTTACTTTCTAAATAAACTTGCTTTCACCTTATGGATTTCCCTCGAATTCTTTCTTGCACAAGATCCAAGAACCCTCTCTTGGAGATTGGATCAGGACCCCTTTCTGGTAACATCTGTCCACATCACTATCAGCATTTTGATCAAAACCATTCAACAAGTCTCTAGGAAGTTCCAAACTTTCCCTCATCTTTCTGTCTTCTGAACCCTCCACACTCTTCCAACCTCTGCCCATTACCCAGTTCCAAAGTTGCTTCCACATTTCTGGTATCTTTATAGCAATGCCCACTTCCCAGTACCAATTTTCTGTATTAGTCCATTCTCGCACTGCTATAAATACCTGAGACTGGGTAATTTATAAAGAAAAGAAGTTCAATTGGCTCATGGTTTCTGCAGGCTGTACAGGAAGCATGGCTGGGGAGGCCTCAGGAAACTTAAAATCGTGGCAGAAGGTGAAGGGGAAGCAGGTATGTCTTCACATGGCCAGAGCAGGAGGAAGTGGGGGGAGGTGCTGCACAATTTTAAACCACTAAATCTTGTGATAATTCACTTACAAGAACTGTACCAAAGGAGAAATCCTCTCCCATGATGCATTCATCTCCCACCAGGCCCCACTTCCAACATTGGGGATTACAATTTGACATGAGATTTGGGTAGAGACACAGACCCAAATCCTATTATATCCCATGTCATTTATGCATTCATCCGTTGATGGATAATTGGATGTTTTCACTTTTCCTGCTATCATGAATAATGTTGATATAAACATTTATGTGCAATTTTTGTGTGGACATATGTTTTTATTTCTCTAGGAGTGCAGTTGCTGGGTCATATGGTAATTGTATGTCTAACTTTTTGAGAAACTGCCAAATTGTTTTCCACAATTGCATCATTTTACTTTCTCACTAGCAATTTATGACGGTTCCAGTTTCCACATCTTTGCCAACACTTGCTATATTCTGGGTTTTTTTTCTTAATTATAGCCATCTTAGTGTGTGTTAGGTGTTATGTCATTATGGTTTTGAATTATTTTTCCCTAATGACTAACAACGTTGAACTTCTTTTCATGTGCTTGTTGGTCATTTGTATATCTCCTTTGAGTAAATGTCTATTCAAGTCTTTTGCCCATTTTAAAATCAGTTTGTCTTTTTTGTTGTTAAGTTGTACAGCTTCTTTACATAATATGTATACTAGAACCTTATCAGATATATGATTTGCAAATATTTTCTCTCATTCTGTAGGTTGTCTTAACTTCCTTGATGTATCTTTGTGCTTAATAGTTTTAATTTTGGGCCGGGCATAGTGGCTTACACCTGAATCTCAGCACTTTGGGAGGCCGAGGTGGACAGATCACCTGATGTCAGTAATTCGAGACAAGCCTGGCCAACATGGCAAAACCCGGTCTCTACTAAAAATACAAAAATTAGCTGGGTGTGGTGGCGGGCACCTGTAATCCAAGCTACTTGGGAGGCTGAGGCATGAGAATTGCTTGAACCTGGGAGGTGGAAAGTTGCAGTGAGCGAAAATCGCACCACTGTACTCCAGTCTGGGTGAGAAGAGTGACTCTGTCTCAAAAAAGAAAAAGTTTTAATTTTGTTGAAGTTGAATTTATGTATTTTTTCTTTTGTTGTTTGTGGTCTCGTCATATCTATTAAGGATCCATTACTAGGCCAGGTGTGGTGGCTCACGCCTGTAATCCCAGCACTTTGGAAGGCCAAGGTGGGCAGATCACTTGAGCTCAGGAGTTTGAGACCAGCCTGGGCAACATGGTGAAACCCTGTCTCTACCAAAAGTACAAAAACTAGCCATGCGTGGTGGCTCGAGCCTGTGGTCCCAGCTACTTGGGAGGCTGAGGTCGGGGGATCACTTGAGCCTGGGAGGCAGAGGTTGCAGTGAGCCGAGATTGTGCCATAGCACTCCAGCCTGGGAAACAGAACAAGACCTTGTCAAAAAAAAAAAAAAATCCATTACCACATTCAAGGTCATAAAGATGTTTACTTCTTTTTTAAAAAAAAACATGTTTGATGAAACTTTTATTAGAAGATGTCCCAAAAGGCAACATTTTACAATCAGGCAATCAGAAATCAAAACTAAATACAAAATTTCAGGTAAACGTGCTTTTCAAAATAAATCAGACCCTTTTAACGGAATTTCCCAAGAGGTTTTTTTCTTGAACAAAAAGAGTTAACACTGCTTTGCAAACGGCATACAAAAATACAATATAAAAAATACTCCCCCCCAGTATACCAAACAGCAGCTGATAAAACACAAGTTATTTAGACCCTTTTAACAGAATTACCCAAGAGTATTTTTTTCTTGTACAAAAAGAGTTAACACCACTTTGCCAAAGGCATACAAAAATACAATGTAAAAAATACTCCCCCTCAGTGTAATACCAAACAGCAGCTTATAAAACACAAGCTATTCAGACCCTTTTAACAGAATTACCCAAGAGGTTTTTTTTTTCTTGTACAGAAAGAGTTAACACCACTTTGCAAAAGGCATACAAAAATACAATATACACTTTGGGAGGCCAAGATGGGTGGATCACGAGGTCAGGAGATTGAGACCATCCTGGCCAACATGGTGAAACCCCGACTCTACTAAAAAAAACAAAAATTAGGTGGGTGTGGTGGCACATGTCTGTAATCCCAGCTACTCAGGAGGCTGAGGCAGGAGAATCGCTTGAACCAGGGAGGCGGAGGTTGCAGTGAGCCGAGATTGTGCCACTGCACTCCGACCTGGCGACAGACCGAGACTCCGTCTCAAAACACAAAAACAAAAACAAAACCCAAAAAAAAATATAAAAAATACTCTCCCCCAGTATAATACCAAACAGCAGCTTATAAAATACAAGGTATTCAGGTGAAACATCAGTAACCTACACTTAACCTGTTCCATAGACAGTTTCAAAAGTCAGCTGGCTCTTGTAAACCATGCTCCAGAAGGGTAAAGAGGCTATTTCCAAACATCCCCTGGAGTTCTCTGAGGGCAAGAAGCAACCTCAGAAAGAAACCATTATGGACAATAGATTTGGAAGTAGCAGCTGGTGTTCCAGAGCCACATATAATAGGACTTACCACTCCCCATCCTCCCAACTTCCAAGCAGGCACCTGCTGTCCTAGGCAGAGTTCTGGAGAGGCTGGTCCTTCTCACAGGACAGGCTTAGGGGTTTCAGAAGTTACCCACATGACAACTGCGGGGTTGGGTGACTTTCCCAGACTGGAGGCAGCACCTGGATTCCACGTGGAGCTGCAGAGTCCAGCTGGGGCAAAATCTATCATGGAGGCAGGTGGATCACCTGAGGTCAGGAGGTCAAGACCAGCCTGGCCAATGTGGTGAAACCCCATCTCTACTAAAAATACAGAAATTAGCTAGGCGTGGTGGCAGGCGCCTGCGATCCCAGCTACTCGGAAGGCTCAGGCAGGAGAATCGCTTGAACCCGGGAGGCAGAGGTTGCAGTGAGCCGAGATCATGCCATTAACCTCCAGCCTGGGCGACAAGAGTGAGACTCCGTCTCAAAAAAAAAAAAAAAAATCCATCATGATGATTGGCTAAGCAGAGCTCCTGGAGGATCCTTTAAAACACACCAGGAGGCAAGTCCACGTTGTGGAGCACTGGATGAGTCCCAACAGCTCTCCAGAAAACTTCAGAGAGGCCCAGATTCTGTGACAGACATCTGACTCATTGCAGGCTGGTGCGAGGGCCCAAGCGTGGCTGCAGAGCCAGCAAGCTCCTTGGAGATGCACGAAAGGAACAAGTTTTCATGGTTCTAGTAGAACTTCAAATTCATCAGTCAAGGATTGAGATGAGAGGCAGGTGCGAAAGAGAAAGTGTTACAGTTCTCCCTTCTAAGGTGCCTCACACCTGTCTTGAGAAAAGATTGGGCCTCAAGGGCCCCTCAGAAAACACCTGGGCAGGGATTGAGTTCATGAGCCAGGGCTTGGGAACTTTCCCCAGGCCCCAGGCTAAGACCCATTTCCCTGTGTCTTAGGGAAATATTTCTAACCTGCGGGAAAGGGTGCTGTAGAACCCATTGCATAACAGAGGCAGAATGAGACAAAGTCCCTTGTGAAGACAGAAAGTTCCCTCACTCAGAGAAGAGAGCCCAGAGGGCTTTAAGACAAATTACTTACAGACGAAGTTCTCTTAAATGTTCTGAGTCACAGCATTGAGAGTGGGAGGAAGGGGGTCAGCCAACATCATAATATATACATATATACATACATATATATATACATATATACATATATACATACATATATATATACATATATACATATATACATACATATATATATACATATATACATATATACATACATATATATATACATATATACATATATGTAAGGTTTCCAACTCCTCAGCTACTGTAGTGTCTGACAGTGAGGTAATGGTCCACGTTGATCAAGTCTCTGAGCTTGTTTTCACCCAAGGCAGCTTGTGTGTCTCCTGGAAAAAAATGGAGCCGCAGGGAGAGCGTCCACACCCAGCTGTCCTTGCATCACCCCAGAGACATCCTTTCCTAGCCTAAAGTTCATGTAGAGTGTGAGATTTCCTCCAGGCTGGAGCCCCCAACAACATCCACCACCTGTTGCATACCATCTGTCAGCCTTTTCTTTGGAGATAGTGAGCCAGGAAGACCCCAAGTCTCCTCAGTCAGCTGCCTGCTGAGAAGCCAAAGGTGCCAGAAAACACAAAGCACTCCCATAAGTCAGGGAAGAGAGAGAGCTGGGTTTCAAAGTTTCCAAGAATGCAAGCCTTTATATTGTTTGTGCACTGGCTGCAATGCATTCTGCAATCTACTGTCCAGAGTGTCCTGCTGTAACAAAAATGTACAAGTTACTAAAGGGGAGAGGGAGATCAAAAAGAAAACTTGTGTCTTTTTAAGACAGAATGGTCAGGCTTTTTGGTCAGTAGCTACTGAGGTACTCAATTCTTTTCTGCAATTGCCGTCGCTGGCATTCGAGCTGCCTTTTCTCCGTAGCCATCCTCTCCTCGGCTTCCGCCAGTTCATGTAAGTATTCCGTGGCCTTGACTAGGATCATTACTTTGGAAACCCTAGAGCAGCTGGCCAGGGCGGGTACCTCGTCCCTCAGGGCCAAGAACCGCGAACGTTGATCATTCCGTCTCTTGCGCTCCAGGTAGCTGTGGTACTTCTTCTTGGTCCAATTCTCAGTATCATAATGGATGGGTTTGGGCTGGCAGGACTGGGCAGCCTCACTTTCTACAGGTGGGAGGCTCACAATCTCTTCATCTTCCTTATCATCCTTTCCCCCTGGAGCTTCTCTCTCTAGAGCCTCTTTTGGGGGCATCCTCTTTGGAGCCCCTTCTTGGAAGCAGCTTTCTGGAGGAAAAGGGGCAGCATAGTTGTGCTGTTGCTGGTGGATGGAGATGTGGAAGAGATTCATGCGGGGATCCAGAAGGTCTGCACGCACCGCGATGATGACTGGCTTCCGCGTACTCAAAGACTGCCTCTTCTTTACTGTCACGTCGATTTCTTCACCCTCGGAGTCGCTTGGGCTCTCAGACCTGGAGCAGGCCTGGATCTTGGGCTCGCCCAACAAACAGGGGAAGATGGGCGCTAGGTTGCCGGCTTCGAGCTCGGGAGTGTAGTCGGGGGTGGCGAACTCCTTGGGCGAGTATCCCGAGGGCGCGCCAACGGCAAGCAGGTCACTCACCGCTCTCTCCAGCGGCTCCTGGGTGGAGAAGCCGCTCCACATGCAGTCACGGCGGATGAGGGAGGCGTAGTTCGCGTCCCAAGCTTTCCAGTAGTCCTGGGATTCCGTCTCGTCCCCAGCGCACCCTACCGGCCACGGTTCCAGGAGACCAAAGCTGAGGGCTGGGTTCCCGGCTGCGGGACCCAAGTCCCAGGGCGGCGGCACCAACTCGAATTTCTTCCAGATGTCCTCGCTGGGCGTCGTGGAGCGGTAGAAATCCTCCCCGCCGTCATAGTCGTAGAAATAGTGATGGTACGAGTCGCGGTCCATGTTGGCTTGCTTGCTCACGCAGCTTGCCACCTGGAGCAGACTAGTTCCCCTCCAGCTGGGGGCAGCAGGGCACTCCACACACGCGCACAACGCGCCACCGAGCGCGCGACCCGCCCTCTGTTTATTTCTAAGAGGCTTACAATTTTAGCTCTTATATTTAGGTCTTTGGTTCATTTTGAGTTATTTTTTGTAAATGGCGTGAGGTAAGGGCCCAGCTTCATTCTTTTGCATGTGAGTATCCAAGTATTCCAGCACCATTTGTTGAAGAGATTATTCTTTTCCAATTGCATGGTCTTGACATCTCTTTGAAAATCAGTTGACCTTAGATGTATGGGTTTCTGACTCTCAATTCTATTCCATTGATCTATATGTCTATCCTTATGCCAGTACCACATTGTTTTGATTAGTGTGGTTTGTAGTACGTTTTGAAATTGAGAAATGCTAGTCCTCCATCATGTCCAGCTATTTTTTTCCTTCCTTCCTTCCTTCCTTTCTTCCTTCCTTCCTTCTTTCCTTCTTTCTTTCCTTCCTTCTTCTTTCCTTCATTTTCTTTCTTTCTTGTGTCACCCAGGTTGGAGTGCAGTGGCTCAATCTCTGCTCGCTGCGACCTCCGCCTCCCGAGTTCAAGTGATTCTCCCACCTCAGCCTCCAAAGTAGCTGCGACTACAGGGGCGCGTGGGCCACCACGCCTGGTTAATTTATTTTTATTTTTATTTTTTGTATTTCTAGTAGAGACGAGGTTTCGCCATGTTGGCAAGGCTGGTCTTGACTCCTGACCGCAAGTGGTCGGTATGCCTCAGCCTCCTAAAGTGTTGGGATTACAGGCATGAGCCAATGAGCTCCACCTGCAGTGCGGATATTTTAATTATAATTTTTTAATATTTCTTTTTCAGATTGTTCACTGTTAGTGTATATAAATATAAATGATGATTTTTGTATGTTGCCCTTGTATCCTGCGTCTTTGCTTAAATCATTTATTAGCCCTATTTTTTTTTCTTTTTTTTGATATGGAGTCTCGCTCTGTCACCCAGGGTGGAATGCAGTGACGCTATCTCGGCTCACTGCAACCTCCACTTCCCGGGTTCAAGAGATTCTCCTGCCTCAGCCTCCCAAGTAGCTGGAACTACAGGCGACTGCCACCATGCCCAGCTAATTTTTGTATTTTTTGTAGAGACGGGGTTTAGCCATGTTGTCCAGGAGGGTCTCAAACTCCTGACCTCAAGTGATCCACCTGCCTCGGCCTCCCAAAGTGCTGGGATTACAGACATGAGCCACCACGCCCAGCTTATTAGCCCTAAATTTTTAAAAAAGATTTTCTATATATAAGATTGTGTCAGCAGGGCTCGGTGGCTCGTGCCTGTAATCCCAGCACTTGGCCAAGGCGGGCAGGTCACCTGAAGTCGGGAGTTCCAGCCTGGCCAACATAGTAAAAACCCGTCTCTACTAAAAATACAAAAATTAATCGTACATGGTGGCCAGCACCTGTGTTCCCAGCTACTCAGGAGGCTGAGGTAGGAGGATGGTTTGAGACAGGGAGGACTAGGCTGCAGTGGGCCAAGATTGCGCCACTGCACTCCAGCCTTGGTGACAATGTGAGACCCTGTCTAAAAAAAACAAACAAACAAACAAACAAAAAATCGTCTGCAAAGATGGTTTTACTTTTTGTAATTTGAGTGACTTTTATTTTTCTTGACTAATTGCTCTCGTTAGAACTTTCAGAACAATGTTGAATAGAAGTATTGAGAGCAGACATCCTTGTGTTGTTACTGATTCCTTTGGAAAAGCTTCCAGTCTTTCACCATTGAGTATGATGTGAGCTATGAGTTTTTCATACATGCTCTTTATCAGGTTGAGGAATTTCAGTTCTATTCCTAGATTGCTGAGTGTTTAAATCAACCTTACATTCCTGGGATAAATCCCACTTGGTCATCATATTATTATATAATTCTGTTTATATGTTACCGGATTCATTTTGCTAGTATTGTAATTTGTTTAGTGTTTTGCTTTAATAATAATAAAGGATATTGGTCATTGGTTTTATTTTTGTGATGCATATGGGTTTAGTTTCAGGATAATACTTACCTCATAAAAATGTGTTAAGAAATGCTCCTTCCAAAAAACCAAACACCGCATGTTCTCACTCATAGGTGGGAATTGAACAATGAGAACACATGGACACAGGAAGGGGAACATCACACACCGGGGCCTGTGGTGGGGTGGGGTGGGGGGAGGGATAGCATTAGGAGATATACCTAATGTTAAATGATGAGTTAATGGGTGCAGCACACCAACATGGCACATGTATACATATGTAATTAGCCTGCACGTTGTGCACATGTACCCTAAAACTTAAAGCATAATAAATAAAATAAAAAAAAAAAACAAAAAATGAAACGCTCCTTCTTTTCTATTGTTTAGAAGAGTTTGAGAAGGATAGGTGTTAATTTTTGTTTAAACACTTGGTAGAATTCACTCTTGAAGCTGTCTGGTCTTGAGGGTTTTTTTTTTGTGGGAAAATTTTTATTATTAGTTCAATATCTTTACTTGTTCCAAGTCTATAAAGATTTTCTATTTCTTCTTGGGTCTGTCTTGTGTTTCTAGGAATTTGTCTATGTTATCTAGAGTATCCAATTTGTTGGCATTCAATTGTTCATACTATTCCCATATAATACTTTTTATTTCTATATAGGTTGGTGGTAATGTGTCTTCTTTTATTCTGATTTTAGTCATTTCATTCTTCTGTTTTTTTGTTGTTTGTTTGTTTGTTTTATTGGTCAGTCTAGCTAAAGGTTTCTAAGTTTTGGTGATAAATACCAAAATTTGGTTTCATTCATTTTCTCTGGTTTTTTTTTTCTTTTTTCCAGATTTATTGGGGTATAATTGACAAATAAAAATTGTATGTATTCAAGGTGTACAATATGATTTGATATATGTATGTGTTGTGAAATTATTATCACAAATTATTTAACGCCTCAATCAGTATAGTTACCATTGTGTATATGTGTGTGTATGTGGTGAAGACACAAAAAGAAATCTACTTTCTTTGTAAATTTCAAGGAAACAATGCAGTATTATTAACTATAATCATGATGCTGTCTATTACATTCCAGAATTTATTCATCTTTTTACTGAAAGTTTGTACCCTTCCGTGAGCATCTCCCCAATTTTCCCCACTCTCCAGCCCCTGGCAACTACGATTCTACTCTCTGCTTAAATGAATGTGAGTTTTTTATAGCTTTTTTATAGCTAAATATATTTCACTATATACCAAGTTTCATTTATCCATTCATCCATCGAGGGACCCTTAGGTTGTTTCTATATCTTACCTATTGTAAATAAAGCTGCAATGAACATGTGGGTGCAGATATTTTTTGAGATACTGATTTTCTTTCCTTTGGATATATGCTTAGAGGTGGGATTGACAGATCATATGGTAATTCTATTTTCATTTTTGGGGGGAATCTCCATATTGTTTTCTATAGTGGCTGCACCAAGTTACATTCCCACCAACAGTGTGCAAGAGTTCCCTTTTCTGCAAACCCTCACTAACACTTATTATTGCTTATCTTTTTGATAATAACCATTCTAACAGGTGTGAGGCGATAGCTCATTGTGGTTTCAATGTGCATTACCCTGATGACTAGTGTTGTTGAGCACCTTTTCATATACCTGTTGGGCATTTGTATGTCTTCTTTGGAAAAATATCTATTTGGATCCTTTGCACGTTTGTTAATCAGGTTATTTGTTCTTTTGCTATTGAGTTGAGTTCCTTATACATTTTGGATAAAAACGCTTCATTAGATACCTAAGACATCCATGCCATTGAAACATTTGCCTCTGGGCCAGGCACAGTGGCTCACGCCTGTAACCCCAGCACTTTGGGAGGCCGAGGGGGGCATATCACCTGAGGTCAGGAGTTTGACCTCAGCATGACTTCAACATGACTTCAACATGGTGAAACCCTGTCCCTATTAAAATACAAAAAAAAAAAAATTAGCTGGGCATGGTGGTAGGTGCCTATAATCCCAGCTACTCAGGAGGCTGAGGCAGGAGAATCGCTTGAACCCGGGAGGCAGAGGTTGCAGTGAGCCGAGATTGCGCCATTGCACTCCAGCCTGGGCAACAAGAGCAAGACTCCATCTCAAAAAAAAAAAAAAAAAAAAAAGAAAGAAAAAAGAAAAAAAAAAGAAACATTTGCCTCTGAATGTTTTTGAGAAACATCCCCTGGGGAAAAACTGTTAGCACTGTGTTCCTGATAAAGGCACGCTTTTCAAACCAGTCGTCCAGGGAGCCTCTGAACAAATCAAATAATGACAGTTTGAGGAGAATGAGTTCTTCTCTGCTCCCCTCAGTACTAGGAATGTAACTTTTTATTTTCAAAGCTACTGCTGAGCTAGGGAGGAGGGAGTGGAATAGGACACATTAAAATATCACAAAGCTCACTCTTCTAAGATTCAGCCACTGTTTTTGAATATGTGCTTCCCAGGTTGTTGCAAGACTTTGGTTAATTTCCAGAGTTCTGAAATAGTTGAGTCTAACCGTTTTTGTCAGTTTTTCATTGTTTTAATGGAGGAGTGGAATTTTGTAGTTCCTTCCTTTGCTATTTTCACTAACATCACTCCAGCAAATGTTTTAATAATGCACTTAGTAATGGGTTTAGAATCCCTTGCCCTTGACTTCCCTAACCCCCAACATCAAATTCTACCTTTGCTCCTGGGACCCTGCTAGAGAAAGTTACAAACAGGTAAAGGTCACGGTATATTATTTATTTATGCTCTCCACCTCAGTTATGTTCTCCACATTGCAGTCTTTCCATTCCTCCCCTATTGACTACAAGTAGCTGTTCCAAATTTCTTCCACTCTCCTCAAGTCTTGCATACAATTCCTGTCTATCTCACTTTGTCCTCATGAATTCCACAATTCAAAATATATTTGTGTCTTATTTGTATTTCTCTTAGTAGCGGAGGTCTGAGGTCAGACCTCCTTAATTTAATTCCTGCCTTGATTTAATTCCTGCATTTATGTTTGCTAGCTGCGTGATATTGAACAATTTACCACCTCACTTTGTCTCAGTTTTCTCATCCTCAAAGGATCAGTGTAAGGATTAGATAAAATAATCCATGTACAGCTCTTAGAACAGTTTCTTCAATACATCTTCGCTATCAGTATCATCATTATCATCATCATCATCATAATTATCCCATTACTCCTATCTTTAAAGCATGTGTCTGTCCTCAATACCAGTGTTAATAACCTGTGCTCTCTTGACCCCATCTCTTCTATTATTTGTACTGAAATGATTTCCTACCTTAAATATTTAGTACTGACTCCTCTACCTTGGCCTGAAACTCATTCAAGTATGCAGATCTTTAAAAATTCAAAAACAAAAGGAAAAGTAAAAATAAAATACAAAAACAAAACAGAAAACCTAATACCACTCTCTCCACAAACTGCTAGTCCATCTTTTCCTTTCCTGCCAAATTTCTCCAAAGTTCCCTTTTGTTACTCATTGATCTCTTCCAATCTAGATTCTACCCGCCCACAACATTGCTGTAAGGCAGTGGCCTAATCCTTTAATTCAAATAACCTTTTCAGTTCTCATTCTCCTGATCTCACTATAATATCTAACAGGCTTTACCTGGTTTCTCTTAACACTAACTTCTTCTGGGTCTTTGCCCATTTCTTCCTATGTTTTCATTCTGGCTCCTTTATTGGCACAGGGGTCAGTCTTCAGCTGCTTGTCTGCACTCTAGGGAGGGTGGAACATCTTCTTATGTCTTGTAGTTTTCACTAGTTTTGTTATACCTCTGTTCCAGCCCTGTTAGTGGGAGGCAAATTTAGTGCCTCAGTCCTAAGTAAAACCTGTAAAAGCCATGCCAAGCAAGCCAGCTTTTGTGGGCTAGAATGTATAGAATCTATAGCGTCTTTTAACATTACTCTTGGATTCCTATAACAGAATCTCTGTATATACCCACTTCCATGCATCCTGCAGATGATTGACAGATTTTCCTGAAACATAAAAATAGTTAACAAGGTCATAGTTAGGAGGGGCAGGAAAAGTAGTAGGGGGAGGGGAAGAAGAAGAGGAAGAACAAGAAGAGGAAGGAGAAGTAGAAGAGGAATGAGCAGCAGCAAAAGCTGCCTTATACATCATAATTATATAAAACACAATTAAAATGCATTTTTATAACTTCATGCAGTTTTAGTAATATAGTTGCTAGCATTTTATATTTAATTAACATAGGCTTTCTGAAAAGGTTTATTGCTAGGCTTCCTTTAATGAAGAGCTATTTGGGCTGGGCATGGTGGCTCAGCCTGTAATCCCAGCACTTTGGGAGGCCGAGGTGGGCGGATCACCTGTGCTCAGGAGTTTGAGACCAGCCTGCCAACATGGTGAAACCCCGTCTCTACTTTAAGAATATAAAAATTAGCCAGGCATTGTGGCCTGCACCTGTTGTCCCAGCTACCCAGGAGGCTGAGACAAGAAAATTGCTTGAACCGAGGAGGCGGGAGGTTGCAGTGAGCCCAGATCACACCACTGCGCGCCAGCCTGGGTGACAGAGCTAGACTCTGTCTCAGAAAAATAAAAATAAAAAATAAAGAGCTCTTTATATGTAGCCCTACCTTTTAAATAAAACAATACACATGCTAAAGTCTTCACAAAGTTAATTTCTTAATACGTTGAGGCACCATATCATTTTGTTTACATTATTTCATAGAAAACCAATGGAAGGTAAATTTTAGCTTAGTTCAAATCAAACTATTTCAAAACAATGAAAATTTCCAAGTATTTTAAATGTAACTGAGGATTATGCTAGCAAGCTTTTCTGGGTCCTGGTTGCTCACTCAGTCCTGGATTTAAAAAAATAAAAGAATACTTAGAACAAGTAGGAGGTGGGAGAATGCTAGCACAGTCAATGAGAGAAAGTGACAATGATGCCTTGCCATACCAGGATTCAAAGATAATAGCTTCAAACCCGTGAAATGGTAAAGGTACAGTAGTCATGATGAAAATAGTCTGAGCCACAATTGAGTCCTAGGTCTGTCTTACTCTAGAGCCTATGCTCTTTAATTACTAGGTTATATACTGCCTCTCTTGTCTCTGTATCATGTCAATTCTCTGATAAAAATCTGGATTTATAGGATGAAGACAAAACTCTGCTATCTTTCAAGCTCCGCCTTAATTTTTCCTCCACCTACCTAGCCAGTCTTATTCTCTGATAACTCCTAAAGCAATCATGCAATTTAGTCAGATGAGTTTCCATACTGTGCATCAAATCTGCCGTGTTCATTTCTTTTCTCTTTCCTTTTCTTTCTTTCTTTTTTTTTTTTTTTTAGGCAAGGTCTCGCTCTGTCGCCCAGGCTGCAGTGAAGTGGCCTGACCTCTGCTCACTGCAACCTCCACCTCCTGGGTTCAAGCGATTCTCCTGCCTCAGCCTTCCTGGTAGCTGGGATTAGAGGCACCAGTCACAATGCCCAGCTAATTTTTTTTTTCTTTTTTAGACGGAGTCTGGCTCTGTCACCCAGGCTGGAGTGCAGTGGCACAACCTTGGCTCACTGCAACTTCCACCTCCTGAGTTCGAGCAATTCTCGTGCCTCAGCCTTCTGAGTAGCTGTGATTACAGGCGTGCGCTACCACACCCGGCTAATTTTTGTGTTTTTAGTAGACGTGGGGTTTCACCATGTTGGCCAGGCTGGTCTGGAACTCCTGGCCTCAAGTGATCTGCCCACCTCAGCCTCTCAAAGTGCTAGGATTACAGGCGTGAGCCATCGCGCCTGGCCCAGTAAAAAATCAGTTTTAAAAAACAAGATGAAAAAATTGTGTCTACAGATGACAAATTATGTTGGTGTTCAGAGCAATAAGAGATCAAGGAAAGCTTCATATAGCTAGATCTTGATTTGGCTTTGAAGGATGGCTAAGATTTGAGAATTCCAGGTAAATGAAGTCCCAGAATTAAAAATGAACATGGCAGGCCTGGTATGGTGGCTCATGCCTGTAATCCCAGCATTTTGGGAGGCCAAAGAGGGCAGATCACTTGAGGCCAAGAATTCGAGACCAGCCTGGCCAACATGGCGAAACCCCGTCTCTACATAAAATACAAAAATTAGCAGGGCGTGGTGGTGCATGCCTGTAATCCCAGCTACTGGGGAGGCTGAGGCACGAGAATCGCTTGAACTCGGGAGACGGAGGTTGCAGTGAGCCAAGATCCTGCCACTGCACTCCAGCCTGGGCAACAGAGCATGACTGTCTCAAAAAAATATATTTTTTATCGAGTTATACACATAACATACAATTCCCCTTTTTAGAGTATACAATTTAGTGGTTGTTAATATATTCACAAAGATGTGCAACCATGTTTTGATTGCCTGCTCTTCACCCATTGGTAAGGGAGAGAGTCCCATCCTAGGGTTATGGGGATGGCCAGATTGATAGCAGTTTATTAATCACAGATACTCAAAGCCCATAGAATGACACAGCATGCTATACAGGCCCACACAGATGTTATACTCAGGAACAGAGTGAGAGATCAAGTGGGTGAGGTGGGAGGTAGGTTTTGTAGTATCAAGAGGGCAAAGTGACCCTTGGTTTCCAAGAAAGGATGTTAATGGCTTGTTTGAATAATTCCACAGACTGGTGGGGACCTGAAATCTGCTACAGCAGTTTTGCCTAAGGATGCTCCCAGTTGAACCATTAGAGCCACACCCTCCCTCCCATTTCAGACGTCAAAGCAGCACATAATATTGAACCTTAATTTTAGGTCCTACACTACAAACCATCAACTTTTCTTTTTTCTTTTCTTTTCTTCTTTCTTTTTGATGGAGTCTTGCTCTGTGGCCCAGACTGCAGTGCAGTGGTGCAATCTTGGGTCACTGCGACCTCCGCTTCCCAGGTTCAAGTGATTCTCCTGCCTCTGCCTCCCGAGCCACTGCGCCCTGCCATGTCACCTTTTTCTATGTATAGAACGTTTTAATCACCCCAAAAACAATCCCCATGCTCATGAGCAGTCACTGCATGTCTTAGTCAGTTTGAGCTACTATAACAAAGTACCACAGAGAGGTGGCTTATAAAAAAACAGAAATTTATTTCTCACAGTTCTGGAGGCTGGAAGTCTGAGACCAGAGTACCAGCATGGTCACATTCTAGCAAGGGCCCTTTTCCAGGCTGCAGACTGCTGGCTTCCTCACATGTATCCTCACAAGGTAGGAAAGGAAGCTAGCTAGTTCTGTGGCCTCTTCTTATAAGAACATTAATCCCATTTGTGAGGCCTCTACCCTCATAATCAAATTACTTCCCAAAGGTCCCACTTCTTAATGCCATCACATTGCAATTAGGGTTTATACATCTGAATTTTGTAGGGGACACAAACATTTAGTCTGTAACACTTCACTTCTCTCCTCTTCCCAGACCTAGGCAACCATTAATCCACTTTCTGTCACTGTGGATTTGCTTATTTGGAGCATTTCATATAATGAGAATCATACAATATATGGCCTTTGTGTCTGGCTTTTTTTTCTAATTTTTGCTTTTTTCTCATTTTTTTCTTTTTTGTTTATTTTTACTTATTTATTTTTGTGTCTGGTTTCTTTTTAAAATTTTTTGATAATTATTTTTTCTTTATAGAGATGGGGGTCTCACTACGTTCCCCAGAATGGTCTTGAACTCCTGGACTCAAGCAATCCTCCCATCTTGGCCTCCCAAAGTGCTGGGATTACAAGCGTGAGCCACTGCACCCGGCCCTTTACATTTTTTATTTTTATTTTTACTTTTTTAGAGGCAAAGTCTTAATCTGTCACCCAGGATAGAATGCAGTGGTATGATTGAAGCTTGCACTAACCTCAAATTCCTGGGCTCAAGGGATTCTCCTGTCTCAGCCTCCCGAGTAACTAGGATTACAGATGTGTGCCACCACACCCAGCTACTTTTTAATTTTTATTTTTTTGTAGAGGTGGAGTCTTGCTATATTGCCCAGGCTGGTCTCGAGTTTCTGGCCTCAAGTGATCTTCCCCCAGTCAGCTTCCCAAAGTTTTGGGATTACAGTTGTTAGCTACCACAACTGTCCTCTGGCTTCTTTTACTTAGCATAATGTTTTTGAGAGTCATTTATGTTGCAGCATGTGTCAGTACTTCCGTCCTTTGTGTGACTCTATAATAGTCCACTGTAAGAATCTGCCATGTTTTGTTTATCCATTCATCAATTGATGGACAATTGTGTTTTTCCCCATGTTGGTTGTTATGAATAATAATTCTATGAATATTCATGTACACGTTTTTGTATGGACATATGTTTTCAACTCTTTTTTGTACATACCTAAGAGTGTAATTGCTGGATCTATAGAAAATATATGTTTAAACTTTTGAGGAACCTCTAGACTATTTTCCAAAGCACCGTTTTACATTTTACTTTACTACACTAGCAAAATATGAAGCCTCCAATTTCTCCACATCCTTGCCATCATTGATTATTTTCCATCTTTTTTATTATAGCCAGCCTATTAGGTATGAAGTGGTATCTCGTTTTGATTTGTATTTTCTGAACGGCTATTGATGCTGAGGATATTTTCATCTGGTTATTTGCATTTGTATATATATTTTTGGAGAAATGCCTATTTGAATTCTTTGTCCATTTGAAAAAACTTTATTTTTAACTTTAGATTTATAGAAAAATTGCAAAGATATTACAGAGAGTTCCCATATACC
This sequence comes from Homo sapiens, assembly GCF_000001405.40. Classification (NCBI taxonomy): domain Eukaryota; kingdom Metazoa; phylum Chordata; class Mammalia; order Primates; family Hominidae; genus Homo; species Homo sapiens. Next base: position 107,261,883 of record NC_000023.11, on the reverse strand, counting down.
CCGCTCCAAGTCTCTGCTATTATTAACATTTTTCATTAATAAGGTTCATTTTCTATAGTTAATGGTAAATATTAATACAGTATTATTAACTGAAGTTATTTTACTAAGTTACTAGAATTACTTTATTTATTAAAAAATACTTCAGGCCAGGCACAGTGGCTCATGTCTGTAATCCCAGCACCTTGGGAGGCTGAGGTGGGAGGATTGCTTGAGGCCAAGAATTCAAGACAAGCCTGGGCATCATAGCAAGAGCCCCATCTCTACAACAAAAAGATTTTTTAAAAAATTAGCCGGACATGGTGACTCACACCTGTAGTCCTAGATACTCAGAAGCCTGAGGTGGGAGGATCCCTTGAGCCCAGAAGTTCAAGGCTGTAGTGGGCTGTGATCATGCCACTGCACTCCAACCTGGGTGACAGAGTGAGACCCCCAACTCAAAAAAACATACTTCAGCTTTTACCTAATGATGTCTTTATTCTGTTCCAAGATGCCATTGAGGATAACACATTGCATTTAGCCATCATGTCTCCCTAAGCTCCTTTTGGCATGACAGTTTCTCATATTGTCCTTGACAATTTGGATGAGTACTGGGCAGGTGTTTTCTAGGATGTCCCACTATTGGGATTTATCAGATTTCTCATTGTTAGACAGGGGTGAGGGTACTTACTGTGAGCATGACTCATCACTGTCGATGTTGATTTGTATCACCTGGCTGAAGTAGTGTTCATCCAGCTTCTCCACTGTGAAGTTACTCTTTGTCTCTCATTTTCTGTAATGTACTCTGAAGGAAGTCTCTATGCACAGCCCATACTTAAGGAGTGAGGAGCTAAGCTCCACCTTTTTGAGAGTAGATTATCTACATAAATTATTTGGAATTCTTCTGCACAGGAGATTTGTCTCTTCTTGTTTATTTATTTAATTAGTTATTTGTTTATATGAGTATGAACACATGGATATTTATTTTATACTTTAATGAGTTATATTCCAATATTTATTTATCCACTTTTACCACTTCCATTCAACATTTTACTAGAGGCACTAGCCAGAGCAATTAGGCAAGGAAAAGAAATAAAAACCATCCAGACTGGAAAGGAAGACTAACTCTATTTTCACATAATATAACTTTGTGCATAGAAAAACATTAACAAATAAATTTTTTAAAAAAGAAAAAGAAAAGCACAAAGAGGCCAGGCATGGTGTTTCATGCCAGTAATCCTAGCACTTTGGGAGGCCAAGGCAGGCAGATCACTTGAGGCCAGGAGTTCTAGACCAGCCTGGGCAACATGGTGAAACCCCATCTCTACTAAAAATATGAAAATTAGCCTGGCATGGTGACTGTGCCTGTAATCCCAGCTACTCAGGAAGTTGAGGCATGAGAATCACTTGAACCCAGGAGGTAGAGGTTGCAGTGAGCCAAGATTGTGCCACTGCACTCCAGCCTGGGCAACGGAGTGAGACCCTGTCTCAAAAATAAAAGAAAAAGAAAACCACAAAGAATGCTTTAAAAACTCTTAGAGCTGGAGACTGGGTGCAGTGGCTCACACCTGTAATCTCAGCACTTTGAGAGGCCAAGGCGGGCAGATCACTTGAGGTCAGGAGTTCGAGACTATCCTGGCCAACACGGTGAAACCCCCGTCTCTACTAAAAATACAAAATAATAATAACTAGCCAGACATGGTGGTGCACACCTGTAATCCCAGCTACTTGGGAGGCTGAGACAGGAGAACTGCTTGAACCTGGGAGGTAGAGGTTGCAGTGAGCTGAGACCATGCCATCACACTCCAGCCTGGGCAACAGTGCAAGACTCCATCTCAAAAAAAACAAAAAACAAACAAACAAAAAAACTCTTTGAGCCAATAAACAAGTTCAGCAAAGTTGTAGGAAACAGGATCAACATACAAAAATAATTTGTATTTCTATACAGTAGCAATGAACAATCTGAAAATGAATTAAGAAAACAATTCTACTTATAATAGCATTAAAAAATAAAATAGCTAGAAATAATTTTTTTAAAAGAACAGTATGTCTTGTACATGGAAAACCACAAAATATTGTTGAAAGGAATTAAAGAAAACATAAATAAATGGGAAGACATTTCATGGTCATGAATTGGAAGGCTTAATATTGTTAAGGTAGAAATACTACAAATTAATCTACAAATTCAACACAAGCTCTATCAAAATCCCAACTGGTTTCATTTTTAAAAATTGGCAAGCTGATTCTAAAATTCATATGGAAATGCAAGTGACCCGGAAATGTCCAATCATGAAAAAGATGAATGAAGAGGAACGAAGTTGGAGAAATCACACATCCCAGTTTTAAAACTTTCTACAAAGGTACAGTAATAAAAAAGTGTGTGGTATTGGCATAAGGATAGTAATATAGATTAATGGGGTAGAATTGATAGCCCCAAAATAAAGCCATACATTTATGGCCAATTGATTTTCAATAAGGGTGCTAAGACTCTTCAATGTCAGGTAACAAATGGTGCTTGGACAACTGCACATACACATGATCCTGACCTCATATCATATATAAAAATTATTTAAAGACAGATCAAAGACCTAAATGTAAGAGCTAAAACTACAACTCTTAGAAGAAAACATAGGTATAAAACTTTATGATCTTAGATTAGGCAATGATCTGGTATAAATTTTCATGACCTGGACTAGGCAACTGTTTCTTAGCCATGACACCAAAAGCACAAGCAACCAAATAAAAAATAGATAAATTGGACTTTGTCAAAATTAAACATATTTGCACTTCAAAGGACATTATCAAGGAAGTAAAAAGACAACGCATGGAATAGGAGAAAATATTAATATTTTCAAACTGTATATCTGATATGGGACTAATATCCAGAATATATAAAGAAGCATTACAACTGAATAATAAAGTAACAACCCAATTAAAAATGGACAAAGAAAGAAGCCAATCAGTACCAAGGGGGACCGTGGTAAACCATTCATGAGAAATCCATGCCTATGATTCAATCACTTCACACCAGGCCCCACCTCCAACACTGGGGATTATATTTCAATATGAGATTTGGGCAGGGACACACTATATTGCTCTCATAAGAGCTATATACTGTATAATTTCAATTATATGACATTTTGAAAAAGGCAAAACATAGAGACAATAAAAGGAACAGTGGTAATGAGCAAAGGGTAGGGAGCTGATATAGTGTGGATGTGTATCTCTGCCCAAATCTCATTGAGATATAAGCCACAATGTCGGAGGTGGGGCCTGGTGGGAAGTCATTGGCTCATGGTGGCCGATTTTTCATGAATGGCTTAGCACTATTCTCCTTGGTACTGTCCTCACAATAGAGAGTGAGTTCTCATGAGATCAGGTCATTTAAAAATGTGTAGTACCTCCCCACTGGCTCTCTTGCTCCTGCCTTCACCATGTAACATGCAAGCTCCCTCTTAGCCTTCCTCCATGATTATAAGCTTCCAGAGGCCTCCCCAGAAGCAGATGTTGCTATGCTTCCTGTACAGCCTGCAGAACTGTGAGCCAATTAAACGTCTTTCTTTTTTTATTTTATTTTATTTTATTATACTTTAAGCTTTAGGGTACATGTGCACAATGTGCAGGTTAGTTACATATGTATACATGTGCCATGCTGGTGTGCTGCACCCATTAACTCGTCATTTAGCATTAGGTATATCTCCTAATGTTATCCCTCCCCTCTCCCCCCACCCCACAACAGTCCCCAGAGTGTGATGTTCCCCTTCCTGTGTCCATGTGTTCTCATTGTTCAATTCCCACCTATGAGTGAGAACATGCGGTGTTTGGTTTTATTAAATTACCCCGTCTCCGTTTTTTTTGAGACAGAGTCTTGCTCTGTCACCCAGTCTGTAGTGCAGTGGTGCTGTCTCAACTCACTGCAACCTCCGTCTCCTGGGCTCAAGCGATTCTCCTAGCTCAGCCACCCGAGTACCTGGGACTACAGGCATGCACCACCACGCCTAGCTAATTTTTGTATTTTTAGTAGAGACGGGGTTTCACCATGTTGGCCAGGCTAGTCTCGAACTCCTGACCTCGGGTGACCCACCCACCTCAGCCTGCCGAAGTGCTGGGATTACAGGCATGAGCCACTGCACCCAGCCTCAGTTATTTCTTTATAGCAATGCAAGAATGGCCTAATATAGAGAGTAAGAAAATTCCCTTCTATTTTTAATTTGTTGAGCATATTTGTCACAAAGGATGTTTAATTTTGTCAAATGCTTTTTCTGTATCTATTGAGATGATCATGAAGTAATTGTCCTTTATTCTATTAATATAGTATATTATATTGATTGATATTTATATGTTGAACCAACCTTCCATTCCTTGGATAAATCCTACTTGGTCATGGTGTATGATCCTTTTTATATGTTGCTGGATTTCATTCACTAGCATTTTGTTGAGGATTTTTGAATCTATATTTGCAAGGTTTATTGGTCTATAGTTTTCTTTTCTTGTTGAGTGTTTTTCTTGTTTAAGTAGCAGAGTAATTCTGGGCATGAAACTCTGAAGAAGCTCTAACTGCATTTTGCTCCCTCTACTGTTTTCCCAGCTTCTTGTTTTTACTTTGATTGAGGTCCACTGATCTTCAAAGCTATTGTGGAACTGGGAAGGGGATGAGGATGGGAATAGGGTAGGTTGAAATGCCACAAATTTTGCTGTTTTTACTCAGATTCAGCTATTTCTCTCGAATAAATGTACCCTGGATTGTTGTAAGCTTTTGGTTACATTTCCAGGTTCTGGAAATTTAATTCTTAGAGTTTTCACTTAATGCTCTTGTTGCTTTATGGAGGAGAGGATTTTTGCAAGTTCTGATCCCACCATTTTCACTAATGTCCTGAAGTACACAATTTAACACTTACATATTGTCGCTTATATGTTTTCTTTTGTATTATGTGTGCTACTCATGTCTTCTAAATTTAATTGTAAATTTTTTTAATGTATACTTCTGTATACCACCCCCACAGTGTCTAGCAAAAAAGTTGATTAATCAACTTTATTGAAATTGAGATTGAGCTTATTGTTTATGTCTTTATGTTGAACAGGTTGTATTTGGGAAAGAAAACCAGCTGTAATCTAAAGATTCGCTGGTTTGTGCAATATATCCAGCAAAATTGGAAGCACACCACAGGTGTGAATGACAAAAAATAGAGTTCAGAGCTGCAAAGGAAGACAGAGCCATGAGGCTAGGATCAAAATCCTGTAGCTGACTTTCTCCTGTACTGACTTTTAAAAATATTATTTTAATTTGACAGATAAGAAACAAAGAAAAAAAGAAAAACAATAAAAAGAACAAAAATAAAAGAATAAATTGACAGATAACATTTTACGTTTTTATTTTGTACAACATGATGTTTTGAAGTACATAAACATCATGGGATGGTTAAATCTAGCTAATTAATAAATGCATTACCTCACTTAGCTATTTTTGTTGTAAGAGTACATAACATTCACTCTCTTTACATTTTTTAAGAATATGTCACCATTAACTACAGTCACCTTGCTGTATTTCTCTTAAAATTTATTCCTCTTCTGTGATTTGTATCCTTTAATCAACATCTCTCCATCCCCCATCCTCACTGCTAATGACCTCAGCTTATGGTAACCACCATTCTACTCTCTACTGCTATGTGATCAACTTTTTTAGATTCCACATGTGAGTGAGATCATGTGGTATTTGTCTTTCTGTGCCTGGCTTATTTCATTTAACATAATGTCCTCCAGGCTCATACATGTTGTCACAAATGGCAGGATTTCATTCTTTTTATGGCTGAGTAACATTCCATTGTGTATATATACCACATTTTCTTTTCTAAATTTATTTTTACATTTAAAAATTCTTTTTCTTTAAAAAGTTGTTTTATACATAATAGCTGTACATATTTTCAGAGTACATGTGATAATTCAATATATTCATATAATCAAGTTAGGGTAATCGGGATATCTAGTACCTCAAATATTTATCTTTTCTTTGTGCTATGAATATTTCAATTTTTCTCTCCCAGATAGTTGGAAATGTACAATCGATTCATGTTAGTTATAATCACTGTACTGATCTATCGAACACCAGGTCTTATTTCTTCTAAGTGTATATCTGTACCAATGAATCAACCTCTCTTCATCCTCCCCTCTCCTCTACCCTTCACAGCCTCCAGTAACTCTCTATCTCTATAAGTATGTGGAGATAAGTACTCCACATACTTGCCAGTACTTATTATCTTTTCTCTTTTTGATCATGGCCATTTTAACTGGAGTGAGGTGATATCTCATTGTGGATTTGATTTGCATTTCCCCGATTATTAGCAATATTGAGCATTTTTTCACACGCCTGTTTTCTATTTGTATTTCTTCTTTTGAGAAATGTCTATTCAGGTAATGCACCCATTTGTCAATTGGGTTTTTTGTTGTTGTTGTTGTTATTGAGTTGTTTGAGTTTCTGGTATATCTTGGATATTAGCGCCTTGTCAGATATATAGTTTGCAAATATTTTCTTCCATTCTGTAGGCTGTCTTTTCACTCTGTTAATTGTTTCTTTTGCTAGGCAGAAACTTATTAGTGAGATGTCATCCCATTTGTCTAGTTTTGCTTTTGTTGTATGTGCTTTTGAGGTTTTATCCAAAAATATCCTTACCTAGACCAACATCATGAAGTGTTTTTCTATGTTTTCTACTAGTAATTTCATAGTTTTGGGTCTTACATTTAAGTCTTTAATCCATTTTGAGTTTAATTTTGTATATGGTGAGAGATAAGGGTCTAGTTTCATTATTCTGCATATGGATACCCAGTTTTTTCCAGCACCATTGATTCAAGAGACTTGAATCTATCCCTTTGTGTGTTCTTGGCACCTGTGAACCCCAAAAACCTGAGATAGGTCTCAGTCAATTTAGACAATCAGATATGCATTTATCTCAGTGAGCAGAGGGATGACTTTGAATAGAATGGGAGGCAGGTTTGCCCTAAGCAGTTCCCAGCTTGACTTTTTCCTTTATCTTAGTGATTTTGGGGCCCCAAGATTTATTTTCCTTTCACAAAGGTAAGATAGATATGTCTGTTAACCAATACACTGGATCAGGCATTAGGTCCTGTTTATAATTTGTTATCTTATTGTCACAAAGTCTGTTTCGTTAGTCTTATGATCTCTATTTTAACATTAATGTTGGTCAGTTGTGCATAATCTCCAAAAAGGAGGGAGTATAACAAGGCACGTCTGACCTTCCTTCCCATTATGACCAAGAATTCAGTTTTTAAGGTTTTTCTGGGATCCCCTTGGCCAATAGTGGGTCTGTTCAGAGAGTGGGGGGGCTTAGGATTTTATTTTTAGTTTGTAGGTATATTTGTCTGTTTTTGTGTCAGTAGCATGCTGTTTTGGTTGCTAGAGCTTTGTAACATACTTTGAAATCAGGTATTGTGATGCCTACAGCTTTGTTCTTTTTGCTTGAGTTTGCTTTGGCTATTCCAGGTATTTTTTGGTTCCATACATATTTTAGTACAATTTTTCCTACTTCTGTGGGGACTGTCATTGGTATTTCGATAAGGATTGCATTGAATCTGTAGATTGTTTTCAGTAGTACAGCCACTTTAACAATATTAATCCTTCCAATCCATGAACACAGGATATCTCTCCATTTATTTGTCTCTTTAATTTCTTTCATTGGTGTTTTATATTATTCATTGTAGAGCTCTTTCACCTCCCTGGTTAAACTTACTCATAGCCATGCAGCCTGGGGTTGGGGGAGGGGTGAAGTGAGTAATGTAAAACGGCCCTTTCCATCCCCTTCAGTGTGTCTTATTATGCTAAAATTAGGTGGTGTGATCTTGCACCTGGTTTCCTTAGCTCTTGTAAAGATTTTTTTCATGTGTTCAAATTGATGTTTCTGTGGGGGGGATGATTAATGGAGAGTCCTACACTGCCATCTCACTGCTTTTTAAAACACTACTTTTTAAAAAAAAAGTCACTACTGACTTTTTAAAACAACCTTTTTTTAAAAAATAATTTTTGACCCACAAGAAGTGGCCAAAATCATACAGAGTTTTTGTGTTTCTTTTACTCAGCTTCCCCTCATGTTAATGTCTTGCATAACTATAGTGCAATGATCAGAATTGAGAAATTAACATTGGTATAATATTATTAACTAAATTACAGACTTTATTTGGATTCCTTAACTGACCGTTAAAGCCTGTAGTACAGCAAGAATTGAAGAGGACAACAAAAAGGAGGATGAAGAGAAGGTACTGCCTAAGGTTGTATAGGCCCAAAGGCATTTGAGAAAGAGGCAAGAAGTTGAAGCCAAAAGTCAGCATAGCAATGTTGAGGGCCTTTTCCTAATTTGTCTCCCTCGGGTAGTGGTGGAGGTTGTAATTTGTTTGCGAAGGATGCCTTTTTTTTTTTTTTTTAACCTCTTCTTCAATAGGGTAGGGCTTTTCTTATTGGCATAAAGATTCCATGTTAACCTTGGCCTTGCCTTTCCCTGTACTGTGCGTTATCCACATGGAAAATGCTTTAAACAGAAATAATTATCTTTCTACCGGGTGTGGTGGCTCAAACCTGTAATCCCAGCACTTTGGGAGGCTGAGGCAGGCAGATCACCTGAGGCCAGGAGTTCGAGACCAGCCTGGCCAACATGGCGAAACCCCATCTCTACTAAAAATACAAACATAAGCCAGGCATGTTGGTGGGCACCTGTAATCCCAGCTACTCAGGAGGCTGAGGCAGGAGAATTGCTTGAACTCAGGAAGCAGAGGTTGCAGTGAGCCGAGATCATGCCATTGCACTCCAGCCTGGGTGACAAGGGTGAAACTCCATCTCAAAGAAAAAAAATTACCTTTCACACACTACTCATCCATTCAATTCCCCCTCCTGAGTGTGGGAATATTCAATGTATTTAGGTAAAAGCACTGCTTAGGTTGAAATGTGTTTAAACTAAAAATTATCTGAGACAAGTCTCAACCAATTTAGAAAGTTTATTTTGCCAAGGTTAAGGATGTGCCACTGACACAGCCTCAGGAGGTCCTGACAACATGTGCGCAAGGTGGTCGGGGCACAGCTTGGTTTTATACATTGTAGGGAGACATGAAACGTCAATCAATATATGTAAGATGTACATTGGTTTTGTCCGGAAAGGCAGGACAACTCAAAGCGGGGAGGGGGCTTCCAGGTCACAGGTAGATAAGAGACAAATGGTTGCATTTTTTTGAGTTTCTGATTAGCTTTTCACTGAATGCACAATTTACAGGAATAGTCGCTTATGCCTTAGTCTGGCTTAGTGAAACAATAGGGCAAAGGAAGCAGTCAGGTATGCATTTGTCTCACATGAGCAGAGGGATAACTTTGAGTTCTGCCTATCCTTTGTCCACAAGGAATTTCCTCGTGGGCAAATTGTGAGGGAGGTATGTAGCTTTTTTATCTTTGTAGCTATCTTATTTAGGAATAGAATGGGAGGCATATTTGCCTGACACAGTTTGCAGCTTGACTTTTCCCTTTGGCTTAGTGATTTTGGGGTACCAATATTTATTTTCCTTTCATAGGTGATACAGTCATTTTCTGCATGTGAGTAAGAAACAAAAACGCGTTTAAACAGATTAGCAGGATAAGGAAAACTGGTTGCTTCCCATCTGTCAAGTTGGATGTTAATAATGATGCTTCTGAAATTCGGACTGGTATAAATTTAGTGTAAGACCTATTCATGTATGTGTGAAATGTACATATGTGAAATGTATTTTAAAGTCAAATAGAAACATTTAAAAATTATCTTGTCAGGGGAATTGACTAAAAGTGCACTGCACTCAAATTCCATTGCTTTATAATATATTACAAATCATCAAATGCTCTTCTAGCAGCAAAAATTATGGATGATTTCATAGTAAAATTAAATGGGAGAAGGCAGAGTGTGACAGTGAATGTTTTAAACATATTTTATAATGTTCAACTTTAGAGTTAAAAAGCCAAAAATTAATTGTTCCAAAATAAATTCCAGCTGGATACAGTTAAAAGTAAAAGATGAAATCTTAATACCACCAGAATAAAAATAAGTGAATAACCTAAGAATATGCTACAAAACATAAAAACTTCATATTAAAAATACTAAACAGAATTAAAAGACAAAAAGTCCTGTGAGAAATGTTTGTAAAATATGTTACAGATAGCTAACTTTACTATTCTTAATATATAAGAAGGTTTTACAAATCAATAAGAAAAAATTAAATACTCTAATAGAAAAATTAACAAAAGACAAGAATAAATAGACCTCAAAACAAGAGCATAAATAGCCAATAAATGTATGGTAAATTGTTCAGCCTCACTAAGTATGTCAAGGTATAGAATTTGTAAAAATGATATAATGTTATTTTTCCTTATTAAGTTGTAAATCATTAAAAAGGATGATGTTATTCAAGGTTTCTTAGGGTGTAAAGAAATGCGCACTAATATGAGCCTTTTTGACAGGCAATTTGGCTAAATTTATCAAAATATTTAGAAATGTGCATATAGAGCAATTTCACTTCTAGGACTTTAACCTGAGGAATAAAATACAAGATGCGGACAAAGAGAATGTACAATAATGCTCATATTAGTATTATTCATTTATTATTCTTGTAGAAAAAATAGAAATAATCATTATTGGATATTCAGAGTCCATATATATATGATGGGAGACTTCAAACCATTTAAAATCATTGTTGTGGACACTATTCTGTGCCATCCATATCCTGCTTCAAGACAAAGGGCTTATTCTCCCAGCTACTGAGAGGGCTGCTGGCAGACAGCTCTCTGCTGTCATTCTTCTCTGGCAACCGCCCTTGGCTGAAGAGAGTGACCTAATGTAAGGTTATGCCCCTTCCCAGGTGCAGTTTGCATTCAATGGCCAGTCAGTGCAGGAGTATAGTCTCAGCCTCCTTGCTCCAAATGGAAACAATTCTGGAAGTTTATTCCAGATTCAGAGCTCCCCGTGTGGTCTGCTAAGGCCTTGGTATGACTGCATCATAGCTCAACCTCTTTGTCCAATTTTGCTTCCTTTTCTTCTTCCCACAAGTGTTGATCCCAAGAGTACTCCCCAGTAAACTTTTTGTCTGATTTGGAATCCGCTGTCTAGGAAATTCAATCTATAACAATCATGTTGAAGAATATTAACATGGAAGATATTTGAAATGTATTGCTAAGTTAAGAAAACAGACCAGCCATTTCCAGCAATATGGTCAACTAATTACTTTTTGATATAAACTTCTATTAGCACAAGGTAAGATATACAAAATTTGTTTTAATTGAATAACTGAGCCCCCAATAAATAAGGGAAAACTCCCAAAAGCCAAAAATGAGGAGAAAACTGAAAGCCAGAGTGGTAATCTTGTGAAAGTTGTGGTTGCCCTGGTAAGGGAGTTTCAATTTTTAACAAACACAGAGACAGAAGATGTCTTAGGCCACAGGTCCTATCATAAAGCTCAGATTCTGTGCATCTTGGCACAGGGAAACAACAAGGAATCCTATCTGTCTCATCTAAGCTTTAGGTGGAAGAAAAAATTCCTCTGAGAATTAAAGCACAGGCCTGGAAGTCAAATAGGGTTGCGGTTTTAATTTATTCTACCTGAATGGCCTGGGAACATTAACTCTGAGGTTTTTTGGCAGAAGCAAAGGAAAAACTGCTTTGGAAGGATGCTCCCACAACACAGACCACAAGAGATTTTCACAGATTTTTTTAAAGCCCCATGAAAAGGGATATCACAATAAAAAATACAAGAGTAAATTACCTACTGTTGATATGAACAGGGGGCAGGGAAATACTGGGTAGAAGAGGGCAGTCCCCAGTGAGGGCCATACCCTCAAGCCTGGATCCATGGCCCAAAGTGAGAACATGCATTCCTGTTTTCTTGTCCGAATGTTGCATTTTCGAAAACCACCCTGGCTCACCTTGCCCCCCATCCTGTACCCATAAAAACCCTAGGCCCCACTGGCAAAGTGGCAGAGTGGCAGAGAAGAAGAGAAGAGAAGAAGTAGCTGGACATCAGAGAGAAGCAACCTGACTTCAGAGGGAGGGCTTGACGGTGGAACCTCAGAGAAGAGTTTGTCCAGGGATGGCTGAGCTCCAGGGGAAGACCACCTTCCCATTCCATCCCCTTTTCAGCTCCCCAGCCCACTGAGAGTCACTTCCATTGCTCAATAAAATCTTCCACATTCACCACTCTTCAATTCATTCATGCAACCTGATTCTTCCTGGACACTGGATAAGGGCCCAGGTGCAGGTGTAAGAGGCTGGCACACTGACCCTCCACTGAACTTTTTAACACTTAAGCCGTCCATGGATGGCAAAGCTAAAAGAGCACACTGTAACACATTCCCTCTGGGGCTCCAGGGGTCATGGGCAACCCCTAGATGCTGCTGCAGGCCTGTACAGAGATCTGCTCAGGCCAGTTGCCCAGAAGCGCTCATCCTGGCCTCTGCACCTGCTGACCTGTGTGCACCCCCCTCCCACAAGGGGTTGAGAGCTGCAGTCTGAGTAAATGAGCCAACGCCTTCAGGAGTCCTGTGAAGGTGTAAAGGGAACTATCTCATTTCACTATGAGGGGGAGTCAGTGGACATAATCACTGGCAAGATTAGAATCCTGAGAATTATTAAACTGGGGAATAGATCTGAGAAAATTACCCAGTATTAAGAACAAAGAGAGATGAAAAATATGACAGAGGCTAAAAGACATGGAGGACAGAATGAAAGATTCAACCTTTACCTAAGAGGACTTCCAGAAGAAAAATACAGAAAATGGGAGAAAGGCAATATTCAAGGAGATAATGGCTGAGAATTTTTATGAATTGATGGAAGACTTAAGAAGTACAAGTGCCAAGTAAAAAAAATAAAAATAAATCTATATCTAAACATATTATAGTCAAATTGTAGAACACCAAAAAATAAAGAGAAAAATCTTTAAAACTACCAGAGAGAAAAGACAGATTATCTACACAGCAACAAAAAGACAGACAACAGACTTTTACATTACAACAGTATAGGCCAGAATGCAGGTAAATAATATCTTCAAAGTTCTGAGGGAAAATAACTGTCTGAGAGAAATTCCCTGTCTGAGGGAAAATAACTGTCAACCTAGATTTCTAAACCCAGTTAAATTAGTATTCAAGAATGAGGGCAATAAAAATATTTTCAGAAATTAAGTGAGAAAATAAAGAACTCCCTTTGCTGAGGGAAACACTAAAGTGTGTACATTCAGAAAGGAAGCATTGATGTGGAAAAAGGATGGTGAACAAAGATACTGGTAAACACATGGGTAAATCTAGACAAGCATTGTCTGTTAAAAGCAATAATGATGATGAATAATCTGGTAATATATAAACAAAGTGACAGAGGCGTGGTTGGGTTAAAACTAAGTCCTTGAATTATTTTATGGGAGGGTAGCACTACTGAGAAACTTTAGACATTTATGTTAAAAAAACACAGAATATATAATTTTCAAACCAGTAAGAGAAAAAATATTTAAAAATTGACAAATAGCAAGAAAGGAGGAAAAAGAAGAATAAAAGATAAATCTCATGATAAAATGATATAAATACATCCACATGTATCATTAATCACAATAAATGCAACTGGACTAAAACTTGTGAGTTTAGACAGAATCTTCGTTAAATTTTAAAATCCCAGATTTAGCTACATGCTGTTAATAAAAGTCTTATCTAAAACATGGAAAACATGGAAAGTGATAGAAAATAAAGTATGCCTGAAAAATACTAACCAAAATGATACAGCCATGTTAATGGTAAACAAAACATACATTAAAACAACAATTATTAGGGTTAAAGAGTTTCACAGCATATTGATAAAAGAAGTAATCCACTAGGAAGATATAACAATTCTAAATCTGTCTGTACCCAAAAATATAGCCTCAAAATATGTAAAACAAAAATGGACAGGATTACAAGGAGAAACTGACAAATCTATCATCAGTGGTAAATTTTAATATACCTGTTAGTGTTGGCAGATAAAGCAGACCAAAAATTATCAAGAATGTAGAAGATTTGAAAAACACAAAAAACTTGAATTGACATATGTAGAATTCAGTACCCAACAATTACACAATATTGTCTTTTAAAATACACAGATTATTTATCACATTCTTTTACCACAATGCAATACAATTAGAATTCAGGAAAAAATATGATTTAAAAAGGAATAGACTTGGAAATTAAAATAAAGTGGATTATAAAACCAGTGTGTGCAATATCATCCCATTTGGGAAAAAATAACATCAATGTTAGGCATCGAAAATAAAAGGTTGGGAAGAGGCACCAAAATGATAACAGTGTTTTTTTATGGTTCGTTTGCTTATAGGTGATTTTAAATTTTGCTTCATTTTTAAAGAGCTTTTCTATTGTTAAAGTTTCCTGCCTGGAACATGTCAGTGTCTTAGTCCGTTTTCAGTTGCTATGAGAGAATATCTGAGACTGGGTAATTTGCAATAAAGAGGTTTAATTGGCTCTAGATTCTGATGGCTCGGAAGTCCAAGAAGCATGGGCCCAGCATCTACTTGGCTTCTGGAGAGGGCCACATGCTGTTTCATCTCACAGTGGAAAGGTGGGAGGGCCAGCAGGCATGTGCAAAGAAAGAAGACATGAAGAGCAACTTCATTCTATAACAATCCACTCTTGCATTGTAATCCAATCCCATGAGAGTGAGCACTCACTCTTGCGAGACAACATTGATCTATTGATGAGGGATCTTCCCTCCATGACCCAAACACCTCCCACTAGGCCCCACCTCCCAACATTGCTGCACTGAGAACCAAGCCTTAGCATGTGTTTGGTGGGAACATACTATATTTAAACCATAGCAGTCCGTATGTATTTTTTCTAATTAGAATGAAATCGATAATGAATTTTATTTAGGCTAACATATAGAATAATAACCTAGCCTATTGCAGTAGCCTTCTAACTTATCTCTTCTTTTCCATTCTTGCCTCCTAATACATTCTCTTCCCCCAAGCACTTAGAATAAATTCCAAATTCCCAATCTTAGCCTATGAGATTCCACATGACTTTGCTCCAGCCTACATTTCCAAACTTACCTCTAGTTGACCTCCCCCAGGTTTACCTTAGACTCACTGACTTTCATTTCATGGAACTCCCCAAGCTGTACTCACCCTGGGTCTTCATATTTGCTACCCCTTGCACCCAGAAGCCTTACTGTTCTCCTTCCCCCAACACTCTCTTTACCTAAGTCCAGGTATTCTTTATTTGTCAGCTGAAATCTTACATCCTTAAGATAACCTTTTCTGTTACCCCTCCCCAGACTAGGTTTGGTTCTCTGATATTCTCTAGGTACTTGTTCTGTTTCTTCATAGCAGCAATTATAATTTGAACATAGATATTTGTCTGTTTGTTCGGTTATTGTTTGTCTCCCTTGCTACACTGTCTGCTTCATGAGAGCAGCAAACCAGACCACATCTGGTTTGCTGTTGCTATATGCCCAGCACCTAATACAGTGCTAAGCATGTGGGGAGTGCTCAGTGGATATTTGCTGAAAGAATGCATAAATGAGTGAATGAATGAATAAATGAATTATTGAATCCCCACAAATGCTACCGGAGATTATGGAACAAAAAATGAGATAAAGGAGTTCATGAAGGAGATGTGTATGTAGCCTACACTATGCCACAATTGTGGTTTAACTTCCAGTTCTCCTGGTAATGGCTAAGATTCAGTAATAAATGCTGACAAGATAAGTTTCCCTTTGTATTCTCTTTTCTCCATTTGCTTTAGTGGACTATTCCTCTTTAAGGGAAGAAAGCACTGTGAATTAGCTTGAAAACAAAACAACAAAATAACTACTATAGTTGTTACTTCTGAAGCCAAGGACAGTGACCCAGGATGATTTCTAGATGGGTATAAGTCACTGGATCACATTTCATTGTTCTCAAAGCTGTTTCATTATATAATTGATACAATACCACATAACCAAAGCCCAATTCAAGCTGGCTTGGATATGTTCTATCTCTTCTTCTGGGAACAATCTGTACACATTTAGTCAACTTGGGTAAGAATAGTCTTCGTAATTAGGGCCAGGACATAGGAAAAAGATACATTTTCCACCAGCTTTCTGTTTCTCTCTAGAGAAGAAAAAAATACTGATTACTGTGATGGATAATTTTAGGTGTCTACTTGACTGGATTAAGAAATGCCTAGAGGCCGGGCACGGTGGCTCACACCTGTAATCCCAGCAGTTTGGGAGGCCAAGGCAGGTGGATCATGAGGTCAAGAGATTGAGACCATCCTGGCCAACATGGTGAAACCCCGTCTCTAATAAAATACAAAAATTAGCTGGGTATGGTGGCACGTGCCTGTAATCCCAGCTACTTGGGAGGCTGAGGCAGGAGAATCGCTTGAACCTGGGAGGCAGAGGTTGCAGTGAGCTGAGATCGCGCCATTGCACTCCAGCCTGGAGACAGAGCGAAACTCTGTCTCAAAAAAAAAAAGAAACAAATGCCTAGAAACTTGATAAAGTATTATTTTTGGGTATGTCTGTGAGGATGTTTCCAGAGGAGATTATTAGCATGTGAGTTTGAGTGGACTAGGTGGGGAAGATCTGACCTCAATGTAGGTGGGTGCCATCCAATTTGCTGGGGGTGCAGACAGAACAAAAACAGAGAAAAGGCAAATGTGTTCATCCAAACTTGCTGTACCTGAGATACACTCTTCCTCTCCTGTCCTTGGACAACAACACCAGGCTCCCAGCCTTTGGACACAAGCACCTCCCCTCCTCACCCCCATCCCCTCCAGTTCTCAGGCTTTCGACCTTGGACTGAGAGTTACACCACTGGCTTCCCTGTTTCTGAAGCTTGTGAATTTGAATTGCGCCACTACCTGCATCCCAGGGTCTCCAGCTTGCAGACAGCTTGTCGTGGGACTTCTCAGCCTCCATAAATGGGTAAGCCAATCCCCCTAATAAATTCCCTTCCATATATCTCTCTATATATATCCTATTGATTCTGTCTTTCTGGAGACCTCTGACTAATACAGTTACTGCTTAGACTTGCCCCATAGCTTAAATTTGGGGCATCAACTTAAATTCTTAAAATATAGCCTTTTAAAAAGATGCTAAAAAAGCAAAGTATGATGCTCTTTAGGTCCTGTAACATCATGGACCTAAACTCACAGACACTAGCTTCCTTTCAGCTAATCCCACCCTCAACTTTTGCCCCCATAGAAGAAAGTCGTGTTGGTAGCTTAAATGTCAAATTCTCTGTAAGAGCTTAGTGTTCTAACACAACCATTTTTTTTTCCAAAATCTCAGTCTTTTCATTCTATTTCATCATTTCATCTAGTCACAAACTAGATGCTTCATAGTTGTATATATATAATTAACTCTAGAAAATATCTGCTATTTATTCCCTTAATAGTTCATATAGAAGTGATGAACATCTTTTCATTGTTCATCTTTTCAAAATTTACTCCTTGGTAACTCCACAGTTCTAAAATAATGTATGAAGCCAAGTCACACAAGCTTTATAATGTATTCATAAATAATTCCAAAATAAACATATGCAATACAGTATAGAAGAAGGAGGGGACATTGAGACAATTCCTAAAAGAGATATGTCTATTTAAGAAGAAAGATAGGAAATGAGAGCAAACAGGATTTGTAAATGTGCCACACTTTAAATTTATTTTAAAGTCAAGGATTTCAATTGACTACATATAAATACAGTACCCAAAAAGGCAATGCTAATAATTATTAGTGCATATAAAAAATGTTTTTAACCTAACTATATCCAAGCATTAAAAGCACAACTGAAGAAGCCAAATAATACTGTACGCACAAAAGTGTTCCTTACTCAAGTAAATATGTTGATAGTATGGTACATCAAACTATTTATTACCTGTATATTCCAGAACAACAGTGAGAGCCTAAACAGAGAACACTGTAAATCATTTGCTCAAATCAATGAAAAAGCAACCAAATAAAATTCTCTGGTAATAATAATGACCAATTGCTATGCAACTGATTGTATCACAGTGTAAATGTAAATAATTAGCATAAGTTTTTCAGACTACTGAAGTAAGTGGACCAACCATTTCATGATCATATTTCAATTATGTAATTGACCATGAAATATTCTAATTTTTTAACCTGTAAAGATTCTACTCAGCTATCACTATAAAAATAGAATAGTTTATTTACATAAGAAAACATATTTCCTTTTTTTGTTTGTTTTTTGAGACAGAGTAGCTGGGATTACAGGCACCTGCCACCACGCCAGGCTAATTTTCGTATTTTTAGTAGAGACAGGGTTTCGCCATGTTGACCAGGCTGGTCTCAAACTCCTGACCTCAAGTGATCCGCCTGCTTCGGCCTCCCAAAGTGTTGGGATTACAGGCATGAGCCATTGCACCTGGCCAAGGAAACATATTTCCTAACAGAGTAATAGAAATTACTGTAAATGGTCACAATATCACTAGAACTGAATTTTGTCCCTTTCAAAAATATGTCAGAATAATAAAGAGAATATAGAAAACAATCATTTTTTTCAAAGTTTTTTAATTGTTACCAATGCCATTTTACTACTTTTTATCTTTTTCATGCAGTTTCAGAAGAAATTAGCAATATCTAACTCTCTTTTCATAGTCATAGTGATTTCAAGAGTTTCAGTCTCTGGGATATAGAATGCTTTGGCACTGGTACATTCCACCAGCTCAGGAAGAGTTATCAACAGCTTCCTAAAAAAAAACAACAAAATAAAACCTTAGCTTCCTAAAATGATGTATCACTTTCAATAAGACAATTGCAAACAACATATGCCACTAGAGTGTTAGAAAACAACCCCCCCCCAATATTTAGATAGTGTAAATATTGGATCAAAAATATGCCTAAATAACACAAACAGTATACCAGTTTTTCTGGACTTAAAAATCCAAGCAGTTGTTTTGGCGCCCCTATTTTTCTCCGAATTGACCTCATTTTACATAGTCTCAGGCTATGTTTACAGGCATAGAAATAGAACTATGCAACTTTTAAGTTTGCTGGACAGATCTGTTGCCACTCATACTTATGTATAGATGCAATGTGGCCGACGGATACAAATTTGAAAATTGGAATGGCTCTATGACACTTCTGCTAACATAGATTTAAGCAGAGTCTCTACCACAGGTGTAGTTTTTGAAACTGAGGCTGGGAATGATTTCAATACCAAATCAATGAAAGTGCTTCTCTCTCCTTGCTTCTGATTCTTTCTACTTACACATTGACAAAAATTCCCTGTGATAGATTGCTAGGTTTATTTTGTGGTTTATAGTTCAGTTGCTGGATAGTTTTATGCTTTAGATGCATTGCTGGGATGAGACATCCATAATTCTGCCATATTGGCATGAATCTAAATTATGCACGGGGTCAGCACATGCTGGTTTTGGAAGAAAATTAAATGCATGAAACACTTGTTACCTCGCATTTTCAGTAGAGAAGGTCTGAGTATCTCTATAAAAGGTGGACAGGATGCTCTTTTAGAAGGTATAATATCCAAATAAGTAAAGGAATATGGTATTTTTAGGGGCACTTATTGGGTTCTTGAATTGAGAACTAGTATGTATTTGAAAACAAAACCCTTGAAAATCAATTCCTTCTTTATTCCTTTGCAAAAACCTGAGTTCAGAAGACTGGGTTCATTAAAAGTATTTATTACACATTTATGGAACCTGAAGGATAAATTTTCTGTGACTCTTGTTCCATTCCATGTGGGGTAGGAAAAACACTTCGCCTGAATACGTTGCCAAACGTAGTGGCAATGCATTTTAATGTAGACTGTAATATTTGGCATCTCAGGAAAAAAAAAGTGAGTGCAAAAACCGTGTAGAGTCCATCCTTTAAATCTGTTTACTATATAGGTTGTGCTAGACTTAGATTTCCTTTATACTTTATTCAATAAATGATAATATATTCACTTTTAAAAGAAAGCAAAGCTTAGTATGGTAGCTTCGTTGCACTAAAAGACAACTATAAATCAGCTGAAGAAGGAGTTCCAATGATAATGTGCACTTCTCTGTCCAGAGAGAAATAAATTCAAAAGAGACAGTTAGTGGCCATTGGAATGATCCATCTACGCCTGCATTTCTGTGTAGTTCTAAGTAGTATGGCTTCACATAATAAAATGTTGAACAGTAGAACTGTACAACTGATTTAGGCTCTTAGGAGAAGGGAAATATTTTCGTCGTCTGTTTTACTGTCTTATTATCTGTACTGAGATTTATATTTAAACAAAATAAAAATTCTCCAAATACTTATCCATGTACAATTCATGGAAGGACATTAATGTATCTTATCTTGGTGCTCCCTTAGTGTCTAGTGGAAGACTTTATAAATGTTGAGTGAATAAATAAATGAATGAGTGAGTAAATAAATGAAGCAAGTATTCAGGTCACCACAAAATAACATTTGAATAATTACCATAGATTAGTACTATAAGATATGAACAAACATTTAAACCCAATACCTCTACTTTTACATTGACAATGTATTTGCATTTTCAGAAGTTACAGTCTAGGCAGTGATCAAAGGTTCATCCAGTGTTAATTTTCATTAGAAATTAAATGCAAACAATAATACATGAATGTAAATACAAAAAAAATCTCTACAGTGAACTCAAGTTTAGAGACTTACATGCTTATACTTATATTAGAGAGTTTAAGTTGATGTTGCTCACAAGAGATTTAAGCAAAGGACATCCTGGTTCCCAGCATATTCGCATAATGAAATTTTTATCTTATATAATTAACAAAATTATTTGACTTACATATCTGGGTTAAAAACCTTTTTAAGGTTTACTGAAGGAGACATAACTATTTTCAAAGAAAGTGCAGAAATAGCTACTGAGCTGCAACTCAACTATTTCATTTAGAAAACTTCTTTTTTAGCTATCAGTCTTTGAAAATCAGTCAATTCCCAATCCAAACTAAAGGAGCACAGCAAATGTGTGAGTAATCTAAAGCAGCACTCAACCAAAAATTAGCTTACATTTGTCTTTAGAATGTGTTATTATTATCACATTCAAGGTATTCATTTATGAAATTCTTAGAATTCACTTAGAAAAATAATGAAATCTCATATGAAGACTTAAGAGATCCCCGTAAATTATCCAATTTTCTCCGTCTTTCCTCCTCTCCATTTACTCCATGTTGGGTATCTACATGCCAAAACAACCAATTGAAAAAAGTGAAGAATTTGGTAAACTGCTTTATTTATTTTGGTAAATACCTGGGTTTTATTGGTAATTCGAATGAAATTGACTATTGTTTGACAGAAACCACTGGTCAATTCAGTTAAAATAAATTCGCTTGTTTCTGCCTTATAGATACAAGAACAGAATGCCCTCTCAAATCTTTCTCAGATTGGATAAACATAGCGTTATATGATGTCAAAGTTAGAAACTAAAGAAAGTAGGTGTGAATATCAATAAACTCGAAAACAAGACACATTCCCGATAATGCAATTTCAGAGAAAAGCATGGCTCTAAAGGATTCTCAAGTATTTAGGAAACATGATAAAATCCTTAATTATATTTTCTGTCTTCTATCTTAGTTAAGCAGGTTTTCTTGAGATGGTACCTCTCTGCACTGCGCATTTAATATATAAGTACATTATGATCCAAAGGACCTAGTGTATAGCCCATGTTCTATGTGGGAAAGTACTTTTAATCCAAAATGTATCCTCACAGAACAAACATCTCATGTTATAAAAATTGTATTCAGTATTTCTGCTGTCTCCATCAATCTTTAGGTAGCTGCTATGGCTGTGCCGTCATTACAGATATCCATCAGAATCCACTAAATGAAAGTCTCACAGACAGTGAGAACTGCTAGGGAAACGGAAATTAACCCCATGGTGTGTAGACATGTGTGTGCTTTTAACAAGCTTGCAAATATCTTGGAAGATTGTTCATTTAACCAATTTTCCTTGTAAAGGTTATGTGGAAGAGTAAATTCGTGTATAAAATGCAACAAAAGGGTACAATACTCCTTGAAGTAAACAGCAGAAATAGTGAATATAATTTTTATAACATGAGATGATTGTTCTGTGAGGATACATTTTTGAAATGATGTAAATAATAAGAAAACATTTGATATATATTTATCTGTAGACCATTTTGGGTTAAATGCATTTACTATAGAAGCCAAGATTAAGCTACATATGCATATTGGGTTGTTTACACATAGGAATCTTTTGTATGAAGGATCTTCTTGTCATTTTCTTGAAGTCCTAAGCTCAACAAAGGAGAATTATAGGTACTGATAATGGAAGGAAGAAAATGTGCCAGCAACTGCCTGCCTCCCAAATCCAGTTTGAAATGTTCATGAGTTACAGAGTTAGGACCATTGCAGTGAACCAGTATGTGCTCACTGCTCTATATCCAGATAAGATGTGCACAAAGCAGTGAGGTATTTAGATAGTAATTGATGGCAAGATCTTTTTGTTGATTTAAATGAAAACACTCAAATTTAACCTTACAGCCCCACAAAATGACAAAAGTATAAAGATATTGCTTCCCTTATGTAATCAATGTACAAAAACCACATATAAGACTTACAACTTAATGGCATTTTCACTTCTAGTTATTTTTTCTGATAGATAAACTGCATCTGGGTGTCAAGAATTGTGTTTTAATAGCATTAACCCACTCCAAATGCACGGATGCAAAGTAGAAAAAAGTCCAAGTATTTCCAAACATATTTATGTTTATATTAATGTAGATCAAACATCTGAATACAAAATTTTCCACTTTTCTTCAGACTTTAGGGGTGATACAAAATAACTGTACATTTTAAAAAATAATATTGACTGAAGACTCTTTAATATTATAATACACTATTCCAGTTCTAAGTTTTACTCACTTCTGAGGAGTACGAAGGTCAAGGATTGTTTCCTGGATATCAATTTGAATATCAGAAGGGTTTGTATTTGGCAATTTAATTTTAGCCTGAAAGAGAAAATGAGAAGAAAAATAGTGATATCTTGGAGAGCAATTAATTTGAAGAATATAAGAATATATGGGGAAAAGAGACTAATATTTATTGTCAACTATGTGCCAGGCTATGCCCTATCTTTATGTCAATCTTGAGCAGCAGAGATTATTATCCCCATTTTACAGATGGAGAAACTACAACAGAGAAATTTAGTGAGTGGCCCAAGGGCAACCTCCTGTAATCTGACTAAGGTTTCTGGCTCCAAAGCTATACAGAAACACTTTGGTTACTTGACTGTAACCTTCATTTTCTGAAGGTACATAGTAGTACACCTGTTAGAGTTGGGGACCTTCAACTGCCTTTATATCAGTTGGCAATTTGTATAAAAAAAGTTTAGTTCTCATGTTGGGTATGAGTTGGTGATGCCATCTAATAGTCTTCTGGCATAAATTTCCATACCACATTTTCTAGGGAGGTGTGGGAGTTCAGGTGTTATGTTATCAAAACAAAAGAGAAATAACAATATGACTCCCACCTCCCCAAAAGGACAACATATTGGTTTAGTAAGATTTCACTTTAAATGTTTCATCTCAATTACCACATGGCCCAGCAATTCCACTCCTGGGTATATACCCAAGAGCACTGAAAACAGGTTTTCAAGCAAAAACATGTACATAATGTTTTTGCTTATAGGAGCCCTATTCATAACAGTCAAAAGGTGTAAGCAACCCAAATGTGCATCAACTGATGAATGGAAAAAACAAAATGTGTTGTATCCATACAATGGAATATTATTCAGCCATAAAAAGGAGTAAAGTACTGTTATATGGATGAATCCTGAAAACATTATGCTAAGTGAAAGAAACCAGGGACAAAATGTCACATATTATAGGATTCTATTTATATGAAATGTCCACAATAGGCAAATTTTTGTTTTTGTTTTGTTTTTTTGTGGGAGACGCAGTCCCGCTCTGTTGCCCAGGCTGGAGTACAGTGGGGCAATCTCGGCTCACTGCAACCTCTGCCTCCCAGGTTCAAGCAATTCTCCTGCCTCAGCCTCCAGAGTAGCTGGGACTATAGGTGCGTGCCACCACGCCCGGCTAATTTTTTGTATTTTTAGTAGACGGGGTTTCCCCGTGTTAGCCAGGATGGTATCGATCTCCTGACCTTGTGATCTGCCCGCCTCAGCCTCCCAACGTGCTGGAATTACAGGGGTAAGCCACGCGCCCGGCCCACAATAGGCAAATCTATACAGACAGAAAAGAGATTGGTGGTTGCTAGGGGCTGCGGAAATGGAGAAGAGGGAAGTAACTGCTTAATGGGTATGGTGTTTCCTTTAGCACTGATGAAAGTGTTCTGGAATTAGATACTGGTGATGGTTGCACAACATCGTGAATATACTAAATGTCACTAATGGTAAATTTTATACTATGTGTATTTTTACCACAACACAAAGTCTATCTCTTACTCTCTACATGCTTTCTCTTTCTGATGGAAGTTGATGTCTATATATAGGATAGCATGGCATATGGTTTCCATAAACAAAGAAATGAAGAAAATGCAGCCCAAGGTTCAGGTAAATTATGAAGCTTTCTGTAAAATGAGATAGAAGACTTGAAATATTGAACATCTGGTGAATTCATGGCTCTAATGGCCAGAGGGAAAGCAGTAAGTTATGAGGAAAATACATATCAAATAAATAATGCGACAAATTGAGATTTCTTGTAAGAAGCTTAAAGTAGGCAGTTGTGTTTTTGCAATATAATGTGTTTGGAGCAATACATGCTTGTGAGTTATATTTTACTTTATTAAATCTGTATATAAACAAAGATTTGTAAATAGAGCTCTACAGGTGCTACTATCTAAATACTACGGTTAACATTTTCATTCAACAAAAAATTGCCTCCTAATTTATATTTTGAAAATTTGGATCTTCATAATCAGAGATGCTTCAAGTGAGAGACGTACAGTTCTCAGGGGGTAGTTACAGGTGCTCTGCCTCAAAGTAAATAGGCATTCTATTCGACAAAGAAAGTCCCACCCATTTTTACTCTAATACTCAGGTCTGATAGTCAAATTGAGATCTTTAACGTCACATGTTAACTCATGTCACCTCAAAGAAGAGATACAAATATTTGTTTCTTTAGTCTGAAATGTTTAGAATTTTCATGGCAAAATATTATTTTTCCAGGGTTAAAATGCCAATTGAGAAAGACAAAAATAGATACAATTTCTGGGTAGAACTTTAAAATGGTTCTTAAAATCATTTGCTGTTCTAGTGAAGGGCAATTCAGAAACAACTCACTAATTTTTCTTCTTAAGGAAATTAAAATTATATACTACAGTGGTTTCAGAGAAGAGACAAGAGAAGGGACAAATTAGGTGGAATCGCACACATTAATATCTTGCAAGACAGAAGACTCAATGAGGAATCTTAATAGAAAAACAACTCCTGACACATGCATGAGATTTTTCCAGCAATACTTTAAAACAAATACCTGGAATACAGACATGGATATTAATTGACCTCTAACTGATTGCGCTCAAGACCTAACTTGTTAAACATTAGTAAATATAGGATGATGTCACTGACCAAACAATTTAAAGGGATTGATGTTCCTTTCTTTACATAGGGTGCAAATTGAATTTGTTTTAAAGAATAAGTTATTTTAACAGGTAAACTAAGGAAAACTTTAAAAATTCATTGGGAAACTTTTAACCTTCTGAGAACTCAACCTTTGGAATCAAACTTAGGTTTAAATTCTGGTTCTGTTACTTTTTAAAAATTAACTGTTTATTTTTGAGACAGGCTCTCACTCTGACACCCAAGCTGGAGTGCAGTGGTGTGATCATGGATCACTGCAGCCTCGACCTCCTGGGCTCAAGCAATTCTCCCGACTCAGTGTCCTGGGTGTCTGGGACCACAGGTGTGCACCACCACACCTGGCTAATTTATTTTTATTTTTATTTTTGTAGAGATGGGGTCTTGCTATATTGCTCGGGCTGGTCTCAAATTCCCGGGCTCAAGTGATCCTCCCATCTTGGCCTCCCAAAGTGCTGGGATTACAAGTGTAAGCCACCATGCCCAGCCACTTATTATTTATTGTTTACTGGTCATCTATTATTGCATAACAAATTATACCTCCCCCCCCCAATTTATAATTCAAAACAACAATAAACATTTATTATGCCACATGTTTTCGTGTATGAGGAATTTGGGAATGGCTTAGCTAGATGGTTCTGGCTTAGGCTCTATTATGAGACTGTAGTCAAGATGTTGGCTGTGGTTGTAGACATCTGAAGGTTTGACTAGGGCTAGGGGATCTGTGTCTAAGATAGTTCACTTACATGGCTGTTTGTAAGCGGCCTCAGCTCTTCACCACATGGACTTCTCCATAGTGTTGCTTGAGTGTCCTTAGGATACAACAGCTGTATTCTCCCCAGAGTAAAGGATCCAAAAGATGAAGGCAGAAGCAATGCCTTTTTTAGAATGTAGCCTCATAGATTACACTTTTTCATTAAAAAAAATCTTATTAGTTATACAGGTCAGCCCTACTCAATGTGGGAGGGGGCTACACAAAGAGAAGAATATCTGGAGGTGAGAATTATTGGGTGCCATGCTGGAAGCTGGTTACCCCAGTATCCATCACTAACTTTATTTCAAATATCTGCCTTCTGTCCTTATAAATAAAAAGTAACAGGAAAAAAGCCCATAATTTAAGGTTTGTGAGATCCCTTCTTCCCACTTTCAGCTTCTCTTCAGGCAAGTAGTAAAAACTACTCAGTCTCTCTCTGGGAATTTACTTTGAGGCTTCCCTCAAGAGAGGTAAAGGAAGGTTAAAGTGCTTGCAAATCGTTTTCCTTGGCCTTCATTTATTGTCCTCTATGTGCTGTAAGAGAGCTGACTTACTAGGGAGTCATTATTGAGTGATTATTATTGTGAGTTTCAAATCTCTTCTTTCCTGTCGTGTTCTTATGAGAGATGTGTATGACAAGATGGTTCCTGAAAGGTCATATAATTTGTAAGTGATTAACAGGCTTCTCAGCTCCTCAGATAAATGTCTACAATTATATTATAAGATGTTTGAAAATTGACAAGAGAAGTCCAAATAGCAGGTGTTTCATGGAGGTCATCCATTCTAGGTTTCCTCTTGAACTGTCACTTCATCACCACGATAAGAATAAGTAAAAAATATATGTAACTTGACCAGCACTATTTACTGATATTTCAGTGAAGCTGCTTCACTGGAGGGTTTGGACTGACACTTTGGAAGATATTCTAAATTAATTTATTTATGGGTTCTAGATATTATAAGAATATTTCCATTTGACAGAAATACAGAAACCACTCCTCACACATTTGATTCTTAGGAAAGAAGGCTATTTGAGTTCCCATTTGAAACTTAACAATATTAGGAAATTTTGATTAACAGAAAAAGTTTGGGTAGATTTCATTCTGAATTGCTTCAACTGTTTAATTTCCCATTGTTTAACTACAGAAACATGTATAAGATATTTTTTTCCACTGCAGCCATACTAAGTATTTTATAAAAACTCTCATGAAGAATGATAATCTATAGGAAAATTTTAAAAAATTAAAGGCATTAGATCTCTGCTTTGAAATTATAAAAATATTTACCTCTGAAGGATAAAAATATAGAGGTATGTATTGTACAAAACTAGGGCAAAGGCCCAATAGGTCATGTTTTTAAATTGATGGATAAATTTCAATAATGCTACCATTTTTAAACAGTCCAGTACTATATTGCCACACCTGTCTTTTTAAAAATGCTTCATAGATGCATACCTCCTCTCCACCACAGGAGTCAACTCACTCTGCAGTAAGAACATTCATCTACAGGCATCCACATCTCCACTGGCACTCACCCTCTCCCCCAAAATAATCATAGCCTCACCACCACTACCTGTCTTGAGACCACCAGAACTAAATTCATTATACTTTTAACTCTATTTGTCAATAACCACAAGAAGTCTCAGACTCCCAAATCATTCCTTATCACATAACTACCATATGGATCTTCATATCTCCTATTATGTCTCCATTTTCCATCCCTCATCAAATCCTGAGCCTTTTCCATTAGGTCCTCTGGAATACATAGTACATCATCCCTTATCTCTTTAGCCTCTTTGAATATTCTCAGCTTCTTAATCTAACTGAAATCTGGATCTCCCCAATTACACTGCTTCCCCTATAGTCTTCTCAGTTGGCGCCAGTTTTTTTTTCTCTCCTATTTCCTTTATAACACTGGGCCTGTCCCTTTCTTCCAGTTAAAAAAAAAACTCATGTCCTCCATTATGCTAAGTGAAAAATGCCAGACACAGAAAGAAAAATACGGCATGATCTCTCTTAAATGTGGAACCTAAAAAATATCTAATACATAGAAATAGAGAGAAGAATGGTGGTTACTAGAGGTGGGGTGGGAGATGAAGAGATGCAGGTCAAAGGATACAAACTTGGGTTATTTAGCATGAATAAATCTAGAGCTCTAAGGTACAGCATGAGGACTATAGTTAATATTATACCAAGTAGTGGAACTCTTCTAAGAGTAGATTTTAGGTGGTCTTATCCCCCACATACACAAAAGATACTACCTGAGATGATAAATACATTAATTAGCTTGACTGTAGTAATCACTTTACTGAGAATATGTATATCAAAACATCATGTTGTACACCTAAAACATATACAACGTAAAAACTCATGTTCTTACACGATACCACCTATTACCCATCTTGCTGGAATCGTTTACTAATTCCTGGGACACTTCCCCTGATTTCTCTAAGAATAGTTACTTGTTCTTTATTGATATTTCTAAGATTACCTCCTGTCTTAAATCTTGGAGTTTTAAATATTCACTTAGATTAACCTTTCTAGTGTGGGTGTGGTGTGCACACCTATAATCTCAGTGCTTTGGGAGGCTAAGATGGGCAGATCACTTGAGCTCAGGAGTTCAAGACCAGCCTGGGCAACATGGCGAAACCCCGTCTCTACAAAAAATACAAAAGTAGCTGGGCATGGTGGTGCGCGCCTGTACTCCCATTTGCTTGGGAGGCTGGGGTGGGAGGATCACTTGAGTCCAGGAGATCAAGGCTGCAGTGAGCCAAGATCACACTACTGCACTCCAGCCTGGGTGACAGAGCAAGACCCTGTCTCAAATGACAACAACAACAACAACAACAAAACCCTTTCTAACATTGGAACCTCACTTCCTCATCTCTTTCAGGTGTCTGCTCAAATATTGCCTTCTTAGTGAAGGCTTTCGTGACCACACTATTAATAATTTCAGCCACCACCAACTCTAGTATGCCCTATCACTTCCTCCTCCTTTTCTCCTCAGAGCATTTTCACCTTCTAATGTACAATACAATTTATGTGTTTATTTTATTTATCTCTTCCACAATAAGGTAAGCTCTGTGAAGGCAGTGATGTTTATGTTTTGTTTACTATGCTATCCTCTATACTTAGAACAGTATCTCTTGATTCCTGTGATGGGAGAGGAGTCATGCATCTATGAAGTATTTTTAAAAAGACAGGTATGGTAATATGTTGGGAAAAAGGTTTATGGGGTGCCTGCATGAACTGGCCATAAAAATATGGGACAATAAGTTGTGGAAAGCCACAAGAGGCCTCTGAGGACTCTTGACTCCTGTGATGGGAGAGGAGTCATGCATCTATAAACTATTTTTAAAAAGACAGGTATGGTAATATAGTACTGGACTGTTTCAAAGTGGTAGCATTATCAAAATTTATCCATCTGGCCAGACACAGTGGCTTATGTATGTAATCCTGGCACTTTGGGAGGCCAAGGTGGGTGGATCACTTCACGTCAGGAGTTTGAGACCAGCCTGACCAATATGGTGAAACCACATCTCTAGAAAAAATACAAAAATTAGCCAGGTGTGGTGGCATGCACCTGTAATCCCAGCTATTCAGGAAGCTGAGGTGGGAGAATCGCTGGAACCCAGGAGGTGGAGGTTGCAGTGAGCCAAGATTGCACCACTGCACCCTAGCCTGGGCAACAGAGTGAGACCTTGTCTCAAAAAACAAAAAGAAAAAAAAGAAATTTATCTATCAATTTAAAAAGATGACCTACTGGTTTTTTGCCCTGGTTTTGGACAATACATACCTCTACATTTTTATACTTCAGAGGTAAATATTTTTATAATTTCAAAACAGAGACCCATCACCTTTAATTTTTTTTTCATTTTCCTACAGCTTATCATTGTTAATGAGAGTTTTCATAAAATACTTAGTGGCAAATCATAGGCACTCAACAAATATTTGTTGACTGAATGAATGAATGCAAGGATGGTTCCATATTAAGAAATTTGCTAATATAATTTACCAATAGATAAAAACTAAAAAAATCATATGATCTTCACAAATGGTAAAAAGGCATTTGATTAAATTCATCATCTATTCTTGCTTAGAACTCTTAAAATCAGAATAGATGAACAGATCCTTAACACATACCCCAAAAATCAGTATCTAACTAAATGAAGAAACACTAGAACCATTCCAATTAAAGTGAGAAATTTATATTTTTGTTCCCATTAACCAACCCCACACTTCCCCTCCCTCAATGACCACTCCCATTCTCTGGTAACCATCCTTTTACTCCCTATGTCCATGAGTTCAATTGTTTTGATTTTTAGATCCCACAAATAAGTGAGAAAGTGTGATGTTCGTCTTTCTGTGCCTGGCTTATTTCACGTAACATAATGATCTCCAGTTCCATCACGTTGTTTCAAATGACAGGATCTCTTTTTTTAATGGCTGAATAGTGTATCTCTATTACGTACTCATATTTTTTTAATTTTTAAAAATTTAAAGTGAGAAATAAGAAATAAAGTTCAGTATTCACTATTATTACATAATATAGTTCTGGAGGTACTAACATGCAATTAAACAAGAAATAGGTTAAAATGATTGGAAAGGAAGAAGTAAAATTTCATTATCTGAGGGACTAGGTGGAATACCCAGGTGGAATGAATAACAAGGAATCGGGAAATAACTTGGCATATTGAAGGATCAAAAAGAAGGTCAGGATAAGCAGAACATAACAAACAAGGAAGAAAGTGTCACATTGGATGAAACTGTAAAAGTAGGTAAGGGTCAGATCACACGGGGCCCTTCCCTACTTTTAAGATAAGGAGTTTGGATTTTGTTCTGTAAGTGCAACAGGAAGCCATTGAGGGCTGTAAGCGAAGAGGTGATATGGTCTGATTTACTTTTTCTTTTGAGACGGAGTCGCCCAGGCTGGAGTGTAATGGCGTGATCTCTGCTCACTGCAACTGCTGCCTCCCAGGTTCAAACAATTCTCCTGCCTCAGCCTCCCAAGTAGCTGGGACTACAGAAGTGCACCACCATGCTCGGCTAATTTTTATATTTCTAGTAGAAACAGGGTTTCGCCATGTTGGCCAGGCTAGTCTCGAACTCCTGATCTCAGGTGATCCACCCGCCTCAGCCTCCCAAAGTGCTGGAATTACAGGTGTGAGCCACTGTGCCTGGCCTTGACTTACTTTTAAAAAGGAACTCTTACACTCTGTGTGGAAAGGCTATAGGGAAGGAAGAGTCAAAGCAGGGAGATAATGTCATTAGAGACTCGTCAGAATGGTCCAGATAGAGATGATGATCGTTAGTAACATGATAGCAATTGCAGTGGTAATGAAAATTAGATGGATTTAGAATATATTTTGAAGGTACAGCCAGTAATACTTGCTGATGGATTAGACATGAGGTATAAAGGAAAGAGGAATGATGGCTGATTTAGGTTTTTAGCTTGAGCAACTGGGTGAATGTTATTGCCACAAAGAAGATGAATGAGAAAAAGGTTTATGGAAGACAATTAAGAGTTCTGTTTTAGACATGTTAGGTTTGAGTTGTCTATTAAACAAGTAAGAGATGGCAAGTAAATAGTTATATGAGGCCGGGGGTGGTGGCTCACACCTGTAATCCCAGCACTTTGGGAGGCCGAGGCGGGCGGATCACGAGGTCAGGAGGTCGAGACCATCCTGGCTAACACGGTGAAACCCCGTCTCTACTAAAAATACAAAAAATTAGCCGGGCGTGGTGGGGGGCGCCTGTAGTCCCAGCTACTCCGGAGCCTGAGGCAGGAGAATGGTGTGAACCCGGGAAGTGGAGCTTGCAGTGAGCCAAGACCGCGCTACTGCACTCCAGCCTGGGTGACAGAGCGAGAGTTAAAAGAGTTATATGAATCCAAAGCCCATGGGAGAGTTCAGGACTAGAGAGATAAATGATATTTAAAGCTATGAGACTAGGTGAAAAGAGAATAGGTAGAGAAAAAAAAAGACATAGGTCAAATCTCCAGAGAACTTAAGGCAGAATAGGAAGAGCCAGTGATTTGGGAGTGAAAGAGAGGAGGAATGCCTAGTGATTTCGGAAGAAAAGAGTGAAGTCTTTCCTCACTCCTCAGTGAGAATGGGGTCATTAAAGTAAAGAGAAAACTGTGTTTCAAGGAGAGAGCAGGCCGGGTGCGGTGGCTCATGCCTGTAATCTCAGCACTTTGAAAGGCCGAGGCAGGCAGATCACTTGAGGCCAGGAGTTGGAGACCAGCCTGGGAACCCGTCTCTACTAAAAATATGAAAATTAGCCAGGCGTAGTGGCGCGTGCCTGTTGTCCTAGCTACTCAGGGGGTTGAGGCAGGAGAACAGCTTGAACCCAGAAGGTGGAGTTTGCAGTGAGCCAAGATCACATCACTGTACTCCAGCCTGAGCGACAGAGCGGGACTCTGTCTCAAAAAAAAAAAAAAAAAAAAAAAAAAAAGAGTAGTCAACAGGGTGGAATGCTGCTGAGTAGCAGCACCCTCATATCTTCAATCCCTCTTTATCTAATCAGTGTTTTTAAACTAGAGGAAAGCAATATGGGCATTTTGTGTAGGACAACTCTTCATTCTTGAGGACTATACCTCTTATTGCAAGATTTAAGGCAACCCTGGCCCTGAATACTAAATGACAATAATATCCTGTAATCAGCTGGGCATGGGGGCCCATGCCTGTAATGCCAGCACTTTGGAAGGCCGAGGTGACAGAATTGCTTGATCCCAGGAGTTTGAGACCAGTTTGGGCAACATAATGAGACCCTGTCTCTACAAAAAATAAAAAAGAAAAATTAGCAGGGCATTGTGGTGCATGCCTGTAGTCCTAGCTACCAGAGAGGCTGAAGTGGGAGGATCGCTTGAGCCCAGGAGGTTGAGGCTGCAGTGAACTGAGATCAAGCCACTACGTTCCAGCCTGGGTGACAGAGCAAGACCTTATCTCAAAAAAACAAAAAATTCTGTAATCATTGTGACAACCAAAAATGCCTCCACCTAGGGGCCCACACCATGACTACTTTTTTTTTTTTACTGTTTGTTCATTAGCTCTAGTGACACACAGTAGGAACTAAATAAATATTACATGGATGAATGCATGGATTCTTGTCATCAGCTGAAATGCATACATAAATCTCTCCTGTCTTAAAAAAACTCCCCTAAATCCTGCCTCCTTCTCAAAAATCATTTCCTCATTCTCCTCCTCTTCACCACTAAACTTCCTCAAAGAACAATCTATATTTGCTGGCTTCTCTTCCTCACTTCCTCTTCACTTCTCAGCTTTCTTCAATCTGGTGTTGGCCATGCCACTGAAGCTGCTCTCTTCCAAAGATCACCAAAGACTTCTTAACTGACAAATCTCAAAGTTCTTTCTGCATCCTAATCCTGCTTGACAGCAGCGGATACTACTATGGTTTCCCTCCCATCTCTGAATATCCTTCTCAGTTCCTCTACCTTTATTGATCCCTCAAGTATTGGTAATTTCCAAGGTCAATCTGTGAATCTGCTTGCATGGAATCGGGAGTTTCTGCCAGGTCCAGCTCAAGGATTCCAGACCATGTGATTCAGATATTTTGATGAAACCTCAAAATGACATCATCAAAATGTAAAATTACTGATACATATATGAAGTAATATGTATATGACATCTTTTACCTTTATTCCATCCTTGACCATAGCCTATTTCAAACACACACACACTCTCTCTCTCAATTTTTCTCCATCTCATTATGATGGACTTTTATCATCAACTCTACTAATTTTGGTATTGCTTAAAATTTTACATATATATTACTTCCATAATCAGAAATATACTGTCTATATGATTAGATTAGCTTTTAAGGAAGTATTTGTTACCATGTCCCACAACCACCATCATTATGAAGGAGTGTTATGACATTAACTATAAATGTATATATTATGAATATATTACTGAGACAGCGATTAGAAATTTAAGTGAAGGTTTACTGTGCTGCCTGGAACTGACAATAAGGAATCATAGTACAGATCAGATATCCTTCCCTGTGCCACATGGTCTGGTATACAACCAATCAAACAAGGTTAACATAATCAGGAAGCCTACCAAAAAAAAAAAACTAGGTCCATCCTCTAGAGGGGAATAGAATGGAGAACAAAACCTATTTCATTATCAAGCAGCCAAATACATTTTTTCATTAAAAGTAAACAAATATAGGCCAGGCACGGTGCCTCACGGCTGTAATCCCAGCACTTTGGGAGGCCGACAGGTGGATCACCTGAGGTCAGGAGTTTGAGACCAGCCTGGCCAACATGGTGAAACCCCATCTCTACTAAAAATACAAAAATTAGCCGGGCTTGGTGGTAAATGCTTGGAATCCCAACTACTCGGGAGGCTGAATCAGGAGAATTGTTTGAATCTGGGAGGCCGAGGCTATAGTGAGTTGAGGCTGCACTCCAGCCTGGGTAACAAAGTGAGCCTCTGTCTCAAAAAATAAAAAAGTAAACAAATATAACTGTTTTAACCTTAAGAAAGAAATCAGGATTTGAAGAGCAGACCATTCAGGAAGCAAGTGAATTCTTAGAGGATGAGCAAATACTTTGCTCAAAATGATTGATAGCACTTTCTGAGATAAATATGTATGATAAACATGTGACTCCTGGTTGTGTCTGCCTGCCAGATGGTGACTGACTTCTATCCCATCCCTGACTCTCATCCCATTCTCA
The DNA here is from genome assembly GCF_000001405.40 of Homo sapiens. Taxonomy (NCBI): domain Eukaryota; kingdom Metazoa; phylum Chordata; class Mammalia; order Primates; family Hominidae; genus Homo; species Homo sapiens. Next base: position 107,226,879 of record NC_000023.11, on the reverse strand, counting down.
GTGAGATTTAAAGATGGGGGAAGAATCATATCCTAGGGAGGAGGTGATGTTGGGAAAAAATAGGCTTAGTGGCTTGTTTCTTGGGTCATATCAGAATGTCGCCTTATCAATATAGATCTATCAAAGTAAAACATCAAAATATGTGTTCATTCTAGGTCAAAGAGCATCAAGCTATCTGCAAGCTGCCTTTCCCCTCTCCTAGAACAAACAAAGGGTAATTTGGCAGAATACCAATAACCCTAGGCCCATTCATTTTTGGATTTTGGCACCATGGGTGAAAATGAGAATCTGCTGACCTATTTTTCCAATACACCCATCCCATTTCCTGCCACAAATAATCCTATGGAGAATTAGGGTATCTTGCTACATATTTTTATACCTATAGTTCTTTTTTCCATGCTCCTCAGCTGGCACCCAAGAGGTCCAGTACTTCAGTCAGTCTGGCAATAACCAGTAGTCAGCAATAGCAAAACTGCAATTACTTTTGCACCAACCTAATATCACACCCATTACAGTGAGAGCTTTGGGGAGAGGGATGGAGAATATGGCTAGAGGATAAAAAGAAAAACAACCAAAACAAAATGAAATAAGCTAGGGCCTTCCACTCGTGGGGTTTAAAGAAAAGCATATATGTCACCAAGGAAAAAGAAGCCCTCTAGATTTCTTATTATTCTTCCATTAATGTATATGAGTATTTGAAACCTTGTAAGCCTGACCTTAGTTTATCAACTGTAATATCAGGATGAGAAATTAGATCAGCATCTTTCTAACTGTGTTCCAAGGAGCCTCAGCCATTCTCCTAAGAGCTGCCTCATGGGTGATAGTACCTTCTTAAACAAGGCAGTGGTACTTTTTATGTTTATTACACTGGGCTTACTCATAGAATTTTATTTGGAAAGAAAAAAGCTTGAGAGCTAGAAACAAAACAAAACAAACCTGTAAACCACTGGCTAGCTCTAGCTCTAAAATACCTAAATATAGATTAAGGCAAGGGAAACTTGGTGGCTACAAACTCAGGAGTAAAGCAGTTGCAGAGGATAACAATAGGGCAGGGAGTGTTTGGTTAATGGGGCTCTTTGGGTTTGAGGTTCGAAGGGTTTGCTGAAGACATTCCTAATTCATAATTTTGTTTAGGACCGTTGCTTTGATTTAGGATTCATAAATCTTGCTTTCTTATTTGGAGTCTGGGGAGGGTAAAGGAAAGGATGGTCCTTGTGAATTTTTAAACCCCAAATCACTTCTTGTACGTAAACAGATTGTACTCCTATTGCCTTACTCGGTTTAAGTAAGGATTTTTTCTTAAAGTTTTTGGATTGGATTGTTACATATAGACCAGGTCCAGGACACAAATAACATATTTAGGCAATTCTCAGGTACAATTTTCCCCACATTTTAATGTTTATGATATTGAGACGAACTGCACAATCAATGGTGGTATAATATGGCATTATAACTATTTTCCTCTGAAACATTGTTATTGTTAAATAAATGGCACATTTACAATTTTATGATGTCTTAGATTCAAGGAAACACCATATTATCAAGAAGAATGATAAGCATATACATTTGAGCAAGAAATACTTGAGATGGGCTCAACAACCTATTTACTCTGAGTCTTGTCAGTGGAGTAAGCAATGATAGTGGATGTCATCATTAGTATGCCTACAGGATAACATTCAAGCTACAAATAAAAGCTACAAGCTTTTATCTTTTTTGAGAGTCAGCTTACTAGTCCATTATTACCGACACTTACTCTTTATTCTTGTTATATTCTCTGTTTACTCAAATATGCCATGCTATTTCATGCCTGGATACCTTTCCACGTGCTCTTACTTCTGCTTGGAATGCCCTTTTTAGAATGTTGTCCACTGTAGTAATATTATCCACTTGAAGTTGATCTCTTCCTGCTTTATGTCACTATGTACCTGATATATGTCTTTATTTTTCTATCTTTAATTTTTATGGGTACATAATAGGAAAATATATTTATGGGGTGCATGAGATATTTTGATACAGGCATACAGTGTATAATAATTACATCAGGGTAAATGGGGTGGGTTTGTATCACCTAAATCATTCACCATTTCTTTGTGTTATGAACATTCCAATTGTACTCCCTCAGTTACTCTAAAATGTACAACAAATTATTGCTGACTGTTATCCTTCTGTTGTACTATCAAATACTAGATCGTGTTTATTGTATCTAACTATATTTTTGTACCCATTAACCATCCCCACATTTCCAACTCCCACTGCCCACTGCCCTTCCCAGTCTCTGGTAACCATCATTCTGTTCATGGTGTTTGCCTCTAAATATGTACTTACCATACTGAACTGCAGTGATTTATTAGGTGTCAATCTCCTTTACTGTAAATTCCTTGAGGACAATTGATTGTTTATCATTTATTTTTGTATCTCTAGTACTTAGGACAGTCCCTGGTATGTAGTAACATTCACTAAGTATTTAAAGATGTAATAAATGAAGAAACAAAGAGAAATAAAGGAAAGAAAGAGAAAAGGAACAGTATACACGTGACAAAGTGCCACAGTATCAACAAATGTGTTATTTGCTGCTGCCTTTCAGTGGTGTCCATGACTTATCCCAACCTTCTGAACTTCTATTCGACTTATAATTGTTTACACTGAGTTTAATTCTTAATAATAAAATTGGTTCATTTATGTTAGTTTTGTCTCCCCAGTTGATTATAAATTCATTTGAGAGAAATATCAAGTCTTCTGTATATACTTATTGAGTTTTAGATAAACCATATATTCCTATTATGAGGTATGATTTAGTTTCCAAGATTCTTCATTCAGGATACCTTTATTATTAAAACTAGTGGCAATTTTTGCATGAGATAAACTGTAAGGCTTGCAACAGTTTTATTTATTTAGGGCCTAGAATTCCTCCAGAATTTAGAGCAATCCCCAACATTACACATCAAAAACACAATTTTACAATAATTTAAAAGAGAGGAATTTGAATATTACTGGTAAAACCCTGGGAGCTAATTACTTCAAGATTACTTGAAAGCATAACTCATTAGAGTTTGAAAAATCTCCTGAGGTACTTAAAGCCACTATTCCCATTATGTTACTTGATTGAATTGAATGTCTTAGATTTTGCTAATAAGAGAAAACCTGAAGTTCATGCAAAAGAGAAATTCCATTTATCATTTGCTTAAGAAAAAAATATTACACATCTCCCATGGGCACCATGGTATTCTATAATGTATTGTAAGAAAGGAGGAAAAAAAATAGAAGCAAAGTTCCTGATCTCAAAAAATAAAATTTTAACACAAGAATTACTTGTTAATGTTGCTAAAATGAATCAAATTCCACACTCTGGGTTAGGCCCAGATTTTTCAACAAGGTCATTATCAGGATGAAATAAGCAAAAGTAAGGTGGTATCATTGATATTGTTGGTATTGCCACAACTGTTATACAGAAACAGTGACCTGGTAAAGGATGCTCTCCAACATTCGGTAGCGTCATTCAGATAAGAAAGCAAAGTAACATTTTAGATGTCTTTCTTAGTGTTTTTAATCAGAAGTCAGATCCCAAAATTAAGAAAATCCCTTTTTAAGTCCCACATTGTAAGCTGAGTCATTACGAGAAATACAGAAATAAGAGATAAGACAGATGCGGGGAAGGAGATACTTCATTCTGATTGCCTGTCAATTCATCATAAGTTAATAACCAATCAGTTGGCATGCATGGGACGGAACTAGGATGGAAGAAAATCCAGTCCAATCCAATTGGGAAGTTTTAATAGGGATAAAAATAGAAATTGTGTATTGTGTCATATGATTCCATTATGTTTATTTGTAAATCTCATCCAAATGTGTAAACTTAGTTTATTTTGTACAAGTTAACAATTTTAAACTGTCTATCCCATTGTTACCCTAGTACGTGAAACATAGCAACCACGATTTTTAAAGAGTTTACAACCTTGCCTACAATATTATGTAAATAATAGTCAGTCAATTTAGCTACAATGGTTGTATAGAAAATGAAGAAGGGGAGGAGAGGCTTACCACTAGTTCACTGCAACAACCTGTTGAGGAGTCCTTTTTTGACAACCCTAAAAATATATCTTCAGTTCCCACCTGCTGTCTGAATATAATCTCATACCTGAAAAAAAATCAATGATTATAGGGACTCAGATGAAAGAGCAATTTCCTGTCACAGAAAAGAAAACTAGTAACTTATGAGGATATGCTATTAGGTAAAATAAAAGGACTAAACAAATAAAGTGCTTGCAGGTCTTCAGGCATATAATAGAACATAAAGGAAAAGAAGTCTAGAAATGTGGTCAAAATAAACACTGAAAGGCAGGATTGTTATTATTTTCTAAAATAAAGCTTTAACTGTTTCAGAGCTAGACAAATAAAATAGATTGAGGGAACTTGTAATAAGATTCTAATAAGATTAAAAGCAGAAGAAAAAAAAGGAAAGTCTGTTCCTGAAAAACAATAGCTCAGAAAAATACTGAGTCCATAACCTAGGGATTGATAGAAACCTTCCTCTGCCAAGTTTAAACCACAGAGCAGAGGAGAAAATTCAGGTTTAGTACTGTTTCTGTCATTAACTGTGGACCTTGGTCAAGTCACAAACTCATGGGGTCTCAGTTTCTACATTTGTATGATTTATGGGAGGGAGGGGTGAGTTTGAACTGAATGATCTCCACGGCTAAAATTCTACAATAGAAACACTGGTAATGTAGTCAGCACAGCTACACCATAGTGCTTAGAATCTAGTCTTACAGAATTCTGAGTGTAATGAAAGGTTTTCCTGATATTTCACCCCACACATGACAATTCACAAATCATTCCTCCCTCCAAATTTGGGCCTCCAGGAATACAATGGTTTATAGAAGCACCCACCACAAGGTACCCCATCTCTTCAGATAGAATGAAACAAATATTTACAAATTATTATTATTATTATTATTATTATTATTATTATGCTTAATGCTACCTTAATGAAGAAATTGTAGATCTCTGGATAGTAAGACTAAAGGACTTGATTGAACTTCTGACCATTTGCCAATAGGAATGCCCAAAAATAAAAAAGGGATTTCTCTGAGTTTGAACATGGCTAACAATAAGCAGCTATTTGCTATGGGGCACTTTTCTCTTAATAGGCTATAACATCTACCAATTATTTATGAAGGTGAAGCCAGGTTAAAACAAACAGAGGATTGATCTATATGTTCATTGCTCCTAATGGATTTGCTCAAGCTCCTGCTCTTATCCTGAGCTCCAGACGCAATTTTCCAACTGTCTACTACAAAGGTTTGCCTGGATGTCCCAAAGACAACTCAAAGTGTACATATCAAAAACCAGCTAGTCATGGTGGCTCTCAACTGTAATCTAGTGCTTAGGGAGGCTGAGGCAGGAAGATTGCTTGAGTCCAGGAGTTTGAGACCAGCCTGGGCAGCACGGTTAGACGCAGTCTTCACAAAAATAAAGTGTGCACCTGTAGTCCCAGCTACTTGGGAGAGTAAGGTGGGAGAATTGCTTGAGCCCGGGAGGTTGAGGCTGCAGTGAACAATGGGCGGGGCCGGGGGGGCGGTGGTTGGCGAAGAAAAAAAACAAATTTGGTTGGGCACTGTGGCTCAGGCCTGTAATCCCAGCACTTTGGGAGGCTGAGGCAGGTGGACTGCTTGAGGCCAGGAGTTCAGGACCAGCCTGGCCAACTTGGTGAAACCTCGTCTCTACAAAAAACACAAAAAACATTAGCCAGGCCTGGTGGCATGCACCTGTAGTCTCAGCTACTTGTGAGGCTGAGGCAGGAGAATCGCTTGAACCCGGAAGGCAGAGGTTGCAGTGAGCCGAGATCACACCACTGCACTCCAGCCTGAGCGACAGAGCAAGACTCTGTCTCAGAAAAAAGGAAGAAAGAAAGAAAGAAAGAAAAAGAAAGAAAGAAAGAAAGAAAGAAAGAAAGAAAGAAAGAAAGAAAGAAAGAAAGGGAGAAAGAAAGAAAACAAAAACAAACTCACTGCTTCTTCTTAACCTATAATTCCTATCAAAGTTAATGGCATTATCATTTCCTCAGTCACCCAAGCTAATAACTTCAGCATCATCTTTGACGCTCTCCTCTCATCCATTTTATCTAACCAAATACCAACTCTTCATCCAAAACTCACTCAAATAAAGACCCTCATACTTCTCCCCAAGGCCAGTGCCTTAGCTCAGCTCCTTGTTATTCTTTTACTTGGCCACTTGTGATTCTTCTTTTTTGAACTGCCTGTTCATGTTCTTTACCTATTTTCCTCTGCATCCACTGAGAAATGTTGAAATGTATTTTCATAAGGTAGAAGATGAAGATTTTTAAAATCTTATAAAGCAATTTTCCTCATAATAACCTGAAGTTATTATTCATTTAAAGCTTTCATGGATGTTCTATCTACCTAACATCAAACATCAGGATGAAAAGGGAAAAATTACTCAAATTTGAAGTTTGCTGCATATGGATATTTGACATTTGTTAGACAATATGACAAATAAGTGACTTAATTATTACTTTTCATATGATACGTGGACACTATATAAACATAACTTCAAATTTACTCTCTTCGTTCTCTAAGAAATGTTTTAAAATCTCCTTTGATTTTTTATGAGGTTTATGGTCTTGACATTGTTTATTTGAAAGCTGGATACTTCTTTCTAGTTAATTGTCTGCAGTCTCCCACTGCTTCTGTTTTCAGAACTTATGTAGAAGGCAGAAGCATGGAGTTTTTGTTTATTTGCTTGTTTTATACTGGACAATTTTGGCTGGGCGCAGTGGCTCATGCCTGTAATCTTAGCACTTTGGGAGGCTGAGGCGGGCGGATTGCCTGAGGTCAGGAGTTCCAGACCAGCCTGGCCAACATGGTGAAACCCCGTCTCTACTAAAAATACAAAAATTAGCTGGGCGTGGTGGCAGGTGCCTGTAGTTCCAGCTACATGGGAGGCTGAGGCAGGAGAATTGCTTGAACCCAGGAGGGGCGCAGGTTGCAGTGAGCAGAGATTGTGCCACTGCACTCCAGCCTGGGCGACAGAGCAAGACTCTGTCTAAAAAAAAAAAAAAATACTGGATAGTTTTGTATTCAGTATTAGAAAAGTTGTCAGATCACTTGCCATAGAAGTCTTTAAGAATTTATATAGTACATTATAATTTAGTAAGTGTTGGCTTTATTTTTCCTGCTATTCTAAATAGTCAATCCAAATTTTATTTCAAAATACACATATGTAAAGCTTAGTCTATTTGACCAATAATTTAATCTATGTATATAAATATATTTTAAGGTTCTTAAAAGTATGAGTGCTTTTAAAATCAGAATAAAAGGCTTTTTATAATAATTCTAAATTTCATATTTACAACTTGATTGTATTGAAAAGGCTACAAAGCAAGTCTTGAACCCTGCTTGCAAAATACACTGAACACTAAATATAATCTTAGAATATCTAGTAAACAAGTCTGGGTAATAATTGATAATTGGAGAGAGAACATAGCCTTTTACCGAAATTGTGGAACATTGAGTAATTAAAAGCAAGTGCTTGACAAATAAACATGGCATTGTAATTTAGTTTGTATGAATGCTTGCAATTTAATGGGCTGGCTTTCTCCAACTGCTAGTTCCACATTATACAACAAATTGACATTAAATATAAATTTATAATGGAAATGACTATATTTTTCATTTTTGCTAGATAGTAACTGAAAGGAAGGTGTTATGCTTTATTATTTGTTTCTGCTCTAGAAGGAAAAAAATAATCAATTACACATGCCTTCCGTGTGTCACTGTAGTTTTATCTTTTATGTGGTATGTTACTTTATGAATCTTGTAAAAAGTAAAATGTTATCAGATGACACAGCTAACTTAAACTCCTAAAGACATTCCTGGCTTCATTTGACTTACTCTGGGATTTCTCTAACATCCCACATATCATCATATTCTGCTCCTTCTGGAATCTCTTCTGAATTCCAGATGTCCTCATTATTTTCCTCGCTGGTTTCAGGGATGACTGTGAAGAAAGGGAAGATAAAGCTGAAGCTCATGCTTTTTTCCTTCTCTAAATTGCTCCTGTTCTTCTTCACACTCAGTTTGGGTTCATTGAAATAAAACATTATTTGTAATCGCTAGCTTTTTTTTTTGATCAAAACAAACTAAATTAGTAACTACTGACTAAATGTTTCTATCAATACAGAACCAATACATTGTAGAATTTTAATAACAACTGTAGAGAATTTGGCAAAAACATAAACAAAAAGAAGAAAATAATCTACAATCCAACTGCCTGGAGATAATCAATGTTAGTATTCTGTTGTGTATCATTCCAGTCTCTCTCTCTCTCTCTCTCCATATACATATGCAAAGAAATATTACACATTTTTCCAGAAACATAAATAGGATTATATTTAAAAATATTTTTATATAAAAGAAAAAATTACAACTACAATCAATCTGATGTGGAGAGAAATGTCTTATCTTGCATTGTTTTTACTATATAAAAACGCTTTGATATCTTTTCCATGCAAGCATGACATAATTCTCAATAATATCAATTAAAGAAACTGAAAGCAGTGGATACAATGATCATTTTTTAGTCCAGCATTTTCCTCATGCAGAGCTGAGCATGAGGTTGGGTTTCTGCATGTCATCTTTAAATGTTTAAAAATGGATAGGCTCCAGTAGGCATGCAAAAACCCAGCTCACATTTGTTTTAACTATTGTAGCATCCGGTGGAGACCTGCATTAGGTGCAGAGCACTGCTTTGAGTCATTTTAAGCATTCCCAGAAATGCACCCGATTGTTAGGTTTTCAATTCTGGCAATTCTTTTGAAATGATCAGCTTCTATCTAGCACGGGCTTTGTAAAGCCTAACTACAGATTTATATATAACATTTTACATATGAATCATTGCCTTCAGAATTTAAAGATTATTAGACCTACATTATCAGAAATACAGGCAGCACAGAAATACATGAAATGTGAATTAGACTGCCATGGAGCGAATATCTCTTGGGTAAGGCAAATAGCCTCTTGAGTATGTATAGCAATAATAACTGAAATTTTAAAACCATCCTTAGACCTCATTTTAGCCATTATTTTAAACATTTGTCCAGATTAATCTTTTGCAATTAACTAAATTGATGAATGAAATTCACTTCCTCTCCCTTCCTATCCTCTGGTTAATGGTGATCATGACCAACAGAATTAGAGCCTTTTATATTTTTAAAGATTTGTAAAATGTTCAACTCTGTAAAAATGTATAGCTCAAAATGCTGGGGAAATGTAAAAATATTATTTAGCCTTATTTATTGGACTTTTTTTTATAAGTAAACTCAAAGATGTTAATGTATAAGCCTCTTAATGTAAGATAAAATTGTGTAGTTATTTGTTTTATTGTCTTCTCCAAAAGTCTATTAGCTCAATCAGAACAGGGACTTTTTCTGTTTTGATCTGCATTGTAGTATCAGAGATGGTCATACTGCCTGATACAATAGGTTCTCAATAAATATTTATTAAACAATTCAATGAATGAATTCCATGAAATTGCTAGAATATAGGAAGGTAGAAGGTAAAGAAGCTAAGCATCTTGGTAAATAGACCTTAAAAAATAAAAAATGATCTAACCACACGTGACTTTCTTGGTCTTCTATCTCAGAAAATATGCAAGGAATGTGGATAATTCAAGGCAAATATATTTCCATTATTAGAAAAACTATTTACCTGCAGTGGTAGAGTAAAAACAGCATCTTTATATGTAAATGGCTATTCATCATTTCCATGATTATTTTAGTTCATCTTTTTTCTATTTAAAAATTATTTATTCATTTCTCCATTTTTAATGAACAAATAAAAATTGTATATATTTATGATATACCATATGATGTTCTGAAATATGTATACACAGTGGATGACTAACTCAAGCTGATTAACATATGGATTACCTCACCTACTTATCATTTACTTGTGATGAGAATACTTAAAATCTACTATCTTAGCAATTTCCAAGTATACAATACATTGTTATTTAGTTCATCTTAATAAATACTAGTATTAGTACTTATTACTCTCCCTATAATTTCTCTACCAAGGAAAAGATTATATTGATCTATATTGCTTTGTTAAATAACTTACCTTTGAGCTCTTCTATTTGGGGTGGTCCAATATTCCCAGGACCCATGGCTCCAATAGTAGATAAACCATTTGTCTGAGGGAGGAGAAAAAGTTCAATATTCTGTAATTAATACTTGTATAACCTATATGACTAGTGATACTTTAAATTTGATAGGATTTCCATAAAAAAACTCATGGAGCTTTCCACTTTAATTACCCATCATTGTTATAAAACAGAAAGACAGATGTCAAGTACTATTTCGAATATGCTTTCCTTGTTCTTTCAAAAAGTGTTTGGTTTAATAGACTCAAGAGCAGAATTGATCTTTAGTCAGGCTAAAACCCTAGTTCCAGCTCAGTGAATCATGTATCCCTGGGGATAGAGGAACGAGCCACATTCATCTCTATGAAGGTTAGAACCAAGTATTAGTATAAAGGCATTGACACTTTTGGGGTTTAGCAGTGTCTGGTTGTAGTCAGATGGAGGACAGAGTATGTGAAAGTTTTATAGAAATAAAAACTAACACTAAGCAGAAGCTAAGTATTCAGACTTCAGATTAATCATTCAAAAGCCCTGATAACTGCTTTTACTTTTTTCCACTATAGGTATGAAACACTTCCCTGTCCCACCGCCTCATGACACTGAACTAGTGGATTTAAACAGCAACCACAAATTAATAGTCTCTAATACATGCTGATGTACTTCAGTCTTCATAACTTCATAAGTTTATTTTTCCATCTTCTGCACAAGCATACACATCCCCAAAGGACTTGCCCTGACTCACCAATACAAGCAATCTTCATTTTTTTCAACTAAGTATAACACATAGCGACACCACCTCATTGGCCCGTCTCAGGGATTCTTTGATATTTCAAGAAAATCCCAATTTCTTACCAATTGTTTTTTGCTGATGACAGACCCTGCAGCTCCAACTCACTCCACTGCTGGCAGTCAAAAAATTCTTATCTCCTTGCCTACTGGCCAACTAGCACCTCTATCTCTCTTTTCTCAGGCCCCTGTCCTCATCTCCTAAGACTTTAGACATGTACAAAAGTTAGAATGTCTTGTTTGGGCAAGGAGAGTAGTGTCTGTTCTTGAAAGCTGATGGAACAGCTCACGTGGGTCTTTATTATGTGAAACTATTCCAAGAGTTATAAATCAGAAATTAATCTATAATCTCTCAACAGTGTCTGAGACAGTAACTATTCCTTTCCAAAAGGTGTTTCAAAAGTGCTATGTCTGCGGTTAAGGCATTACAGGCATTTTTATGTGAAAATCCCAAGATAATATTTGGGACATTTTTTTCCCTCTTTTTTAATCACTAATGTCATGTAAATGTGTAGTACTTTTCTTAAATTATTAATCATCAGAACACTAATAGTCAGAGTAAAGCATTTCTCAGAACATGAGGGCCTCTTGTTTAGTTGAGTGCTGCCTTCCACAGAAAATTAAAAGCAGTAGAAGTAAAACCTTGGACATTCTTGACAAAAATTGGTATACTTTCCATGGACAGTGATTGGCTCAGAACACATGGGAGTTTCAATTTATTAATTTAATGAAAATAAATGATTAAAAATAAAATTTTCAAGTTAAAAGATGGAATGGGATCATAAAAACATTAAAAACCATCTGGCAATTGTTTTCTATTAGAACATCATTTGAGCCTTTACCATGAATCTACAGCCAATTATCTGAGCAATTTATCACTGCAATTCATGCCACTTTGTAATATGTAAGACAGAACATCCTCGTTATAATGTCTGTGAAGAGCAGTGAACCTTATTTCCCACAGGCCTTAAGATCCCCTCATGGCTTTGAAAAATGACAGACACACTCTCTCCTCAATCTCCCAGATTCTTAACAAGTCATATAGAAAAGGGATAGTGTAAATGAAGCAATGTGTATGCAACTGTTCTCTTGCTGTTTTCAGAGAGCATATTTTCAAAAACACATCACTCTTGTAATCATCCCACAGTTCCCAAGATTAATACATGTTAAAAAATGAAAAGCAGTTTCTCTCCTGGAAAATGTAATAGTTCATTAGAAACATTAATTATTCTCCCACTGTTCTGATACTGTATGTCCTCTAATGATATCTGTACTGTGGTGTCTGAATGACCAATTATCTCAAAATTGTTTATAACCCAGATATACAGAATCATACATTATTATAGTAATTTTCCTTTATAAACTGTACAACTCAGTAATATTATGTTAGTCTATTCTCATAAGCACTCATCTTTTCTCCTAGAAACACCTCTAGATGCAAATAAACACCTCCAGCCATAAACACCAAATGGAATAGGCTCTGTAACCAGGGTAAATCCTTATATTTGAATCTGTCCCAGTTACAAGTTCCACTTCACTATATTCAAGGTCACTGTTTCTCAAATACTTGATATACTTTTTCTATATGGCATAACCTTACCTTTCCTAGGATGTAGGCTCCAGAAAATTATTATTCTGCTACTCAACTAAGGTAGCAAAAATGAGCTTGCCTTCCCAACTTCATTGATACATTGTTCCTAACTTTTTCTCCTGTATCCTGTTTGTTGTGTATAGCTAATGCTGTCATTAACATCCTGATGTTTCTTTGTTTAGCCTCTACTAAGACTTTTCCCTGACTAAAACTTCCTGGTTCCTGATCCTGGCTCCAAGCTGACTCAGTTCTTCTACAAATGTTATTCCCATTTCACATCTTATTTATTCTGCCCTATTCCACCTAAGCTCTTCCTTAGGGTGGTAGCTCAGTTCAGTGTCAATCTGAGCCACTGAATTTGCTGCCTGTTCATAGCTTGCTTTTTTCTCCACATTGTGGCAAAAATAAATTTTGGGAGGAGTAAATTGATATGTACGTTTGTGAAAGATGATTTATTCATGATAAATTGGTCATATAACAAAACACTTCATTAAAATAATTTTATGCAAATTGACAGATTCTGTTATGATATGGGATTTTTTGCCCCAAATTTTGTTTGCCCTATCATAGGCAGTCTGATAGCCAAGGCTCACCGATAGTTAAGAAATAGGAGAATGGAGAGCAGGGAGTTATATAAAAGTGTTTTAATTGTTCTGGGAATACTGGCAGTAACCTTGGAGTGGTCAAAGGTCAGTTCAATGAACTCTTCTACCCAAAATGAAGCCCATCTTGCTACTGCAAGCCTTGCTGGCATTACCTATCTTGACCCCAAATGCTACTCAACTAATTAGACTCCACAACTTTATTTGTGCATTACTGGGAAGCCAATTTTGGTAGGCTGAAACTAGTTTGCCCTATTATTTGGCTCAAAAACTTTCTGTTCTGCGTTAATGTGTAGACAAATTAAAAAATTAAGGGACTGGTACTTGGTGGTCCAATTAATACTGTATAACTGAAAATATTTGTTTTATAGAAATATTGCCTAGGCTTAAACAATCCTAGCTACCACTCTGCAATGGTTGTCAAGCATTCTTTGGCTATAAATATAAATGACAACATTTTGAGATGTGGCTATTGCTACCACAGTTACAGAACTATTTTCCTATTCAGTGTTCAGGTGGTTTAGAAAAATATAATTATCTTTGCTAGAAATGTACTACAGGTTACATTGTCATGCATAATCAGCCTTGTAGCTTCCTGTGAATGTATCAAATGACACAGCTCTGTTCCCACAGCTAGGTGGGAACAGGTTATTCAAATACAGTTCCACAACTTCCCATGAACAAAACTAATTCAACTGTTAAGTATATGACCACCTGTCCATAGTCAGAATCATCCTCTTCTTCAGGATTAAGTAGCTTAGAGAGGGCTTCCAGAGCTGTAACTGAAGAAACACTCTCAAAGTCTACATTTTGAGATTCCATATTTTCTGTCTTCATATTTTCAGAATCCATATTTTCAGATTCCATTATCTGAAGAAAAAGATAATCAGAAAGAGGTATTTTACTTTTCTGTTTTATTTAAGACATGAAGATGTTTTATTGTCATATCTCCCTTCTTTCCCTGGATCACTCCATTGGTTCTTATACTTCCTTGGAAATCCTTTTAAACTCCTTCAAATATATGTATTTTGCTAACTCACAGACCTGGAGCACCAAGTAAACTCAAACATTCAGCCTGCTTTACTAAAATGTCATACTCAAGCTAACAAGCACTTATTGAGCACCTAGTATAGTGGTTCTCGGGTTTTAATGTGCTTAATAATCACTTGGGGGAGTTGGTTTAAAATGCAGATTCTTAAGCCCTACCTCTAGAAAAAGTGTATGATACATTATGTATCATCATTTGGGAACATATTTTTTAGACATGAGCAGTGCTTCAGGGCAGAAAGGTTGAAGTCATGGTTACAGGGAGACCTATTTAAAGTGAAGAAGGACGCTGGCCTATAGAAGGTGGGGTACAGTTCTTGAGGTTTGTGCACAAGTTGACTACTAGAGATGAAGGTTCAGAATAGGGCAGAATAGGGCTCAAAGTTCCAGCTGGAAAAGAGAAAACAAACCAGGCACTGTGTCGGTGGCTTTCTCGTGTCACCTAGGTACCCACAGTGGAGGTTATGAAGGAATGTTATGGTTCCTTTGGTACATTGGATACTGGATTCAGAAAAACCAGATTAATTCTGAATCCCTACCAGTTATTTGGAAAGGAACTCTGGCCTGGTTCTCATTAGGTGGGAAGTAGGCCAGTGTGAGCAGTGGGAAGCTATACCTGTAGATTTAGTGTCTTTAATAACTGCAGCTGGCACATAGTCAGCAGTTGATTAATACCAAATGAAGCATGACTAAATTCATCTGAATGTTATATTTCAAAATAGTCATTTGGAAGGTTATACACTGATGTAAATTATGCTATCAATGCTCAAAATATTTTGGGATTTTTCTTTTTATTTGGAATTGCCTTCATATGTATCACCAAGAAAATAGGTATCATTATGGTATCATTATGGTATCATTTGGTTTGATTACACATCAGATTTGTCGCCAAGTGATTTCTAGATATATTTAGATATCATGTCTACTTTCAAAATATGAAGATTTTCTTCTTTGAGGATATTCAAAAGAATGTGCTACATGCCTCAAGGTGATTCTAAAACAGAAGTTTCAAAAGCAATTTTAGCAATAACAACAACATTAGAGTAAATAGATTAGTCTCCTAAAGTGACTACTTCGAAGGGGATGGTCCTCCTTGGAACGTGTACACTTGTTTTTGTTAAATTATTCACAATAATTCTTAGTAACACTTTATATATCTGAAGCATATTAGGAGTTAGACTTCTTAAAGTACAATTGGACTTCCAAATTATGCTGGAATAAAATGCCATAGATTTGCACTATAGCTCAATTAAAATAGAAATATAATAATAAAATTACCACTTTAGCCAAAATATTTTTGCCATATCAAATGTAATAATAATCTGTAAACACAAATTAATAAATCATGACAACAAAAATAAATAAATCAATCATGACAAGTTTGTTGATATTGTATTTTGATAAACAAAAGAATCCCAAATATTTTGTGACTAACTAGTTAAATGGTTCAAAGTATCAAAAGAGAAAAACAGTTTGTGAATTTTTAGAAAAAAACATTCAAAATTCAATGGAAAGGAAGATTCTACTAGCTTTTTAAGAAGTCTAACATATTTAGAATAACTTATTCAACTTTATTAAAAAACATTTATTAAAATTCATTTGACACAAGTGGATCACAGCTGAAAAACTAAAACAGGAGGACTTTTTAGGAACTACAAAGAACTATTTGTAGGGAACTATCTTCACTACAATGAACTATGCAGTGTTAGTTTATAGCTCTATCTTTTATTTCTAAATGTGATATACATTTAAGTTCATCCTGAGTCTGGCAATCAAGGTCCTTCAGGATATAGTCCCAACGTAATTTTCTGTCCTTCCCTTCTATTATTCTCCTACATATTCTGTTAAAAACTAAACTGCTTATTAAACATACTCTATAATTTCCTGCCTTTGTACCTTGGAGTGCATTCTTCCTTTTGCCCTGACTTATTGGATAGTACAGTGTAGCGATTTTTAAAAAGAAGATTCTGGCCGGGTATGGTGGCTGACTGACGTCTGTAATGCAAACACTTTGAGAGGCCAAGGTGAGCTCACGGGTCACGTGAGCTCAGGAGTTCGAGATCAGCCTGAGCAACATAGCGAAACCCCGACTCTACAAAAAATACAAAAATTAGACGGGCGCGGTGGTGTGCCCCTGTGGTCCCATCTACTCAGGGGCCCGAGGCAGGATGATTGCTTGAGTCCCAGAGATGGAAGTTGCAGTGAGCCCAGATCGGGCCACTGCATTCCAGCCTGGGAGACAGAGTGAGATCCTGTTTCAAAAATAAATAAATAAATAAAATAATAACAATAAAAAATGAAAAAGAAGATTCTGGAGCCACACTGCCTAAAATGTTTGAATCTGGCACTGTCACTTAAATAGGCCAAGAATAAACTTAAAGTAAGGAAAATTTAAGAGTTTCAGTAAAAACAAAATATATTACTGTCTTTTATTTGAGATTTGTATTTAGAAAATAAATTTTTTAGGCCCTTTGTTTTTCTTTCTCTCCTTCTCTTTTGCTAGGCCAATGCTAATGGCAACATTTTCCAGACAGAGCCTTTGATTTTCCCACATTAACCTGAGTACTTGGGGTCTTCATAAATAGAGGCATGATTGGACCATCTACTAGCCACAATGAGCTAAAGCAACTGACACTCCAGAACCAGCTCATTACCATAACACTGGAGCCAGTCAGGGGCTGAAAAAGTTCAACCAGATTGGCTCCAGACCCACAGCACTTAAGCAACATCAGTAACCTTGAGTTAAAGTCAGACTGGTTCTAAGGCTGGGATCATGCTTTCTATTTTATTTGTCTCCTTCACAGTATCAATAAAGATGGCTTTTGACATCAGTTAATTGTAGAAAAGTCTAGGTTAAATTAGTGAAAACTCTGAATTACAGACTATTCAAATAGATAATAGATTTTATTAATTCAAGTATATATGGTAAATAAAATCAGGGTGATAAAGAACCACCAAGCAGGGCTGGGCGCAGTGGTTCACGTCTGTAATCCCAGCACTTTGGGAGGCTAAGGTGGGTGGATCACCTGAGGTCAGAAGTTCAAGATCAGCCTGGCCAACATGGCGATACCCCGACTCTACTAAAAAACACAAAAATTAGCCGGGCATGATGGCGGGCGCCTGTAATCCCAGCTACCTGGGAGGCTGAGGCTGGAGAATCACTTAACCTGGGAGGTGGCCGTTGCAGTGAGCCGAGATCATGCCACTGCACTCCAGCCTGGGTGACAGAGAGAAACTCAATTCCCTGCCCCCCAAAAAAAGTCACCAAGCAATATCCTTTTGGAACTTGTTTAAGTAAATAGATATATCCCTATGTAAAATACTGACTTTAACACAATGATTTGCAAGTACTCAAAATCTATTTATTCTCTAAATAAATTTGGCATTTCTTCTGCAACTTTATTTTTATTTATTTATTTTTTTTAAATCAGCTTTCCTAGATTGAAGCAACTTTATTTATATAGTGCCTTATTTAGCAATTCCTCCATTAAAATTCTTGAGAACACAACAGTGATATCATCTCTGCCTATGTCTGAATTAAATTATAATATACTGACTAATTGCTTTCTGCTTTGCATTTTTTGATAACTATACTCATCAATGATTTCCCACCTATTAAAAATAATTCATTTTGAATTTATCTTTACAATACTAAGAATGGTTTCTTTTTCAGGTCTCTAACTTTCGCTACCATCAAATGTACTAACTCATAAGTAACTATGGGAACTTAACAGTTTTCGTTTCAAATTTAAAATATATTTAAGGAAGATGCTTTTTGAAAGTACCTAGAATCTTTCATAGAAAAAGAAGTCAAGAAATTAAATAGTTATTGATTACTAAATCAAAAAAAGTGTCTTTTGGCTGGGCGCGGTGGTGCATGCCTGTAAACCCAGCACTTTGGGAGGCCGAGGCCGGCGGATCACTTGAGGTCAGGAGTTTGAGACCAGCTTGCCAACAGGGTGAAACCCCGTCTCTACTACAAATACAAAAATTAGCCAGGCATAGTGGCACGCACCTGTAATCCCATCTCCTCGGGTGGCTGAGGCACAAGAATCGCTTGAACCCGGGAGGTGGAAGTTGCAGTGAGCCGAGATCGCACCACTGCATTCCAGCCTGGGCGACAGAGCGAGACTCCGTCTCAAAAAAAAAAAAAAATTGCGTCTTTTGATTTAATATTTCCTCTGTTTTAGTCATTTATTCATAAGGAGTCTGTACCATCCCAATCCTTTTTGAAAATGGAGGGGTTTTTTTGTTTTTTTGTTTTTGAGACAGGGTCTTGCTGTAGCCCAGGCTGGAGTGCAGTGGCGCGATCTCGGCTCACTGCAGCCTCGACCTCCCTGGCTCAAGTAATCTTCCCACCTCAGCCTCCCAAGTAGCTGGGACTACAGGCTGTGCCACTGCACCTGGCTAATTTTTGTGTTATTTGTAGAGACGGGGTTTCGCCGGCTAATTTTTGTTATTACTTGTAGAGACGGGGCTTCACCGTGTAGCCCAGATGGGTCTCGAACTCCTGAGCTCAAGTGATCCCTCGCTTAGGACTCTCAAAGTGCTGAGTTGACAGAAAAATTAGTTTTAATATGGAGAGGCAAATCCTTGGTATCTGTAGAACCCATCCTGAATTATCGAATGCTCTATAGTACATTTCAGACAAACAATACACTTAATATTTTTTTCTCTTCGTTTATCTATCTCAAGTCTCATACTCCACCTCTATCTAAAAAGAAGTTGGAGGGACTCTTTTTAGATACAGGTGGAGTATGAGAACTCTTTTGTTTTTGAGACCACATCTCACTCTGTCGCCCAGGCTAGAGTGCAGTGGCGCCATCACGGCTCGCTGCAGCCTCGATCTCCAGGGCTCAGGTGATTCTCCCACCTCAGCATCCAGACAGGCAGGCGCCAACACACCCGGCTAATTTTTGTATTTTTAGTGGAGACCAGGTTTCGCCATATTGCCCAGGCTGGTCTCGAACTCCTGACCTCAAGTGATCTGCCCGCCTCGGCCTCCCAAAGTGCTGGGATTACAGGCGGGAGCCACCGCGCTCGGCCTGGCAAATTTTCTTGCTGTGCTTTAAATTTTCTCCCTAGTCCTATTTTTTTCCTTTCTTCAGGAAATATGGTCTCTGTTCTGAATCCTTATCACAAGAAGCTCTTAAGGAGTAATGACTCCTCCCTCTTTGGTCAAACTAGGTTCTCTCCCTTCACTCAGATTTAATTTTTTTGGTCACACTTCCCCACCTTTTGATAGTTACAGTCAAACGACATGTAATACTTACTCTCCCAATCAGCCCTTGGCGAGTAGCAGGTCTTGTAGGTACAAGTAGTCTCTGCACAGTACACTCGGGCCCACCAAGTGAAGGTCTGATTACTTCTCACTCCTCAGCTTATCTAACCAAGCAACACTGGAACCCTCAGACCACAGCGTTCAAGTTGTCGCACAAAGGACATTATTCACGTAGTAAGTACTGGGGCCATTTTTTTTTCAGTCTGAAGTGTGATATCCCCCAAAACATTTCCTAACCAAGGCATGCTAGGCCAGGATAAATCGTGCCTGCACATATAAAACAGAAGGGTACAGTGGCTGCTCCAGTTTGGAGCACCCAGGTCCTCCTATAAGAAAATATGGTTTACATTCCCAAATTAGTCATTATTAATGGGAAGGGAGAACCAATAAGTGCATGTGAGAGTTGAGAGAAGACCAGTTGGGAAACTTTCAGATGTTTACTTTTGCCTTCTGACAGTCGATCAGCATCCATCTTTCACTCACATCCTGTAAAACCGAGTTTTGTTAAAGCAGCGTCCTGTTTCTAGAGTCTAGGATAGCGGGATTTAGTGAAGAGTCTAGGATAGCGGGATTTAGGGAACGGGTCTTCTCCACCTTGCCCAACTTGTGGCTTTTTGGGGTATCTCGCAGAGTTATAAATATCTAGAGTTCTCCCTAGTTTTTCTGATAGCCACAGCATCTGAGGACCCTGTCTTTCCCCGTCTTGAGGTTCGAGTTTCCTCACCTTGGTCAGTTTTCCCGTCTCTGGCTAGGCTCCGAAAATAGACTGTGCAGAGCGTGGCGTCTCTCCGTTGCTAGGGTAACAACTTTGTTTTGTTCCCGCCCCCCACCTGCCAACCTCCGGGTTCCCGCTTGACTTTTCTGGCCAATCATAGAAGAGTCTCATCTGAGACTGCACTGGAATCGACCAATCCGAGCGCGTCCAGGTCAGGGTCACTGGTCGCCCTTTCTAGTTAACCAGGTCGACCCCTTTTAAGCCTCAGTCTCGGTTAGCTTCACTTCAGCGGGAACCTGCCCACTAAGGAGGCCGATTCTTTCCGGCTCGAGCAGGTCCGGACCCGCCCCTCTGGCGTCTAGCAGTCTCGGAGGCCTGCCCGTATAGTTCAGGGCCGGACAGCGAGCGGCGGCGACTTGCCAGTAAGGTAAGTTTGTGGGGTTTTCGTTTGTCCCGTTCGTCAGCAGGCTTCGCTCTCTTTTGCGCTTTTCCCGCGCGTGAATTCCCGATCTGAGGACTCGAACTCCAGCCGATCTGGAGAGACGGGGGCAGAAGGGTAGGGTCAGTGGGCCGGGGGTAGAGAAGGTTTTGCTACAGTCCTCCACGCCCCCAGCCTTTCACGTCTCCCCCACGCGACAGAAACACGTGTTGTGCTTCTGTCTTGGCTTGTCGCGGGCGATAGTGTGTTTGTATGTGTGCAGGTGGGATCGCGCTTTTTATTCTCCTCTGTAGGCAAGGCTTCCGGGCCCCAAGTCCCCGGGGGAGCACCTGGTCAACTGCCACCCGGTTCCTGTGGGGCACTGGCTTGAGCTACGTGTCGTTCCCACTCTAAGGAACATCGCGACTCCGGGAGCTCTGCTTTTCCCGCCTCGGAGTGGAGAAAAGCAGGCGCGCCGCTCGCTTGCCACTGCTAGGGAATCTGGTTGTCTTAAGTTCACTTAGAGATAGAGTTGTTACCCTAGTTTCCCATAAATTCCGTGGCTTGGTTTTAAACAAAGGGGCGGCGGGGGGATGGCGTAATAAATATTTGGAGTATTCAGGACTGATTAGCCATGATCAATAGTAGGACCCCACAGAAGGTTTTAATGAATGGTTACTTTTGGTTATTCAGGTATTGGAATTTGATTATGAATGAACTAAACTGCTTCCCTTCTTTCTATATACCATGCATTTCTTAACGACCATCCCATCTGGCATAAGAGATAGTGAAGTTTGATTAATTTGTCCCTTCTACTTGTTCTTATCTACAGTAAACAAAAAATGGGGGTAGAATAAGGTTATTGGCTAAAGTAACGTTATTGGCCTTTTGGCCAAATTACCAATACCTTAATTCCGCTTATTACTGTGAATGATCAGAGTTTAGCTGTCTTGCATTTTGCTAATTCACTAGATACTTGTGGAGCTTAAATTATAGATATTATGCCATCTCCTTCTTCTTGCTTTTTTGTTTTTATTCTGCCTCACTGTGCATTATTCTAAGTCTGTAATGCTCAGCCGGTGTTTTTCAGACCTTTTGACTGTGACCGACAGTAAGAAATAAATTTTATATTGTGACCTAGTACACATGTAGACAATATATAACCGACAACTGTTTTTACAGAAACAACACTTAACACTTACTACTTGCAATATACTCTGATAATTTCCATTACATTTTAAAAAATGTACACCACAACACCCTAATGATTTGTCCCTAGACCTTTAGTTTTCAAACTTGTGTGTGCACTTTATTTAAAATTTATTTAAATAAATAATTTATTTAAAATTTATTTAAATAAATAATTTATTTAAAATTTATTTAAATAATTTATTTAAAATTTATTTAAATAATTTATTTAAAATTTATTTAAATAAATAATTTATTTAAAATTTATTTAAATAATTTATTTAAAATTTATTTAAATAATTTATTTAAAATTTATTTAAATAATTTATTTAAAATTTATTTAAATAATTTATTTAAAATTTATTTAAATAAATAATTTATTTAAAATTTATTTAAATAAATAATTTATTTAAAATGCAGATTGCCCTGGCTCCCTCCAGAAATTGGTTCTGTGGTCTAGTGGGACCCAGGAAGATATACAATATAGCATATATGAAATACTTGGTACAGTGTCAAGTGCACAGGTGTTCAGTGAATATTAGTTTTCTTCTTGGGGAACAAATGTTATTTATCTTTAGGGATATAATCAACTCTTCAAGGTTTCATCTGTCCCTGGCAAGGTGGCGTCCAATACTAAGAACTGTTTTCCCCAGGTAGAGGAAGTAGCGGGGTGGGGGATGGGTCCAGGATCTGAGATTAATCTTTAAGCAGTTGGCTTCCCTGAACAATGTCGGAAATACAGAAGCTTAGAGGTTGAGGAACATAAGGATTAGAGAGGTTCTGTGACTTTCCCAGGATTGTGCTGTCAGTAAGTGGATCTCCGAGACTAGAAGTCACTTCCTTATTCTAATATTCTTGTCCATTCTGCCTTGATAGCAGCCGCAATCTGGAGGCAGTGGTTGAAGCAGAAAGAGAGCTTCCCTAACTTGCCTATCCCAAAGGAGAGACAACTGAATTTGACTCCTAGTTCGGTTTTAAAGTAATGAAACTTCTAACCTGCACATTGTGCACATGTACCCTAAAACTTAAAGTATAATAATAAAAAAAAAGAATAATGGTGAAATAAAGGTTTTTTTAAAGGGAAAAAAAATAATGAAACCTGAGAGATCTAAAATATTTTTTAAAATACACCCAAAGGTTTCTGTGGATTTATAGCTATGAAAAATGGATATAGTTTAGCTAATTCTTTTATATAGAGTATTTTAAAACACTGGTTAAATAATTTATTAATGCAACATTGAAAGAAATTAAAGATGAAAAATCTCACTCAATTCTGCTACCATAATATAACTGATAATTCTGTTCCCCTCCTATCTTTATCCACATGTACCCATGTTTTTACATGATTGTGATCCTTTTTCATATACTTTTTTGTTATTTTTATTTAATACTGTTTTGGAAATTTTTTTCTGTGTTGTGATGATCTTTATATTTTGCATTATTAACAGCAACCTAATATTTCGTAGAGTGAGTTGGCTGTAATTTACTTAGCCTAACTAACCAACAACAGAAAATAAGATACTATGTGTCCTTTGAAAAGGGAGATGTAGCCAGGTGCGGTGGCTCACACCTGTAATCCCAGCACTTTGGGAGGCTGAGGCGGAAGAATCACTTGAATCCAGGAGTTCAAGACCAGCCTGGGTAACACAGTGAACCCCCATCTCCATAAAAAATATTAAAAAATTAGTCAGGCTTGGTGGCATGTGCCTGTGGTCCCAGCTACTCAGGAGGCTGAGGTGAGAGGATCGCTTGAGCATGGGAGGTTGGGGCTGCAGTGAGCTGTGATTACGCCACTGCACTCCAGCCTGGGCGACAGAACAAGATTGTGTCTCAAAAAAAAAAAAAAAGTAAAGGGAGATGTGCTAATATAGTTATTCCATGATGTCTTGGGTTATTTAAAATCATTTCTATAACTTATGTCTTACATAACAGTGAGCTCAATAGGAAGCCTAACAGGAAGGCCAGATCTAGATCTGGACCTGAGCTGGGAGTTTTTGCCCCTCTTGGATGTATGAATTTGACAATCAAGATTTCTATGTGCTAGAGCAGGCAGTGATCAGTCCTGGTGTCCTTTATACATATGAGTTAGGTTGAATGTACTTTTTTTTTTTTTTTTTTTGAGACGGTCTGCTCTGTCGGCCCAGCTGGAGTGCAGTGGTATGATCACAGCTCACTGCAGCCTCGACCTCTGGGGCTACAAGTAGCTGGGACTGTAGGCACATGCTACCATACCTGGCTAATTTTTTTTTTTTTCTTTTTTGGTAGGGACTGGGCTTCACCACGTTCCCCATGCTGGTCTCAAACTCCTGGGCTCAAGCAATCCACTTGCCTCAGCCTCCTAAAGTGCTGGGATTGCAGGTGTGAGCCACTGGGCCCAGCCATGAATGTTCTTTTTTTTTTTTTTTTTTTTTTAAGACAGTCAAGTGAAGCAAAGGGAGTGGAGAAGGAACAAAGAATTCTGTAACTGGTTGTGATTAATTAGTTGTATTAATAAATACCACTGTAGTCAGACCAGCCTGAATTTATTTTTTTACTAAGTATAGACATTTTTAAAATGATTTACTTTAAAAAATATATGAATCACAGCAGCTTCACATAGGTTCAAGTGCCATAGTAACACTCACACTGTTACTTTATGAATATTTTTTTCGAAGATTATATGAGTGTGTATTAATTTATAATTTAAACAATTTTTATAAAGGAGCCAATTAAGTTGGCTGGGAGAATAAAGGCTACAATTAGTCTATATTAGCACATCTCCATTTTCAAAGCACACATATTGTCTTATTTTCTGTCATTCTAAAACATTACTTCTTTAAAATTAAGAAATATTTCAAACAGAAAAATAGACTTATGAACCATCATCCATGTATCTACCAAAGATTTAACAATTGTTATAATTTTGCCACATTTTCTTTAAGGTGTTGATCTTTTTAAAGAACTAAAACATTACAGCTATCTCCTTATACCCCTTCCCAATCTCATTTCCTTCCCATCCCAGAGATACTTTTCCAAAGTTGGTATACATTTTTCCAATCTGTATTTATAAGTGCCCTGACATGTGGCCATAAATGATTTGTAATATATTGTTTTGTGTGTCTTTAAGATTTATATAAATGGTATAATTTATTCTTCTGAAGTTTTTTTTTCTTTTTTGAGATAGGGTCTCACTCTGCTGCCCAGGCTGGAGTGCAGCCACGTGATCTTGGCTCATTGCAACCTCCACCTCTTGGGCCCAAGTGATCCTCCCACCTCAGCCTCTGGAGTAGGTGGGACCACAGGTCTACAGGTGCGCACCACCATGCTTGGCTAATTTTTAATTTTTTTTTGTAGAGACAAGGTCTCACTATGTTGCTCAGGCCGTTCTTGAACTCCTGGGGTCAAGTGATCCTCCTGCCTCAGCCTCCCAAAGTGCTGATATTACAGGTGTGAGCCACTGTGCTTGGCCCTGCAGCATTTTTTTTTTTTTGGTCAGCAGTATTTTTGAGATTTTAAAATGCAAATAAAGTTATTTTTTATTGCTATATAGTATTCCAATATATGACTAAATCACTTTTAAAAAAATCTCCATTCCGTTATTGCTGTTGGACATTTAGGTTGTTGTAAATATAGAGATAAGATTCATATAAATCATGCAAATATTGTTATGATTCCACTTGCATGAGGTACCTAGAATAGAGTAATTCATAGAGACAGAAAGTAAAGTAGAGTTTACCAGGGGCTGGAGGAGGGAGGAAAAGGGAGTTAGTGTTCAGTGAGTACAGAGTTTCTGTTCAGGATGATGAAAAAGTTTTGTCAACAGATAGTTGTGACAGTTGAATAACATCATGAGTGTACCTAATACTACCAAAATTGTACAGTTTAAAATGGGTAAAATGGCAAATATTATATGTATTTTACCACAATTAAAAAACTAAAAATTAGAAACATAAGAATTATGCTTATTTTTTCAGAAGCATATGTTTAATTGCTTTATTTTCTGTGGAGTGAGGCCATGAAAAAAGTGAACATTCCTATTAAAAAATAAACTTTAAGTTATATTAGCCAGATCTGTTTTTCCTTGTAAATAACAGTTTTTGAGATCTTTATATGACAACTTTTCTTACTTGCATGTCTGTAAAAGGTTTTTATGATTATCATTCTTCAGAATTCTCCAGTTTTTTGTTTTTTGAGGGTTTTTTTGCTCTACTTTTCCAGAGTTTTGGGAAAGATTCTTATAAATATGGGCGTACCTTTGAGGCTGTCTTTTGCATTTGACTGCTATTCACCAGTTAGTTCTTTCAAGTATTTTACTCTCTCTCCTCTCCTCACCTACCCTCCCCTATTCCCTGCCCTCTCTTGCATCCCTCCATCCCCTTTCCAAGCTGCCATACCTCTTCCTAGGTCTTCATGCCCACACATACACTCTGCCATCCCTTGGGTCCTTCTCAGCTCCTCCAAGATTCTCTCTCTCTCTCTCTCTTTTTTTTTTTTTTGAGACGGAATCTCGCTCTGTTGCCCAGGATGGAGTGCAGTGGCGCGATCTCGGCTCACTGCAACCTCCACCTCCCAGGTTCAAGCGATTCTCCTGCCTCAGCCTCCTGAGTAGCTGGGATTACAGGCACTCACCACCACGCCTGACTAATTTTTGTATTTTTAGTAGAGACGGGTTTTCACCATGTTGCTCAAGGCTGGTCTTGAACTCCTGACCTCATGATCTGCCCACCTCAGCCTCCCAAAGTGCTGGGATTACAGGATCAAACTTCACATGAGCAATTAACAGTCTTCAGCAATATCACACTTTTAACATTTGAAGAATTGATCCATCCTCATTTGGGATTAAAATAAAAACTTTTTCTAGGTCTTAAAATTAGATTCTGACCTTAAGGCTTTGAGAAGCTATAGTATGAAGGGGGAAAAAAGAACTTAATGTGAAAGATAATCAGCAAATTATACTGCTTAAGATGTTTAATATGAACTTGAAACCAATGCACCATTTTCAGAAGCCCTATATTTTGTTTTGGCATAAGATGATTACCATTTGAAGTTTGATCCCTCTCTGTTTCCTTCAAAATGCCTGGGCTAACTTCACCTCTCCCTATCAATTTCTCTCTGGGAACAGAAACATTTAGAGTAAGACATTAGTAATTCAGTTTTTACTTCCAGAGTTGGCATGCATAACTATTACTGACAAATAGGGTCATTACTGTGCTTTGAGGCTTAGATTTTTCTACTTTCTTCTTGAGTACTTTTTCTGGAAGACTTTATATCTTGGTAGAACAAGGGGTTTCTTCTGTGAATTTGTACTTCCTTTGCATCTCTGCCTCTCTAATTAATGATGTGTTAAACAATCATATGTATTGCCAGAGGTTGCTATTTATAGAAATGGTTTTATAACATGACTAATCATATGTGAATTTTCAGGCCAGATCTCTCAGTCATGATGTTCTTGAGAAGGTTGAGTGCATTCGTGGAACTTGATGATTGTCAATAACTAGGCGGTTTAGGGAAAATGTTGCCTCTAAAGAAGAATAGTCTATTTGCTTCTAAGAAACTAGGAACAATTTTTAATAAATCGTATGGCTAAGCTTCTGTGCTGGTCACCTCTTGACAGTCATTTCTCAAAGTAAATGTAGGGGAATGAATGATTACTCTCAAAATCATTTATACTTTGTGAGACAGAAATCCTTAAACATTATGCTGAAATGGCTTATGATAGGTACCCAGGCTTGAACTGATTTTGTTTCTGCCTTTTGACACACAGTAGATTTATCTTCCTAATGATGTGTTGCTTAAGCTAGTATTAAAATAGAAGAATAGTGTCCGGTTCCTTCACTTACTAGTTGCTTGACCCTAGGAAAGTTAGTGTCTCAGAGCCTCTGCTTCCTCAGCTATAGAATGGAGATCAAAATACCTTTTTGGTTTGTTGTTAGGTAATGAAGGTAAGGGATTTCAGTTTCAATAAGTGCTTCCTTTTATCTTTTCCCCTTTATATTACATAAGAGAGTCTAGAACTTGAGTGATAAAGTGGTGTGTCCTGAAATGACCATCATTTATTGATTCTAGATCAGGTTTCCTACTACCAAGAACACTCCCAGAATCAATAAATAATAGTAGGTAGTACACAGAGCAGATAATTTGCATGCTGATACATGAGATAGATGAATAGTAATTTTTTAAAATTATAGTTTGAAATCCAGTTTATGTTCACTGTCTGGGCCAGCTGATAGTGTGTCCAGAATTGGTTCCTTCTGGTGGGTTCTTGGTCTCGCTGACTTCAAGAATGAAGCTGCGGACCCTCGCGGTGAGTATTACAGTTCTTAAAGATGGTGTGTCCGGAGTTTCCTCCTTCTGGTGGGTTCGTGGTCTTGCTGACTTCAGAAGTGAAGCTGCAGACCTTTGCAGTGAGTGTTACAGCTCTTAAAGGCAGTGTGTCTGGAGTTGTTCATTCCTCCTGGTGGGTTCGTGGTCTTGCTGGCTTCAGGAGTGAACCTCCGCGGTGAGTGTTACAGCTCATAAAGGTGGTGCGTCCAGAGTTGTTCTTACTCCCGATGGGTTCGTGGTCTCACTGGCTTCAGGAGTGAAGCTGCAGACCTTCACGGTGAGTGTTACAGCTCATAAAGGCTGTGTGGACCCAAAGAGTGATCAGCAGCAAGATTTATTGTGAAGCGTGAAAGAACAAAGCTTCCACAGCCTGGAAGGGGACTCGAGTGGGTTGCTGCTCCTGGCTCGGGTGGCCAGCTTTTATTCCCTTATTTGGCCCCACCCACATCCTGCTGATTGTTCCATTTTATAGAGTGCTGATGGGTCCATTTTACAGAGTGCTGATTCGTCCGTTTTTACAGAGTGCTGATTGGTGCATTTACAAACCTTTAGCTAGACACAGAGCGCTGATTGGTGTGTTTTTACAGAGTGCTGATTGGTGTGTTTACAAACCTTTAGCTAGACACAGAGCACTGGTTGGTGTGTTTACAAACCTTTAGCTAGACAGAGTGCTGATTGGTGCATTTACAATCCTTTAGCTAGACAGAAAAGTTCTCCAGGTCCCCACCTGATTAGTTAGACACAGACCTGATTAGAAGACACTGATTAGTTCTTCACCAGCAGTGAGGATAACCCCAGCATTATACTTTGGAAAGCTTTCACATAGCACTTTACATAAAATTAAATTAGACAAGGTAATATATGTGAAGAGTCCTATACAAACTTATTTTTAAAATAATATTTTGGTTATTCACTTAATGGAACCGTCAGAATTTTAGAAGTGAGGAAACTGAGGCTCCAAATGCATTTAAATGACTAGAACAGTCTAGTGGGCATCAACACTCATTCAGTTGTTTTCTTTATCTCCAGCCATTTAGTTAATTCAGTAAGCCCCATTTAGATTGGACTGCCAGGTAGGGAACATTCTGCTCATTTCTAGTAGCCCTTCTAATAAGCTCTGATGATTTTTGGGGGCCTAGTGTGCTTTCTGCTGAGGGCCTTTATCATCTAGTATTCCTTTCTTTGAATATGTGTGCTTGCATTGAGTCACCCAAGAGAGACTGTAAGCTGGGCTCAACATACAAAGCTGTAGTTTTATCAGTTTTAAGCTCCTGTAGTTAGGCAGTGTGGATAAGGAGAGGTTACTTAGAAGAGGAAGAGAGGTTGTCTGGAGAAACCCAACAAGGCAGAGATAGCGTATTCCTCTTGATTGCCACAGATAGGGAGTACAGACCTGTTTCCCATTTTTTAATAAAGTAATGATATGCATAGGGAAGCTAAAGTGTGCTAAGTTCCTGTTTGTTAAAAAAGGATAGGGAATACTGAATAATTTCAGACTTTGTTTTAAAAAATATAAATTTAACTCTGTGTGAAAAGAAATAATTCAAGAGAATGCTTACAAATTAATAGAATATGTAACTTCCACGCCTGGGAAAAATTAAGAGAATAAAGAAAATCTCATCAATCCAAATATGCAGAAAAAGATAAAAGATATATAGAGCCTGGCAAATAAAAAATACAAAGTAAGATGGAAGAAAAATCCAGTAGTGTTAGTAGTCACAATAAATGTAAGTAAGTTAAACTCACTAAGAGACTGTCAGATTGGATTTAAAATATTTCGGCTATGCTACTTACAAAAACCACATTTAAAATGACACAGAAAGGTTGAAAACAAGGGAATAGAAAAAGATGCACTAGGCCAATACCAACCTAAAGAAAAATGGTGAGGCAACATCAGTGTCAGACAAAATATGATTTAAGGCAGTTTAGTAATAATTAGTTACTTCATACTGATGAAAGAAAGAAAACTTACCAAGAAGAGTCTGTCAACTGTGAACTTCATATAGGCCCCTAACAATACAGTCTTGAAATACATAAAGGAGGCCGGGCGTGGTGGCTCACACCTGTAATCCCAGCACTTGGGGAGGCTAAGGCGGGTGGATCACCTGAGGTCAGGAGTTTGAGACCAGCCTGATCAACATGGTGAAACCCCATCTCTATAAAAATACAAAAAACAAAAAAATTAGCCAAGCGTGGTGGCACATGCCTGTAATCCCTGTTACTTGGGAGGCTGAGGCAGGAGAATCACTTGAACCTGGGAGGCGGAGGTTGCAGGAGGTTGCAGTGAGCCAAGATTGTGCCATCGCACTGCAGCCTGGACAACAAGAGTGAAACTCCATCTCAAAACAAACAAACAAACAAAAGAAATATATAAAGGAAAAAGCAATGGGATTATAGGGAAAAACTGACAATTCATAATAATTGGAGGCTTTTAAACACCTTTGTCAGAAACTGGTCAAGCAAAATAGATTAAAAAATAAAAAAAGCTAAGGATATGAAATATTTAAGATCTAAATGAGATGGAAGGGCAAGAATATTTAATTCCAAATTTTTAGTGACAAAAATGTACTTTTAGTCCAAAAAGTGATTTTTTTGTTTTATTTCTCAAATTTCTAAGGCAGAAAAAATTAAAGTTATGTGCTACATTTAATAGGAAGATTCTTAAATTATTTCCAAAAGAATAGAAATTCCATAAATGCAAGGGCATAGGAAAAAAAATCCACCTTTTGATGGCTACCAGAAAACTTTAGTTTTGTCTGCAATATGACATTGATGACAATACCTAAATCTGGAAGTGTTTGTCAATTTCTTTTACAGGATAAACACCCACCATGGTTTGACAACAATGAATTTTTCTATCAATATTTATATTATCATCATGTATATTAAAACATATAACACATAAATAATTATATGTTATAAAACCTATAATAATATTATAATTTATAACAACATAGCACTTGTAACCTCAGGAAAGTGGTACACTTGGGAATATAAAACTAAACACAGCAAATGCTCTTATTGCTTCCCTTTCTGTGCCTTCCAGGATTGAGTTGTTACAGTTGAAATCACCATTTGGAGCTCACATTTAAA
Organism: Homo sapiens; assembly: GCF_000001405.40. Taxonomy (NCBI): domain Eukaryota; kingdom Metazoa; phylum Chordata; class Mammalia; order Primates; family Hominidae; genus Homo; species Homo sapiens. Next base: position 107,195,697 of record NC_000023.11, on the reverse strand, counting down.
AAGTTTTAAGATGTGTATAAGACTTGAAAATAAGCATGTTGTAACTAACACATTCAGATAAATGTTGTCCTTCAGAGTTACTCTTGGGAAAGTTTTCCCTTATACCCATGACACTAACAGTATTCAAGATGCTGTATCTCAGCCATTTAAAGAGGTACATTTTTTTCATGTCTTAACATCTCTGAAATGGAGGCAAGTCCAATAGTTGAATGGTATCTTTTGGCCAGGTGGCAGTTGTGACATGATAGTTGTTCCTGCATGCACAGATAATATCAAAATCTTTAGGATCAAAACTTTCATAATGGATGACTGAAGTGAAAAATCCCTGAGACAATGGAGGATCACCTTTAACTCTTAGAAAATAGTGGTTGTGGGGAATGAATGGAGGAGATAGTAAATCAGATTTAGTTACCAATATGCTGAAATGGGAGACAAAAGGAAGCTAGTCTACATATTTGCAAAGCTGACTTAAGAGCATAGCAAAAATGGCTTTTAGTTCTCTTATAATTTATTTTTTAAAATGCTGCTTTAACAGTGCTCCTGGTGGCATAGAAGTTATCAAGAAATTTGTGTTGACAATTGGGGCCTGGCACGGTGGCTTATGTCTGTAATCCCAACACTGGGAGGCTGAGGCAGGCAGATCATCTGAGGTCAGGAGTTCGAGACCAGCCTGGCCAACACAGTGAAACCGAGTCTCCACTAAAAATACAAAAATTAGCCAGGCATGGTGGCACATGCCTGTAGTCCCAGCTACTCAGGAGACTGAGGCGGGAGAATTGCTTGAATCCGGGACGCGGAGGTTACAGTGAGCTGAGATTGTGCCACTGCACTCCAGCCTGGGTGACTGAAGGAGACCGTCTCAAAAAAAAAAAAAAAAAAAAAAAAAGAGAGAAAGAAAAGAAAATTGGACTCAATGTGAATTTTTGAGATACATTAACCAAGTTACTTTGCTTATACGTTTTTCTAATATATGCATGTTTGATTAAAATCTATGTCTACAATGAAAAGAGCTCTTTCAAAAAGTATTTAAAAATTAAATAATAAGGAATTATGACAGGTTGGTGGTTTTTCTCCCTTCCTTTCTTAGTGGTGCATAAAGTAATGCAACTCTTAGTTTTAATGAGACATTTTTGAAATTTGTTAGAATTGCCTTTCAGAGCTACTGTGTTAAAAACTAATTTTTAGTCATCTCATTTTATTAATTTTGACTGGGATAGAATTATAAGTTCACAATGACTTTTCCCTTAACACTTTTAAGATATTTTCCCACTGTCTTCTAATGTTTATTATTGCTAATGAAGAGCCTGCTGTCAATCTAGTTGTTGCTCCTTATTAGGTAAATTTGTTTTTTTCTCTCTGGTAACTATGAGAATTTTTTCTCTATAGGGTTTCAATATATTGTATATAACGGGTATGTGTGTTTGTATGGTAGTGAGGAGGGATTGCCTGCTTGCACTTGGTGGCTTTTTAAATCTGAGAACTAATTTTTCTTCAGTTCTAGGAAATTCACTTATCAACTCTTTGAATACTGCCTCTGCCATTCTATTTTTTCCTTCTCTGTTCCTTCTGGATATATATTGGAGCTTCTTTTTCTCCTTATCTCTTAATTCTCTCCCCTTTTCCATCTTTCTTATTTATTTATTTTTATCTGCCCTCGGTACTGGCAGATTTTTTTCTGTTCTCTCTTCTAATTTGCTAATTTTTTTCTCTTCAACTGTGTAGTCTATTATTTAAATCTGTCTTTTGAGCATTTTTATTTCTAATACTGTTAGGCGTTTCTTGGATTTCCTTTTGGTTCTTTTTCACATTCACTTAGTTTTATGGATGCTATTTCTTTCTTGAGCTCTTTGAACATATCAGACATATATTTTGATGTGCTGTTCAGATTGTGCTTTTATCTCTAATTTCTGGGATAAGAATTCTCTCATTTTCTTAGGTCTAAAGATGACTGACTTAGATGTTTTGTATATCTTGTCTGTGAGTAACCTTCTAAGGGCTTTTTTTTTTTGACTATATGTGACCTAGGAAGTGGAGATGTCCCTTTTGAGTAATGTCATGGGCAACCTGCCTGGACCTTGAAGGTTTTATCAACTCCTAACCAGTTTTTATGATAACATCTTATCTTGAAGTTTCTACATCACAAACATAAATTGAATTTGAGCCATCTATGCATATCTTCTGTAGCAGTTTGGGATTCTCACATGTTTCTTGTCTTTTCCATCCTCCTGTAGATGTTTCTCAGATTTAAACTTCACTAGGTCTCTGCTGATTCAGGAGCCTGTGGCCTTACCAGGTAGCCTTAAATCGTACCCCAAATTCAGCATTGTATTTCCAGCTATTAAGGCACATATCTCATTCAAGGTATCATCTTGGGCTAATCAACATTAACTTCTGCTCATGGGTATGAATTCCCTTTCTGTCTGACACTTAAAAAATTGTCCTTCTTTCTGGAAAAACTTTGCTTTGTATTAAAAAATGTTTTTATTAAATGATTGTAAACTGGTACTTCTAGAAGTTTGGAGTACGAGGGAGCAACTCCAGTGTGGCTTCTGTCCACCATCTTTTCTTTGAGGTCTCATTGAGAGCTCTAATTTTTTTTCCCATTCTTCTCTTATCCTTTTTTAGGGTTTGGAGTCATCAGCAGGTTTAATTTTGGAGGAACTTTACAGGTGGGTTCATTATTTGGCTCTGCAAAAACAACAGTGACTACTTCCACTACAGGGTTTATTTTCTCTACATCTGGTATAGGAGGGTTAAATTTGAGGGTGTTGTCCCAACCAGTTGCAAGTGCATCTTCATCTTCCACTGGCTTATTCACATCCAGCTCCAGCTACACAGACTACAGGATTCATTTTTGGAACACTGGTTGTGTCAACTCCTGCCCCAGTAGCAACTGAATTTTCCTTAGAGTAAGAGCAATACAGTTTCTGATTTTTTTTAGTGGATACAAAGGTAATTGTCTCTGAGAGACAAACTGGGTAAAGAAATGATATGTTATTTCTAAATCAACTATTTCTGGCCTGGCGCAGTGGTTCGCGCTTGTAATCCCAGCACTTTGAGAGGCCAAAGCAGGTGGATTGCTTGAGCACAGGAGTTTGAGACCAGCCTGGGTAACATGGCAAAACTCCGTCTCTACAAAAAATACAAAAAATTAGCCGGGCGTGGTAGTATGTGCCTGTAGTCCCAGCTACTCAGGAGGTTGAGGTGGGAGGATTGCCTGAGCCCGGGAGGTCGAGGCTGCAGTGAGCCATGATTGCACCACTGCACTCCAGCCTGGGTGACAGAGCGAGACGCTGTCTCAAAAATGAAAATCTATTTGGAATTATGCTATTTATTCCCAAGGTAGTCTACCAAATTGAAGGCAGCTGAGATTTGAGGCACAAGGCACACTGAATTCTGTACTGTGGACTCCCTTCATTTTATGTGAACCATAGGAGGAGTACTCACTGAGTTTTGGAAATGTATCATCTTGAAATTAGGCTACTTGCTGAATAAGTGACTCTTTAGAGAGATCTTTTTCTATCGATCATTGTAATGAACTCATTATATAGTTTTCCCTCATGCATCTCAGAATTTTAAAGGAGGTACTCATTTCATGCCTTTTTAGGTAAATCCACTTGTTTTTTTGTAGCACTGATAGCCTCATGTCTTTTAGTAGCACCTGAGAACCTGGTGAAAGCAAGGGTATTCCCTCTGGAATTCTCCTTTATCCTGTTATAGTTATCTAATAACTTGTAATTGAATGCTAAATAATCTTTCTTAGGAGGATTAATTTAAATATTAAAGCATTTTGTCATGGGTCATGAAATACATTTAAAAATTTCTAAACTTTTCTGTAGTTGGTTAGTGTGGAAAAAAAGATAAAAAATCTCTAAAAATTGTTTTAAAGAGATGCGTGTTGTTTGATTTAGTGTCTAAAACAAAAACTTGTGTTGTTTAATAAAGTGCTGGGCTGGCAGAAAGAGGAAGTATAAGTCCTTTTTTTTGTTTTGAGATGGAGTCTCACTCTGTCGCCAGGCTGGATTGCAGTGGCGTGATCTTGGCTCACTGCAACCTCTGCCTCCTGGGTTCAAGCAATTCTCCTGCCTCAGCCTCCTGAGTAGCTGGGATTACAGGCATGCGCTACTGTGCCCGGCTAATTTTTGTATTTTTAGTAGAGACAGGGTTTCACCATCTTGGCCAGGCTGGTCTCAAACTCCTGACCTCGTGATCCACCTGCCTCGGCCTCCCAAAGTGCTGGGATTACAGGTGTGAGCCACGGCGCCCGGCCATATAAGTCCTTTTGTCTCTACAGAAGACAAAATTTTCTGAACTACTCTTTCCCCATTAAAACATTTTTAAATGTTTTTCCCCTTAAGGTGGATCAAATTAGGTAACCTTTATCTATGAATGAGAAATATGGAGCTCTGTACATGTATTCCTATATTAATATCTGGTTATCTTTCTGTATTGAGATGAAATAACCTATAGAACAAAACCTTCACATTTAAAACTTAATTTGACAGGAGCCATGTTATCTAGTTGCCTTTTAATATGTCAGATAACTATTATGTTGATTTTTGTTTCCTTTTTTCTATTTAGAATGTGCCTGTATTAAAATACCTCATGTAACCGTAAAGTTATACACCTACTAAACCCACAACAATTAAAAAAAAAAAAAGTTGGACAACACTGCTTCCACACAACCTACAGTGATTACAGGGGCTTCTGGGGTAGGTGCCAACACCCTTACTAATGCTGCAACTAGCAATACCCTGTCACATGAGGTGACAGCATCCACTCCTTTTGCTTTTGGCTCTTCTCCCTCCTCTGCTATTTAGGTTTCTCATTCATCGGTGGAGGCACACCTCAGACTGGGAGCACCAGTTTCAATATTGTTTCCATGAGGCATGCCGCTCAGCCAACAGCATTTGTAGAATTACCCCTTATTCCTGCTACTTAGGCATCTAGTGGCACAACTGCTGTACAACCAATAGCTCCTTTCGTCCTTGGCAGACAGTCCACAAGTAAGGTTTGAACTCTGCTCTCTAATGGAGAAGCACAGTATTCAAGATTGATTTTGAGATTCTTACTTGATTGATTCAAATCCAAATGTGGTCACTTCTCTTGTTGGAGGTTAGTGTTATTGATGAATATAGGGGAAATTAAATACAAAGTGCCCCTTCTGGTTTATAGTTTTAGGTTTAGAACCAATCAATCTTTGTTTTGGAAAAAGCAACAAACTCCTGAGAACCAGTAGTCTAGACCAATTGGCATATAGTAATCAGAGTTACCCTGAAATATTTTGGCCAATTGTTTAATGCTTATGTTTAACAAATATTTCTTGTTCACAATCTGTTGATTGTTTTTCTTCCTCTCTTAAAACTTCTGAAATGAAATTTATCAGGAGGAACAATAGAACAAGAAAGCATATCTTTAGGGTAGTATGACATTTTAGAGAATATTATATGATGCAATAAGTCAGTTATATGGCATGATTTGGGAGTGGTATATTCTTGCTAAAATATTTTGGCTAGTGGAGACATCTTATATACTATATATGGGTAACCAGTTTCCAGTTAGGTTGCAGTAAAATACATTTAACTTGTATTCAACATTAATGAGAAGACATTCAGGATCTTGCTAAACCAAAATGCAGTTAATAAAATGTTATATACAGTGGACCATATAGTATATAATCTTTTGGGAATGCCTTTTTTCACTCAGCGTAATTTTCTGGAGATTCATCCAGATTGTTGTCTGTATCGATTCTCTTTCTTTCTTTCTTTCTTTCTTTCTTTCTTTCTTTCTTTCTTTCTTTCTTTCTTTCTTTCTTTCTTTTCTTTCTTTTTCCTTCCTTCCTTCCTTCCTTCCTTCCTTCCTTCCTTCCCTCCTTCTTTCTTTCTTTCTCTCTCTCTCTTTCTTTCTTTCATTGAGACAGGGTCTCGCTCTCTCTCTGGCTGGAGTACAGTGGCACGATCATGGCTTACTGCAGCCTCGACCTCCCAGGCTCAAGTGATTCTTCCACCTCAGCCTCCTGAGTAGCTGGGACCATAGACGTGCACCACCACACCTGGCTAATTTATTATTATTATTATTATTATTTGTAGGGACGGGGTTTCACCATGTTGCCCAGGCTGGTCTCAAACTCTTGAGCTTAAGCAATCCTCCTGCCTTGGCTTCCCAAAGTGCTGGGATTACAGGCATGGGCCACTGTGCCTGGCCTGCATGTTTCTTTTTATTGCTGCATACTGTTGTATTGTATGGATGTATTACAGTTTTTTTAAAACTATTATCTATGAATGGATATTTGTATTTTTTCTACTTTTTGGCTATTATGAATAAAGCTGCTATGAACATTTGTGTACTGATTTTTTTCATGAATATAAGTCTTCATTACTCTGGGATAAATACCCAGTAGTGCAATTTCTGGGTTATACAGTAGTTGCATATTCAGTTTTATAAGAAACTGCCAAACTTTTCCATGTTAGCTGTACCATTTTACATACCCACCAGCAATGTATACAAGATCTAGTTTCTTTGTATCCTCACTATCATTTGGTGTTACTATTTTTTATTTTAGCCATTTTTGTAGATAGTGATACCATAATTGTAGTTTTAATTTACAGTTTCTCTGATAGTTAATGATGTTGAACATCTTTTCCTGTACTTATCATCTGTATATCTTATCAGTTCATGTCTTTTTTTAGTGAGAAAAAAAGCATCCAAAATAGCAATGTATTATAGGAGTCCTTTTTGCATGAGGATTTGAGTAATGTCAGTGGATAATATAATTTTACAAAAGACAGAATGCTGTTTGTGATTTTTTCTATTGTTAAACTTACACCTAGGTATTTCTTTTTTTTAGAGATTGTACATGATATTGTGTTTGCTTTTCATCACTAGTATATAGAAATACAGTTGATTTTGTATGTCTATCTTGTATCCTGAAACATTGGAGAACTCATTTATTCTAGGAGTTTTTTTTGTAAATTTCTTATGATTTTTCTACATAGATAATTATGTCATTTGCAAATATAGTTTCATTTCTTCCTTTCCAATCTGATGCCTTTTTTTCTTGCCTTAATGCAATAGCTAGAACTTCCAGCACTGTTTTGGATAAGAGTGGTGAGAGCAAGTTGCCTTGTTATTGATCTTAGGGGGAAAACATTCGGTCTTTCACTATTAAGTATAGTCTTAGCTGCAGTTTTTTGTTGGTGTTCTTTATCAAGTTAAGGAAGTTCCCCTCTCTGTATTCCAATTTTTTTTGGCGGGGCTGGGGGAGTGGTGGGGGGGAGTTTTTACCATGACTGGGTGTTGAAGTTTTTCAAATGCTTTTTCTGCATCAATTGATATGGTCATGTGATTGGTTTTCATTATCCCGCTAATACAGTGAATTACATCAACTGGCCCTAAATATTGTAACAACCTTGCATCTCTGAAATAAATCCCACTTGTCATGGTATATAGTTCTTTTATATATTGTTGAATTATATTTGCTATTATTTCATTAAGGATTCTTGCATTTATGTTCATGAAGGATATTGGTCCGCAGTTTTCTTTTTTCTATTGTCTGTCTGGTTTTGGTCAGTAAGTAATACTAGCTTCATAAAATGAGTTGGTCAGTGAGTAATACTAGCTTCATAAAATGAGTTCTCCTGTTTTATTTTCTGAAAGAAATTCTTCAAACATTTGGTAGAATTTTCCAATGAAATCATCCCAACCTGGAGATTGATTTTTGGGAGTTTTCACATTTATGAATTCAAATTCGTTAATTGTCATAGGGCCAGTCAAATGATGTTTCTCATATTGATGAATTGTGGTCGTTTATGTTTTTTGAAAAGTTGGTCCATTTCTTCTAAATTATTAAATTCATGGGCATAGTATTCTTTTGATGTCTGCTAGGTATGTCATGATATCCCCTGTTTTCATTCCTAATATTTGTATTTGTGTTTTCCCTCTTTTATTGTCAGTCTTACTAGAATTGTTAATTTTATAGATCTTCCCAAAAATCAGCTCTTGGCTGGGTGCAGTGGCTCACGCCTGTAATCCCAGCACTTTGGGAGGCCTAGGCGGGCGGATCACCTGAGGTCAGGCGTTCAAGACCAGCCTGGCCAACGTGGCAAAACATCGTCTCTACTAAAAACACAACAGTCAGCCGGGCATGGTGGTGCGCACCTGTAATCCCAGCTACTCGGGAGGCCGAGGCAGGAGAATTGCTTGAACCCGGGAGGCAGAGGTTGCAGTGAGCCAAGACTGCACCACTGCCCTCCAGCCTGGGTGACAGAGCCAGACTTCATCTCAAAATAAATAAATAAATAAATAAAAGAATTAGCTGTTTGTACAATTTTTTTTATTGTTTTCGTTTTTAATTTTACTGAGTTTTTGGTCTTTTTTTCTGTTTGCTTTGGGCTTATTTTGCTATTTTTTTTCTCAGTTCTTCAGTTGGGAGCTTAAATTATTGATTAGATTTTTCTTCTTTTCTAATGTGTACATTTAATGCTGTAACTTACCCTGTCTGTACTGCTTTGTGTCTCACAAATTTTGATAGGATGTATTTTCATTTTCATTCAATTTGGTGTATTTTTAAATTTCTCTTGAGACTTCCTCTCTGACCCATGTATTATTTAGAAGTGTTCAGTTTCCAAATGTTTGAAGATTTTCCTGTTATCTTTCTAGTTTGATTCAATTGTAGTTGGAGAATGCACTCTGTATCATTTTAATTCTTTTAAATTTGTCGTTGTTTGTTTTATGGCTAAATATATGATCTATCTTGGTATTTCTTTCATGGGCACTTGAAAAGTATGTGTATTCTTTTGTTTTGTTTTTTGAGACAGAGTCTAGCTCTGTCACCCAGGCTGGAGTTCAGTAGCGTGATCTGCAACTTCCGCCTCCCGCATTCAAGCAATTCTCCTGCTTCAGCCTCCCAAGTGGCTGGGATTACAGGCATGCACCCCCATGCCCAGCTAACTTTTGTATTTTTAGTAGAGACAGGGTTTCACCATATTGGCCAGACTGGTCTCGAACTCCTGACCTCAAGTGATCTGCCCACCTCAGCTCCCAACGTGCTAGGATTACAGGAGTGAGCTATCACGCCCCGCTCGAAAAGTATGTGTATTTTTTACTACTATATAATTCATCCATGTAACCAAAAACCACTTGTACCCCAAATGCTACTGACATTTTTTTAAAGTAGTAGATATGTAGGATGAACAAGTCTAGAGATCTAATATATAACATCATGAGGAGTATAGTTAACAAAATTGTGTATTAAAAGTATCTGCAAAACTGAGTAGATTTTTGCTGTTACACAAAAAAATGGATAATTATGTAAGATGATGGCTATGTTAATTTGCTTAACTATAGTAACTGTTTTATTATTTATATGTATCCCATAACATTATGTTTAATATATTAAATATACCCAATAAATTGATTTTTAAAAATGAAAAGTATGTGTATTCTGCTTTGTTGGGTGAAGTGTTCTATAAATGTCAATTAGATCCTGAAGGTTCATGATGTTTTTGAGTTCTTCTGTATCCTTGCTGATTTTCTGATAAGTTCTATCAGTTGGTAAGAGACGGGTATTGAACTCTCTAACTGTGTAATAGTGAATTTCTCTGTAAGTTTCATCAGTTTTTGCTTTACATATTTGGAAGCTCTGTTGTTTGGTTCATACACATATGATTACTAAGACTTCTTAGAGGATTGGCCCTCTTATCATTGTAAATATCCTCCTCTGTCTATGGTAATTTTCTTTGTTCTGAAGTCTACTTTGTCTGATAATAATATATCTACTCCCTACTCCCTTTTGTTAAATGTTGCATGGTATATTTTTTCCCATCTTTTAACTCTTAACTTGCCTATATCATTACTTTTGAAGTGACTTTCATACAGACAACATATAGTTGAGTCGTGTTTTTAATTCCTTCTACCAATTTTTAATTGGTATGTATAGGCCATTTACATGTACTATAATTATTGTATTGCTGTATTAGGGCTTAAGTGTGTCATTTTTTAAATTATGGTTTTCATTTCTTTCTTTTCCATTTCTGCCTTCCTATTGGTTATGTGAACATTTTTTAGAATTCCATTTTGATTTGTCTATAGTGTTTTTGAGAGTATCTTTTTGTATAGCTTTTACGGTCACTCTAGATATCATATACAGTATACATCTCTTATCACAGTCTACTGGCATTGCTATTTTACCAGTTTGAGTGAAGTCTAAAAATTGTTCCTCCCTGTATGTCCCTTAACCCTTCCCCATTTGTAATGTAATTGTCTTGACTATTTCCTCTACATATATTTAGAGCCATATCAGACAGGGTTATAATTTTTGCTTCAGCTTTCAAACATAATTAAGAAAACTGAAGGTAAGAAGGAAAGCCTATTATATTTACCCATATTTTTGCTTTTATTTGTTGTTTTTTACTTCCCGAGGTTCCAAGATTCCTTCTTTTATACTTTCCTTTCTGTTTTAATAATTTCCTTCAGCCATTTTTTTTTTTTTTTTTTTTTTTTTGAGACGGAGTCTCGCTGTGTCGCCCAGGCTGGAGTGCAGTGGCGCGATCTCGGCTCACTGCAAGCTCCGCCTCCGGGGTACACGCCATTCGCCTGCCTCAGCCTCCCGAGTAGCTGGGACTACTTTTACGGTAGTCTATTGGCAACAGATTTTCTGAGCTTTCCATCATCTCTCAATGCCTTGATTTCCTCTCTTTTTTCTGGAGGATATTTTCGTTAGCTGTGAGTTGACAGTTCTTTTCTTTCAGCACTTGAAAAGTATTGGGCTACTTCTTTCTTGCTTTCCTGCTTTCTGATGAGAAATCCTCTGTCATTTAAATAGTCTTTTCTCTCTTGGTTAGATGCTATTTTTCTCTTACTGCTTTCAAGTTTTTTTCTTTGCCTTTGGTTTTCAGAAGTTTAATTATTATGTGTCTTTGTAAATTTCTTTGTGCTTATCCTTTTTGGGTTCGCTCTGCTTCTTGAGTATGTTCATTTATGCCTCTTTGGCATAAATTTGGAACATTTTCACCTATTTTTCTATCAGCTATTATTTACTTTTTAGCGCTACCCTCTTTCTCTTCTTGTCTCTGATGACACGAAAGTTAAGTCCTTGGTTATAGTCCAACAGGACCTGATGCTCTGTTAATTTTTTTTCAGTCTATTTTTCCCTGTTGTTTGGATTGGATAATTTCTATGATTCTATCATCCAGTTCACTGATTCTTATTTCTGTACTCTCCCTCTATTCTACTACTGGGTCCTTCTACCAACCTTTGCATTTCATCTATTACAAATTTTTCATTCTAAAATTTTTGCTTGGTTCTTTATAACTTCCGTTTCTTTACCAATAATTAATTAGTTTCTTTCTTTCTTTCTTTCTTTCTTTCTTTCTTTCTTTCTTTCTTTCTTTCTTTCTTTCTTCTCTTTTTTTGTGCTGAGGCGGGTTTTTTCATTTGTTTGAAGTGTGTTAATAATTGTTTGTTGATGAATTTGTTTTACATGAATGCTTTAAAATCTTTGTAATTTTTAAACTGAAACCTAGATATTCTCATACTATGTTATGAGACTCTGGATCTGATTTAAACCTTTTGCTTTGGCTGGCTTTATTTGACATTGTTCTGGTGGAGGGGGGGGAGGTGCTGCCTTTTTACTGCAGAATGGGAGTAGGACTTCAGTTTCCATACTTGGTCTCAGTGGACACCTGAAATGAGGGTCTCCAAGTTACTGCTAGGTGGAGTGGGGATTCCTGCCCCCGACATGGTTTCTGCTGGCAAGGTGAGGATGGAGTTTATTAACTGCTGGCAGGGATGAAAAACCTGGCTTCGAGTTTGGTCTTCTTTTATACCACCCTGGCGAGGGTGTTGGGATGCCTTATTATAGCCTCACAAGGGTGGGTGTCTAGGCTCTCCTGGTGTTTGCTAGCATGAGTGCAGATAGGACCACAGATTTTTCTGTGGTGGTTGGTTATAGTTGGAGTGGTTATTGTCTAAAAGTTTTCTGACTTGCTTGGCTGCCCCCTCCCTTGCCCTTTGTCTAAAAAAAGCAGACTTTTTTGTTAGGGCTTTTTGAAAAATTTATACCCATTGGCATTTCTGGGTTGCCAGCCTGTTCAACTCCAAGCCTGGGAAATATGAGGCAAAAAGAAAACCTAGGGAACTCACCACCATATTGTTCCTTTGGTTTTGGAATCCCTAGCCAGTTTGCCTTCTTCTCTCTACCTTTCAGAATCTTCTTAGGTTTATTTATTTTTTATCTTATTTTACTTTTTTCTCTTTTTTTAAGCAATAGAGCCAGGGTCTCATTATGTTGCTCAGGCTGGTTTTGAACTCCTGAGCTCAAGTGATCCTCCCACCTCAGCCTCCCAAAGTCCTAGGATTACAGGTGTGAGCCACCACTCCTGGGCTTCTTACGTCTATTTTATATGTAACGTCCTGGGGTTTTAGTTGTATCTAGGGGGAAGAAGAGGGAGAAGTACAGCTACTCCATCTGCCCTGAAATGGAAGTCCTTAAGATTTTAATTAATTAGAGACATGGTCTCACTCTGTTGCCCAGGCTGGAGTACAGTGGCACAATCACAGCTTACTGCAGCCTCAAACTCCTGGGCTCAAGTGATTGTCCCGTCTCGGCCTCTGGAGTAGCTAGGACTGCAGGCACATGCCGCCATGCCTGGCTAATATTTTTCTTTTAAGACAGGGTCTTGCTATGTTGCCCAGGGTGGTCTTGAACTCCTGGCCTCAAATGATCCTCCCTCTTTGTCCTCCCAATGCACTGGGATTACAGGCATGAGCCACCACACCTAGCCTAAGATTTTAGTTATTATGTTGTCAAAACTTTCATTTTTTAGGGGTTCTCTCACAGCTTATTCATATAGGCCTTTCCATCTCAACATTCTTATTTTTTTGGTTATTTTGTGTTTTATATTTTTAAGAATCTTAATTTTTCCCCCTAAGAGATTAGTGAATTGAACCATTGTGTTTTGTTAAATAGACATCCTTTCTCTATTAATTGAAGTTGCTGCCTTCCTGATACACCAAATTATTGTTTGACTTGGCTTGACTCTGCTTCTAGGCTTTCTATTCTGTTCTGTTGATCTCTTTTTCTTGTTCTAGTACTACCATTTTTGTTACTGTAGCATGCCCCCCCTATCTTGTAGTGTAAGGTCACTACCTCTATTCTTTTAAAAAAAACTGCTATTTTCTATGTCCTACTATTTATTAAGATAGTTGGCATTTTCTTAAGTTCTTAAACGTAAAGGAATTAAGGCTGATTTTGGGATCCTTATAGCACTAGATGGAGGAAATTGTGATATTGAACCCTTCTTCTAGTTCAGTAGTTCTCAGCTGGAGACAGTTGGCCCCACCATGGGGGAATTTTGGCCAAATCTGGAGACATTTTTGGTTGTCAAGACTAGGGAGATGCTACTGGCATCAGAGCCCAGGGATGCTGCTGAACATCCTACAGTGCATAGTTCAGTCCCCCACAGCAAAGAATTATTTGGTAATGTCGAACAACTCTGATCTTGTCCTTTAATTAGGAAGCTAAGGTTTTTGTCTCTTAAATCCTTTTCTAAGATTCATTTAACTTAAAAGCAAATCATATTAAGTGGTATTTGCTCCCCTAGTTACCTTTAGGTATGTGATTTAAGGTCAGGCGCCTGAAATTATGCCAGTATCTGGGACAAATGATCAAGATTTTTAAATACGGGCATAAATCAAGTGTAAATTTAATTAGAGATAGTAAAGAGGTTTCAGTAATATGACCAGTTACAAAATAAATAATACAAAAATCAATAGCTTTCCCATGTTTAAGCAATAGCAGTTGGGAAATATAATGGAGAAAGGTCTAATTAACAATTTCAGCCAAAAGTATGAGATGCATAGGAGTAAACTTTTAAAAATATGCATGACTTAGATGAAGCAAACCACAACATTTTACTGATGAATGTAAAAGAGGATGTGAATAAATGAAAAGACCCACTGAATGCTCAGACCCTATAAGATAAAGATGTCATTTATCTTTGAATTAATCTATACATTTCATGCAATTCTCGTAAAACCATAATGGGAATCTTTGGGGGAAGGAAAGGAAGGAAGGACTTGACAAGATTTTAAAGTTTATATGGGGGAATAAATGCATGAGACAAGCCACCTCTATTTTTTTTTTTAGGAAAGTAATGAGAACTTGCAAGAAAATATGTGAAAATTATTATAAATTTATTCTTTTCCTGTAAATTTAAAATATTATGTAACATAAAAATAAAATAATTCTAGTGCTATGGAACAGGGATAGAAAGAAAAATCAGTGAAATATTTTGAAGTACAGTGCAGAAACAAACCTGTGCTTGTGAAGGTGACATTTCAAATTTGTGAGATAGAGAAAAGAGTAGTGAATAAATGAATTGCAGTAGCTGGCTAACCAGTTATTGTGGGTAAGGGGATGAATTTTGCCTAAAAAGATTAACTGAAAAAAATCCTTGGTTACTTAAGGTAGAAAGTAAAACCATAGCCAGGTGCATGGCTCATGCCTGTAATCCCAGCACTTTGGGAGGGCGAGGTGGGTGGATCACTTGAGGTCAGGAGTTCAAGACCAGCCTGGCCAACATGGTGAAACCTCGTCACTACAGAAAAAAAAAAAAAAGTTGGGCGTTGTGATGCATGCCTGTAGTCCCAGCTACTAGGGAGGCTGAGGCAGGAGAATCACTTGAACCCAGGAGGCGGAGGTTGCAGTAAGCCGAGATCGTGCCACTGCACCACTCCAACTGGGTGACAAAGCGAGACTCCACCTCAAAAAAAAAAAAAAAAAAAGCGAAACCATAAATTTTTTTAAAGCATAGGTGAATATGAAAATATGTAAATAATATTTCTGGAGTTGAGGAGATAAGCATTTCTATAGGAGTTTAAAATAACATAGTCAAATGATTCAAAAATAAAACTATAAATAGCATAAATAGGTATATTATTCCCCATCTGCATCTTTATTACCCCTGCCCCTTTCCCATACTCAGTTAACCACTGTAATTGCGTATGTCTTTCCAGAGCTTCTTCATGAGTTTGTTGAGAAATAAAAATACATATTAGTCCTCTGCCTTTTTTGATATAAATGGTATACTCTAGACACTATTCTGTACCTTGCTTTTTAACTTGTATTCTGTACCTTACTTAAAAACTTTATGTGCTTATTTTACACATTTGGAATGTTTTCACATTAGTCAGTACATAGAGAACTTCAGTATGTTTTTCCTCAGTATTTTTTATAGGATCGTAGTATTCCATGCTCTGGATGTGCTATAATTTATATATCCAGTCCCTTGCTGATGGCCATTTGGGTTGTTTACATAATCCTTTACTAATACAAACAGTGATGCAATGGATATCATTTTACATGTCATTTTACAGGTATTCAAGTATATTTTTGTGGCTAAATTTCCAGAAAAAGTATTGCGGGTTCAAAAGATAGATGCATTTGTAATTTTTAAAACATTGACCAGTTGTTTCCCATAGTTGTACCAATTTATCCCCCCATTTGGAATCTGTGAGGCTGCCTGCTTCTTTATAGTGTCCTTAACAGAGTGTGTTTAGTTTTTGACTTATTGTCATTCGTTAAATGAAATTATTCTCAATGTAGTTATAATTTGCAATTTTCTCTTAAAAATGAGGTTGAACACCTTTTCATATGTTTAAGAGAAAAGTCTTTTTAAACATGATATGAAGACATAGACTATTATATAGAGACATAGACAGAGAGAAAAAATGATGGAAAGATTTGACTACATAAAAATAAAATAAAAACTGAATGGCAAACTGGGGTAGAGGAATTATTGCAACATATGACAAAATAAATAGCCTTGATATACACTTTTATTAAAAATCAGTAATAGTGTTGGTAGGAGTATAAATTGTCTCAATTTCTATGGAAAACAATATGGAGATTTCTCAGAGAATTAAAAATAGAACCACCTTTTGACTTAGCAATTCCACGCTGGGTATCTATACAAAGGAAAAGAAACCAGTATATAAAAAAGACACTTGCACTTACATGTTTATTGCAGCACTGTTCACAATGGCAAAGTCATGAAATCAACCTCAATGTCCATAAGTGGTTGATTGGACTATGCAGCCATAAAAAGAATGAAATCATATCGTTTGTGATATCATGGATGGAGCCAGAGGCCTAAGTGAAGTAACTCAGAAACAGACAATCAAATATTGCATGTTCTCATGTATAAGTGGGAGCTAAACGGTAGGTACACATGGACATTAAAATGAAAATAATAAACACTAGGGACTCCAAAAGGAGAGAGTTGGGGGTAGGGGTAAAGGTTGAAAAATTACCTATTGGGTACTGTGTTCACTATTTGGGTGATGGGTACACTAGAAGCCCAACCCCCACTATTATGCAATATATCTATGTAACTTTAAAATAAAATTTAAAAATATCAGTAATAAGACAGTATTCTTTGATGTGAAAATGGGCAGATGACATGAATAGGCAATTTCAAATGAAAAAATTGAAGTAGCAATGAAACCCATATTAAAAATTCAACCTCTCAGATAGGTAATGAATTGTAAATATAAATGCCTTTGCTATACAATTGGTTATTTCTTTTCTTTTCTTTTTTTTTTTTGAGATGGAGTCTTGCTTTGTTGCCAGGCTGGAGTGCGGTGGTACGATCTCGGCTCAGTGCAACCTCCGCCTCCTGGTTTCAAGCGATTCTCCTGCCTCAGCCTTCTGAGTAGCTGGGACTGCAAGGGTGTACTACCACACCCAGCTCATTTTTTTTTTATTTTTAGTAGAGACGGGGTTTCACCATGTTGGCCAGGATGGTCTCTATCTCTTGACCTGTATCCTCCTGCCTCAGCCTCCCAAAGTACAATTGGTTATTTCTTTAAAAGTGTACATATGGTTCTTCTCCTAAATGAAACATAGGGATATTGCACTGTGTAAATTTTAAGTAGCTTTTGTATGTGGTAAAGTTTCCAATTCCTTCCCCACATCTCCTTTCTGTTTCTTTCACCCCCAGAGGACCTAGATGTTTTGGATAGCAGAATCTTACATCATTTGTCACCATGACAGTTGAATGCAGGCAATAATAGGTGCAAGTACAGTTACTTATTAAGCACCTTTTTCCTTTTAAAGGTGAAATAGAATATCTGTAATTATGTGTTAGAGTCTAGAAAAAGTTGGTTCAATTCAGCAGAAACATTTATTGAACAATTACTATTATGTGCCATGTGCATTGATCTGCAGTGAGGATGAAAAGATATGAACTTTGCTTTCAAGTAACTCTATCTTATTTGTGTCACTATGCATTAATTTATCCTTATAGTTTTCTTTTTAAAGAGGCAGGTAATCTGTTTTCTGAAAATTTATTCCAGACCTTCATTTATTCTTTACATACTGTACAGCCATTTAAAATGTACAGTTCAGTGGTTCACAGAGCTATGCAACCATTACAACAGGCCGTATTAGAATATTTTCATCATCCCCAAAAGAAACTCTCTACTCATTAGCAGTCATTGCCCATTCCTCCTTTTCCCCAGTCTTTGGCAACCACTAATCTACATTTTGTCTCTGTAATGGAATCATATATTTTTTATAAATGGAATAATATATTATTCAGTCTTTTGTGACTAGCTTCTTTCACTTAGCATGCTGTCAAAGCTCATTCATATGGTAGCGTGGTACTTTTCCTTTTATGGCAAGTACAATTTTATTGCTTGGATATGCTGTATTTTATTCATCCATTCATCAGTTAATAGGCATTTGGATTGTTTCTACCTTTTGTCTATTTTGAATAATACTGCTATGAATATTCACATATATGTTTTTGTGTGGATATATGTTTCATCTCTTTTTGGCATATATATGTATCCCTAAGAGTAAAATTGCTGGATCATACGGTAACACTATGTTAGCGCATTGAGGAAATGCCAGACAGTTTTCCAAAGAGGTACAGAATTTTACATTTCCAACAGGATCCTCATCAACACTTGATCTATCTTTTTGATTATAGCCATCCTAATGGGTATAATGTAGTATCTCATTGTGGCTTTGATTTGCAATTCCCTAATGACTGAGGATAGTGAGCATGTTTTCATGTGCTTTGTTGGCCATTTGTATCAGCAATTTTGTATCTTTCTGACCATTCTCTTGCAGTCACATCTGCCTCTGACCACATCCTGGAAAGGTTCTCTGCTTTAAGGGATTGGGGTCATTAAATTTTCTCACTTGGATAATTCAGGATAATCTCAAGGTTTTTAACCTTAATCCCATCTGTAAAATCCCTTTTATCAAGTAAGGCGATATGTTCACAAGTTCTGGGTATTAGGCCATCTTTGGGGACTGGTTTTCTGTCTATCACACCATCTTAACAATATTAAGTCTTTTGATCTATAAACATGAGATCCTTTAGAACATCTTTAATTTCTTCCAATGATGTTTCATATTTTTGTGTACATTATGTAATTTAAAAATTGTCCTTAAGTATTTCCTTTTGAGCAATCATAAATGGAATTATATTCTTAATTTCTTTCATTTTGTATTGTTCATTGTTATAATAGAGAAATGTAATTATTTTTATATATTAATCTTGTATCCTGCAACCTTACAAAACTTGTTTATTGTTCTAGTAGATTTTTTTTATTTCTTAGAATTTTCTGTATTCGTGATCATGTCATCTATGAATAGAGAGTTTTACTTCTTTCTTTTCAATCCACATGTGTTTTATTTCTTTTTCCTGCCTATTGTCCTGGCTAGAATTTTCAATGTATTGTTGAATCGAAGTGGCTAGAGCAGACATCCTTGTTTTGTTTCTGATGGTAGTGGGAAAGTATTTAGTCTTTCTCCATTAAGTGTGATGTTACTGTAGATTATTCATTAGTGCCCTTTATCCTGTTTAGGAAGCTCCCTTCTCTTCCTAATTTGTTGAGTGTTTCTGCCATGAAAGGGTATTGGATTTTATCAAATGCTTTTACTGCTTCTATTGAGATGATAATGTGTTTTTTTTAATAATAGCATAATTGAGGTATAATTCACATATCTTAAAATTCACTGTTTTAAGTATACAATCCAGTGGTTTTTAATATAGTCACAGAGTGTACAACTATCACCACTATGTAATTTGAGAACATTTTCATCGCCCCCCCGACAAAAAAAAAAACCCTATACCCATTGGCAGTCACTCCCCATTACCCATTCCTCCCAGCCCCTGGGAATCATTAATATACTTTCTGTCCATGAATTTGTCTATTCTGGACATTTCATATAAATAGAATTTCACAATATGAAGCTTTTTGTTTTGTTTTTTTGGTCTGGCTTCTTACATTTAGCATAATGTTTTCAAGATTCATCCATGTTGTAGCGTACATCAGTACTTAATTCTTCCGATTTCAGGACGGACCTTTTCAGCTTTCTTTTTCCCTGGTTATCTCTGATAAACTATCCGACTTACACCCTAAATTGTTATTCTCATAAAGCTCCCTGCCTCCTCTTAATTGTTTACCTCCCAAATCTCCATTTTTTATAGTAATGTTTTGGGCTTGAATGTCCTCACACTCTGTTTCAAATAAAGTCAGTTATTTGGGGAATGGCTTGGGAGCTCTCTGTTCTTATGAATGGCCTTTATCCCTGGGCAGAATCGTTCAGCCAGTGCTTTGGGTACTGAGCAGTAGCAGTAGCCACTGGTCTTCTTGCTTACCTCTTCAGGTGTGGACCTTAACCCTGCAAGTAAACTGGGGTGGAATAATCAGGGTGAGGGTGATTGGGGCCTCAGTATTCTCAGCCTTCTCTACTTGGGGTAGAGTCTCCACCCTGTGAGTAAAGGAAGGGAGCCCCTGAACTCTTGGCTATACTGAACAGGAATTTCACCCCTTCAACTCTGTGTTGGAAGTGATAAGAAATGCTGGCTACCTTTCCCTCCCATTGGGATACTCTATTCCTTGATTGGGAGCTGGGGTCAGAGGGAGTAAAGTTTTGGCTACCCCTCCCTAGAGAGTAGCTTCCATCAAGGTAGACAAGGGGACGGTGAAAGGAAAGGAGTGCCTTGTGGCTCATATGCCATTGACTGTCACTGTTACATTACTGAGTTTTAGTAGATTTTCTTGAATAAATGTTTCTTCATTTGCTCTGGGGTCTTAAAACAATTTCCAGCCATTTCCGATTTAAAGAAAAAAAAGTAACTTTTTGCTGGAACTTTTTGCTGGTTATGGATTTACTTGGGAACAGGTCCATGGGACTTTTTATGCTGCAGTTCTGGAAGTGGATCCCCCCTCTTAGGACTTCTTTTTCAGTAAAGTAGAATTTCTTTGTTATGATGGTGCTAGAAGACTGACTATACTAAAGTAGTACCAATGAACTGTTTTTTAAATCAAGCTTTTACTCTGTCTTATTGATTAGGTTTCAGGATACCTGCTTTTCCTTGCTTTGTTTTTATTTCTCCATATTAATGAACCTTGTCATAATGTTGTTTTACTTTTAAAAATTATTTTTAGTGACATATTTTTCTGTTTGTTACTTTGATTTTTAGGTTTGGCTCCAGCAGCTGCTGTTGCCACCACCACTAGTTCAAGCACCATGCAGTTTACCTCAATATCAAATTCTTTGACCTCCACTGCTGCTATTGGGCTCTCATGTAAGTTACTAATTCTAAAGAAAATACTGTTATTTCCCATGATGCCACCTTACTCAGTTTGCCAGTATATGCTACAGATCTCTGTCTCAGAAATTATCATTATTCTTGAACCCATTTATAATTGCTGATATCAATAGTAGCTTTGCTTAAGAACCTAATTCTCATGGCTTTAGCTGTGAATTTTTTATATTAACATGGTTATTATAGCTTAAAATGCTAACTTTAAGCATATAATTCATTAATATTGTGATGCATTGAAACAACTCCTTGAAGCTATTAACAGAAGGGAGAGTGGGAGTTTTGCCAAGTATTTCTGAAGGGAAGAAGTCCTTATCCATGTGACTAAGATAAAATGGGAAATAAATGTAGGAGCCTTGCTATAGTGTGTTTTCTGATACCGACCTGGTTTGTGGTCCTTACATTTTACCTATCAGAAGTGGAACATGACAAAGGGCCAGCTGTAGTTTTGGGGTTCTAATTGACATTGTGTAATGTCTTGTGACCTCTCCACCTGAAGAGGACCATCTATCTGGATGCTTTGAGCTAAGAGGTGAGACATTATCTCGTAACCCCAACTTCTTTGTTACACATTTTCCATTAGTATAGTAATAGCAAATGTTGACAATATTGAATTCAGGCCAGGCTCAGTGGCTTATGCCTGTAATCCTAGCATTTTGGGAGGCCATGGCAGGTGGATTGCTTGAGCCCAGGAGTTTGAGAACAGCCTGGGCAATGTGGTGAAACCCTGTCTCTACAAAAAAATACAAAAATTTGCCGGACATAGTGGTGCATGCCTGTAGTCCCAGCTACTGGGGAGGCTTAGGTGGGAGGATTGCTTGAGCCCAGGAGGTCAAGGCTGCAGTGAGCCAAGATTGCACCACTGCACTCCAGCCTGGGTGACGGAGTAACACCCTGTCAAACCAAAAAAAAAAAAAAGGAAAGGAAGAAAGAAAGAGAGAGAGGGGGAGAGAGAGGGAGGGAGGGAGAGAGAGAGAAAGGGAGGGAGGGAGAGAGAGAGAGGGAGGGAGGGAGGGAGAGAGAGAGAGAGAGAAAGAAAGAAAAAAAAGAAAAGAAAATACTGAATTTTGTATGTCTTAGGCAATTTTTTCTTACAGGCCTCTATAAACTGACTTCTTTCAAGGTTTCTTCTTCACAATATCATAATGTTCATCATTAAATTTTGTTGTAATCCTAGCTGTAATAGCCCCCCTCCCCAGCTCTATGACAGTAAGATTGTCTCCATTCCTGGGAATACAACTAGCCAGAAAATGTTTGATGCTTAATTGAGCATGAATAGTGCTCAATTAACCATCACCATCCTCTTGTGTTATTGGCATAGTTAGGCATTAGTTAAGATTGGTTACCACATGAATTATGTTTTCTACCACTTAGACTTCAATTTTGAGACATGACTATGATTCTGGAATCATTTTGATATATGTAAGCAGTATCCTTCTCAACTGTGATAGATTTCATGAATATGACCATGTCCAAGGTTTGGAGTTAAAATTATTGAATTAATTCCATGTTCAGTCAAAACTTGCTCTCTGACCTTTGACAGGTTCCCCCACTTTTCTCCCTCTGATGTCCTTGTCTACAAAATGAAAAGATATTGGGACCACAATATCTTTTAATTAACTTTAATGAATTATAACTTACACATCATAAAATTAACTCACTTTAAGTATGCAATCCAGAAATTTTAGTAAGTTTATCGAATTGTGTAACCATCACTGTATTTAGTTTTAGAGCATTTCCATCATTGCAGTAAGATCCCTCAGCCACAGACAACCACTAATCTGTTTTCCATCTCCATATATTTGCCTTTTCTGGACATTTCATGTAAATGGTTTGACCATGGTTTTTTGAAGTTTAACCAAAAGTTTCTAAAGGACTCTTCAGATGAAAAAGACTATATAAATTTCTCACTGTTTTTGATTTAAAGGGTAATAGTTAATATTATGTTGTTCTCTGCAGTTGGTGCTCCAACAACTTCGGCTAGAACACTTGATATTATAACCTTGGGATTTGCATTAAAATTCCCTGGAGCAGGTGGAGCAGCTCCTACTGCAGTTAGTAAGATTTTAGAATTATCAGGATGTCTTGGGGGTCTCATTGGAAATGTGCTTCATAACAAGCAGTAAGTAGGTTCTATGGCTTTTAGGGCTAAGTGGTTTTGACCATCTCATCAGAGTATCCAAAAGGTACACCAATATGTTTATGTAGATGATTGCCAAAGAGTACAATGAGACAGTTGATATCAATGATGCTACTTCTTTGAGATGACTACAGGCAAAACAGCTGCCAAATTCTTGCCAACCATCAAACTTAAGAATTTTCGTTATTGATCACAGTATTTAGCTGGTTGAGACTGATAAAGTTTTTTTTTTCTCTAAAAGTTAATTTAAGTTTTGACCTCTATTGAAGTTGGCCCTCTTCTAAAGTTGGTTATAGGAGTTTCCCTAGACCTATTCTAAATTTGTTTCTGCCAGTTAGGAGCTAGTTAGGCTGTAGATGGAAGAAAACTTGGTTATCCATTGCCCGTAGCTATTAGAGCTGGGTGGTAAGGGGTCATCTACTCAAACCTGTCTTTTAAGTTAGACTCCATTTTGGAGAAGTCTTGTTTGTTTTTACTGTAAGAAGTTTACTTAGGGATTAAATGAATCTGTTTTAATCTGGCTTAAACTAAAAGTCAATCCCGTTTAAGCTTAAAATAATTATTCCTAAACAGACATGTATATCATCCCTCCCTTTTTTTTTAAGATACAGTCTTACTTTGTCACCCAGGTTAGAGTGCAGTGGCGTGATTATAGCTGACTGCAGCCTAATCTCCTGGATTCAAGTGATCCTCCCACCTCAGCCTTCTGAGTACCTGGGACTGCAGGCATGCACCACCATGACCAACTGATTTTTTTTTTTTTTTTTTTAGTAGAGATGAGGTCTCACTACATTGTCCAGGCTGGTCTCAAACTCCTGGGCTCAAGCTATCCTCCCACCTTGGCCTCCCAAAGTGCTCAGCTTGTAGGCTTGAGGCACCACACCTGGCCTCATCTTTTTATTTCTTCTTTTACATGACCTTATGAGTTTCTACTGTTTAGTAGACTAACTGGCCAATGTATGAGACTTGTGAAGGGTGTGTCATAAGAACATTACAAGTTACCATATTTGCAAAAAATGTAACACATTTCCCCATAAAACAATGACCAAAAAAAAACCCTGATTCTTTTAGTCATGGGTTGAATCACTGAAATATGAATGGGCAGCCTCTTTGATGATGCTGTCATACCCAGCCCTTATCTATATAAGTCTCAAATTCCTTCCTACAAATACTACTTTTGCCACTAGCCCATCCCTTAGCACCATGATATGGTTTGGCTATGTCCTCACCCAAATCTCATCTTGAATTGTACCTCCCATAATTCCCATGTGTTGTGGGAGAGACCTGGTGAGAGGTAACTGAATCATGGGGACAGGTCTTTCTCATATTGTTCTTGTGATAGTGAATAAGTCTCACAAGATATGATGGTTTTATAAAAGGGAGTTCCCTTACACAAGCTCTCTTGCCTGTCACCATGTAAGATGTGACTTTGCTCCTCATTCACTTTTTGTCATGATTTTGAGGCCTCCCCAGCCATGTGAAACTGTGAGTCAATTAAACCTCTTTCCTTTATAAACTATCCAGCCTCAGGTATGTCTTTATTAGCAGCATGAGAACAGACTAATACACACCATTTCACCCACCAGGACCTTAAGCACTTACCCTTCTCCCCATTAGGTATGTCTCAACCTGACAGCCCCAATTTGGGGTGTTTTCTTCCCCCTACTTACCTTTCTTTCTCTTCAAGTGTATTTACTTATTCAGATTCTTCATCTCACTAACCAGTCTTGCAGAGCAGCTTTCAAGCATCTGTATCTGTAGATTTACAGCCATTTGGGATTACTGTCTGCCCTAGATATAATCAGCAAATTTTAAGAGAAATTTGATTTTTATAGTTTGGGAAGGTGATGATGTCCATTTCCAGCATGGATTGAGATGTATAGTTGTTGATCAGGGACAGGATAGGAAAATTTGATAGTAGAATATTTTAAAGGCTATTTTCATTATTTTTTAAATGTGAGTTCAAATTTAGTGTGTAGTTTTTTGTATTATTTTTAGAACCATACTTCCCTTTTACTACACAGATATTGTAGGATTGACTGTATTAACTGGTTAAGACCAAAGTTGTAATTTGCAAAATCAGACTGTGATAGAACTTTCAAACCCATTCCTTTATTTGGTATTAATTGAAATATTATTTGAATATGCCAGAGTTAATTTATGCCTTTAAAAATAGCATGAAAGATAACAAAAATAAAACTGTACAAAAAGTTAAAATAGGCCGGGTGTGGCGGCTCATGCCTGTAATCCTAGCACTTTGGGAGGCCGAGGCAGGTGGATCACGAGGTCAGGAGATCAAGACCATCCTGGCTAACACAGTGAAACCCCGTCTGTACTAAAAATACAAAAAATTAGCCAGGCGTGGTGGCACATGCCTGTAGTCCCAGCTACTCGGGAGGCTGAGGCAGGAGAATCACTTGAACCCAGGTGGTGGAGGTTGCAGTGAGCCAAGATTGTGCCACTGCACTCTAGCCTGGGTGACAGAGCGAGACTCCATCTCAAAAAAAAAAAAAAAAAGTTAAAATAATCATACCATTTTAAAATGACTCAGGATTCCTTTATGTTTGGGCTGCTTATAGGTAAAAACAATTCGTACATGCATATATACATATCACTCCCTCTAGAGAGAACAGTTTATCTTTTTAGACATTTTTCTAAGCATATACATACATTAAATTTGTTTTATAAAAATGGTACCATACTCTGTGTGTGTGTGTGTGTACACATTCTTAGAATTTGCTGTTTCCTCTTAAGTACACATCTTTTTTTTTTTTCTTTTTCTTTTATTTTTTTTGAGACAGAATCTCGCTCTGTCGCTCACTTAGCCTCCTGGGTAGCTGGGATTACAGGTGTGCACCACATCTGGCTGATTTTTGTATTTTTAGTAGAGATGGGGTTTCACCATGTTGGCCAGGCTCGTCTCAAACTCCTGACCTCCAGTGATATACCTGCCTCGGCCTCCCAAAGTGCTGGGATTACAGGTGTGAGCCACCATGCCTAGCCAATTATATATCTTTGAATATCTATCCATGTTAGGAAGTACAGATTACTTTATTAGAAAACCATCTTTGGGTGAAGATATTCTCCTTTACAAGAAGGGCTCATTTTTTTAAAAAAAAAATTTCTTTCTGTCTTGAATGCAGTAGTTACTCAGTGTTTGGTTGAATTAATCAATAAAGGGAGTCTATTGGCATTATCATTAATTTTTAGCATTTGTGAGGAAGGTTTTCCTTTCAGGTAAGATTTTTGTTCTCAGATGAATAAAATGATGACTTATGGTTGTAAAGAATATCACACAAGATCCAATCTGTAATCTCTCCACTGTTCTAACCATAGTGACTCCTGGGCTTCTTTGTGATTGGGCATGGTCTTCCTCTGTGGTGCACATTTTACCCTCACAAGGGCTAACATAAAGAATGGGGAATTATCATAAGAACCTTTGTGGCCAAAAAGGAAATGGAGTCTTGTGGAATTCAAGTAAAGTCATTGCCACGACACTGTTACCTTAAGGAAATTGGAACTTAAGATTATTCTTAAGGCAGCTTTAGGGACCTCCCAAATCAAACATTGCATATACATAATTCGGTTATTCTCCCTTTGTCTACTTTTTTCTTTTTTTAAATTTCTCATTGGTTTCCTTACCTCTTTCTCTGCCTTCCTGCTGTACCTTATTCTTAATTGTGACTTGCTCATGGTCCCTTACTTCTACTTCATCTCCTTCTTCTGTCAGTCCTATCAAGTCTTTTTGCCTATAGTTGGATTCCTTCTATACTTTTGGAAATATTTCCCAGTATCTGCCTAGAGTCAGATTTTTCCGTATTGCTAAATTTTTGAAAATGAAATTCTGACTCATATTAATCCTGTTTCACTAGAGCTTTTTGTGCCAGACCCTCAGGTAGGCTGCTAGTAGTACATTGGATGGCTTCCCATCCTTCAGTTGGCCATCCTGCCCAGTCAACTTTGAACCAGGAACAAAAAGGACAGAGTTATCTGGAACAAAGAATGGGTATTTGAGCTTGTTCCCTCAGCAGGAATGTTCCCTCAGGCCAGCCTCCCTCAGAGTAGTCAGTGCTTGCAGCAGGCACCATGGTTTATGCATTTATCCAGTGTGGCCATTAACCTGAAACTATTGCTAATTGGGAAAGCAAAGCTAACATAAAACAAACAATCATGTACGTTATATTTTCATAACATATTTCTTGTTACAGAAGCAGCATTTACTAGTTGTAAGAACATTTGAAAATGCAGAGAACCAAAAAGAAGAAAATAAAACCTTCCCAATGCCCTAGCAGCCACAATTTTCTGTGCCTTGTTCATTAAGTGCTCAGTGTGTAGTAAGAACCAAAAGTGCTGCAGAAATTTAGAAAACCAAAGGAAACTATGAGTAGGAGAGAAGTGGGTGATAAATATGGGGAACAAAGAATTTGAGTCAAGCCATGAAGTATACTTAGGATTTTATCTATAGAGAGCAGGACATTCTAATAGGGGTGTAACAGAAAAAGACATATAGGAGAGAGTCTGGGCTGTAGATAAAGCTTTGAGAGGCTTTTGACTAGGGTTTGCAAAAATGCATGCCTAGTATTGGCTGTGGTATAAAGAAATAGGCACTCTTTCCTATTGATAGGGACATAAATTGGCAAAATTGTTTAGATAGGGCAATTTGGCAAGTTATGTTAAAATTTAGAGCATGCTGACACTTTGATCTAGAAATTTTATTTCTAGGAATTAATTACACAGATACAGTCATGTAAATATGCAAAGATATAGATGTACAGAGATCTTTTGTAAATTGCAATTATTCTTTTCTTGAAAGTTTCATAAAACTTACCAGCAGTGGCATCTGGGACTGGAGTTTCCTTTATGAGAAGAATTTTGAGGATTGATTTGATTTCTTTCATGGTTATTGGGCTGGTTAGAAGTTTTATTTTTCTATGAATTTATCCAGGATTTTCAGCTGGAAAGTTAATCCAGGTACCTGGCCTGCCATTTATTATTTCATATTACAACAGTGTTGAATTCAAATCTGCATCTTTGAGTTCAAATTTGTATTTTTAAAAATGCCTCCATAATTTTAAATCTGAATGATCAAGGCTTAAATGAAACAAATTTCTCATTTCTTACTAACATTATACACTTTATTTTCCAGTTACAACTTCAACGACTACCACCGCCACTTTCACCACCAACACTACTACCACAATCACCAGTGGCTTTACTGTGAACCAAAACCAACTGTTATCAAGAGGGTTTGAAAACCTTGTACCTTATACTTCAACTGTTAGGTAAGCCTATTTATTTAAAAACTTGCATGTGTTTCATTTTATTTATCATGTACAAGACATTTGCTTGGATAACTTTAGAATAATATTTGAAAGTTAGCTAAATGACTGAGTTGAGGGAACAGTCAAGAGAAAGATTTCTGTAGCTTAGGAAGTTGAATAAACAGCAGCACACCTTTACCTTCTGAATATCATTATAATAGAATCATTACTATTACTAATAATAGCTACCACTTATTGTGCAATTACTGTGTATGTAATCTGTGTATGTTTAGCAAGATGACAATGCATTACAAGCATCATGTCATTTATCCTCACAGTAACCCTATGAGGTAGGCAGTATTTTCATTTTCATTTTATAGGTGAGAAAACAAGAGCATATAGAGATTTTATAAT
Source organism: Homo sapiens (assembly GCF_000001405.40). Taxonomy (NCBI): domain Eukaryota; kingdom Metazoa; phylum Chordata; class Mammalia; order Primates; family Hominidae; genus Homo; species Homo sapiens. The sequence continues at coordinate 107,167,255 of NC_000023.11, read as the reverse complement.
CTGCTCATAGTCGCATACTTGTTAATGGTTGAGCCAGGATTAAAATTCAGACAGTCAAGCTCTGGAGCCTGTATATGATGTTTCTCTCTAGTATTTGTTCATTTTTTAAATTAAGCTTTTTATTTTGGGATAATTGTAGAGTCACATGTATATGTAAGAAATAATACACAACATTCTGTATGGTCTTTATATCATTTCCTCCAATGATAACATCTCAACAGTACTACAGTATAATATCACAACCAAGATATTGATATTGCTACAGTCAAAATACAGAACAGTTTTATCACTACAAGGATTCCTCCTGTTACCCTTGTATAGCCACACCCACTCCCCTCCTTTCCTTGACCCTGAGCAACAATTAATGTTCTCTATTTCTATAATCTTGACATTTCAAGAGTGTTGTACAGATAGAGTCATATATATGTGACCTTTGGGGATTGGATTTTTTTATTCAGCATAATTCCTTGTGATCCACCCAAGTTGTCGTGTGCATCAACAGTTTGTTCTTTTTTATTTCTGAGTAGTATTCCATGGTATTGTGGATGCACCATGGTTTGTTTAACCATTCACCTGTTGATGGACATATAGGTTGTTTCCAGTTTTTTGGATATTATGAAAAAAGCTGGTGTGAACATTGATGTACATGTTTATTATGAATATAAGTATTTCTGTGGGATAAATGCCTAGGAGTGCAGTTGTCGGGTGGTATGGTGGTTACATGTTTTTTGTTTGTTTTGTTTTTTAAGAAACTGTCAAATTCTTTTCCAGAGTACTGTGCCATTTTACATGCCCACTAGCAATGTATGGGTGATCCAGATTGTCTGCATTCTTGCCAGGATTTGGTGTTGTCACTACTTTTTATTTGAGCCCTTCTGACAGATGTGAAGTGATATCTCATTATGGTTTTAATTTGCATTTCCCTGATGACTAATGATGTTGAACGTCTTTTCACATGTTTATTTGCCATCAGTAGATCCTCTTTGGTGAAATGTCTGTTCATATCTTTTGTCCATTTTCTACTTGGATTATTTGATTTTTTTACTGTTTGGTTTTCAGAGTTTGTTATGTACTCTAGATGCCAGTCTTTTGTCAGATATGTGGCTCATAAGTATATTCTTTAACTGTGTAACTTGGCTTTTCATCCTCTTAACAGGGTCCTTTTGCTGTATCAAAACCTTTAATTAATGAGTTACAGTTTATCACATTTTCTTTTAATGAATTGTGCTTTTAGTGTCAATTATAAGAAATCTTTTCTTAGCCCTAGATCCCAAAGATTTTCTTTTTCTTCTGTGTTTTTCTAAAAGTTTTATAGTTTCACATTTTACATTTGAGCTTGTGATCCAACTGGAGTCAATTTTTATATAAGGTGTGAGGTTTAGGTCAAGATTAATTTTTTTTTGTCTGTGGATGTCGAGTTTTTCCAACATCATTTATTGAAAGACTATCTTCCCCCCTGAATTGCTTTTGCACCTTTGTCAAAAATCAATTTGTGTCAAATGCTTTTTCAGCCTCAATTGATAGTCTTAAGATTTTGTTTCTTTATCTTGGTGAAGTGGTAGATTACACTGATTGATTTTCAGATGTTCAACCAGCCCTGCATATGTGGAATAAATCCCACTTGATCATGGTGTATAATTTTTTGGTACATTTTTAAAAATTTGGTTTCCTGGTATTTTGTTTGAGGACTTTTGTATCTAAGTTCATGAGAGATATTAGTCTGTAGTTTTCGTCTTTTTTTATGTCTCTAGTTTTGATATCAGGGTAACATTGGCTCTATAAAATGATCTGGAAAGTATTCTGTTTTCTGTTTTCTAAAAGAAATAGTGTAAAATTAATGTTAATTCATAAAATGTTGGCAGAATTCTCTAGCGAAAACTTCTCGGCCTGTATCTTTCTTTTAAAGGGGTATTTATTTATTAATTAATTTATTATTATTATTTTTTTTTTTGAGACAGAGTCTCACTGTGACGCCCAGGCTAGAGTGCAGTGTCAAGATCTTAGCTCACTGCATCCTCCACCTCCCAGGTTCAAGTGATTCTCCTGCCTCAGCCGAGGCCTCCTGAGTAGCTGGGATTACAAGCTCCCGCCACCACGTCCAGCTAATCTTTGTTTTTTGTTTTTTTGTTTTGTTTGTTTGTTTGTTTGTTTGTTTGAGACGGAGTCTCGCTCTGTCGCCCAGGCTGGAGTGCAGTGGCACGATCTCGGCTCACTGCAAGCTCCGCCTCCCAGGTTCACGCCATTCTCCTGCCTCAGCCTCCTGAGTAGCTGGGACTGCAGGCACCCGCCACCACGCCCAGTTAATTTTTTTGTATTTTTAGTAGAGACGGGGTTTCACCGTGTTAGCCAGGCTGGTCTCGAACTCCTGACTTCGTGATCCTCCCGTCTGGGCCTCCCAAAGTGCTGGGATTACAGGCGTGAGCCACTGCGCCCAGCTAAAGGGGCTTTTAGGCTAAAGGGGCTTTTAAATTACAAATCAATTTCTTTAGTGGTTCTAGAACTATTCAGGTTATCTAGTTCATCTTTGATGAATGTATTGTTTTTAAAGAGTTGGCCCATTTTTTATATTGTTAAAAATAAAGTAGTTCATAGTATTCCATTATTGTCCTTTTAATGGCTGTAGGGATATTCCTGTTTCATTTCTGATGTTAGTGGTTTGTGTCTTTCTTTTATCAATTTTATCGATCGCTTCCCAAAGAGCCAGCTTTTGTTTAATTAATCATTTTCTATTCTTTTCATGTTTTCAATTTCACTTGATATCTACTCTATTATTTCCTTCCTTCTGATTGCACTGAGTTCATTTTGCTCTTTTTCTAGTTCGTTGAGGTATGAACTCAGACTATTGATTTGAGATTTTTCCTATTTTTTAACGTACACATTTAGTGCTATAAATACCCAACTCAACACTTCCTTAACTGTGACCTACATATTATGTTATATTGTGATTTCATTCAGCTCTATATACTTCTTAAATTTCCTTTGTGAATCCTTCTTTGACTAATTTATTATTTAGAAGTGTGTTGTTTAATTTCCAAGTGTTTGGAGATTTTCTTGTTGTTTTTTCTGTATTGATCGCTACTTTGATCCCATTGTGGTATTAGAATATGCTTTGTACGATTTTAGTTCTTTTAAATTTATTTAGGTTTGTTTTGTGGGTGAGGATACAGTCTGTCTTGATGAATGTTCCATGGACATTTGAAAATTGTGTTTTCTGCTGCAGGGTGGAATGTTCTATATATGTTAATTAAATTCTGTTGCTTCACTGTAATTTCAGATACTGTGTTATTGGAGTCTTTCTGTCTAGTAGTTCTTTCAGTTGTGGAGAGTGGCTTTTTGAAATCTCCGCCTTTAATTGTGGATTTCTCTATTTCTCCCTTTAGCTCTATCAGTTTTTATTTCATGTATTTTGAGGCTTTCTTGTTTGGTCACCTATACATTTAGGATTGCTAGCCTTCTGGATGCCTTGATTCCTTTATCACTCTGTAATGTCTCTCTTTGGTTCTAGTAATTTTCTTTGTTCTGTAGTCCACTTTATCTGATATTAATATAGCCATTTCTTTTTAAAAAAATGAACCTTGCATGGTACATTCTTTCCATTCTTTTACTTTCAAACTATGTATTAATATATCCTTGTATTTGAAGTGAATTTCTTATAGACGGTATATTGTTGGATCATTTTTTATTCACTCTTCCACTCTCTGTATTTTAATTGGTATGTTTAGCACATTTATATTTAAGGTAACTATTCACATGTTAGAGCTTAAATCTGCCATTTTATTTGTTTGTTGCCTCTGATTTTTGTTCTTCTCTTTCTTTTTTTTACCCTGCTGTCAGTTGTTTGAGTATTTTGGGGGGGTTTCATCTTGTTCTGTTTATAGTGTTTTTAAATACATTATTTTGTATAGTTTTATTACTGGTTGCTCTAGGTATTACAGATACATGCATTACTTACAACAGTGTAGTCATACCACTACAGTGTTTGGGTGAAGTGCAGAAACCTTAATTCCATTTAGTTCCTTTTACCCTTCTTAGCTTTTAAGTATGGTTGTCTCAGCCATTTCTTCTGTGTACATTGAATATCACATCACATGGGGTTATAATTTTTACTTCAGCCATCAAATGATCTGAGAAACGAGAAGTAGAATAGTATATTTACCTTGTCTATACCCATTTTGATATTCCTTACTTTATATCAGGGGTCCTCAACCCCTGGGCTGAAGACCAGTACTGCTCTGTAGCCTGTTAGGAACCGGACCACACAGCAAGAGGTGAGCAGCAGGTGAGCGTGCATTACTGCCTGAGCTCCGCCTCCTGTCAGATCAGACATTAGATTCTCATAGGAGCGTGAACCCTATAGTAAACTACACATGCAAGGGATCTAGGTTGTGCGCTCCTGATGAGAATCTAATGCCTGATGATCCTCCCCCAGGCCCCTCCCGCCATCTGTGGAAAAATTGTCTTCCACAAAACCAGTTCCTGGTGCCAAAAGGGTTGGGGATCGCTGCTTTATATGATGTTCCAAGTCTTCTGTTTTCATTTCCTTTCTGTTTAATCTTCAAGGGTAGGTTTACTAGCAACAAATTATCTTGAATTGACTTTGTGTGAGAATATCTTTATCTCCCCCTTCATTTCTGAAGGACATTTTCACCAGATACAGAAGTCATTGTTGACACTTTTTTTCATTCAGTGCTTGAAGCCTGCATGGTTTTAGACGAGAAATCTGGTGTCATCTAAACTGATACTCCCTTTTAAGTAATGCATTTTTTTCTTTCTGGTTGCTTTCAAGATTTTTTTTTCTTTGTCTTTAGTTTTCAGAAGTTTAATTATTTTGTGTCTTAGCGTGGATTTGAGTTATTCTCTTTGGGATTTGTCCAGCTTCTTGAATCTATGAGTTTATATCTTTTCACAAACTTTGAGAGTTTTCAATCTTTTTTTTTAAATACGTTTTTCAGTCCCATTCTCTCTTTCCTCTCTTTCTGGAGCTCTTATTATACAAATGTTACTGCTTTTATTATTGTCTTCCAAGTCCTTGAGACATTTTTCATTTGTTTCTGCGAAGTTTTTCTTTGTTTTCTGTAAATTATATTTGTCTGTCATCAAGTTTTCTTATTCTATCCTCTGTTGACTCCATTCTGTTATCAAATTCCTTAGGTGAGCTTGTTATTTCGGTTATTTTACATTTCAGTTCTATACGTTTCATTTGGTTGTTTTTCATACTTTCTATTTCTTTGCTGAGATTTTCTGTTTTTTTCATTTGTTTTAAGAAAATTTGAAATGGCTTGTTTGAGCCTTTTTTTGATGGTCGCTTTAAAATTATTTTCAGATAATTCCAACATCTGATACCTCTCAGTGTTGGCATCTGTTGCCTTTTCTCTTTCAAGTTGTGGGTTTTCTCGGTTTTGATATGATAGGTAATTTTTTTTTCATTTTTTTTAAATTTTTTTTATTATTATTACTATTATTATTATTATTTTTTTTAAATTATACTTTAAGTTTTAGGGTACATGTGCACATTGTGCAGGTTAGTTACATATGTATACGTGTGCCATGCTGGTGCGCTGCACCCACTAACTCATCATCTAGCATTAGGTATATCTCCCAATGCTATCCCTCCCCCCTCCCCACCACAGTCCCCAGAGTGTGATATTCCCCTTCCTGTGTCCATGTGATCTCATTGTTCAATTCCCACCTATGAGTGAGAATATGCGGTGTTTGGTTTTTTGTTCTTGCGATAGTTTACTGAGAATGATGGTTTCCAATTTCATCCATGTCCCTACAAAGGACATGAACTCATCATTTTTTATGGCTGCATAGTATTCCATGGTGTATATGTGCCACATTTTCTTGATCCAGTCTATCATTGTTGGACATTTGGGTTGGTTCCAAGTCTTTGCTATTGTGAATAATGCCGCAATAAACATACGTGTGCATGTGTCTTTATAGCAGCGTGATTTATAGTCATTTGGGTATATACCCAGTAATGGGATGGCTGGGTCAAATGGTATTTCTAGTTCTAGATCCCTGAGGAATCGCCACACTGACTTCCACAATGGTTGAACTAGTTTACAGTCCCACCAACAGTGTAAAAGTGTTCCTATTTCTCCACATCCTCTCCAGCACCTGTTGTTTCCTGACTTTTCAATGATTGCCATTCTAACTGGTGTGAGATGATATCTCATAGTGGTTTTGATTTGCATTTCTCTGATGGCCAGTGATGATGAGCATTTTTTCATGTGTCTGTTGGCTGCATAAATGTCTTCTTTTGAGAAGTGTCTGTTCATGTCCCTCGCCCACTTTTTGATGGGGTTGTTTGTTTTTTTCTTGTAAATTTGTTTGAGTTCATTGTAGATTCTGGATATTAGCCCTTTGTCAGATGAGTAGGTTGCGAAAATTTTCTCCCATGTTGTAGGTTGCCTGTTCACTCTGATGGTAGTTTCCCCCACTGTGCAGAAGCTCTTTAGTTTAATTAGATCCCATTTGTCAATTTTGGCTTTGGTTGCCATTGCTTTTGGTGTTTTGGACATGAAGTCCTTGCCCACGCCTATGTCCTGAATGGTAATGCCTAGGTTTCCTTCTAGGGTTTTTATGGTTTTAGGTCTAACGTTTAAATCTTTAATCCATCTTGAATTGATTTTTGTATAAGGTGTAAGGAAGGGATCCGGTTTCAGCTTTCTACATATGGCTAGCCAGTTTTCCCAGCACCATTTATTAAATAGGAAATCCTTTCCCCATTGCTTGTTTTTCTCAGATTTGTCAAAGATCAGGTAGTTGTAGGTATGCGGCGTTATTTCTGAGGGCTCTGTTCTGTTCCATTGATCTATATCTCTGTTTTGGTACCAGTACCATGCTGTTTTGGTTACTGTAGCCTTGTAGTATAGTTTGAAGTCAGGTAGTGTGATGCCTCCAGCTTTTTCTTTTGGCTTAGGATTGACTTGGTGATGCGGGCTCTTTTTTGGTTCCATATGAACTTTAAAGTCGTTTTTTCCAATTCTGTGAAGAAAGTCATTGGTAGCTTGATGGGGATGGCATTGAATCTGTAAATTACCTTGGGCAGTATGGCCATTTTCACGATATTGATTCTTCCTACCCATGAGCATGGAATGTTCTTCCATTTGTTTGTATCCTCTTTTATTTCCTTGAGCAGTGGTTTGTAGTTCTCCTTGAAGAGGTCCTTCACATCCCTTGTAAGTTGGATTCCTAGGTATTTTATTCTCTTTGAAGCAATTGTGAATGGGAGTTCACTCATGATTTGGCTCTCTGTTTGTCTGTTGTTGGTGTATAGGAATACTTGTGATTTTTGTACATTGATTTTGTATCCTGAGACTTTGCTGAAGTTGCTTATTAGCTTAAGGAGATTTTGGGCTGAGACAATGGGGTTTTCTAGATAAACAATCATGTCGTCTGCAAACAGGGACAATTTGACTTCCTCTTTTCCTAATTGAATACCCTTTATTTCCTTCTCCTGCCTGATTGCCCTGGCCAGAACTTCCAACACTATGTTGAATAGGAGCAGTGAGAGAGGGCATCCCTGTCTTGTGCCAGTTTTCAAAGGGAATGCTTCCAGTTTTTGCCCATTCAGTATGATATTGGCTGTGGGTTTGTCATAGATAGCTCTTATTATTTTGAAATACGTCCCATCAATACCTAATTTATTGAGAGTTTTTAGCATGAAGGGTTGTTGAATTTTGTCAAAGGCTTTTTCTGCATCTATTGAGATAATCATGTGATTTTTGTCTTTGGCTCTGTTTATATGCTGGATTACATTTATTGATTTGTGTATATTGAACCAGCCTTGCATCCCAGGGATGAAGCCCACTTGATCATGGTGGATAAGCTTTTTGATGTGCTGCTGGATTCGGTTTGCCAGTATTTTATTGAGGATTTTTGCATCAATGTTCATCAAGGATATTGGTCTAAAATTCTCTTTTTTGGTTGTGTCTCTGCCCGGCTTTGGTATCAGAATGATGCTGGCCTCATAAAATGAGTTAGGGAGGATTCCCTCTTTTTCTATTGATTGGAATAGTTTCAGAAGGAATGGTACCAGTTCCTCCTTGTACCTCTGGTAGAATTCGGCTGTGAATCCATCTGGTCCTGGACTCTTTTTGGTTGGTAAACTCTTGATTATTGCCACAATTTCAGCTCCTGTTATTGGTCTATTCAGAGATTCAACTTCTTCCTGGTTTAGTCTTGGGAGAGTGTATGTGTCGAGGAATGTATCCATTTCTTCTAGATTTTCTAGTTTATTTGCGTAGAGGTGTTTGTAGTATTCTCTGATGGTAGTTTGTATTTCTGTGGGATCGGTGGTGATATCCCCTTTATCATTTTTTATTGTGTATATTTGATTCTTCTCTCTTTTTTTCTTTATTAGTCTTGCTAGCGGTCTATCAATTTTGTTGATCCTTTCAAAAAACCAGCTCCTGGATTCACTGATTTTTTGAAGGGTTTTTTGTGTCTCTATTTCCTTCAGTTCTGCTCTGATTTTAGTTATTTCTTGCCTTCTGCTAGCTTTTGAATGTGTTTGCTCTTGCTTTTCTAGTTCTTTTAACTGTGATGTTAGGGTGTCAATTTTGGATCTTTCCTGCTTTCTCTTGTGGGCATTTAGTGCTATAAATTTCCCTCTACACACTGCTTTGAATGCGTCCCAGAGATTCTGGTATGTTGTGTCTTTGTTCTCGTTGGTTTCAAAGAACATCTTTATTTCTGCCTTCATTTCGTTATGTACCCAGTAGTCATTCAGGAGTAGGTTGTTCAGTTTCCATGTAGTTGAGTGGCTTTGAGTGAGATTCTTAATCCTGAGTTCTAGTTTGATTGCGCTGTGGTCTGAGAGATAGTTTGTTATAATTTCTGTTCTTTTACATTTGCTGAGGAGAGCTTTACTTCCAACTATGTGGTCAATTTTGGAATAGGTGTGGTGTGGTGCTGAAAAAAATGTATATTCTGTTGATTTGGGGTGGAGAGTTCTGTAGATGTCTATTAGGTCCACTTGGTGCAGAGCTGAGTTCAATTCCTGGGTATCCTTGTTGACTTTCTGTCTCGTTGATCTGTCTAATGTTGACAGTGGGGTGTTAAAGTCTCCCATTATTAATGTGTGGGAGTCTAGGTCTCTTTGTAGGTCACTCAGGACTTGCTTTATGAATCTGGGTGCTCCTGTATTGGCTGCATATATATTTAGGATAGTTAGCTCCTCTTGTTGAATTGATCCCTTTACCATTATGTAATGGCCTTCTTTGTCTCTTTTGATCTTTGTTGATTTAAAGTCTGTTTTATCAGAGACTAGGATTGCAACCCCTGCCTTTTTTTGTTTTCCATTTGCTTGGTAGATCTTCCTCCATCCTTTTATTTTGAGCCTATGTGTGTCTCTGCACATGAGATGGGTCTCCTGAATACAGCACACTGATGGGTCTTGACTCTTTATCCAATTTGCCAGTCTGTGTCTTTTAATTGGAGAATTTAGTCCATTTACATTTAAAGTTAGTGTTGTTATGTGTGAATTTGATCCTGTCATTATGATGTTAGCTGGTGATTTTGCTCGTTAGTTGATGCAGTTTCTTCCTAGTCTTGATGGTCTTTACATTTTGGCATGATTTTGCAGCGGCTGGTACCGGTTGTTCCTTTCCATGTTTAGCGCTTCCTTCAGGAGCTCTTTTAGGGCAGGCCTGGTGGTGACAAAATCTCTCAGCACTTGCTTGTCTGTAAAGTATTTTATTTCTCCTTCACTTATGAAGCTTAGTTTGGCTGGATATGAAATTCTGGGTTGAAAATTCTTTTCTTTAAGAATGTTGAATATTGGCCCCCACTCTCTTCTGGCTTGTAGGGTTTCTGCTGAGAGATCCGCTGTTAGTCTGATGGGCTTCCCTTTGAGGGTAACCTGACCTTTCTCTCTGGCTGCCCTTAACATTTTTTCCTTCATTTCAACTTTGGTGAATCTGACAATTATGTGTCTTGGAGTTGCTCTTCCCGAGGAGTATCTTTGTGGCGTTCTCTGTATTTCCTGAATCTGAACGTTGGCCTGCCTTGCTAGATTGGGGAAGTTCTCCTGGATAATATCCTGCAGAGTGTTTTCCAACTTGGTTGCATTCTCCCCATCACTTTCAGGTACACCAATCAGACGTAGATTTGGTCTTTTCACATCGTCCCACATTTCTTGGAGGCTTTGCTCATTTCTTTTTATTCTTTTTTCTCTAAACTTCCCTTCTCGCTTCATTTCATTCATTTCATCTTCCATTGCTGATACCCTTTCTTCCAGTTGATCGCATCGGCTCCTGAGGCTTCTGCATTCTTCACGTAGTTCTCGAGCCTTGGTTTTCAGCTCCATCAGCTCCTTTAAGCACTTCTCTGTATTGGTTATTCTAGTTATACATTCTTCTAAATTTTTTTCAAAGTTTTCAACTTCTTTGCCTTTGGTTTGAATGTCCTCCCGTAGCTCAGAGTAATTTGATCGTCTGAAGCCTTCCTCTCAGCTCGTCAAAATCATTCTCCATCCAGCTTTGTTCCGTTGCTGGTGAGGAACTGCGTTCCTTTGGAGGAGGAGAGGCGCTCTGCGTTTTAGAGTTTCCAGTTTTTCTGTTCTGTTTTTTCCCCATCTTTGTGGTTTTATCTACTTTTGGTCTTTGATGATGGTGATGTACAGATGGGTTTTTGGTGTGGATGTCCTTTCTGTTTGTTAGTTTTCCTTCTAACAGACAGGACCCTCAGCTGCAGGTCTGTTGGAATACCCTGCCGTGTGAGGTGTCAGTGTGCCCCTGCTGGGGGGTGCCTCCCAGTTAGGCTGCTCGGGGATCAGGGGTCAGGGACCCACTTGAGGAGGCAGTCTGCCTGTTCTCAGATCTCCAGCTGCGTGCTGGGAGAACCACTGCTCTCTTCAAAGCTGTCAGACAGGGACATTTAAGTCTGCAGAGGTTACTGCTGTCTTTTTGTTTGTCTGTGCCCTGCCCCCAGAGGTGGAGCCTACAGAGGCAGGCAGGCCTCCTTGAGCTGTGGTGGGCTCCACCCAGTTGGAGCTTCCCGGCTGCTTTGTTTACCTAATCAAGCCTGGGCAATGGCGGGCGCCCCTCCCCCAGCCTGGCTGCCGCCTTGCAGTTTGATCTCAGACTGCTGTGCTAGCAATCAGCGAGATGCCGTGGGCGTAGGACCCTCCGAGCCAGGTGTGGGATATAGTCTCGTCGTGCGCCGTTTTTTAAGCCGGTCTGAAAAGCGCAATATTCGGGTGGGAGTGACCCGATTTTCCAGGTGCGTCCGTCACCCCTTTCTTTGACTCGGAAAGGGAACTCCCTGACCCCTTGCGCTTCCCAGGTGAGGGAATGCCTCGCCCTGCTTTGGCTTGCGCACGGTGCGCGCACCCACTGGCCTGCGCCCACTGTCTGGCACTCCCTAGTGAGATGAACCCGGTACCTCAGATGGAAATGCAGAAATCACCCGTCTTCTGTGTCGCTCACGCTGGGAGCTGTAGACCGGAGCTGTTCCTATTTGGCCATCTTGGCTCCTCCCCTATGATAGGTAATTTTTAAAATTTTATCTTGGACATTTTGTCTATTATGTTAGGAAAGTCTAGGTCCTATTTTCATATTTTTTTTTCATCAAGCATCTCTTTTTTGACATGTAGTACAAGGGGTGGGTGTGTTTGTATGTTCAGCTTCCCACTGGACCTTACCCACACCACTCCAGCAAAAGTGGAGCACTTACCACGCTGCCTCAAGGCAGATGGGTGGTATGGAAACTGCTTCCCGCTTAGCCCCACTGACTCATCCCTCATGAAAGGTGAACATTGCATGCTACCACTTTATTGACAGTAAGTGGAGATGTAAGCTCAGCTCCCAGCTGGGCCCTGGAGCCCCCAGATCAGGGGGAAGTGGAGGACTGACTCACACTGCTTAGTTGCTGCACATGGAGGCAGAATTTCAGCTTCCTGTTGGCCCCACTGACACAAGGGGAGGGAAGAAGAAGCATAATGTCAACTACTTTGTTTCATATCACTTCATTCAGCCTCCTTGGTTGGTATGAAGGCTTAGCTCTCTACTGGGCCCAGCTGACACAGGCTCATGGGAGAAGCGGGACAAAGTACTGACTAGGCGCTCTTTGCCCTACCTCATTTAGTCTTGGCTTTGCCAGTGGATGTGGAGGTCAAGCTTCTCATTGAGCATTGCTGACCCCATGGATGGCAGGAAGTGGGATCCCTACAAGCCCTAACTTGAATCACCTTGTTCAGTTGTAATGATGCTGGGTGGGTATAGAGATTCAGCTCCCCACTGGGTCTCTCTGACACCAGAGGCAAGAGGTGAAGCCTAATGGTGACTAACCCTGCCTCATTCTGCCTCATTGAGCCCTGTTGCTACTGGGTAGGGATTTAGGTTCAACTTGTCATTGGATCCCACAGAAAGAACCCTGGTGGAGGAATTGGAATCGTGCCTGTGTCTTCCACTTAGGGAATTGATGATTACCTTCCCACTGAGCCGTGCTGACACTACCCCAGCAGAGGAATCACCATTGACTGGCTCTGCTGGCCAAAAGATCAGCTAGTTGCTGAGCCTTTTTTGATACCACTTGGCAGGGGAATCAGAGTTCTGCATGGTTCTACCCAGTGAGGAATGCCCACTCTCTTGTGGATACTACTCAAACAGGGAATGGGTCACTTTGACTAAGAGCTGGGGGAGAGAGAATCCTATCTCCTTAGCTATGCCTACCCAGAAAGGAGCTTCTCTCATGCTGAGCTGGGATGAGGGGAAGAGAAGGAGCAGATTATGGCACAGACTTTAGCTATTCTTGCTGTGATTTAGTAGGTTTCTTAATAAATCTTTATTTACTATATTCACCTAGGATAATTTCAAGTGACTTTGAGGGGTTGTTTTTTTTAATCATCTTTACCAGTTATGTTTGTTTTCTTGGGAAGCAGGTATGGGAAATTCCTTACATGCTGTTTTCTTCTCAGAGTCCTCCTGTGTTCGTTTTTAAAATCTGATCACACTTTTTAAAGTATGATTATTGGATCATCCTGCATCTTTTTATGTTTTAGTGTAGTAGCAACTCCTGTGATGACATATGGTCATCTGGAGGGTCTTATAAATGAGTGGAACCTTGAGCTGGAAGATCAAGAGAAGTACTTTCTTCTCCAGGCCACTCAGGTCAATGCTTGGGACCATACATTGATTGAGAATGGTGAGATGGTAAGAAAATATTTTCATTAATCTACCTACATTGTGCAAGTATTTGCAGATGAACACAAGAAAATAGACCTGTGTTTTGTGGTTTTCTTTGTTGTTGTTGTTTTGTTTATGTTTTTGTTTTTTGAGACAGGGTCTTGCTCTATCACCTAGGCTGGAGCACAGTGGTGCAATTACAGCTCACTGCAGCCTCGATCTCCCTGGCTCAAGCAATTCTCCCACCTCAGCCTCCTAAGTAGCTGGGACCACAGGGGCACACCAGCACCCCCAGCTAACTGTGTGTGTGTTTTTTCAGTAGGGATAGGGTCCCACTGCGTTGTCCAGTCTGGTCTCAAACTCCTAGGCTCAAGTGATCCTCCTGCCTCAGCCTCCCAAAGTGCTGGGATTATAGGCATGAGCCACCATACCCAGCCCTGTGGTTAATTTTCTATTCCAATATTGGTGAGCAGCTCAAAGTATATTCCTTAGGCAATAAGTACCCTGAATAAAAGGAAATCTTTCATATTTGAAGTGTATTTGAGAAAATTAATATTGCTCTAAAATTGTTATATAAATTCAAATACTTATATTGTTGTATTCATATTTCTCTTTATAGATTCGTATTTTACATGGAGAAGTGAACAAAGTGAAACTGGATCAGAAAAGGTAGAACCTTAGATTTCCTTGGTTGAAAGATTAAAGACCTATCTTTTTATTCAGTGTTTTTTTTTTCCTTCTGTAGTTTGTTAACTCTTTTCTTTTTGTCACTCCAAATTCCTTTCATCAGCCTTTTTATTAACTTATTTTATTCAGATTGGAACAAGAATTGGATTTTATCCTGTCACAGCAGCAGGAACTAGAATTTCTGTTGACTTATTTAGAGGAGTCTACGCGTGACCAGAGTGGACTTCATTATCTGCAGGATGCAGATGAGGAGCATGTGGAGATGTAAGTAACTGAAAAAAGATTGAAGAATGGGGCAGGACTTACGTATTCTGAGAGCATTCCAGGAACAGAGGGGAAAAGTCGAATTGGAAGGCAAGGAATACAAATCGGTAGAAAGGGACAAGCTTTTGTAGTTGACATTTATCAATTTGTTTGATTGTTTTCTGGTTATCTTTTCTGGATGCTTGTAAATGAGGAAATCATTCTGGCAATTTTGTTTTATAGCATTTTGTTTACTGTTATTACTGTCAACCTTATGCATGTTCACTGTAAAGTTTTTGTATTTGTCAAATTTGTTCTTAAATTAGAAGTACAAATTTTATGTGTATGGTGTCATGGTATTGTGGGATATTTATGGTCTCCTCTTTATGTTGATTCTGCTAAAACTAATAGTCATGCAATTGCTTTAGTGATAAATCATTTGCTATTTTAAAGGCAATTTGTTAATCTGGAGGCAAACTGTATAGCTTTCAAAAATGGAGTGATTTTGTCAATGTCTTAGGAGGGCTATATTTTATTTGTGAACTCTTCAGTCTTTACCTTCTGTCAATACAGTGCCAGTATTCCCAAAGTAACTTTATTTCTCTGGAACTGAGGTTTGGTAATTGGCCAATTTATTAAGTATTAGAATTTGTATGAATGAACAACATAATCTAGATTGAGACTAAATTGGACACATTTTATCAATGACTTATTATGAGTTAAGACTGGGCCTGTTTTTAACATGCTTGCAAGTTAACTTTTTTGTAGGCGCATTAAATGTGGTAAGTACAACTAATCTATACTAACCTAAATCAGTTTCTGCTTTTGTATTTCAACCTTTGTGAATTTTTCTTTTCTTTGTATTGCTTTCTATGCATTCTATCATTTTTTTGAAACATATAGAGTTACATTTTTGGCCATAAGATCCTAACTGTAGTTTGAAGAAATCTTCATGACATTAGTTCCTTTCCAGTTGCTCCTTTGTAGTCATATATATATATATATCTGAATATATATATATCTGAATATATATATATATATCTGAATATATATATATCTGAATATATATATATATCTGAATATATATATATATCTGAATATATATATATATATCTGAATATATATATATATATATATATATATCTGAATATATATATATATTCAAGATGAAGTCTTGCTCTGTCGCCCAGGCTGGAATGCAGTGGCACGATCTCGGCTCACTGCAACCTCTGCCTCCTGGGTTCAAGCGATTCTTCTGCCTCAGCGTCCTGAGTAGCTGGGATTACAGGCATGCGCCACCACACCCAGCTAATTTTTTGTATTTTTAGTAGGGACCGGGTTTCACCATGTTGGCCAGGCTGGTCTCGAACTCCTGACTTCATGATCCACTCCCCTCGGGCTCCCAAAGTGCTGGGATTACAGGCATGAGCCACCGCGCCCGGCCCAGATTTGTATTGTGATGAAATATTTACCAGAATCTTCAATAATGTAGGCAACCAATTCTATGGCATAAGTACTATGCCATAGAAAGGCAGTAGATAGTTGTTACCTACAAATCTAATTGACTCTTTCAATCTTTATACACATTAAGGTTGAAAAATCCTCTGGCCACTTTAATTCTCATAAACATATTTATTGACTGGGTCGTGTGTGTGTGTGTGTGTGTGTGTGTGTGTGGTTTGGGTGGAAATCTCGAGAATTTAGGCAACTAACTTGTGAACTTAGCAGGTTTGTCTATCTTTGATTATTGTGAAGCTCATTTCTCAAAACATCTTTTTTGCCTGATGAAGTATATTTATATGAGGTTTTATTTTGAAAATTTGTGTATTCAAGATCATTGAAGACATCTCAGCATCTATTGAATATTGCCAAACCCTAAATAACTTCTCTTTTGTATGTAAATGTGCTATAGGTGTATTTTGACACCTTAAAGGATTCCTTTGCTCTACAGATCCCCAGGGTATTCACCTAGAGGATAAATAGGTGAAGGTAAAAAGGCAAGGTAGATAAAAGTCTTCTCATTTGGAGTCTTTTTAGAACATGGTAATAATAACGTCACAAATGCTGCATCCATGAAAATATATCAGTAGTCATAACTGAGCTCCACTGAAAAGACAGGGGAATTAGGGCAAATCCAATTGGTAGTGTCATGTTTATATATCAATAACAATAGGTAGTGGAGAAAACACTTTTTGTTAATCCCTTTATTTTACTTGCCTTTTCAGTTACAGATTAGCAGAAAGTATAGATGCTCAGCTGAAACAAATGGCCCAAGATCTCAAGGACGTTGTTAATCACCTGAATACATTTGAAAGTTCTTCTGACACTACTGATCCGGTGTGTTTACTGCTTTGTGTACTTAGGCAACCAAGATTTAGTATGAAATTAGCATACAGCCAGGTATGGTGGCTCATGCCTATAACCCCAGCACTTCGGTAGGCCGAGGCAAGAGAACTGTTTTAGGCCAAGAGTTTGAGACCAGCCTGGGCAACATAGTGAGACCCTGTCTCTATCAAAAATGAAAAAATCTATCTGGGCATGGTGGTACATACCTATAGTCCTACCTACTCTGGAGGCTGAGGTGAGAGGATCACTTGAGCCCAGGAGTTGAAAGCTGCAGTGAGCTATGCTTGCACCACTGTGCTCTAGCCTGGGTGACAGAGTGAGATCCTGTCTCTAGAAAGAAATTAGCATTCTGTGGTTCTTTTAAGCTAGTCCCTTTTTTCCGTCTTCTATAGTGTTTCTTCCTGCCTCTAGAAATATGAAGCCCCTTGGGTGTGGTTAGTGGAGCAGGAAACATCTAGAGGCAGAAAAGGTTGTGAGTTTTTTGTGGTTATTCCCAGGAAGGTGAAAATATTACTCTTCCCTAAGTTGTCATGCTTTTCTCCCTTATTCTTCACATAACTAAGTATGTACCTGTATTTATTTTTCTGTTCACTTACTAGCCAGTTCATTCTTCTTTTTACATATTTGTTTACATACTTATATAAGTGTTAGTAGGTATGCTTGTGTCTGTTCAACACAACCAGGCAATCCTTAATTTATGGTTAGATTGTATTTTAAAATTTGTTAGGTTGACTATTTGAGACTTTACATTTTTCTATAGAAACTTGGTGAAATATGGTTATTAGGTTTACACCTGCCCCCACAGAATACTATTTAGCTCATAATAAATGTATTATATCAGTGGAATTACAGCTGAGGCTCCAATTAGAGTTAAGGTGCTGTGAATTAATTTGGCAGTAAGAAAGAATTGTTTTTTTTTTCTTTCTCTATACTCTGATTAAACAGCTTATTTCCTGTACCTTTCCCTGTTGTCTTAGCAGCTAAATGGAGTCCTCCTTTTCCCGCTCCCACTCTGTGGCAGTAGTAGTAAGAGGGATCTCCCATTGTGGGAGTTCCCATTGTGCTTTCTATCAGTTAATCATAATCAGGAGTGAGGCCAGGATCGGGTAGGTGAAGATGAATGACATATATGTAAGTGGTGATTATTCTTTAGTAAGCTCTTTGTTCAATTATATACAGACAGTTCTTTATCTACATACACATTACCATTTTTTAAATTATGAAGATACAGTGTGTTATAGCTGAGAAAGTATTAGAATTTTGTTTAAGTCATTTAATCTCTCTGGGTCTTGGCTCCTTCTTTTTGCAAAATGTCAAGGATAGACTAAATGATCTGTAGGTCCCTTCCCGCTATAAAAATTATGCCATTCTGTACTTTGGGTGAATCTAAAGTTGAACAAAGACAAATATAAATTAATCTGAAATTATTCATGCTACCATGTCCCTGTGTTCACACAAATGATCAAGAGTTTACAAAATACAGATTTTCTCTTAATGAAATATTAGATTACCATTGTAATTCCAAAATTCAAAATTGTTTTGTTGTAATAGAATTTTGGTGCATAGGTAAATATATGCAGATTTAGACATTCAGCAGAGTTGATTTCTAGTTTCTCTGTGTTGAATTAATATAAGTGGAGTGTTCTCAATCAAGTAACTAAAAGGAGACTATAATTCTGTCTTTGTCCATTTTCTCTACTTAGCCCTGGATTGTTTTATTTTATTTTAGTAGTGGGTAGTAAATGGTTTGAGTCTTTTTGTTTTCCTGGCAGGGGTGATTGGGATGTTTAAGATGAGTCAATTAAAGGGTAATTGCTGTTTGATTGCAGAATAAAAGAAGAAAGAGATCACTGACAGCTCTTTTTGCAGATAGCATAAATCCTTGGACAAGAAACGGGAAAAACATTTTCTGAACAATAATATTCCTGTAGATAATTTATTTTAACCGGATTAACAAAGCTTTATTACTCTGGGTCATATACTAGGGTAGAAAAATAGGAGCTATGTGTTCCAGTATTCACGGTGATGAGATTTATCTATTTTTATTCCCCCTTTTTTTGTGAGCGGCAATGGGAAAGACCACCTAATGTCTAAAAGTTTTATTAAGTAAGTTCATATTATGCACTGTGTTATTCAGTCACATTTTCTTACAAAATCCATAAGGAAAATTAAGTCATCTATATTAACAGTACCCTGATAATATACTGGTGTATTTCTTTCTAGTCTTTTTTGCTATGCTGCTAAAAATACTTCTTTTGTATTAAAGAGTACTGGAAACTATATAACTTTTTGTATTCTATCTTCACTTAATATTCTTTCATGGTCTTTCCCAAAAATTTTAACCATTCTTTGAAAACATGAGTTTTAATGGTACTATAATGTTTCATCAGGGTTGACTTTACCATGATCTATTTAATCATTTTTTGATTGGTAGAGATATTGTTTCCAATCTTTAGCCAATATAAAATAGTCCAGTAATCACCACTTATATTTAGATTTGATTATCTCCTCTGGATAACGGAAATAGAATATACTGACTGAGTCAAAAGGTATGAATATTTTAAAGCTTTTGATATGTATCATAAAAATTTACATTTTGAAAGGTTGGGTCAATTTATATTACTATTGGCTATATATGAATGTAACTATTTTTTCCCACACACTCGATAACTGAGTAAGACCATTTTTAAAAAATTGCTGATTTGGTTGACAACTGGTGCTATTTTTAATTTTTTTATGTGAATTCATTGTCTTGTGAAATGTGTCTTAATGTTCTTTATACTGTGGTAGTCAGTTTCTTATTGAATTGTAGGTATCCAATTCATGATAGTTACAAATAATTAAATTGAACCAATATATAAAGATAATGAACATTGCAAATATGAATTAGCAACAAAAAAATTAGTATTTAGTAATTCTCAGTCCATTTCTTACCAGAAGAAATTAAAAGTCACTTCCTAATGTCAATTTCTTATGTTTATTTTTTATTTACCACCTCAGAATAATCATAATCTAAAAGTCTTATATGTATTTTTAGCTCCACCAGATCTGCAGAATTCTGAATGCCCATATGGACTCCCTGCAGTGGATTGATCGGAATTCAGGTGGGAGTTTGCTTGTATGCCACTCTGTGTATTTATTGCAAGTAGAAAACGTGATACATGTCAGTTGTATGCTCCATGACCAAACTCATATAAAAGCTGTTGTATGGGTGTTGCTTAACGCACAGTATGTGTATTATAGTTCTGAAAAACTGTAATTCCTTATTTTTTTAAATGAAGTACACATGGGATAAACTAGAAATTAATGAAAATAGAGGATGGATAGGAATGGGGCACATAGAATTGGGATAGAAGCAAGACTTCTATGAATATGCCTTTTTACACAGTTTTGACTTGGGGGCCATATAAATGTTTTACATACCAAAAAATTAGAATTAAGTCAAAAATAATGAGAAGGAAGACAAATACTAAAATTGAATACATACTGAAACTAAACAAACCTACATAACTAATTTATAACAATCGCCCAGTTCAGATAACTTTTGAACATAGTGTTCTTGATGATGCATCCTTCTAGGAGGTCATCTTAAGGATATAAGGAACATCAGGGAAATTTTAAACTTTCTCTTAATAGGTTTATTATTAGTTTCAGAATTATAATACCAGTATTACTACCATTTCATATATATTGAGAAATAAAGTAAAGCATATTAGTGATAATAGAAGTCAAGATTTTCATTGAAAGTCAAAGAGATACAAGTTATTTTTCCTCTTCTTTTCTATTTGCATTATAAATTTGAATTTAAGATATGAGTAATGAATTCCTGTTCCTTTGTTCTATACACAGAAATGGCCTAGAAGCAATGACAGACATATCCCAGTGGCAATGAGCACACCTAGAACCTAGATCTTGGTTTCTAAATGCCATTCACACTAAAAGGAACCAAGTCTTCTTGGGGAACTGTCTAATCTCATGCCTCAGGCTGGGAAAGTACAGAGTGAGCTTGAGACTTCTTGTGCAAGAAAGCAATCATTGTTCAGTGACTAATAAGGTTATATCAGGGCACAAGATTGTGCTTGAAGGGACTCCCACTGGCCACATTAGGATGGTTTGAACATCAAAAAGAATAGTAGTAGTAACAGATTATAATAGATTGAGGGAAAATAAAATCTCATGAATCTATAATGATACTCCAAAAAAAAGGAGGTACAGGAGAAAGTCTACAGAAGCATGCCAGCTAATTATTGAAAGAAGGAATGATAAAATTAGAAAACTGCTATTAATAAAACTTTCAACAGAACACTTTCATTAAGCTCACTCTCATCTTGAACACCTGCCTCATTCGTAAAATGTTCAAACTGTCATTTCTTGGCAGAAAAATATGCTAGCAGAAAATGTACCAAATACAGTCTGTAAGTTGCTGAGTTAATTTTTTCAAAACAGTTTTATTGAGGCATAATTTACATACCATAAAGTTCACCCATTTTAATTGTACACTTCAATGAGGAAAAGAGCCATTTTGCAACCCCAGCACAATCATTGATTCAGGCAAGGATCATCAATGAATGCTAAAACCATTGAGTTTAAGATCGCTGGAGAATAGGATATTTATGTGGTCTCAAAAATATCACTCCATAGATTACTGAATAGTTACAAAGGACAAAATGTGCCTTTACAACAGCTATCTAACTTGTACCACTTTAATGAAGTGATCAAACTTAGCCTCTCCAATAGTAGAATAACTGGACTTTATGTGCCTCTTGATCTGACATGATAAGAAGTATACAATACCATTTATGTAGTAGTCTTATCAAAAATGTTTAATTTGAATCTAATCATAAGAAAATAATCAGATATTCCACATGTGAGACATTCTGAAAGATGATGTAGTATTCTTACCCAAAATGTTTAACTTGAATCTAATCTCAGGAAAATAATCAGACATTCTATGTGTGAGACATTCTGAAAGATAATTGGCTTGGACTCTTCAAAAAGTTCGTTATGAGAAAAAAAATTCGAAGCAAGCAAACAAAAATAAGTGGATAGTCTTAGATTAAAAAAGGCATAACATTCAAGTCTACCTTGTTACCCTTGATTAGGTACTGATCAAAACTAAAAAGATATTGTTTAGAATATTGGGGGATTGAATATGGACTGTATATTAAATGATATTAAGGAATTGTTTATTTTACTAGATGTGATAGTTATTGATTATGTAGGAAAAGATCCTTATTCTTAGAAGATTCAGGCTATGTTATTTAGAGAATTCTCATGTCTGTGGTTTACTTTCAGCAAAAATTTGCAAAGAGGAAGATTTAGCAATTTGTGGCAAAATGTTAACAGTGGGTTAATCTAGGTAAAAGGCATACAAGTGTGTGGTTTTTACTATTCTCTCAACTTTCCTATAGACTTAAAAATTGGGGGGTGGAAATCATTTTTATAGACTTTGCCTAAATATGGAATATAATGAAGCCTAAGGAATTAAGACAAATGGGAGCTAGTTAACCAGAGTTAACTACTTTTAAAGATGTGGCCTTAAAATAATACAAATTTTATTATTTGGCATGCTAGATTTTTCATTTTCTGCATTAATAGAGGTCATCAACCATGAACTTCTTCAGCTTCTTTCCCTTCCAGACATACCTATATCATCATTCATCTTTACTTCCTTCTCTCCTGTGTTAAGGAAAAAATATTCTATCAATTTTGAAACTATTTTGAATTATCAGAGGGAGGTTAAATTCTATATCGCTTTAATATTTTTTAAAACTGCCTGATGGGGAGAGTTTCTAAGTCAGATAGATACGGGTTCAAGTCAAGGCATTACCACTTAATTGTTGTGTGACCTTAATTGTTACTTAATCTCTCTGAGTCTGTATCTTCATTTTTAAAATGAGGGATAATATCTATCTTTTAGGGGTTTTGTAAGGATTAAAAGAAGCAATGTCAGTAAATGGTAGTGGCAGAACTGGTTACTGATTATCAGAATTTACTATGTTTGTGTGGTCAGGTAAGAGAAAAGAAGGGTCATGTGATTCAAAAGGTAGCTATTAAATTGGATCTAGAGAAGGTAGTTCCAGGTAGTTTATCACCAAAAACCACTTACCTAGACAGGTTATAAGAACTGCTGAGATGTGAGAGTGTCAGTAACTAGAAAACACTCAGGAATGAGATTAAACAATGCTTGACTTAGTTGTCTTCCTGTCGCATATTTTTCTACAGTGATCAGTGCTTCTCGGGTAGAGTTGAGGAAGGTGTCAAAAAGTAATTTGGGCTGTAGAGAAAAATTATAGTGATTTTTTTCTCTTGGCAGGGATTCTCTTTGTCATAAATGAAATCTCAAGGCTTTCAGCCAGTGTTTCCTTAATAAAATTAAGATTGTTAGCATTGAAAAGGGACTTACTTTATTTAAATGGAGAAACTGTGGCTCAGAGAGGTTGAATGACTTCTTTAAGAACACACAGCTAATTAATGGCAGAGCTAGGACCAGGATCCAGACTTCCTTATTATCAGAATGGTGTTCTTTCTTCTGGTATGCTCTTAAAACAATTGTAATGTAGGATCACTAAATATAAAAACAAATCTTAGTCATGTACCTAATAGTAGAGGACAAAGGTTATCAAAGTATGATAGTACTTTGGATAGGATATAAGTTCTAGGTATCTGGGGAAAGTTCTAAGTAAACACAGGATAAAAAGAGTAAAACAATGAAGAGTAATGATTACTTGGAGTTACTTTTTTGCTAAAAATTCATTTGAGCTGGAGAGGCGATGAGATTTCATATTGGTTCTCAACTGAGACAAAGGAGGCCATGAAAAAGAATGAGAAAAAAAGCCTGGTATTTCTTGACTGTGGGCTCCTTTTTGCCATTCCCACCCAAGGAGACTTTCTTTTTCATATCAGGAAATGACAAGATGAAGAAATTGAGAGTGGCAGGGTTTAATTATGCTGTCTTAAGAGAGGTTGTTTTTTGTTGTTTTATTTTGTTTTTTAGTAGTTAATTGGATCATGTATGCTGAAATGATCTGTGGACTGAAAAGTTTTTTGAGTAAGCTCAATGAATCCATTTATTTCTACTCAAATAATCGTTATAGAAAAAGTAATAGATGTGTTATTTTAACAATACAAATATTATAGTTTTTTACTAAAGAGAAATCTTCAACTTGTATATAATCAAATCTTTATTTTAAAAGGATTCTGGGAAATGTTTTGATAATTCAATATCTTTAATTTTAGTACACATTTTTTTCCATCATAAAACATGACAACTGTTGCACTAAGAAGATCATATATTTAACTAAAAAGTTGGCTCTTTAAAAGTGATTTGGAGGCTGGGCACTGTCTCTCATACCTGCAATCCCAGCACTTCAGGAGGCCAAGGTGGATGGATCGCTTGAGCCCAGGGATTCGAAACCAGCCTGGGCAACAAAGTGAGACCTCATCTCTTAAAAAAAAAATAGCTGGGTGTAGTAGCACACACCTGTGGTTCCAGCTACTTGGGATACTGAGGTAGGAGGTTTGAGCTTGGGAGTTCGAGGCTTCAGTGAGCCATGATTGCATCACTACACCCTAGCCTTGGTGACAGTGAGACTGTGTCTAATAAAAAAGCGTGATTTGGAAATGAAACATTACACTTTAAATATGTTAAAATATTACATAAAAGTCCAGTCAACTTTTCAATATCCATGAATAAGTTACAGAGAACTAGGCCCCTTTCTTTCTCTAACTTATGTGATGGGTTAGATAAGTGATGGGACTGAACTAGAAAGGTGTCAAAGTACTAGATAATTGAATTAAGGAGTGTCTGAACATGTGTAGGTAATGACCAGTTTTTACATTTGATATTTCCCTCCTTTGTTTAACATTAACTATGCCTTTTTTCCTCCCGATCAGTCTAGATAATTGGGAATTAGTAGTAACTATAGTCAAATACCAGTTTCCCCTCTTGTTATTCTCTTTGTAAAAATTTACAACATTATTTTGAGGTTGACTTGATGGCAATGCTGCAGTCACACATCTGTCTTCTGAGTTGGTAGTCATTGAAACTGCAGCAACTCCAGTTCTTCTGGGACCACTTATGACAGAATTGGCAATGCATCTGAACCAATTCGTTACTAGTTTTAAGTATATGGTGCTACTTCTCTTAGAGAGGCAACATGGGGTGAGGGATAGGCATTTTCTGTTTCTTCATATACCAAACCATAATCATGTCTGGTAATATTTATCCAACACCCCAATAAAGGAACGGGCAATGGAAAAATCTTATACTTGTAATTATTTGAAAGTTCACTGAGTATTTTCATGGCATTTTACTTCTTTCATAAAGTATCCCAAAGCTTCAAGACTAAAATATATTTCTTCCACAATTATTGCAGTCTCTTAAGGAATAGAACTGGATAATTATTTAATAGCTGCTCACAACATTTAGGCTGCTATTTAGGGCAGAGTTACTCCTTAGAGTAACTATAAGCACCATAGGGATTTTGTAATATTTCCAAAATAAAATCCCATTAGTACTAAGCTGAATGGCTATGAACACCTTATTTTTTTGGTGCAAAACATTCTTAGTTGTCTCTCATGATTTGACTAACTCTTGCATAAAATGTCATAGGATCATTTTAGAGAAGTAGTTTTGTGTGATATGTAATAATCATACTTTATATTTACCCAGTGTTAATATTTATTGTCTGAGGGTATTGCTTTTAATTAGATTTTTTGGAGTAGGATTTTTTTAAGAAGCTTTGGTGCAGACAAGAAAGATTTTTTAAAAATACATATATTATATGTATTTTTTGAGACAGAGCCTCACTCTGTCACCCAGGCTGGAGTGCAGTGGCATGATCTCGGCTCACTGCAACCTCTGCCTTCCGGTTCAAGTGATTCTGCCTCCCGAGTAGCTGGGACTACAGGCACGCACCACCATACCCGGCTAATTTTTGTATTTTTTGGTAGAGACAGGGTTTCATGGTGTTGGCCAGGCTGGTCTCGAACTCTTGGCTTCAAGTGATCCACCGCCTCGGCCTCCCAAAGTGTGAGGATTACAAGCATGAGCCACCACACTCGGCCTAAAAATATTTTTATTAATTACTTTCATCCATCCCTCTCATATCTGAAGAGTATCAGATGCTGAGATGCCAAAAGATGCCTTTGAATTCCAATTAAGGTGCCTTCTTCCTGTTTCGTCTTCTAGAATAGAATCTGATTTACTGAGCAAGGTTGTTTCATTTACTTCCTCTTTTTCTTTAATTCTTTGGGAAATCTTGGTGGCATTGGTTGATTGGTGAGGTCATCTCTTGTGTTCTTGAGTATAATGTTCCACTTCACCTACTTGAAAAGTGAATGCCCTTGTTCTGCCAGAGATGCGGCAGCAACACAAAGATATCTCTGTTTGTGAGGTTCACTTTTAGCGTCTCTTAACCTCAACAGAGACACTTGGTTGTTCCCAGTGCAGTTAATTGAAAGGTATTTTATGTCTTTCCACTGTTTATTAGCCACTTGCTCATCTTTGTTCCCCTTTACAGACAAAATAGATTTTTTGTCACACCTTTGTCTCTTGATTCTGAAGAACTTCTTGTAGGTTTGATTAGGGTACTAAAATTAGAATTGAGCAAGTATTCAGCTGCTGTTAGGAAAGCACATGTATGTGATGGTTAACATTCTCAGAGCTCCACTTCCCAAACTTCCTTTTCTATATGTAAATCCAGATTTGAAATACACTCAATACATCTGCAAAATTAGATTTCTCACTAATCCTACTTATGTACATTTTGTGCCCAAGTGAATTTCCTCAAGTTGGAGAGACTCCCCAGATGAAATATGTAACATAATTTAAATCACTTCCAAATAGCAGAATATATATTGTTTGTGAGAAGGACGGATTTTTCTCCAAAGTAATTTTATTTCTGTTACTGACCAAAAAACAAACACCGTACACTGGAGTCTTACTCTAATGCTTTTTTTGGGGCCCATCTCAATGGCCACCTCATGGATAAGATAAACTGATGGTATTTCACCAGTTAAACTTTGCCAGATGGGATTCAGATAGGCCAGCCACATTCTAAGCACTTCAGTGTTTGAAGGGACAACAAATAGTATTTGCTGCAATGCCAGTTATTAGCTCAGCATAATACTTTTTATTAAAAAATTGCACAGCATTTGGCAAACAGGTGTACTGTAACAGAAAAAGCACTCTTGTATGGGAATCTAAAGATACAGGTCATAGTAGAAATTCATTAGCTTTGGCCTTTGAGAGGTAACTTA
Source organism: Homo sapiens (assembly GCF_000001405.40). NCBI lineage: Eukaryota > Metazoa > Chordata > Mammalia > Primates > Hominidae > Homo > Homo sapiens. The sequence continues at coordinate 107,140,583 of NC_000023.11, read as the reverse complement.
ACCTTCTTGAGTTTTTAATTATTTGTTCCATCCCAGGGTATTGTGGGTAATATATATGGGCATTTTGAAAACTGAGTGCTATATAATTGGAAGATGTTCTTTTAGATGCCAGTTGAAACAGCACAGTAGCTGTGACTCTAAATACAAAGCATCTACTATATGCCAAGTCATTGTGTATCTCAGTGTAGGAGGTATAAATATTAATGGCACCTCTGCCTTGAACAGATACAAAGTGAGGGGGTAGGGGTATGGTAAAGGAAGAAGAACATAATATTCAGTTGATTTCCTAGAAAAGGTAGAATTTGAAATGAGACTTGAATAAGTAATAATTTCAACAGGATGACTGAATAAAGACCACTTAAGATATAATAATTCTACTACATTTTTCTCCTCTGCCTCCATGAATTCAGGATGCTTTCACCATCTTTTCTTTTTACACTCTTCCTTGAAATGTATTTTTTATTAATTTTGTGTGAAGGGCAGTGCTACACACAAGCAGAATGTCTTGTCACCACCTTAATATATCAGTGGCAAGACCAGTATGTGTATTCTCATGGCAGAAATGGAGCTTTGTACATCTCTGTAAATACTCTTTCTCCCATCAGACATACTTAGCACTAGGAATTCAGGTACATTAATTCTGAGTGTAACTTTGATTTTAATAAACTGGGTATCTTAAAAGAATCTATGAGTAGTGAGAAGACAGTATTCTCTCTTTCATCCTCTTCCCTCTCCCCTCTCCCTGTATCCTTCCCTTCCTCCGTTTCTGAATGAGAAATAAACCTTAATTATGGCAAGCCCCTAAGATTTCAAGGTTGCTTTTAAACAGCCTAACTAACAACCTCACTAACATAGAAGGTAGATTGGACAATAACTGAAACCTTAAAATGTGGCACTGGCTTAGCAGGCAGGCAACAATGAGGAAACATACGGTGAAGGCTGAAAAGATGGCCAGCCATATTAAGCAGTTAGAACAGATTTGGTAAAACTGTTGCCTAACATAAATTGGGGGTCATATTATATGGTTACTGAGCTGGCAGTTGTAGGAAAAGAGGTTGGGAATCAAAACTTATTTGTGTGCGTTGGTCTTTTTTTAATTGAAGTTTCTATTGAGGTAGTTGTAGAATAATATAGAAGTCATGTTAATTCTTTACCTAGTTTTCCTCAGAGGCAACATCTTGCAAAACTGTAGTACAGTATTACAACTAGGATATTCACATTGATAAAATCTAATCTACTTCAGATTTCCCCAGTTTTACTTGTGTGTGTGTATTTAGTTCTGTACAGTTTTATCACATGTAGATTTGTATATCTACCACCATAGTCAAGATACAGAACAGTTTCATACCACATTTCCTCATGTTCCCCCTTTAATCACAGCATCCACCTTCCCTCCCTTCTACCAAGTTCCCTTACCCACCCCTCTACCGCATTTCCTAATTAACTCCTTGGCAACCACAAATCTATTTTCTATTTCTAAAATTCTATCATTTCAAAATACATAAATAGAGTCATACAGCATGTAACCTTTTGGGATTGGCTTTTTTCCCCCTCAGCATAATTCTCCAAAGATTCATTGTGTTTCTGTGTGTATCAATAGTTTGATTCTTTCTATTGCTGAGTAATATTCCATGGTATGGGTATACCGCAGTTGGTTTAACCATTCACCTGTTGCAGGACATCTGGGCTGTTTCCAGTTTTAGGACATTATGAATAAAACTGCTGTGAACATTTATGTACAGGTTCTTTTGTGAATGTAAGTTTTCATTTCTCTGGGATAGATATCCAAGAATACAATTGCTGGATCATATGGTAGTTGTGGGTTTAGACACTGCCACATTATTTTCCAGACTGGCTGTACCATTTTATGTATCCCCCAGCAGTGTATGAGTGATCCAGTTTGTCTGTGTCCTCACCAGCATTTGGTATTTTCGCTATTTTTCATTTTAGCTCTTGTAATGGAGGTGTAGTGATATCAAGGCAGTTTTAAGTTGCATTTCCCTGATGAATGATGGTGCTGAACCTTTTCCTGTACTTACTTCCCATCAGTATAAACTTTTCAGTGAAATGCCTGTTTGTGTCCTCTGTCCATTTTCTAATCAAATTGTTTATTTTTTACTGTTGTGTTTTGAGAATCTTCATGTGTTCTAGATGCAAGTCTTTTGTCACATATGTGGTTTGCAAATATTTTCTCGCAGTCTGTAGCCTATCTATTCATTTTCTTAGTAGAGTTGTTCACAGAACAAAGTTTTTTAATTTTGATGCAATGCATTTGATCAGTTTTATTTTATGGATTATGTTTATGGTGTCCAGTCTAAGAACTTTTTGCCTAGCCCCATATCCCCAAGATTTTTTCCTATATCTTTTTTCTACAAGTTTTATCATTTTACATTTAAGGCTGTGACCCATTTTGATTTAATTTTTATATAAGATAGGAGGCTTAGATTAAGATTCTTCTTTTTTTTCCTACAAATATCCAGTTGTTCCAGCACCATTTTTGAAAAAGTATCCTTCCTCAATTAAATTGCTTTTGTGCCTTAAAAAACAACAACAACAAAAAACCTGTTTGACATATTTGTGTGGGTCTTTTTCTGAGGTCTCTATACTATGGGTCTATGTGTCTTTCCCCCAATGCTTTCATTACTATAGCCATACAGTAAGAAGCCTTAGTATCTGGTAGAATGATTCTTCTCACTTTATTCTACTCTGTCAAGATTGTTTTAGTTTCCATGAAAATGTCCTGGGATTTGATAGGAATTGCATTTAACCTATAGATCAATTTGGGGAGAATTAACATCTTTACTGTGTTGAGTCTTCCCATCTATGAACATATGTCCCAAAATTTATCTAGGTGTTCTTTGATTTCTTTTATGAGCATTTTGTAATTTTCATCACCCACATCACATACATGTTTTGGTTTTGTTAGATTTATACCTTAGTATTTTATTACTTTGTAGTGATTATGAATGGTATTATGTTACGCAAGTTTTTGTTAGTGTAAAATCAACACAATTTTTGTGTGTTGATTTTATATCTTTTGACATTGCTGAACTCACTTGTTAGTTCTAGGCGGTTTTTTTGTGTGGATTCCTCGGAATTTTCCTTATAGACAGTTATGTCATCTGCAAATAGAGTATTATTTCTTCCTTTCCAATCTGTATGTCATTTATTTCTTTTTCTTGTCTTTTTGCACTGGCTAGAACTTCCAGTATACTATGTTGAGTAGTAGTGATAAGAGCAGACATCCTTGCCTTGTTCCTGATCTTATGTGGAAAGTCTTCAGTCTTTCACCTTAAGTATGATGTTATTTGTAGATTTTTTTTGTAGACGCCCTTTATCAAGTTGAGGTAATTCCCCTCTGGGAGTTTTTGTTTGTTTGTTTGTTTTACCATGAACAGGTACTGGATTTTGTCAAAATTCCTTTTCTGTAGCAATTGACATAATCATGATTTTTCTTCTTTAACTCATGATACAGTGGATTACATTGAGATATAATAATTTTATTTTATTTTATGTTTTGAGACAGAGTTTCACTCTTGTTGCCCAGGCTGGAGTGCAATGGTGCAAACTTGGCTCACTGCAACATCCGCCTCCCAGGTTCAAGCGATTCTCCTGCCTCAGCCTCCCAAATAGCTGGGATTACAGACGTGCCACCACACCCAGCTAATTTTGTATTTTTAGTAGAGACAGAGTTTCACCTTGTTGGTCAGGCTGCTCTCGAACTCCTGACATCTGGTGATCCACCCACCTCAGCCTCCCAAAGTGCTGGGATTACAGGCATGAGCCACCACGCCCAGCCTACGTTGATATATTTTCAATCTTGAGTCAGCCTTACATATGTGGAATAAATTCTACTTGGTCAGGGTTTATAATTCCTTTTATACATTGTAGCCAAATACATCTAGTCTTTTGTTGAGGATTTTTAAATGTATGAGAGATTTTTCAAGTGTTCATGATATGTATTGGTTGGTAGTTTGGGGCATTTTTTGTTTTGTTTTCTTTTGCTGTTTCTGCCAGGTTTTGGTAATAGTATAATACTGGCCTTTATTTTTTAGAAGGATTTGTGAATAATTGGTATTAATTCTTCTTTAAGTGCTTGGTAGAATTTTCCAGTAAAGTTATCTGGGCCTGGATATTTTGTTTTTGAGAGCTTTTAAGTTACAAATGGAATTTCTTTAATGTTTCCAGGACTATTCAGATTATCTGTTTCATCTTGGTTGAGATCTCATAGTTTGTAGTCTTTTAGGAATTGGTGCATTCCTGCTAAGTGGTTGACTTTATGAGTATAAATTTGTTGATAGGATTTCCTTTTTACCCTTTTAATGGCAGTAGGATCTGTAGTGGTATACCCTGTTTCCTGGTTTTGGTGATTTGTGTTTTCTCTATTTTTTTTTCTGTCTTGCTAGAGGTTTATTAATTTTATTGATTTTTTTCAGAGTCAGCTTTTTGTCTCGATGTTTTTCTGTGATTTTTCTGTTTGCAATTTCATTGATAACAACTCTTTGTTATTTTCTTCATTCTGCTTGCTTTGGGTTAATTTTGCTCTTTTTCTGTTTTCTTAAGGTAAGAACTTAAGATTATTGATTTGCAAACTCTCCTTCTTTTTAATAAGTGACTTATGGGTTGGAGGGTAGCATATACAGCGTGGGTGTTGTTAGACAAAGGGATGATTCACATCCTGGGTGGGGCAGAGCTGAACTGTGTAAGATTTCATCACACTACTCAGAATGGTGCACAATTTAAAACTTATACATGGTTTATTTCTAGAAATTTTTATTTAACATTTTCTGACCACAGTTGACCACTGGTAACTGAAATCACGTAAAGTGAAACCATGCCTAAGGGAGGACTACTGCATTCTCCTTATTTATTTATTTATTTATTTTTGCCAACGCGCCCAGCTAAGGGCTCATTTTTAATCATAAATAATATTGCCTAATATTACAGCTGACATTCCATTATTACCTTGCCTAGTAGGTTTCCAGAGAAACAGTGTTGAAAGCCAAACTCGAGGTCATTTCACCAGGGAGAAAGAAAAGGTTTTATTAACCCTTTACTCATAGCAGTCCAGGGTAATCTCACAGTATCAGGACCCAGTCTCCTATATTGCTGCTCTGCCATTCATGGCTTCTATTTCCAAGGTTACTTTGAAGTCCAAGAATCCTGCTGGAGCTCTAGCTACCACATCCATGTTCTAGCAGGAACAGAAGATGAGCCCACCTGCTTCCCCTTAAGCCTTTAAGTTTAAAGAAACTTCCCAGAAGCACCACTAAGCACTTGTTATTTTCTTTTTTCTTTTTTTTCCCATCACTCAGCACTTCTTATTCCATGTCAATTCCAGAACTTAGTCATATGACCACATGTATCTGCAAGGAAAGCTAGGCACATTGCTAACCTGAATAAATTATGGGATTCTGATACAAAGCAAAAAAGGGAGAACAGATCATTGGGTCAGGCAATTAGCATGCTCTCCTATACATACATAAGGGGGAAACAATAAGCTTTTTATTAAAAGCTGAGACTAAAAAAATGTCACATAAATTAGCTGGGCATGGTGGCACATGCCTATAATCCCAGCTACTTGGGAGGCCGAGGCATGATAATCGCTTGAACCTGGGAGGCAGAGGTTGCGGTGAGCCAAGATCATGCCACCGCACTCCAGCCTGGGCAACAAGAGTGACAGACTATCAAAAAATAAAAAAATTAAAAAGTCATGTAGACATTGGGATATAGATGATTGCTTATAATCATCTGCTTATGATTTTAAAATGCTTTTTATCAAGGTAAGTCATTTTCCAATGAAATACAAAACTTTTGAAAGAAAAAAATTCTTTGGGCCAGGCATGATGGCTCACACCTGTAATTATAGCACCTTGTCGAGGCAGGAGGACCACTTGAGCTCATGAGTCCGACACCAGCCTGGGCAACACGACAAAACCCCGTCTCTACAAAAAATACAAAAATAAGCTGGGCATGGTCGCACACGCCTGTAGTCCCAGCCACTAGGGAGGCTGAGGTGGGAGGATGGCTTAAGCCCAGGAGGCGGAGGTTGCAGTGAGCCCAGACTGCGCCACTGCACTACAGCCTGGGCGACAGAGCCAGAACTTGATTTAAAAAAAAATTATTCATCCTAGAACGTTAGCTCTCTAATCTGTTAAAATAGTTTTATCTCCATCAATTGTGAGATGTAATTAACATGAGGTATATTTTAACTTACTGGTGCTAGGTTAAACTATAGGAAATTGCTGTTTTTTGTAGTCAGAAACAATAAAATATTGGCAATTTTACACAGGTCAACCTGTAACAAAGTATCAAAGGGTGTGAATAATTTACTTAAAAAATATAAACTAGCACAGATTTAGTTTACTGCCATGATAAAATGACTAATACAGCTGAATTTCAATAATCTTTCTCAAGTGGGAAAGGAGCAAAATTACATCTGGAATATTTGGAATTGTTCCTTTATCCTTAAGCACTTCAAAATTCTTTTTCTGTTCCTAGATAAAATACTTATTGTAGTAGACTAAAAATAGGCCCCAAAGACTTCCATGCCCTAATCCCTAGTATTATGCCTGTGTATGTTAAATGACCTAGCAAAAGAGACTTTGCAGATGGAATTAATGTTGTTTTGTTTTGTTTTGTCTTTGAGATGGAGTCTCGCTCTGTCGCCCAGGTTGGAGTGCAGTGGTGCAATCTCAGCTCACTGCAACCTCCACCTCCCGGGCTCAAGCAATTCTCCCACCCCAGCACCCTGAGTAGCCGGGACCACAGGTGTGTGCCACCATACCTGGATAATTTTTGTATTTTTAGTAGAGACGGGGTTTCACCATGTTGGCCAGGCTGGTTTCAAACTCCTGACCTCGTGATCCACCCGCCTCGCCTCCCAAAGTGCCGGGATCACAGGCGTGAGCCACTGCGCCCGGCCAGAATTAATCTTATACACCTTCAGCAGGGTGCAGTGGTTCATGCCTGCAATCCCAGCACATTGAGAGGCCAAGACAGGAGGATCACCAGAGCCCAGGAGTTCAAGACCAGCCTGGGCAACATAATGAGAACCCATCTCTTAAAAAAAATGTAAAAAAACAGCCAGGCATGGTGGTGTGTGCCTGCAGTCCCACCCACTCAGGAGGCTGAGGTGGGAGGACTGCCTGAGCCCGGGAGTTCAAGGCTGTAGTAAGCCGCGGTCATGCTACTGCACTCCAGCCTGGGCGACAGAGCGAGACCCTGTCCCAAAGGAAAAAAAAAAAAGTTATCGATCTTAAAATAGGGAGATTATCCACGTGGGCCCAGAGTAATCAAATAGACATTTAACAGTAGGAATGGAAGACAGCAGGGTAGGTCAGAGAGAGGGATGATGGAAGAAGTAACAGGAATGATTCAAAATGGGAGAGGGACTTCACCCACTATTGCAGGCTCTGAAGAAAAGGGGATCATGAGCCAAGGAATGAAGGCAGCCTTCAGAAGCTAGAAATGACCCTCAGCTAACAGACAGCAAGGAAAGGAGACTTTGATCCTTCAACTGCAAAGAACTGAATTCTGCCAACAACTGAATAAACAAGGAAATGGATTTGCCCCCAACCCCAAAAACTCCATAAAGGAATGCATTCCTGCCAGCACTTTGAATTTAGGCCAGGTAAGACCCGTTGTCACACTTTTCACCTACAAAACTATAAGACAATACATTTGTGTTAACTCACTGAGTTTGAAGTAATTTGTAACAGCCTCAAAGGAAAACTTATATACTTAACTTAATAAAACCTCGAATTTAAAGGACTCAGAAGGGTCCCTAAAGTCATTTACAAGTATTTCATTTTACTTATTTTTTGAGACAGGGTCTCACTGTGTCACCCAGGCAAGAGTACAGAGGCGCAAACGCAGCTCACTGCAGCCTCGACCTCCCATCCCAGGCCATCCTCCCAGGCCAGCTGCCCAGTAGCTGGTACCACAGGCATACGACACTATGTCCAGCTAATTCTAAAAAATTTTTTGTAGAGACGGGGCCTCCCCACGTTACCCAGACTGGTCTCAAACTCCTAGGTCCAAGTGATCCTCCCACCTCGGCCTCCCAAAGTGCTGAGATTACAGGTGTGAGCCACTGCACCCAGCCCAAACTGTATTTTAAAAATCCAATTCATGTCTGGTCCCAAATGATTCTGGTAAAATAAGTTGTGTTATGACTGGATATGTGTGTATAGCCAGTAAAATGCAATAAAACATTAAAAGACTGAAAGCTACACAGCAATTATTTTTATGTAAGAACTCTAAAAAGTTCTTGACAAGTTATTATGGGAAACATTTCATCTAGGAGTGATTTCTAAGGCAGCATTTGAGTTTCCATAAAAACAGAACTTTCTCAGAAGGTATATCAATAAGAGGACCAGAATCTTCTATTTCCAAGTGCATTGGTTTCTCCTGTTCACAACTCAGGTTTGAACTCTCGTTCATTTGAATCTTTTCCTCTTCCAATTCCAAAGATTTATCTGGGGCTGAAGCTACCACTTCTTCGTCTTCATTTTCATGTAGAAAGCTACAAATCATGTTGGGTCGATAGGAGAAATCATTATCCTTTATTTGCAACCATTCCATCCCACCTATGTTTTCTTCTCCTTCCTTCTTCTCTGTCAGAAGAGTTCTTGTCATGCTGAGCTTCTTCATTGTATGACATTTATATTTTAACACTGTTTTATTATTGCCTTCTGTATCAGCATGTTCAACATTTTCTTCAAATATAACACAGGTCCCAAGAGTGTCTTCATACTCCCCAGCAAAGACACAGCTGTCCACTTGCAGAATGGGCCTCTCAGTGTCAATGCCCAAAACCTTGCATTTATTTTCACATTTGAGAGAAAGTCTGAATCAATAATTCCTGATAATTCCACTAGAACCAACTGCTCCTCCTCTTCCTCCTCTTCTCCATCCTCCAGATCCCGCTAGTCGGCCGCGGCCTTGGTCCCGCGGCGCCTCGCCTACTAGTCACTGGCGACGCGGAGCTGCCATCTTGAGTACCGGCCCTACATTCTCTTTTAAGGCATTTCTGATAATCAGCAATTTAAAAACCCTAGTTGTTATCGCCAACTGTCAATTTCACTAATGGTTCCTTTACTATCCATTATAAAGCTCCATGTTAACAAACATCTGCACATAGATATCCCAAAGGCTCAAATTAAACTTGTCTAAAACTAAACTCCTTATTTTCATATTCTCCCGGGTCTCCCAGATCTGTAACTCCTTTTCTTTTTCTCAGCAAAAGACTGCTGCTATTTACTCAGGAATCTAAAGCAGGCTATTTCTATTTCTTCAGTAAGTGATGATGATTATACTTCTTAAATAGCTCTTGAATCCTTTCTCTTCACTAGTTTCCCACTACCACATCCCTATTTCAGGCTTTCTTTGTCCCCCACCTTGAAAATATAATTTTTTTCAGGTTTATGAAAAACATCAGCTCCTTGTCCATACCTTATTTTCTTACTCCCTAGGGGCAATCACTTTCAATTATGTTAGCTAAATTTTGCAACTATTTATTTTTATATTTTTAAACATCATGTAGTGTTACTTTTTAGTTTTTCCGTATTAGGCCTTCTCTACTGACTTTCCAAAATGGGTGGAGGGGAGGATTTAACTCTTTTACATCATATATACATATATACACACACACACATTTTCCTCATCCTAATATGTATATATTATAAATTTCACATAAATCAATATTTAATATTTGGATTATGATTGCATAAATGTTATTTGCAGCCTGGCCATGTAGTATACTATATTATGTCTTCTTCCTTTTACAAGTTTTATTTTCCTTTGAGTCTTATTTCTTTATTTACTTAGTTTTCTATATACTTTTCTAAGTCCCTGCTTTTACTGTAAATCTATCAGTTGCCTCTTTGATTCATCTCTGCCAGAGTCCTCTAATCTCCATACTACAGTCCTTAATTGTTGCTTTCTTGATCTGCTGCTCGGCTATGGTCTGTCTTCTATAGCATTCTTATATTGACTCTACTCTTTGTTGGTTCTCCAGTTTCATGGCTCTTACTTACACTTCTGTTTCTTGGTTTATTCCCTTGTTTCTGATATAGCACATATTCTAGCAGTTTCCAGAAAGAGTGCATAGGAAGTAAACTTTTTGAGACCTTGCCTGTCTGAAAAGGTGTTTATTCTACCTTCACATCTAATCGATAATATCGGGTATTGAATTTTAGCTTGGAAATAATTTTCCCTGGAACTTTTGAAGAAGTTGTTCTGTTGTTTTCTAACTTTGAGGGCCATTTTGATTCCTGAACCTCATGTGAACTTTTCATTGTGTTTTTCAATGGAAGGTTTTAGGATCTTCCTCAAAATACTGAAATATCAGATGATGCGTTTTGGTGTGGATCTGTTTGACCCACTGAGCCCATTATTGGTGACTCAAGGAATTCATTTCTTTCAGTTTGGGTCTATTTTCTTGAATTAAGTTTTTGCTCATTCTTTCTGGAAATACTGTTTTTCTAATGTTTGATGCCCTGGACTGATCTAAATTTAATTTCTCTCCTATTTTCTCGTTATATTTTTGTTAAATTTTCTGGGGTATGTACTCAACTTTTTATTTGTCTTTCTACTGATCTTTGATTTCTGCTATAAGTTTAATTTTGCAAGAGATGTTGTGTTGTTTTATGATTATATATATGTACTTTGTAAATAGCATCCTGTTCTTATTTCATGAATTCAGTATTATCTCTTTGAGGATATTAATGATTTTTTAAATGTATGTTTTATTCTTTCTGGAGTATTTCTTTTAGCTTTCTTTATATTTCTGTTTTGTTTCAGTCTTTCTCATGTTAGAGGCTTTCCCCAAATATCTGGTGATTCTTGGTTGTCCATTTATATTCAAGAATGATATACTGAAAAGTTTTGTAGGTGGGGCTTGTTAACTTACTATAGGATAATTTGGCTAGACATTTTCATTGGGGGACCTCTAACTGTTATCTTCAGGATTTATCTCTTTAGCTGGTCAAATTCTCTGGAGAAGAAACTTCCAGCTCCTGGCTAGAGATAAGCCTGGTGTTAAGCCAGTGTTCTGAGAACTGTTAGAGAAGAGACTGCAGGCTTAGTGTTCAGCTTGTAGGCTTTCACTTTATCCCTGTATAACTTTGACTTAATTCCCGTTTTGGTACAGAATACTTGCCCTCTGCTCTGCCTGGTGTCCCTGATCCACAGCTTATTTGGTTCACCCTCTCCAAAGGAAAATTATCTCCAGGAGTTGGGTAGGGAGAATTGCCCAGATGTAGGATGTGGATGAGAGGAGGGGTCTGTTTCTTATGCTTTGACAATTCTGTTTTTAGCTCCACTTTCAATATCACTTTGAATTACCTAGCTCTACTAATTCCATATTCTTTCTAGGGTTCTCTCATACAAATCCAGCTGCAATTTTCATAGTTTTTTTGTTGTCTCCTTTCTTGTTTTTGTCCTTACGATTTTATGCTTTTGTCTTTTTCTTCTTCTGTTAAAAATATCTTTACTGCTATTTGACAAATGTTTTGAAATAGAGCAGTGGTAAATGCATGTGCTTAATCTCTAACTGGTAACCTTAGTGGTCTCCTCCGCCTAGTCTTACCCCATTCTAATTCACTTTCACAATACTGTCAAGATGATCTTGATAAAGTCACACTCTATTCTAGTCATCTCTTTATTAAAACCCTTCACTAGTTCCCATTGTCCAATGATAAATTTGATTCTTTGCATAATATACAAAGTACCCTGCATAATCTAACCCCTATCTGGTTCTCTAGCCTCATCTTGAAGAAGTATTTATGGTTTTCTAAACGCCTGATATTCTTTCCTCATCTATATTTTCGGACGTTCAGTTTCTTTTGCCTGGAGTACTCTACCCCATCATCGTCTGCATGGTAGCTGCTCCCATGTCAAGATGGTTTGTGAAGCCTTCCTTGACTGCCTTGGCTCATCATTCTAATAGTTGTTTATCCCCTTCTTTGTATCCAGGCTGTGTTCTACATAATGTAGTATTAGCATTTATCATATAATATTGCAGTTATTTGTCTACATGTCTGTTTACTGGAATTTGAGCTTCTTGATAGAGATAATATCTTAATTATTTTTGTATCTTCAGAATTTAGCAATGCCTGGCATGAGCTTGGGGTCCAATATATGGTTTCAATTTATTTGTTGCCTGATATTTACACAGGATACTGTATTTAGCTTTTGGTGGAGAAAGAGATACAAAGCTAACAGACATGTGCACATGACCATCTTTCCATGTTATTAAACATTCTACATTTAATGGCTGCTAAATATTGCATTATATGGATATACCATAGTTTGTTTAGTTAATAGCCCATTGTTAGGTATTAGTTAATGTTTCAAACTTTTTGCTGTTTTAAATCATGCTGCAGTAAAAACCTAGCTGTAGGTAAATTTTAAGGTGTACATCCATGATTACTGGACATAAATAAAATTCTTAGAAGTTAAAATGCTAAATCAGTAGTAATGTCTGTTTTAAAAGCTTTTGGTATATATCCTTCCAGGTAGGTTGTACTAATTTATATTTTCACCAGAAATTCATTGGGGGGACCCATTTTTCTGCATTCTTTCCAGTACCACTCCTGTAATTACTACCACCACCACCACCATGATCATTCTTTGCCAAAATTTGCAAGTTAAAATAATATTTTCCTGGTTTAATTTGCATTCCTCTGGTTACTAATGAGGTTGAGTATTTTGAAAATGTTTATAAATAATTTGTGTGTCATTTTATAAGTTGCCTATTTGTGTTTTTAACTGTTTTACTCTCAGGATTTTTTTTTTATCTCACTGCCTCAATTTTTTTCTGGGAGAAATGAGAGATATACTATATAGCATTGTTTATGAAAGTACATTGTGTTCTTTGACAGTGAATTTAATCTCATCTAATAATTTTTATATGTATAACTTAAAATTTTCTTAAAGCATTAATTACAGTTTCTAGAAGTCTGTGTTTGGGTTTAATGACTAAATCTCTTTTCCTAATCTTTTTTGAATATTTACCTAAAGTATTTGCAAAAGGCTAAGTTGAAGAAAACATCTGTCTCCAAAACAGAATGACACTGACTGGAAGCAGCTTCACCAAAATCTTTTGAGAATAATAAATAATTGTTTTAAAATATTTTAAAATACACAAATATACCACCTTAACCAATAGCCATTTAGTTAGGCCTATAGAGTTGTACAGACATCAAACAATCCAGTATTAGAACACTTTTTTTACCGCCAAAATTTTCTCTTGGCCATTTGCAGTTATTCCCCATTTCTATCCCAAACCCCATGCAACCACTAATCTACTTTCTGTCTTTATAGATTTGCCTTTTCTGGAGAGTTTATGTAGATTGAATCATATTATATGTGGCCTTTTGTGTCTGGTTTCTTTCATTTAGCATAATATTTTCAAGGTTCATCTATGTTGTAACATGTATCAGTACTTAATTCCTGTTATTGCTGTGTATCATTTCATTGTACAGTCATACCATATTTTGTTTATCCATTCATCAGTTGATGGACATTTCTTGGTTTTTTTTTTTTGAGACAGAGTTTCTCTCGTCACCCAGACTGGAGTGCAATGGCACAATCTCAGCTCACTGCAACCTCCACCTCCTGGGTTCAAGCGATTCTCCTGCCTCAGCCTCTTGAGTAGCTGGGATTACAGGCTCCTGCCACCACACCTGGCTAATTTTTGTATTTTTAGTAGATACAGGGTTTCACAAGGTTGGCCAGGCTGGTCTCGAACTCCTGACCTCAGGTGATCCTCTTGCCTCGGCCCCCCAAAGTGCTGGGATTACAGGCATGAGGCACAGCACCCAGCCTCTTGTTGTTTTTTAAAATATAGTTTTAGCACTTACATTTAGATTGATAATCCATCTTGAGTTGATTTTTGTATATAGTTAAAGGTGGGGGTTTGATTTCATTTGGATGTAGATATCCAGTTGTCCCAGAGCCATTTGTTGAAAAAGATTATGATTTCTACCATTGAATTGCCTTGGTACCTTATAAGGTTTTATTTCTGGACTTTGTTTCTGTTTCATTGATCTCTATGGCTATTATTGCCCATATCATGCTGTCTTGATTACTTGATTAAGTTTTAAAATTAGATAGTGTTAAATCCTACAGTTTGTTCTTATTTTTCAAGATTGTTTTTTTCTGGATCCTTTGCCTCTCCATATACATTTAAATTAAGCTTGTCTATTTCTATAAAAAGAGCCTGCTAGAATTTTCATAGGGATTACATTGAATCTGTAGATCAACTTGTGGAGAATTGCCATCTTAACAATAGTGAGTCTTTTAATCCATGAACATGGAATATATCTCCACTTATTTAGATATTCTTTAGTTTTTCTTAGCAATGTTTTTTTGTTGTCAGTGTACAGGTCTTATACTTCATTTGTTAAGTTTATTCCTAAGTATTATAATTCTTTTTGATGCTATTGTGAATGAAATTGTTTTCTTATTTTCATATTGTTTAGAACAATTATTTTTTAATAATGTCAATATGTGTATGCCATATTTAATATGCTGGCAGGAACCAGTCAATCACTGATGCTTGTCATGGGACCAAAATTCTGGGCATTAAGTACCTAGGTGCAGTTTTTGCCCTTAAAGAATGAAAGTCCTAAAAAATTTAAAGTATGTTAATACAGAAATAGTCCTGGGAATTCAATTAGAAGACATGACAAAATGCTAATAGTAAGGCTTTCTTAAGAATGCTGACTTGTATTTCTTGACAGTTTATTGATTTTTAAAATCATTATAAATGTACCCCTTTGCATTTAATATGTATCAATCAGCAAATTACTAGAATGTGCCTATGTTGACACTTCTGATCTCAAGTTAATGGTTTGTTGTAGTGCTCATCTGTGCTTCCATCATATTAAAAACTGTTATTTAGGTGAAAAAATTGCACCCCGCAGTTAGTTATTACAACAAAAAGGAGATATAGTTTGCCAGGTTGAACATAATGTTTTTCTGGCCTTTTATAGACAGCCAGCATTGAAATCACTGTCCTTAAAGCATGATCTTGCAGAATGTCTTTATAAGATAAAATGAGGTATTACACTTTAAAAACTGGGTAACATTAGGGTTTTTCTGATTGGGTGAAGAAAATTAAAGTATATTACAGCTGGCCCTTCAACAATGAAGGGTTTAGGGGTGCTAATCCCTACACAGTAAAAAACCAAATATAACTTTCGACTCCCCAAAACTTAACTACTAATAGCCTACTGTTGATGGAAGCCTTACCACTAACATAGTCAATTAACACGTATTTTGCATGTTATATGTATTATTATATACTGTATTCTTATGATAAAGTAAGCTAGAGAAAAAGAAAATGTTGTTAAGAAAATCATAAGGAAGAAAAGAAACATTTACCAGTTATTAAGTGGAATTGGATCATCATAAAGTTCTTCATTCTCTTCATCTTCATGTTGAACAGGGTGAGGAGGAAGAGGAGAGGGTGGTCTTGTCTCAAGTGTGGCAGAAGTGGAAGAAAATTCACGTATAGTGAACTTGCGCAGTTTAAACCTATGTTTTCCAAGAGTCAACTGTATATCGTTTAAATTTTTTAGTGTTTCTCTTGTAAATTGTTTTTCTTCTTGGGCACCAGTTATGGCTTATTCATGAGTAACCATTAATGAACACTAAAAGAAATGACAAAGTTTATTTGTGCATGTTAATAGAAAAACTCAGAGTATCATGCTTACTTCAACAGCTTAGTTTTACTAGCAGAAAGTTACTGTTTCATATGATAAAATTAATGGTATTCTGTGGTACTCTGCCCCTGAGAAAATTTAAGAACCACCAAGTTAAATAAATCATTATTGGAAAAGAACAGAAATGTAAATATACTCAGTGCGCTCATTTGCTTATAGGTAGCTAAGACCCACCAAAACCTATACTCCCAATTTAATGACTACCCTGTATGTCACTTTTAGGGTATAATGAGTCAAAAAGCAGTTAACACCTCATCCTAACAAAACATAAATGTCAACTAGACAGTTATTTGCCTGAAAGCTAGGGAGAGCAGAAAAAAAAAAAAGTCTTGTCCATTGTTTGCACAGTTTCCAAACAGATAGATGAGTGTTTTTTTCTTATGTGTTTTCTAAAACGTAAAGCTATTGAAATTGCTATGTAAAATTTTGTTAATCATGTGTTGAAAGGAATACGTAAATTATGTTCATGGGATATTTTGGCCTTAGATTAATGATTGTGTGACTTTTTCTCCTATAGGCATGCTGCGAAGGAAGGTAGAAGTGGTAACACGGGTTTTCGAGGATTATCGTCACGAGGAGCATGCACACAATGTCAACACTGCTTTTTAGTGAATGACCATATCTTCAGCATGTCGTTTCTGGATTATTACCTACAAATTCTGATGTTAAATAGAGTAGTATTTATACTTAATATTTCATCTTGATCATAATGAATTGTGCATCCTTTTTTTCATTTAAGTATTGTACTGTTGAGAATTATACCTTAGTTTTGTTTTTAGTATTAGAAAATCAAAATTATACTAGCCCCTTTGTCCAGACAGCAACCTCTTAGATGCTGACTCTATATGTGTAATTTATGTCTTACTCTCCCTGGCATCAGTACACATCATCCTTCTCACTCCAGTTGAATCATAGGGTGATGTCTGCCAAAAGTACATGCCAACCTATATAGTGCTAGATACTGTAAAGTCTCTTCTCCTCAAAGGAACCTACTGTCTAGTTTGAGATATAATTAATGCTTGTCTGCATAAAAACAATATAGATAATATAAAGAAGTGCAGTATGAATTATAGAAAGTGTGTTATAGAGATTCAGAGCAGGGAGGAAAAGTTAGGGTAGATTATTATTAAAGGGTTAAGGAAAGGTAAGTTTCAAGGAATTTGGTTATTTTTAATGTATGGATATACTGGCATTTTATTTGGTTTTAGCATATGATTTATAGTTGGTGATTTCCGTATATTTGTTTGTTTTTCTTTTTTTTTGTTTGTTTGTTTTGTTTTGTTTTAAATAAGCCTTGTTCTTAGGTTTGGAACAGTCTGGTCTCCTGTGTTTCATGTTTCACCTAAGTCATAAATAAAGGTAATGTCCTAAAAAAAAACATGTAATACTGAAATTAACTATTAAAAGTTTTTAAGTGACTAGAGCTCAGTAACCTATAATTTATTGAGCTAAATTTTCTGTTGTACTGATTGCACACGACCATCGTGGCGGGTACACATTACACGAAGAAATATTTTTGAAATGAATATTAGCAACGATTAGTCTTATGAGCAGACTAAATGCCAAAATTGACATGGACTCTTTTTTTTCTACTCAAACTTTTCCAAGCAGCAGCTTCTTATCCAGTAAGTTTTTGTAACCACGCAGAATTATAGAATGTGAAAATAATCCAGAACTCATATAATCTTGTGAATTATTTCTGTAGATACACAACTTTTAAGTATAATCTTTAGTAATCTCTAATTTTTCAGTTCAGTATTATTACTCTTATACTGTAGATAAGAGTAATACTAAAGACATTTTTTCCCATTGCTTTTGGAGATTCAACTCTTGTAAAGTAGCCTGTGTACAAGTTCTACATTCAGTAATGAAAATATAGTTTATCAGAAGAAACACTGACTCTAGTCTTGTTCCTGCCTAATTAACTGGACAAATAATTTCATCTTGGGCATTATCTTTGTCCATAAATGAAAGAGTTGGATCATATTAGGGTTTCCCAAACTGTTTTGTGAGAAGGAACTGGTTTTCATTTCTCTGAAGTTTTGAGATTCCTTTATGTCTTTTCACTGTGAGTAGAGTGCTTACTCTATATTTCCTAAGTAAAATAAAGAAAAAGGAGACTACAATACTGCTTATACTATCTTACTGTTACATTATCTTCAGTGGGAGTTCTAGTGTTTTTCCTAGTACATAGAAGATGCCAGAGGATAGCAACTGGCTTCTAGATTGATCTAGTAATGTTATTAAGACTTACAGGGTGATCTCAGTATACTGTCTGGAATTGTACATTGGACTAAATCATAAATCATCTCTAAGATTCTTCCTGACCATTTCTAACATGTAAAGAAATGACATTGTTGAACAATTTTTTTTTGTTTGTTTTTTGAGACAGGGTCTTGCTCTGTCACCTAAGCTAGAGTGCAGTGCCGTGATCTTGGCTCACTGCAACCCCTGCCTGCTGGGCTGAAGTGATTCTCCTACCTCAGCCTCCCAAGTAGTTGGGACTACAGGTGCACACCACCACACCTAGCTAATTTTTGAGTTTTTTGTAGAGATGGGGTTTTGCCATGTTACCCAGGCTGGTCTTGAACTCCTGGGCTCAAAGGACCCACCCGCCTTGGCCTCCCAAAGTGCCAGGATCACAGGCGTGATCCACCGTGCCCAGTCACGTTGACAAATCTTAATTAAAAGGTCAGAAATACAGAAATAAGCTATTTTTACCAGTAATGTTAAAGCATCATTTATGTTAGGCACTGGAGTCTTCAGCCCCTCGTAACCATTGTTAACCAGCTGACATATTAGCTGAAGAATTCTTAAATTTAAAGTGTTGACACTATCCCAGTACATACCCATTTTTTAATCCTTTGAAAAGATGCTATATTTGTTCTCTATAACAGCATTTATGCTATTTCATTTGGGAAATTTGAAAGACTTGCACAGTTGTTTACTCTTAATATAAGATGGTGAGTAGATTCAAGAGAAGATTTTTGGTTTTAACATCTTCTTCCATATCTTGGAATCATAACTGCTTCATAATGTAGTCTTCAGAAGCGTGCCACAAACAAAGCACCTAAAAAGGACAAACTCAGAAAATGTGTCTCTGTTAAGAAGGAGCTTCTGGATTAATTAAACTAACCTTGTTAAATTGACAGAAAGACAAATGAGGCATATTTTTCGGTTTGTCATAAATTCTTCTAGGGGTAAAATTGTGAAATTAGGTAAGATCTCTGTGCCCATGTATAACATCTAGAGATCTCCAAGGCTTTGTATACACTGTCTGATGTCCTTTTAAGCTGGGGAGAAGAATGTTGTGGGAAACAGAATAACTATTATTACACAGTTAACAAGTTTGGCAGAATTAGAAATGGCCTGGTTTTCTTTTTAGTGTAATTTTCTGAATGTTTGTCTGTTTGTACCTATCACTTGCGCTGGTTACAGTTATACACAGGTATGTAGAGTACTTCTTATGACCTTGCTTTCCAGTTGCAATTCCACAGCTATGTGAATATGTATCTTAGCTATTCGTTCTCCACTCATCCCACCTAGTGGATTTGCAATGTAGTGTGTATCATTTCAGTATCAATAGGCTATATGTTTTATTAGAAGTTGTACACAAGTTTGGTGTGATGGTTGGTGTAATATTTGTTCCATCCTTTGCCACCGTCCCAGGGGATAAGCACACTAGCAACCTTGGTGTATTTTTCCATTTCCTTGTCAATATGTCAATTGGGACAGATTGGTTGAGCCACAAAATTCAGCTCTACCACCATATAGGATTTACCTGGTGCAGGCAATGATGTGACCCCCCGTTTTGTTTATACTTATATTCAGTTCACGTTCTGTGCCAAAGCTACAAAGTGGTACATGCTATGCCTGCAGTCATTCACCTTTATGATTCAAGAGCACAGTTATTTGCATGTGACAGGTCTTAGGTAGCTCACCATGACATTTTCAATCTGATAGAAGTTCTCAGGACAGGAAATTCTACAATGTTTTTCAGTAGCTGCTTTTTGGTCCTTTGCTCTAACTTGAGCATGGAAATACAAAGCAGTTTGGATAAGTCTAAATCTACTGATTAACATTTGACTATTTACTCATAGATTACCACTCAATCATGGAATAACTTTAAAACCATACCTTTGTATGTGCTTGACAGTCACCCTATACTTAGGAGGTATCCTCATTTTACAGATGAGAAAACTGGCCTAGACCAGTTAAGAAACTTACTGAAACCCACATGGTCTAGTAACTTACCAGAGCAAAAATTCAAGTCCAGATTGCCTCTAAAACCCTGTCGTGCTATACTGTCAACTGAGAAGTGAGATTCAAATCCAAGTAGTGTGCCCCGCCCCCCACCATTACCTACAATCTTTTCTTCTTTGGCTTCTTGAGATGTAAGAGGGTTTCTCTTTAATTAAAAAAGTATTGACTAGGTAATGTAGTCATGGGTTCAAAATTCAAAGGGCACAAAAAGATACGTGAAGAATTTTTTCTGCCCTTGTCCCTCAGCCATCCAGTTCCCCTACCTGGAGGCATTCACTCATCATTTGTCTGTAAGTTCTCCCAAACATATTTTGTGCATATACAAGCAAACACACATATATATGTTTTTAAGTGACTAGAGCTCCCCTTTTTATGCAAATAGAAGCATAGTATACATATCGTTCTGCACCTTGCTATTGCACTAACTATATTTTGGAGATTGTTTAGTAGCAGTTCATAGAGAACTTTGTCATCTTGGTAACTGCTGCATAGTTTTTCATTGAATGATACATTTTCATAGTATGTTCTTGGATATTTTCATTTCTGTTTTCATAAACAATGTTGCAAGGAATGATAGTAGGTTAGAGGATATATAGTATTGAGGATTCTATTCATAACTGAATTGCTGCTTTAAAGGGAATGTACATTTATGATTTTAGTAGTATCCTCATTTGCCCCCAATAGATGTTGTACCAATTTATATTCCTACCACTAGTGTATTGAGAGCGCCCGTTTCCCCACAATCTCAATAAAACAAGTGTGTTATCAAACTTTTGGATCTTTCCCAATCTGTTAGGTGAAAAATGGTAGTTTAATGTACTTTTAAAAATAAACTTTAAGTTCTAGAACAGTTTTAGATACAGAAAGGTTGCATAGTACAAAGTTCCACATACGTACAACTCAGTTTCCCTTGCATAACTCTGATACATTTGTCACAGCTAACGAACCTTGTTATTAGCTAAAGAGCATAGTTTGTTCACATTTCCTTAGTTTTTACCTCATGTCTTTTTTTCTTTTCCAGGATCCCATCCAAGATACTGCATTACTTTAGTCATCATGACTCCTTTGGTTCCTTTTGGCTGTGACAGATTCTTGTGTTTTTGATGACCTTGCTAGTTTTAAGGAGTACTGGTAGTCAGTGTACTTTAAAATTTGTGAGATTGGACATCTTTTCATACACTTAAAGACATTTGCATTTCCATTTCTGGAAACTAAGAGCCTATGCTTTTAACCACTATACTATACCTCTTTCTTGATTCACCATAATTATCAATAAAACATATGTGGGCCTGAACATACACAGACTTCTGATTCTGAGTGGAGAAAACTCTCAAGTCTCTGTTACAGATAGAGGAGAACCATTAGTACAGGTGATATAGTCAGACTCGTGTCTGATGACTCTGGCTACATCGTGAAGGATGAAGCAGAGGCTCGACTGGAAACGGTAGGTAGGCTGGATAAATCCTTGAAAGAAAAGCAGTGTTGATAAGTTCAAAGGAAATTACAGAAGAGCCAGGAATTAGTGGTAATGGATGAGAGAATCAAGAAGTCAAAGGTGACTCGTTTTATGAGCTGGATATTTTGGGTCTTCTTTTGAACCTAAATGAGAAATTCAAAATAAATATTTGGACAATGTTCAGCATACCTGTCACTTGAGATCTACTTTCTCTTTCTGTTGCCATAGCTCTGTGCTACTACAATTCCCAGAGCCCCATGCTCCATCACAATACCCTTAGAAGTCCGCCGCGCGGAGTTCTGGGACTTGAGGTCCGCGGCCTATTTACCCAAGTTGGAGGTAGGGGCCTGTGGAAACATGAAGAGGTAAGGACTTGTCTGAAGAGCAGGCGGCAAGGGGAGCTTTGTTCTACCTTTTCTTTTGAAAATGGCTTCCATTGCTTTCTGGTTTGGGTATTGCACGTTCTCAGGATGCGGTTTCGTGGGAGCGGGAACACGACAAAGGAGACGGGAGGAGGGGAGACGGGCTGAACAGGCCTGCAGAGCGAAGTTCAGGAAGGGCTGCCACCGGGGCCGGCTGCTGTGGGAATGCCCTCCCGGCACGGGCCCCGGGAGCTGGCCGGGTGCTGCGGCTTCGTCGTTTCACCCGGACCCAGCTGGGCAAAAGGGTTTGAGGCTGACAAATTCCCGGCGCCGGAGATGTAGGTACCTCGGGCCAGCCCCTCGCCGTTCTCCCCTACCTCCACCTCCACCTGAGAAAGGCTCGGGGCGGGCGCATTTATTTGCAACGTCTGTGTGTTAAAGACTACTTGCTTGGGCCCCGAAACCATGTAGCGCTTTCGAATCTTAAAGTAAGGGAGCGGTACTTTGTTTCTAAATGTGGAAGGACAGCACCAAAGCGGTTCGATTTATGGGGTGGGGGGAGGGGAGGTGGAAGGCATTGCTGGGCTCAGTTCCCCTTACTTGTCCTGAGGTAAATGGCCGCTTGAGCCTAAATGGCCTGAGCCTCCTAACTATTGACGGGCTTAAATTAATTTTAGATTCACTCTGCAAGTAGAATCATCACTCTGGAATAGTGCAGTGCATTTAAAATTCTTACTGATATGCTTTCCTGCACTGTCAGTTCCTTGCATCTTTTAAAAAACCGTTTATGACTTTGCCTGCCTGAAACTAACCTTTAATATTTTTTTATGATATCTCCTCCATGCGAAATAATGTATAATGTATATATACAGCTTAAAGAATAATAAAGGTTCGCATCCACTACAAGCTTAAGAAATAGGACATTGCCAGTCCCTTAGAAGTCTACTGTGTCTCTTCCCTCCCTTCGTTCCCCCCTGAGGTGACCACTATCCGGAATTTTGTGTTATTAATTCCCTTGCTTTTAAAAAAGCAAATAGTTTCTAGTACATATGAATTTATCCCTAAACAAAATGTTCCTAGTCATGTATTTGAAGTATTCCTGATACTTCATGCTGGCGTTTCTATTGTAAAAGCTACTAGACTCAATGTGGCTAAAACAATACTGACTTTCCCTTTCCCAAATCATTTATTCCATCTGGAGCTTTGTCTTTCCTTCATTGGTACCATTGTTCTCTCAGTTACACAGACTGAAATTTTGGGATTATCTTTGACTTCCTTGCCTCTGCCTCCAAAAGGCCTCTCTCATCTAACCCTTTCTTTCCATTTTCACTATTACCATTTCAGTCTAGACCTTCATCACCTTTTACTTCAGTAGTTTCATAACTAGTTCTTCTTGTTTCTTCCCTTTGAATCTCTATGGCATATTATAACCACATTCATCTGTCTAAACCATCACTTGCACTGTGTCACTTAACTGTTTGATAAATTACTACTTCTTATTATCCTTCAGTATATATTACTATCCCTTTGTACTCTCTTTCCCTGTTCTCCTTTTCTGCATCACACACCTTTGAATGTCAGCTTAAAAGTACCTTTCTGAAGTCTTCCTTTACCACCTTTATCTCCCAATTTTCTCTTCTGTGAATTTCTACTAATTTGGCATATGCTTCTATGTGTTATTATTCTCTCCTCCCCCCGCTGCCAAGGCACATGCACACAACACATAAACACACACTTCTTCTCCCTAAATAGATTGTGGGCTTCTTGAGGATAGGGACTATGTCTTAAACACCTTTGACTTCCCTCAGTACCTAGCATAGTGCCTTCTGTGTAAACAGGTATTTAGTAAGTGTTCATGGACTAAATGGTAAAGGGCAATGAATTGTTGGAGAAGTGTCTTTGAATAAATGGGGTCAGTAATGGTAGATAATATAGATAAGGAATATATTTTGAGACTCACAGTCTCTTCCGTTTTCTGTATATATTCTTATGTCTACTCCAGGGTAAACAGCTGTGTGAAGAGTGATGAGCATGTCCTGGAGGAGCTGGAAACAGAAGGGGAGAGGCAGCTGAAAAGCCTCCTTCAGCATCAACTTGATACTTCTGTCTCCATTGAGGAGTAGGTATTGATTTTGCAAACGGAGAGTATCATAGACTCTTACCTCCAGGTGACAGATCTCTCTTAAAGCCTAGATGGAATGTTCCTCTCCCACCTCCCTTTCTTTGTTAGACTTCAATGTATTAGGTAGGGTTTTAATTCTGTGTCTCTTCCTCTGGGAAGCCTCCCATATCTCACTAAGTCTGAGCCAAGTACCTATTTTATGTCCTCCTACAGCATCCCATATTTCCCTTAACATAGCACTTGTAACCCAATATTATCATTGCCTGTTTACTTGCCTCTGTTCCACTGTTTTTCCACAAAAGCAGGAGCCATTTTTATCTTTTTTATAAAGCTATTAAATCCTTAGTACCTAGCAGAGTATCTGATGCATAGTAAGTACTCAATAAATATTTGTTGATTTAGTTTATTATTCCTGGATGACGGCACTCTCGATGGAGTTCCATTTTGTTGCAGTGGTGCTTCAGCTTAGAAATAAGATGTAAGAGAAAATTTGCTGGTGAGTTTCATTGTACCTCTTACAGTGCTGAACCTCCATTTTTGTGAATGATAGTAACCTCAAGATGTTCTTACTCTCCTCCTGCATGTTTTGCAGATGTATGTCTAAGAAAGAGAGCTTTGCTCCTGGTACTATGTACAAGCCCTTTGGGAAGGAAGCAGCTGGGACTATGACTTTGTCCCAATTCCAGACACTGCATGAGAAGGACCAGGAAACTGCTTCTCTCAGGGAATTAGGGCTTAATGAAACAGAAATCTTGATCTGGAAGAGCCATGTTTCTGGTGAAAAGGTGAGTGGGGTAATGTTTTTTTTTGTTGGTTTTTCTCCTCAAAGAAACAGAGCAAAATATCTTCATTTTAGCACTGAGAGCCTTTTCATTTCTAGTTCTCACAAAACTGAGCTTGGTGTCTGAATCTTCTTTGATTTTTAGAATGCAGACATTGGTAAAAGAGAAGCTGTTCTTTAACTTCTTAGCTAACACTTTCTGTAAACATTCATTTCTGGGCCTAGGTCATCTTTTTACTTGAGATACCAGATCATCATGTTCAGGTTGTGCCCTCTATGATACATGCCATCTCATTCCTCTGGTTTCAGAAGACAAAACTGAGGGCAACTCCTGAAGCAATACAGAACCGTCTTCAAGATATTGAAGAAAGGATCTCGGAGCGTCAGCGCATTCTTTGCCTGCCACAGAGATTTGCAAAGAGCAAACAGCTGACCCGGCGAGAAATGGAAATAGAAAAGTCTTTATTTCAGGGAGCTGATCGTCACTCCTTCCTTAAGGCTCTTTATTACCAAGGTATGTGATCCCCACTGACTTTGATATATTCTTTCACTGAGAGAAAGATTAAACAGCAGGGCATTAAATATGAAGAGTTAGTGAAGGGAATAGGGGAAAGACAAATTGTCACTACTTTTGAGAAATGTATAATACCATAAGAGAGACAAATATGTGCACAGTTAGTTGCATGACAACATGGAAACTGCTATTATAGAGATTTGAATAAAATGCTGAGGTAGTGCAGAACACAGAGCATCTAAGTCTAGTTGGGGGAGTCAGAAGTTGACATTTATACTAACTCCTGATGGATCAATGGGCATTTGTCAGGTAAATAAAGGGGAATGGAGATTAAAGGTAGTAAATAGCAACAGGATTATGAAAGAACCTGGTGTGTCTAAGGAACAATGAGAAGTTTAACGTGGCAGGAGTAGAAGAAGTGGCAGGGAATGACAGGAGGTGACACTGGAAGGAAGGGGAGGCGAAGCTAGATTGTGAAGGGTCTTTAGGCTGAACTACAAATTAGCACAAAATATATAGATAAATAGTATGTGTCTTAACCAGAAGGATTTAGTTTGACAGATAAGTTTTACTAGACGCTGTGGAAGGTGCATGGAAGTTTAAGAAATGGTTCCTCACCTTGTGCCAAGTATAGTCTGGTTGGAGAGATAAACATGTAACATTTAGTGACAATACTAGATACATTTGTTAAGTGTTGTTGGAGTTCAGAGGAGGCAAAGGCCACTGTGTATTGGTGTGATTGAAGAAGCCCTCTCAGAGGAGGTAAGATTTAAATGTTCTTTTAATACTACCTATTCTTTAGAAAAGAGAGGTAATGACATTTCAGTTGCAACAGATGGTGTGAGCACTAGGGAGTGTGCTAACTATGGAGGAGATGTGAGACAAGGTTAGAAAGGTAGCTAAAAATTTTGAACTGTATTTGGTAACTAGTATAGACTTATACAGAGTTAGTTATCAGTTAGTTTCAATATGGTTGAAGG
The DNA here is from genome assembly GCF_000001405.40 of Homo sapiens. Lineage (NCBI taxonomy): Eukaryota > Metazoa > Chordata > Mammalia > Primates > Hominidae > Homo > Homo sapiens. The sequence goes on along the minus strand of NC_000023.11, from coordinate 107,114,371 downwards.
TTTTTGAACCAGAAGTGACATGATAAAAGCCATATTTGAAAATTATTAATCTGGTGGTCAATAAATAGGATTAGAGAGAGGAAGAACTGGAAGCAGGCAGAATGGATAGGAGATATTACAGTCATTTAGGCATGAAGACTTGGTCTAGAGTGATAGCAGTGAAATTGGAGAGAGGTAGGTTTATAATGGAAGAACTAATAAAACTCGTTGACTGAAAATGAAGGAGGGAGGTCAATGCAGAGGTATGTGTCAAAGATAATCCAGAGGTTTCAAGGCTGTGTGACTTACCAATTGGCAAAATTAAGAAAGCCTTTATGGGGAAATTTCGAGGAAGGATGATGAGTTTGATTTTAAACATGTGGAATTTGTGAGAATGGCAGGATCATCAAATGCAGATGTTGAGGAGACAGTTGGAAATGCAGCCGTGAAGCTCAGGAGAGAGGTCAGAACTAGATATATAGAACTGGGAATCATCTATCCTTAGATAACATGTTAAGGCCGTGAGAATGGATGAATGATTTGTTAGAGATAGAAGGATCATAGACATGGCAGAGCAGTGGTGAAGGAAGGAATGAATGAACAAATGAATAACCTTTTGTGGAGAGACATTTAGCATAATGATTAAGAACATGGGCTCTGGAGGCAGACTGCCTGGGAAAATCCTGGCTCCCCCACTTAACTAGCTATGAGATGCTAGGCAAGTTACCTCTCTATGCTTCAGTATCTTCATCTGTAAAATGAGAATATTAATAGTAGCTATGTTACAGGGTTACTAAGAGGATTAAGTGAGAGAATACATGTAAATCACTTAAAGCAGTACCTGGTATTTGGGGTGGAGGGTGGGTGGTTTATGAATCTGTTCTGTTTCCTATCTTTGAAACTCCTTGCTTTAAACCTTCACAGCATACCACAAAAAGACAAGTGCAGACAAGTACATGACCTCAATGAAGAGGAAGATAAAATTAGGCACAAAAGGCAAGTCGAGAGTTTTCTTATAGTGTTAGACTTAGGAATGTAACCTAGGGTCCCAGTTGAGCACTTATTTAATTCCATATTCAGTATATGACAATGTTTATAGGAAATGATCCAGAGGGAGCATATTATCCTGATACAGAATATTAAAGAGAGGAGTTAGTAGAAGTTGTAAAGCTTTTACATTTACTGCTGTTGTTTTTTCTCTATACATTTAAATTATTGTACCAGACATAAATTGACCTTAATGATTTTTAGATCCCATTTCACAAATAATTCTGAATATTTTTATTAGTCAGTAAAGTATAATTATTGATGATGATGATGATATGATAGCTAATATTTTCTTACTTTTGAAATGAACTTCCAATAAAATTGCATGGGGCTTCTTCTTTTTTGGTGTACAATTCTATGAATTGTAAATCATGTAGATTCATGTAACCACCACCACAATCAAGAAAGAGAATAGCTTCATCACCTTAAAAAACTCCCTCATGCTGTCCCTTTATAGTCATTCCCAACCCACCATAATTCCTGACAATCACTGACTGTTTTCCATCACTGTAGTTTTATCTTTTAGAAAATGTCATGTAAATGGAATCACACAACATGTAACCTTGTGAGACTGGCTTCTTTCACTCAGCATAATGCCTTTGAGACTCATTTGAGTTGTTGCGTGTATCAATAGTTCATTTATTTTGTTGAGTAGTGTTTCATCATATGGACATTCCAAAGTTTGTTTATCCATTCACCCATTGAAGTGCATTCGGGTTGTTTCCAGGTTATGATGGCTATGCATAATATTGATATGAACGTTCTTGTACAGGTTTTTTTGTGAACATAAGTTTTTATTTCTCTAAGGTAAATATCTAGAAGTGGGATTACTGGGTCATATGGTAAGTGTACATTTAACTTTATATGAAACTGCCAAACCATTTTCCAGAGTGGCTGTACCATTTTGCATTTTCACCAGCAATGTATGAAAGTTCGAGTTGCTCTACATCTTTGTCAGCACTTGGTATTGTCAGTATTTATTTTGGTTATTTCAATAGCTGTGAAGTGGTACCTCATTGTAGTTTTAATTTGCATTTCTTTAATGGCTAATGATGTTGAACATCTTTCATTTGCTTATTTGCCATCCTTATATCCTGTTTGCTAAAGTGTCTGTTCAAATCTTTTGCTGTTTTATAATTGGGTTGTTTATTTTCTTCCTGATGACTTTTGAGAGTTCTTTGTATATTCTAAACACAATCTTCTGTTGGATATGTGATTTTCACACATTTTTTCCCAGTCTGTAGCTTGTCTTTTCATTCTCTTAACAGTGTCTTTTGCAGGGCAAACTTTTTTTATTGTGGTAAAATATACATAAAATTTACCATTTAAACCACTTTTAAGTGTGTAGTTCTATGGCATTAAGTACTTTCACATTGTTCTGCAACTATCACAGCCATCCATCTCCAGAAATTTTTCATCTTCCCAAACTGAAACTCTGTACTTATTAGATACTAACTCCCCGTTTTCTCCATCCCCACCAGCCTCTGGCAACCACCATCCTACTTTCTGTTTCTATGAATTTGACTACTCTCAGTATATAAGTGGAATCATACAATATTTGTCCTTTTGTGACTGGCTTTAGTTAGCATAATATCTTCAAGATTCATCTAAGTTGTAGCATGTGTCAGAATTTTCTTTTTAAGGTGGAATAATATCCCATTGTATGTATATAGCACATTTTGTTTATCAATTGATGGATGCTTAAGTTGTTTCCATGTTTTAGCTTTTGTGAATAATGCTGCTACGAACATGGGTATACAAATATCTGTTTGAATACCTGCTTTCAATTATTGTAGGTATATACTCAGAAATGGAATTGCTGGATCACATCTTAATTCTACATGTAATTTTTTGAGAAACTGCCATATCAGTTTCCATAGAGACTGTACCATTTTACATTCCCACCAGCAATGCACAAGATAAGAGTTCCAGTTTCTCCATACCCTTGGCAACACTTACTATTTTCTTAAAAAATAATAGCCGTCCTAATGGGTATGAAATGTTATCTTATTGTGGTTTTGATTTCAATTTCCCTGATGATTAGTGCTGTTGAGCATCTTTTCACATGCTTTTTGGCCATTTGTATATCTTCTTTGGAGATGTATCTGTTCAGATCTCTTGTCCATTTTTAAAATAAGTTTCTTGTTTGTTGTTGAGTTGTAGAAGTTCTATATATATTCTGTATATTAATTCCTTATAAGATATATGACTTGCAAATATTTTCTCCTATTCCAAGAATTGCCTTTTCACTCTGTCCTTTGATGCACAAAGTGTTTAATTTCGATGAAGTCCAATTTGTTGATTTTTTTCTTTTGTTGTCTATGCTTTTGGTGTCATATCCAAGAAATCATTGCCAAATCCATTGTTATGAAATGAAGGCTTTTCCTTATGTTATCTTCTGAGAGTGTTATAGCTTTAGCTCTCATGTTTAGGTCTTTGAACCTTTTGAGTTAATTTTCGTATATGGTATTAAGGTAAAAATTCAGCTTTATTATTTTCATGTTGATATTCAGTTTTCCCAGTGCCAGTTGTTGAAAAAAGACTGTTCTTTCCACACTGAATGATCCTGGCACCCTATTCAAAAATCATTTGACTATATATACCTGTCTTTATGCCAGTACCACACTGTTTTAATTACTGTAACCTTGTAGTAAGTTTTGAAATCAGGAAGTGTGAGAACTCCAACTTTGTTCTTTTTCAAAATTGTTTTGGATATTTGGGGATTGGTTGAGATTCCATATGAATTTTAGAATGGATTTTTCTATTCCTGTAAAAAAATGTTATTGACGTTTTGGTAGGACTTACATTGAATCTGTATATCACTTTGGTTAGTATTGATGTCTTAACAGTATTGTCTTCTAAGTCATGAACATGGGATGTCTATTTATTTGTGTCTTGTTTAATTCCTTTCAGCAACATTTTGTAGTTTTCAGTGTATAAGTCTTTTACCTCACAGAAAATGTTTTCAAGTATTGTTTCAAATCTTGTTTATCAGTTGATCCTTTCATGGGTTGCCTTTTATGTATGTGCATTTATATGTATCTAACAACTCTACCTGTTCATGAAAAAGATATTTTCCTATGTTTTCTTCTGATAGTTATATAGTTATACATTTTACATTTAGATCTATGATCCATTTTGACTACTTGATGTTTATATAAGGTATGAAGTTTAGGTTAAAGTTCACTTATTTTTTTTTTTTGGCTTCAAATGTCCTGTTGTTTTAGAACCAACTGTTAAAAGAGTATCCTTTCTCCATTTACTTGCCTTTGCATTTTTGTCAGAAATCAATTGGCCGAATTTGTGTGTTAATACTTAACCTCATAATTAATGGTGAAAAGTTGAAATTCTTCCCCAAAGATCAAAAATAAGATAAGGATGTCCACTCTTGCCACTTCTGTTCACAGTGGAATGAAATTCGAAATAAATAACAGAAGGACATTTAGGAAAATTACAAATATGTGGAAATTAACACTCTACCAAACAGTCAATGAATTAAAAGGAAATCAAAAGGAATATTAGAACATATTTTGAGGTAAATTAAAACACAGCATGCCAAAAACTTATGGAGTAAAATAAAATCAGTGTTTAGGGGGATATTTAGCTGTAATGCCCATAGTTGTATATGCCCATATTAATAAAGAAAAAAGATTTCAAATTAATAACTGAAATCTCCACCTTAAGAACTTATTAAAAGAAGAGCAAACTAAATCCAAATCAAGCTGATGAAAAGAAATAATAAAAAATGGAGCAAAAATAAATGACATAGAGGAAATAATAGAGGAAGTCAACAAAACCAAAAGTTAGTTCTTTGAAAAGATCAACTTAATTTATAATCCCTTAGCTAGACTGATCAAGTTAAACAGAAAGAAGACTCAAATTTCTAAAACTCAGCTCCACTTTGGTTCTTATTTGTATGGGACATCTTTTTCCATCTTTTTGCTTTTAATCTATTTGTGTTTTTGAACCTAAAGTGTGTCTCATGACAGCAAATAGTTTGGATTATATTTTCTCTTTTTAATCAATTATTTCAATCTCTGCCTTTTGAGTGGAGAGTTTAGTTCATTTATTTTAATGTATTTAATTAGAGTCTGTTAAGGATTTACATCTGCTATTTTGCTTTTTGTTTTCTGTTTCTCTTCTATCTTTTTTGTTCCTCTGTTCCTCCATTTATTCCTTCTTTTATGTTAAATAGATTTTTCCAATGTGCCATTTTAATTAACTTCTTGCCTCTTTTACTGTTTTTGTGTATGTGTGTGTGTGTTAGTGGTTGCTCTGGGGATTACAATTAACCTCTTGGCTTAAATAAATTAATTTGTATTAAAACCAACTTAATTTCAATTATATTAAAAAACTTTGTTTAGCTGTTCTCTACCTCCCATACTTTCTACTGTAATTGTCATACCAATTACATCTCAGAATGTGGCTTTTCATTGAAGTGCCAGGCAGGTCAAATAGTTCCATCCAGGTAAAATAGTGAAAATTCTCCAAGGATGGGGCTTTTATGGTGCTCCAGAACTGGTCTGCCACTCCAGTTTCAGATAGGCTGCTGGTTTTTGCAGCTTCTGTTGTTGCAAGGTTGTTGGTTTTCAAGGCTACTGCAAAGCTAGAGAAGGGGAGATGGGATGATGGAAAGTCGAAATGCTACAAACCTCACTGTTTAAGTTACATTCATCTCTTAGCATATGGATAGCCAATTGTCCTGGTGCCTTTAGTTGAAAAGACTATTCTTTTTCATTGAATTGTCTTAATATCTTTGTGAAAAATCAATTTACCATAAATGTAAGAGGCTTTTTAAAATGTTTTTTTCCTCTTCATTTTCAGCAATTTGATTATGCCATGTCTCTTCTGCACATGAGTTCTTTGTTAGTTCAAATTCTTGGTTTCTTACCCCTTCCTCCTGCTGCCATTCACTCTTCATAGCATTTAAATGTACCATACATTCTTTCCAGGTTTTATAACTTTATTCAATGGGAGTCACGGAGTGAAGTGTGCTAACTTCATCTTACCCACAAACAAGTCCTAATAGCTACTAATTTTGAGGACTTATTTGTGCCAGTCCTTGCTAAGTATTTTTGTAAATTATCACATTTAAACCTTACAGCACCCTATGAGATAGTACAGTATTATACCCAATTTACAGAAAATGAAATTGAGCTTCAGGGGGCATAAGTGATTTTCTTAAGATCACAATTATTAAGTGGCCATGCTGGGACTTAAATCCATGTTTGTCCTTACACAAAAGTCTGTACTTTTGTCCACAGCACTTGTATATGTGATTGGAAAAGATTTATTGGTTTATTAAGTGTGATTTTACTATATCTCGAGACAAACTTTTCTGGAGTTATACATATCCCATTTTCTAACCTTGAATCAGTGAGAAAGAAACATATATTATCTCTAGAAATATATTTCCTCTGAAATCTTCAACTATAGTATGGTACTCTCTGACTACAACCTTTCTCTTATCCTTCTGGCTCGCATAACTCTCTTAAATTCACATACCATCTCTTCAACCCTGTTTATATCTCCAGTTCCTTGACCTTTTAATTTTCTCCCAATCTGTCAGCCCCTTTCTATTTCTTCTTGCTTTCAAATCTCACTTAGACTCTATCATCCATTATTTAACCACCCATCTTGACAATGAATCATTCTCTTTGCTTCCTTGTCTATGTATCACATCCACCCAGCAAAACCTCAAACTCAAATCAACCAGACTAATTGCCTTCTCTATTTCTACATCATGGCTTCTGGGCACTGCTAGAAAGAAAACATAACTTTGTTGATTATTGCCTCTACAACTTTCTCGTCTCTGTTATTGGTTAGAGCCTCTCCCTTGTTCAACAATCTATCTCCTAGTCCCTAGTCAGCTCACTATTTCATTCCTTATAAATAGTATTTTAAATCCTCATTACTCTTTCCTTTCCTACTATTTTGTCATTTTTAACAGTCTTCCATCCTATTTCAAAGGAAACTGCCATCAGCAAGAACTTTCATCCATTTCCTGCTTCATGCTCTGCTAACTTCTGTATCCTCACCCTTGTTTTCTTCTCTCTTGACTCAGTGCTAGGGAAGTCCTTTCTGCTTAAGGCTAATGTGTATAATTTTGTGCTGGATCCTATCCCTTTTATCTTCCAAATAACTTCAGTCATCCCCAGTATTCCTTCTTTCTTTTTAGGGTTTTAACATGACTTGTATACTTGTCAGACTCCATGGTCTACATACGCTTACCATGAACTATCTAAAGAAAATGATAAAAATGAAAAATGTCTTTCAATTGATTAGCTACTTGAACAAATAATACATTTAGATTTTCCTCTTTTTTTATTATACTTTAAGTTTTAGGGTACATGTGTACAACGTGCAGGTTTGTTACATATGTATACATGTGCCATGTTGGTGTACTGCACCCATTAACTCGTCATTTAACATTAGGTATATCTCCTAATGCTATCCCTCCCCACTCCCCCCACCCCACAACAGGCCCCGGTGTATGATGTTCCCCTTCCTGTGTCCATGTATTCTCATTGTTCAATTCCCACCTATGAGTGAGAACATGCAGTGTTTGGTTTTTTGTCCTTGCAATAGTTTGCTGAGAATGATGGTTTCCAGCTTCATCCATGTCCCTACAAAGGACATGAACTCATCATTTTTTATGGCTACATAGTATTTCATGGTGTATATGGGCCACATTTTCTTAATCCAGTCTATCATTGTTGGACATTTGCATTAGTTCCAAGTCTTTGCTATTGTGAATAGTGCCGCAATAAACATACATGTGCATGTGTCTTTATAGCAGCATGTTTTATAATCCTTTGGGTATATACCCAGTAATGGGATTGCTGGGTCAAATGGTATTTCTAGTTCTGGATCCCTGAGGAATCGCCACACTGAATTCCACAATGGTTGAACTAGTTTACAGTCCCACCAACAGTGTAAAAGTGTTCCTATTTCTCCACATCCTCTCCAGCACCTGTTGTTTCCTGACTTTTTAATGATTGCCATTCTAACTGGTGTGAGATGGTATCTCATTGTGGTTTTGATTTGCATTTCTCTGATGGCCAGTAATGATGAGCATTTTTTCATGTGTTTTTTGGCTGCATAAATGTCTTCTTTTGAGAAGTGTCTGTTCATATCCTTCGCCCACTTTTTGATGCGGTTGTTTGTTTTTTTCTTGTAAATTTGTTTGAGTTGTTTGTAGATTCTGGATATTAGCCCTTTGTCAGATGAGTAGATTGCAAAAATTTTCTCCCATTCTGTAGATTGCCTGTTCACTCTGATGGTAGTTTCTTTCGCTGTACAGAAGCTCTTTAGTTTAATTAGATCCCATTTGTCAATTTTGTCTTTTGTTGCCATTGCTTTTGGTGTTTTAGTCATGAAGTCCTTGCCCGTGCCTATATCCTGAATGGTATTGCCTAGGTTTTCTTCTAGGGTTTTTATGGTTTTAGGTCTAACATGTAAGTCTTTAATCCATCTTGAATTAATTTTTGTATAAGGTGTAAGGAAGGGATCCAGTTTCAGCTTTCTACATATGGCTAGCCAGTTTTCCCAGCACTGTTTATTAAATAGGGAATCGTTTCCCCATTCCTTGTTTTTGTCAGGTTTGTCAAAGATCAGATAGTTGTAGATATGCGGCATTATTTCTGAGGGCTCTGTTGTGTTCCATTGGTCTATATCTCTGTTTTGGTACCAGTACCATGCTGTTTTGGTTACTGTAGCCTTGTAGTATAGTTTGAAGTCAGGTAGTGTGATGCCTCCAGCTTTTTCTTTTGGCTTAGGATTGACTTGGCAATGCGGACTCTTTTTTGGTTCCATATGAACTTTAAAGTAGTTTTTTCCAATTCTGTGAAGAAAGTCATTGGTAGCTTGATGGGGATGGCATTGAATCTGTAAATTACCTTGGGCAGTATGGCCATTTTCACGATATTGATTCTTCCTACCCATGAGCATGGAATGTTCTTCCATTTGTTTGTATCCTCTTTTATTTCCTTGAGCAGTGGTTTGTAGTTCTCCTTGAAGAGGTCCTTCACATCCCTTGTAAGTTGGATTCCTAGGTATTTTATTCTCTTTGAAGCAATTGTGAATGGGAGTTCACTCATGATTTGACTCTCTGTTTGTCTGTTATTGGTATATAAGAATGCTTGTGATTTTTGCACATTGATTTTGTATCCTGAGACTTTGCTGAAATTGCCTATCAGCTTAAGGAGATTTTGGGCTGAGACGGTGGGGTTTTCTAGATATACAATTGTGTCATCTGCAAACAGGGACAATTTGACTTCCTCTTTTCCTAATTGAATACCCTTTATTTCTTTCTCCTGCCTGATTGCCCTGGCCAGAACTTCCAACACTATGTTGAATAGGAGTGGTGAGAGAGGGCATCCCTGTCTTGTGCCAGTTTTCAAAGGGAATGCTTCCAGTTTTTGCCCATTCAGTATGATATTGGCTGTGGGTCTGTCATAGATAGCTCTTATTATTTTGAGGTACGTCCCATCAATACCTAATTTATTGAGAGTTTTCATTCAATGCAAAAATCCTCAATAAAATACTGGCAAACCGAATCCAGCAGCACATCAAAAAGCTTATCTACCATGATCAAGTGGGCTTCATCCCTGGGATGCAAGGCTGGTTCAACATATGCAAATCAATAAACGTAATCCAGCATATAAACAGAACCAGTGACAAAAACCATATGATTATCTCAATAGATGCAGAAAAGGCCTTTGACAAGATCTTCTTCTTTTACTGTATACCATAATAAGTAGCAGTTCGTTTAAAAAGTGAAATGTAAAAATTTAAGCCCTAAAAAAGATAATATTAAATAGATAATATAATATGTTAATATTTTTGATATCCTAATGGGAAAAGATTTTTTCTATTCTTTGTTTTCAGTGAAAATTTTCAAACACACAGAAAAGATGAAAGAATTTTATCACAAAGAACCATTATATTACCATCTGGAATCTACCATTAATATTTTGCCTTATCACAAATCTATCTATACCCATACCCATCTATCAATCCATCTTTATTAATGTATGTTAGAAAACCGCTGATGTAAATTCCTTCCCCCGAAATACTTCAGCATGTATACTGTTAATTAGAGTTAAATATTTATTAATGATTTTTCTTTTGTTGCAAAATTTGCAAGCAGTTAAATGTAAAGATCTTTCAAGTGTTCATTTGCTGACTTTTGACCGGTGTATAAATCTGTAGTGATATACTGGTAAATGTTTAACAACCAGGTCTCTGGCGGGGGGGTAGGGGAGGGGAGCGGGGAAAACAGGCCCTGATTTGTATCATTTGCCAGTTTCCAAGGTGTACATATTACCACCATAGCCAGTTTCAAGCTACCAATATGTTATCACTGAACATGGAATTGGGAATAAAGACAATCATCGGACCATCTCCAGGACACACTGCATCTGTGTAACCTAACCCCTATCAACACAGAAGATTACTATCACCACAGAAAGTCTCAGCATACTTCTTTCCAGTAATTCCCATCCTACCCTCTCAGAGGCAACTAGTGTTGTGATTTTTTTCCACCATAGATTAGTTTTGCTTGTTCTAGAACTTCATATAACTGGAATTGTACAGTATATGTTCTTTGTGTAAGGTTTCTTTAATTCAACATAATGTTTTTGGGATTCATTCATATTGTCGTATGTATCAATAGTTTGCCCTTTCTACAGCACAATTCTTAGAAGAGTTTTCTATAATTACTGTATTAGTTTCCTAGGGCTGCTGTAACAAATTATTATAAATCTGGTGGCTTAGAACAACAGAAATTTATCCTCTCCACAGTTCTGGAGGCTAGAAGTCTAAAATCAAAGGTGTCAGCAGGGCCATGCTCTCTCTGCAGGCTCTAGGAGAATATCCTTCGTTACTTCTTCTAGCTCTGGTAAGTTGCCAGCAATTCTTGGTGTTCCCTGGTTCATAGATGCATAATTCCTATCTCTGCCTCTGTCATCACATAGCATTCTCATGTATCTGTGTTTTCACAGTGCTCTCTTAAAAGGATATCAGTCATTGGATTTAGGCCCCACCCTAATCTAGTATTACTTCATCTTAATTTAACTACATCTGCAAAGACCCTATTTCCAAATATTTCACAGTCTGTGGCTTGAGGTGGACATGAATTTTAGAGGTATACTGTTCAACCTAGTACAGTCTGCCCTCTGGTGCCAAAAATTCACATCTATCCACGTGCAAAATACATAACATCCCCAAAAGTCTTAACCCATTCCAGCACCAAGTCTGAGTCCCAAATATCATCTAAATACCAACTCAAAAAGTCCTAAGTCTCATTATCTAAATCATCTATATCAGGTATAGGTGAGGTTCTGGATATGGTCCATCCTGGGGCAAAATTTCTCTCCATCCAGAGACTGGTGGAGCTAGAAAACAAGTTATCTGCTTCCAAAATAAAATAGTGGGACAGGCATAAGGTAGACATTACCATTCTGAAAGGGCAAAAATGAGGGAATAAAGGGGTTACTGGTCTAAAGCAAGTTTGTAGCCTAGCATGGCAAATTCCATTAGTTTTCAAGGCCTATGAGTAATATTCTGGGCTCAGTGCTTTGTCCACTGGGCCCATATACTCAGTCTATCAGGGCAGCTATAGCCCCATCCTCTCTGGCCTCTATGTCTGTGGCTTTGCTCTTGTAATCATCCTTCCTTTGTCCTGTCTCTGTCTCTTTCACACCAGGCTGGCACTGGTGGTTTTTGCTGGTATAAGATTCTCAAAAACATTGTCAGTCTCATATATGTCAAGAGATTTACACCATTAGACATGAGGTTTCTCTACAGATTCTTCCTAGATAACCCCATCTGTATTCCTGGCTTCTGCTGAGGTGGTTGATTGGATCCTAACACCCTAACACTTAATCTCTTCAATGAAAGTTTGTCCATCTATACTGTTGGCCCTGTTTCCAGAGCACGCTATCTGTATAGGCTGAGAATTTTCCCAATCATCAAGTGTTGTCCCCTTTTTTCTTAACAGTTCCTTCTTCAATTTTCCTCTGTCCTCTTTTATTTTATTATAAGCATCAGGGAGAAACTAGCCTGCATCTTCCACACTTTGCCCATTCATCTCCTTAGTGAAATATCAGTTTGTCACTTTTAAGTTAAACTTTTTGCCCAACAGTAGAACTCAATTCAGCCAAGTTTCTGCCACTTTATAACAAAGATTGCCTTTCCTCCAGTGTCTAATAACATGTTCATCATTTCCTTCTAAGGCCTTGCCAGAAGTACCTTTAACATTTATACCTCTAGCAACATTTTGTTCATGATTACGTGTATGTAATCATGAACACATATATTCTCTAAGGTAATAGCAGCTTTCTCTACTGTCTCTTTACTTCTTTCTGAGCCCTTACCAGAATTGCCTTTAACATCCGTATTTCTACCAACAATCTCCTCAATGTAATATAGGCTTTTACCATCAAGCAGCTCAAAATTCTTCCAGCCTCTACTCATTACCCAATTCTAAATCCAATTCTACATTTTTAGGTATTTGTTAAAGCAGCATCTTACTTCCCAGTACCAGTGGTACTTTGTTATGGCAGACCTAGGAATCTAATACAGACTTTGGTACTGGGAAGTAGGATGCTGCTTAAAGTGAATGGCTTAAAACAACAGAAAGTTATTCCCTCACAGTTGTGGAGGCTACAAAATCAAAATGTTGGCAAGGTTGGGTCCTTCTAGTGGCTCTGAGGGAGAATTTGTTCCATGCCTCTTTCTTAGCTTCTGGTGTTTGCTGGCAGTTCTTAGATTATCTCTCTAATCTCTGCCTCTGCCATCACATGGCATTCTGGTTGTTGACTGTATCTGTCTCTGTATCTTCACATGTCCTTCTTATAAGGACATCAGTCATTGGACTCAGAGCCTACCCTGTGACTTCACCTTAACTAATTATATCTGCAAAGACCCTATTTCCAAATAAGGTCATATTCTTAGGTTCTGGGTAGACATGAATTTTGGGAGGATTCTATTTAACCCAGTACATTTACTTGTTGCCGCTTGTTCACCTCTCATTCACTTTTTTTGCAAACGATCTCTTTATAGTGAGATAGATCATGACAAACAGCACTTAAAACATTTTTAATCAGATCAAGAAACAGAACATGCCGATACTCCAAAAATCCCCATATGTCCCTCACAAATCACAACCCTCTTCCCACTAGATATAACTACTGCCCTAACTTGTGATAATTTCCTTATTTTTCTTTATATCTTTACCACCCATACATGCAGCACTAGACAGTCTGGTTTGGTTTTGCCTGTGCTTAAGCATTGTGTCAGTGAATTATACTGTATGTATTCTATTGGGTCTTCCTTTTCTACTCAATATTGTGGTGTTTTCTGGCAATTATATTTGAGATATTCGTACATATTGCTATGTGTAGCCATAGTTCATTTTCATTGAAGTATAGTATAGTATTCCTTTATATGAACATACCATAGTTTATCCATTCTACTGTAGTTGCACATTTGGGTTGTTTCCATTTGGGGGGCTGTATATATCACTTCTGCCACTGTGATCTTTCTTGTACATGTTTTCTGGGACACGTGTGCAGGAGTTTCTCAGGGTATATATCTAGGAGTGGAATTGGGTGGTGAAGTGTTCACATTGTCTTCAACTTTAATAGCTGTTAACTAATTTCTGAAGGGATTCCCCCAAGTTAAAATTCCACCAGCCATGTGGAAATGTTTAGGTTGCTCTACATCCTTGTCCACAACAGATATCGTCAGACTCTAATCTGATGAGTATTTACTTGTATTTTGTTGTGCTTTTTTCCCTTTATTATTAGTTAACATTTATTTATGTTACTTTTTTTTTCTTTTTTTTTTTTTGAGACAGAGTCCACTGTGTCGCCCAGGCTAAAGTGCAGGGGCATGATTTCAGCTCACTGCAACCTCCACTTCCCAGGTTCGAGCAATTCCCGTGCCTCAGCCTTCCGAGTAGCTGGGATTACAGACGTTTGCCATCACCCCTGGCTAATTTTTATATTTTTAGTACAGACTAGAAATACAAAATATTCACCAGGGACAGTGGCACACGCCATGTTGGCCAAGCTAGTCTGGAACTCCTGACCTCCAGTGATCCACTCACCTCAGCCTCCCAAAGTGTTGGGATTGTAGGCATGAGCCACCACACCTGGCCAATTTATGTTACTTTTTTTAAAGCCTTTAGTCAAGTGTTATTTTCCTCAACCTTTTATTTTGGAAAATATCAAATGTGGAGAAAAGTTGAAAGAATACACCCACACCCTTCACCTGCGTTCACCAACTGTTGACAACTTGCCACATTTGCTTTACCTCTCTTCCTCCATATGAGTGTATGTGTATGTAGTTTGTTTACTGATAAACTATTTGGAGTAAGTTTCAGAAATAAGAAGGATTTACTCCTAAATACTTAATTGTGTATCTCCTAAGAACAAAGACATTCTCCTGTGCAATCACAGTATAATGATCACTCTTAAGAAATTTAACATTGCTTCTCTAATGTTGCAATCAGGTTTCTCAATTATAAATCCGGAATACAATTGGAGATCACACATTACACTTAGTTTGCTTTAGAACAGTTCCCCGAACAGTTCCCCTGCCTTCGTGTTCGTGTGTGTGTGTGTGTGTGTGTGTGTGTGTGTGTGTGTACCTTTCAGGATGTCATTTTAAGAGTCTGAGCCTATATTGTTTGTTTGTTTCATTGTGGTTTTAATTTCATTCTTGATAACTAGTGATGTTGGATACCTTCTTACACATTGACTGGCCATTTGGACAGCCTGCTTTGTGAAATGGCTATTCAGTTCTTTTGCCCATTTAGCAAATGTGAAAATGCCTATTTACTATCTGAATGTCTTTCCGTCTGTTTGTATCTTTGTCCAGATGCAGTCTTGGTTCAGAGGTCACTTTAGGCATCTATCAAAACAATAGCTTGTGAATCTTGAAGTCAGCAGATAAATAACTTTAAAGACAAAATAACCAATGGGTGAACACCAAAGCACTAAGATATAGCACATCTCAGTTATTGCCACCTCTCTACAGGAAGGAAGGAGGTAGGAAAGTGTTGAGGTTATACATCCTGAATACTCTGTATCCAATTTTTCTCTAATCATAGGTGCATTTTCTTATAAATTTGTACCAGTCTTTTTATTATTATGGATACTTGTTCTGTGTTGGTAATATATGTTGAAAATGTATATTCCAATTCTGTAGTTTATCATTTCACTGCCTTTATGGTATCTTTTGGTAAACAACAGTTGTTGATCTCTATGTAATAAAATTTATTAATTTTTTCTTTATACTTAGTGGTTTTGTGCTTTGATTAATAAATCCTTTTTTTTTTCTGAGACAAAGAGTCTTCCCCTGTCACCCAGGCCGCAGTGCAGTGGCCTGGTTCACTGCAACCTCCGCCTCCTGGGTTCAAGCAGTTCTCATGCCTCAGCCTCCCAAGTAGCTGAGATTACAGATATGCGCCACCACGGCCAGCTAATTTTTGTATTTTTAGTAGAGGTGGGGTTTTACCACGTTGGCCAGGCTGGTCTCGAACTCCTGACTTCTGGTGATCTGCCCTCCTTGGCCTCCCAAAGTGCTGGGATTACAGGCATGAGCCACCGCGCCTGGGCCTGATACTGTTCTTTATTCTAAAAGCTTTATGTTTTTTGCCTTTCACATTTAAGTCTTTAATCCACCTGGAATTGATTTATGTATGTGGTATAAAGTAGGGTTCCAGTTCCTTTTTTCCCTCATGTAGATAGCCTTCTAACACCAAATATTGAAAATGTCTAGACTGTTATTGTGTTGCAATATCAGGTGTTCATATATGGATGGATATTCTGTCATATATCAGGTGTTCATATATGAATGAATTTTTTTTTGATTCTCTCTTTTGTTCCTTTGTCTTTTTGGCTATTTTAGAATCAATATCATACAGTCTAGCTTTATGATGTTTTAGTATCTGGAGAATAATTCTTTCCAACTTGTTTTTCTTCAAAAGTGTTTTGTCTACTTTTGACACTTTGCCTTTCCATGTAAATTTGAAAATCTATGAAGTTACACATGCACACATACCTTTATATGATTTTGATTGGGATTCCATCGAGCATTTAAGTCAATTGAGGTCAATTGACATATCTATGAGTCTTCAAATCTTCAAATGTGAACATGGTACCTTTCCATTAATTTAATTATCCTTTAATGACTTTCAGTACATTTTCTGTTTTCTATTTCTTCTCACCTTTTGTGATTCTGAATAATTTGTTTATTTTTAAACTGCTTTATTGAGGTATATAATTTATACATGATAAAATCCACCTATTGTAAGTGTTCAATTCAGTGATTTTTAGTAAATTTATAGAATTGTGCTATCAAATCCAGAGTCCAATTTTAGGACATTTCCATCACCCGGGGCAAAATTCCCTAGGGCTCATTGGCAGTAAATGACTCCCACATACACCCCAAGCCTTTGTTTCCATAAATTTGTCTTTTCTAGATACTTCATAATGAATGGAATCTTACAATACGTGGTCTTTTGAATCTGGCTTCTTTCAGGAACCATAATGTTTTGGAGGTTCTCCATGTTGTGGCATGTATCAGCAATTTGTTCCTTTATATAGCTAGTTTTTTTATTTTACAGCTTTATTAGTCTGTTCTCAGACTGCCATAAAGAAATACTGGAGACTGGATAATTTTTAAAGGAAAGAGGTTTAATTGACTCACAGTTCTGCGTGGCTGAGGAGGCCTCAGGAAACTTAAAATCATAGCGGAAGGGGAAGCAGACACCTTCTTCACAAGGTGGCAGGAGAGAGCGTGTGTGTGAAGGAGGAACTGTCAAACATGTATAAAACCATCAGATCTTGTGAGAATGAACTCACTATCACAAGAACAGCATAGGGGAAACCGCCCCCATGATCCAGTCACGTCCCACTAAGTCCCTCCCTTGACACGTGGGGATTATGGGGATTACAATTCCAGATGAGATTTGGGTGGGGACACAGAGCCAAACCATGTCAATAGATATACCGCATTGTTTAATCTTTTCACCACTTGATGACATTTATGTTGTTTCCACTTTTAGCTATTATCAATAATGTTGCCGTGAACATTTGTATGAACATGTTTTCATTTCTCTTGAATGAGTAGAATTTCTGTGTCCTACAGTAATTCCGTGTATAACCAATTTGAGGAATTGACTATTTCCTAATGTGGTTGTATCATTTTACTGTCTCATCAGCAATGTATGAGTTCTTATTTCTCTGCATCCTTGCCAATACTTGTTATTACCTGTCTTTTATTACAGCCATTTCAGTGTGTGTACTGATAGCTCATTGCAGTTTTATTTTGAATTTCTGTAATAACAAATGATCTTGAATACTTTTTCATCTGCTCATTAGCCATCAATATGTCTTTTTTGGTGAAATGTCTATTCAAGTCTTTTGCCCATTTTTTGATTGGGTTGTTTCTGAGTATAAGAATTCTTTATTCTGAATACAAGTCCTTTATAAGGTATATATATGATTTGCAAATGTTTTCTTCCAGTCTGTAGCTTGTCTTTATTTTCTTAATGGTGTCTTTTGAAGCACAGAAGTTTTTAATTTTAATGAAGTTCAATTCATTATTTTATGGCTTGTGCTTTTGGTGTCATATCTAAGAAATCATTGCTGAACTCAAGGTCAGAAAGATATTCTATTTTTTTTTCTGGAGTACTTATAGTCTTAGATTTTACATCTAGATATATTATACATTTGAGTTGATTTTTATGTGTGAAGTAAAGGGTCCAAGTTCATATTTTTGTATATGGATGTCCAGTTGTTCCAGCACTATTTAAAGGCTGTTATTTTTCCCATTGTCTTGGCACCTTTGTGGAAAAATCAATTGACCATAAATGTAAGGCTTTATTTCTGGACACTCAACTTGGTTCCATTGATCTATATGCCTATCCTTATACTCTAAATCTTTTTACTGTACCTTTATAGTAAGTTTTGAAATTGGGTAGTATGACTCCTCCAACTTTGTTTCTCTTTTTTAAAATCACTCTTTTCTATTCTAGGTGCTTTGTATTTCCATGTAAATTTTAGAAACAGCTTGCCAATATTTTAAGAAAAATAAGCCTGCTGGAATTTAATAAGGATTGAGTTGAATCTATAATTCAATTTGGAGAAAACTGATCTTTAATCATTAATCTTTTAATACAAGAAAATAGAATGTCTCTTCCTTTGTTTAGATCTTCTACAATTTATTTCAGCATTGTTTTGTAGTTTTTAAGTTACATTTATTTTATCAAACTTAATCTTATGCTTTCTTTATTGAATTTATTTATTATTTTTTAGAGACAGGGTCTTGTTCTGTATTCCAGGCTGAAGTGCAGTGACACAATCATAGCTCGCTGCAGCCTCCAACTCCTGAGCTCAAGGGATCCTCTTGCCTCAGCCTCCCGAATAGCTAGGACTACAGGTGCATGCCACCATGCTTGGCTAATTGTTTTTAAAATTTTGTTTAGAGATGGGGTCTCACTGTGTTGCCCAGGCTGGTCTCAAACTCCTGGCCTCAAGTGACCCTCCCACATCATCCTCTCAAAGCACTGGGATTACAGGTATGAGCCACCACACCCAGCCTTTTGAATTTATTTCTAAGCATTTTAATGATTTTCATGTTCTTGTGAATAGAATTGTTTTCACATTTCATTTTCCAATTGTTGCATGCAATTATATAGAAATTGAGTTGATATTTCTTTTTTCTTTTTTTTTTTTTAGATGGAGTCTTGCTTGGTCACCCAGGCTGGAGTGCAGTGGCACTGTCTCGGCTCACTGCAATCTCCGCCACCTAGGTTCAAGCGATTCTCCTGCCTCAACCTCCTGAGTAGCTGGGATTGCAGGCATGTGCCACCACGCCTGGCCAATTTTTGTATTTTTAGTAGAGACAGAGTTTCACCATATTGGCCAGGCTGTTCTCAAACTCCTGACCTCAGGTGATCCTCCCTCTTCAGCCTCCCATAGTGGTGGGATTACAGGCATGAGCCACTATGCCTGGCCTAAAGTTGATTTTTCTATATTAATTTGTATCCTGTGACTAAACTCTTTTATTCTAAAAGTTTTATTATGGATACCTTAAAGTTTTCTACATAGACAATCCTATTTCCTGTGAATAAAGACACTTCTTTCTTTCCAGTTTGGAGGATTTTTTTTTTTTTTTTTTTGCCTCCTTATACTGTCTGGAACCTTCAGTACAATGTTGAATGGAAGTGGTGAGAGCTAACATCCTTACCTTGTTCCCAGTCTTAGGGGAAAAGTATTCAGTTTTTAACCATTAAGTATGATCTTAGCTCTGGGTTTTCTGCACATGCTCTTTGGCAGTGTATTACTTTCCTATGAAAAGAAAAGTAATTAGTATGTAACTAATTACCGTATATTTAGTGGCTTAAACAATATAAATTTCTGCCCTTATAGTTCTAGAGGTCAGAAATCTTAAGATGTCAACAGGACTGCATTTCTTTTAGAGGCTCTGGTTGAGCCTTGTCCAGATCCTAGAGGTTACCTGCATGCCTTGGCTCTTGACCCCTTCCTCACATTATCCTCTGCATACATCATCACATCTCCCATTCTGTCTCTGACCTTCTTGCTTCCTTCTGATAAGGACCCTTATGATTGCATTGGTCCCACCTGCATAATCCAGAATCATCTTCCTATCTCAACCTTAACATGATCACATTTGCAAATTCCCCTCTGCAGTATAATTTAACATTTTCACAGATTCCAGGGATTAGGATGTGGACATCTTTGGGGGGCCATTATTCAGCCTACCATAAGCAGGTTGAAGATGCTCCCTTCTAGTGTCAGTTAATTGAGCTTTTAAAAAATTATAAATGGGTATTGGATTTTGTTTAATGCTTTTTCTGCACCTACTGTGATGATCATGTGATTTAAGATTTAATCTATTGATTTTTAGATGTTACACCAATCTTTCATTTCTGGGATAAATCCCACTTATGTGTGTGTGATTATTTTGTATGTTGCTGGATGAGGCTTGCTAATATTTTATTAGGTATTTTTGCATCTATATTCATGAGGAATATTGGTCTGTGGTTTTCTTGTAATATCTTTGTTTAGTTTTGTTATCAGTGTAATACTGATATCATAGAATGAATTGGAAAGTATTTCCTTCTCTTCCCTTTTCTGAAGTGTTTCTGCAGGATTAGTATTATTTCTTTAAGTATTTGATAGAATTTACCAATGAAGCCATTTGGACCTGGGTTTTTCTTTGTGGGTTGTTTATTGAGTACTAATGCACCCTCTTGTTATTCGTTTTTTCTTTGAGACTGCTTTGGTAATTTGTATCTTTCTATGAATTTGTCCATTTATCTAGGTTTCCTAATTTGTTGGCCTAAAGTTATTTATAATATTCCTAAATAATTGTTTTTCATTCCCTAAAGTTAGTAGTGATGCTTCCTCTTTAATTATTGATTTTAGTCATTTTTGTCTTCTCTCTTACTTTCTTGTTCAGTCTAGGTAAAGGTTTGTCATTTGTTAAACTTTTCAAAGAACCAGCTTTTGGTTTTGTTGATTTTTCTCTATTTTTCCATTTTCTATTGCGTTGATTTATTTCTTAATCTTTATTGTTTTCTTCCTTCTACTTGCTTTCTGTTTAGTTGACTCTTTTTCTAGTTTCCTAACTTGGAAGCTCAGGTTTTAAATTTGAAACCATTCTTCTTTTCCAATACAGGCATTTAAAGCTTTAACTGTCTATCATATGGATGCAGCATTGTTTTAGCTGCATCCATAAATTTTGATATGTTGTGTTTTCATTTTCATTGAGGTCAAAATATTTTTAAATTTCCTTTATGAGTTCTTTGACCCATGGGTTATTTAGAAGTTTGTTGTTCAATTTCCAGATATTTGTGTTTTCCCGTTTCTTACAGTAGTGGATCACTAATGTATGTCCATTGTGGTTACAGAACATACTTTATATGATTTCAGTCTTTTTTAGTTTTTTTGAGACATACTCCTACCTTGAGACCTTACTCTAATATCAGTATGATAGATGCCCTTGCTTTTTTCAGGTCTTCACTCAAATAGCACCTTCTCAATGGGACCTATCCAGACCAACATTAAAAATTACAACCACCCCATAGCTCTTCCAATCTTATCTTGTATTTTTTTTCTTTTTTATAGCACTCCTACCTTCTAACATGCCATGTAATTCACTTAGCTCTACAAAGGGAGGAATCCTTATTTATTGATGCATCCTTAATTATTTTTTAGTGTATTTATTAATCTATTCATCCACTTGGACATATGTAGCTGAAATTTGTTCACTTTCTTTGGATGATAGTATTTCATCATATAAACGTACCAGAATTTTATAATTAATTCTTCTTAGATGAACATTTGTATTTTTGCTAACTCTGGGCAATTATAAATAGCAATGATCTGAAAATTCTTATTATTGTGTCCTGGTGCATATATGCCTACATTTTTCTAAGGTATATATGTGGGAGTTGAATTGATGGATTGTATGTTGAGCATATCTTCAACATTAGTAGATGATGTCATGTTGATTTGCACTGTGTATACACATTCCCACTAGCAATATGTGAGGGTACCAGTTGCTCTACAACTTCACTGACATGTAATGTTGGCATTCTTTTTAATTTTTGCCAATATGTTGGTTTTCTATTAGTATCTTATACCCTTCCTAATTTGCATTTCCCTGAATTCTAATGTGGCTGAGCACTTTTGTATATATTTATTTTATTATTTTTTTTAATTTAGAGACAGAGTATCACCATGTTGCCCAGGCTGGTCTTGAACTCCTGGGCTCAAGGAACTTTCCTCCTGCCTCAGCCTCCCAAGTGCTGGGATTACAGGCATGAGCCACCACGCCTGGCCCACATATATTTATTAGCTATGTGTATTTCCTCTTTTGTAAGGTATCTCTTCAGTATTTTGCCCATTTTCCTAATGGTTGTTCATCTTTTTCTTATTGATTTGTAGGAGTTATTCATGTATTTTAGTTTTAAGTTCTCTGATAATTCTTTGTGTAGCAAATATCTTTTCCTATCCTGTGGGGTTTTTTTTTTTTGGTCCATCTCTTTATGACATCTCGATGAACAGAAGTTCTTAATTTTAATGTAGTTGAATTTATCAATCTTTTCCTTAATGGTTAGTGCTTTTTGTGTCTTAGGAAATACTTACATAACTACTCCTATGCCTTGCTGGTGGAAATATAGAATAGTATAACTCCTACAGCGTGAAATTTAACAATACATAGAAAAATTACATACACATTTGCCCTTTGTCTCAGCAGTTTCACTTCAGGGAATCTATTTTAAACATATACTTGAAAAATACCAAATCCTGTATGCACAAAGCTGTTTATCAGGACATTATTCATAACAGTATGAGACTAGATATAAGACCAACGTGTATCAGGAGGGGAATAGTTAAATAAACTATGGTACATCCACACAATGGAGTACTGTGCAGCTTTACGAAGGAATGAGAAGAGCTCTACACATTAACATGGAACTATCTCCAGGACATATTGTTAAGTGCAAAAAAGTAAATTGTAGAACAGTGCTTATAGTAAGTTACTTTTTATGTAGGAGAGAGGTATAACTAATGAATTATGTATATGTGTATATATGCCTATTTGCTTATATTTTCAAAAAAGAAACAATGGAACCATAAGCCAAAACCTAATAAAAATTATTATTTATGGGGAATGAAGGGAATGGGATAAAGGGGACAGAGATGGAAGTGAGACTTCTGTGAAGGTACTGTATAACAGTTTCACTTTAGATCCATGTAAATATTTTGCATCATCTAAAAGTTTAATCAAAAAGGTAAAATTCAATCCCTAAAATTCAAAAACAACCTGAAGCAAATGAGCCTAATGATAAATAAAGTTAGTAGCATAAACACACAATTGGAAAACAAAGCAGTTACTTATAGTGACTTTAAAACATTTGTATATTTCCAATGGGACCCATATTCTAAGGGCAAAAGTAACTGCAAAAGAAATATAAAACTATATTCAGCAGTTTTATTGGTGATAGTATTGTTATTGACATTGTAAAATTCTGTAAGTATATTGTAGGAAGAAGCTAATGAATAATTTTGCTAATATTAAGCATATGAGAGGAGATACACTCTAAAATAAAGGAGTTTAAGTAAAAATCTTGTTATCTTAAATTTGAGTTGGAAATACCAATATAAACTCATGGTTTACTTTTCTCTTTAAAAATGTCCCTCTTGCTCAACAAACTAACACAAGAACAGAAAACCAAACACCGCATGTTCTCACTCATAAGTGGGAGTTGAACAATGAGAACACATGGACACAGGGAGGGGAACATCACACACTGGGGCCTTTCGGGGGGTGGAGGGAAAGGGGAGGGAGAGCATTAGGACAAATACCTAATGCACGCGGGGCTTAAAACTTAGATAATGGGTTGATAGGTGCAGCAAACCACCATGGCACATGTATACCTATGTAACAAAACTGCATATTCAGCACATGTATCCCAGAACTTAAAGTAAAATTTAAAAAAAAATAAATAAAATAAAATAAAACCATTCTAGTGGATCATTTTAAAAAAAATGTCCTAGCTTTTGTCCACTGAAAAGGCCTGGAAACAACAACTTGGAAGTTGCTTCTGCACACACCAGCAACACACTTTGGTTTCTAAATACCACTTCCTACTAAAAGGAACCAAGGGTCCCTACAAAAATATTCCAGGTTTGAGTTAGGAGGTATGCAAGATGAGCTTAGGATATTTGGCTGTGCCAGAAAGCCGAGAAGCAATACAGGAGCCGATTTGAAGGGGCTCCCACTGGTCTTAAGTGGGATAATTTGGCCACTAAAAAGAATAATGAGTATGTTTAATTGACACAGATAAAGTATATGAAAATACACGATTTCATTATTATACTAAAAATAACCATTGGTCACCATTGGACATTTTTTTTGTTTTGAGATGGAGTCTCACTCTGTCGCCCAGGCTGCAGTGCAGTGGCGCGATCTCGGCTCACTGCAACCTCCGCTTCCCAGGTTCAAGCAATTCTCCTGCCTCAGCCTCCCGAGTAACTGGGACTACAGGCACCCGCCACCATGCCCGGCTAATTTTTGTATTTTTAGTAGAGATGGGGTTTCACCATATTGGCCAGGCTGGTCTCAAAGTCCTGACCTTGTGACCCGCCTGCCTCGGCCTCCCAAAGTGCTGGGATTGCAGGCATGAGCCACCACGCCCGGCCTCCATTAGACATTTCTAAGATGTCAACTCTTACTCTCATAATTGGTAAATAATGGCAAAGAATCAAGCATTTATCCTGCCATTCCCATATGATCTACATTTTTAGGGAAACCACATAGTTGATGATGGTAAGTTCATTTTAGAATTACGGATAATAAGCGTAAAAGAAAGAATTAGGAAAGCCATGATTTGCAACTCTTAATAAATTAATAGACTAGGCAGTGGTCATCAGTGGATGTAAAAAACCCATTAGGTGGAAGGTGAATGGGAAAATTTAATAATGGAGGGATGAGACTAATGCCATCTACCACCTCAATCCACTGATCAATTTCAGTATCACTAAAAATAGGACCACCAAACGTTATGTGTCTTATGACATGATACAATAGGAAGTACATATCTGTCTATAAAGGATTATTTCCTAAAAATATTGAACCTGAACCTAATCAAACCTCTGGATCAGCACTGTCCAATGCAACTTTCTAAAATGATGTAATAGTTTTTATCTGTTCTGTCCAATATGGTATCCACTAGCCACATGTGACTGTCGAACACTTTAAATTTGTTAAGTTCGGCTGAGGAGCTGATATTTAAAAATTTATTTAAATAGACACATGTGACCAGTGGCTACTATATTAGGTAGCATAGTTATGGATTATCTGCCAAGAAATAGAAGGGATTAAGGAACAAGTTAAACAACACCATCAGAAAATGATTAATCAAATTCATTTGTTCATAGAACAAATGTAGTTTATTTAATCAATGGATGAGTGAGAAAATGAAATAAAGGGATGGGAGAGACGAGGCACTGTTTTAGAATAAAAGTATCTTAAGAGATATAACAGCCAAAGGCTAGTTTAGATTTTGAATTGAATAAACAAGTATAAAAAAATCTTAGATGGAATCAGGACAATTTGAACATAACATTGGTATTAGATGATACTAAGGAATTATTAATTTTGTGAAGTATAATGCTATATTGCTTATATGTTTTTAAATGTCCTTATCAATTAGAGGTGCATATATTTGCATGACTCTAGGTGCCTCACTTGCCTCACCATAGTTCTGGCCTATAGTTCTGCTTGAAATATACTATAA
The DNA here is from genome assembly GCF_000001405.40 of Homo sapiens. Taxonomy (NCBI): domain Eukaryota; kingdom Metazoa; phylum Chordata; class Mammalia; order Primates; family Hominidae; genus Homo; species Homo sapiens. The sequence goes on along the minus strand of NC_000023.11, from coordinate 107,088,996 downwards.
TAAGATAACTATTTACCATTGTCATTTGTCACAGGTTGTAAAGACCTGCCCCAGCAGTGTTTCTTTATCTGAGGTCCAGGATTTAATTTTTATTAATTTGCCAAAGGTTGTATTGGTAGGCTTTGTAGAACTTCCCTATCTCTTTGTCTTGATCCAGATGAACCCCAAAAGAAGAACAAAGGTGATCCCATGAACAACCTGGAAAGTTTTTACCAAGAGATGATAATGAAAAAACGTCTTGAAGAGTTTCAACTTATGAGAGGTGAACCCTTTGCTTCCCACTCACTGGTCTCAGCTACATCAGTGGGTGATAGTGGCACAGCTGAGAGCCCATCATTACTCCAGGACAAGGGAAAACAGGCAGCACAGGGTAAAGGCCCCAGTCTCCATGTGGCAAATGTTATTGATTTTTCACCTGAGCAGTGTTGGACTGGGCCTAAGAAGCTGACGCAGCCAATAGAATTTGTCCCAGAAGATGAAATCCAGAGAAATCGTTTGTCAGAGGAAGAGATCCGAAAAATTCCTATGTTTTCTTCATATAATCCAGGGGAACCAAACAAGGTATAGGCCAAACCAAGTAAAACAACCTGGGTTGATTTCGCTTTTATTTACCTCTACCTAAAGTAATACTTTTAAATTAGCTTTGATTATACCAAAGAATCATGATATAGGCACAGTGATTGTGTTTGTCCTTGACCTTGACTATTCATTCTCTGCATACTATATAAGTAGCATATTTCCTATAAGGTTCTTGGTACTTTGCTAAGGTCCTGAACTATCCTTAGCGTTTTAAAGAAATCTTGATAAGACTCTAGTCCATACCCATTAGAAGCCCCGAATTGAAGGAATAGTAACATCCAATTTCCTACAGTGTAATAATCAAATAGTGTTCATAGGACCACCATAGCTGGTAGCCTTGGTGCCTCTGGAATTAGCCAATAATTGACTGCCTGGTCGTGAGTTGGGTATATGCTACCACATGAGTCTTCTCTTCAGAATGCTCTACCTGGCTGTCATATGACATATGACTTAAATTGCTGTTGGCAAAGCAGCAAAGTGAAAAGGTCCTATAAGCTTTAAGAAATTGTCCAACAAGGCCAGGTGTGGTGGCTCATGCCTGTAATCCAAGCACTTTGGGAGGCTGAGGCAGGCGGATCACGAGGTCAGGAGTTCGAGACCAGCCTGACCAACATGGTAAAACCCCATCTCTACTAAAAATACAAAAATTAGCTGGGCGCGGTGGTGTGTGCCTGTAATCCCAGCTTGTGGAGGCTGAGGCAGGAGAATCACTTGAACCCGGGAGGCGGAGGTTGCAGTGAGCCGAGATCATGCCACTGCAAAATCCAGCCTGGGCAACAAACCGAGACTTCGTCTCAAAAAAAATTGTCCAATACGTAACTAAATAACGTTGTAGATAATTCTTATTTTATTGATCAAATCATTATTTCACATTCATGTTATATGTTACATCTGGAATGGAAAACTCTTCATTACTATATTACTCAAAGAGACAACACAAACCCCTGGAGCATATACTTTGTTGTGTCTAATTTAAAAAACAAAACCAAAATTATTATGTTAGTTTTTGACTGTCTCTGAATTAAAAAAAAATCATTCTAGATGAGGGATATTAAAACAGTTTGTTTGACTGATTGAATTTCTAATAGTTCGGGGGTATTTATACTATTAGTTCAAGGGTAGCTTTGTTTTTATTTACTTTTTGTTATGAAATATTAATATACCAAAAGTTATATAGAATAATATAGCAAATACCTGTGTAGCCAGCCAACCTTTATTAATCATTATCAATTCCTAATATTTTCCATATTTGCTTAATTAAAAAAATAATAAAGCATTATAGATATTCCTGAAGACTTCCACATATTCCTCACCAATCCCATTCTCCTTTATCCTTTCCAGATGTAACCACTATCCTGAATTTGCTATTTATAATTCCTGTGCACGTTTTTATATTTTTACTACATAGCCATATATTCACAAATAACATATAGTTTTATATGTTTTAAAACTATATAGATGACATACTCTATCATTCTACAACCTTTTTGACTCAATATGCATAATGCTTTTGAAATTTATTTCTAAAGATACAAGGAACTATATAGTATTCCATTGTAGAAATAGACCATCATTTGTTATATTTATCCACTTTCCTGAAGATTTGTTCTTTCTGTTATTTTGCTATTACAGTTAATTCTGCAACAAGTATTATCATACACCTCTTGTTGCACATATGCCAGACTTTTTCTAGGACAGTGTTTTTCAAACTTAGATTACAATTAGTAGGTTACAACCAATGGGATTTTTTTAATGAAATGGAATAGAATAGAAAATATCAAAAAGTGTTCCCTACAGTATGTTAGGGTAATTACTGTTTCTTAAAGCTTTTTTTTTATATGTGTTTGTGTATATGTGACATAATGTGTGTGGGGCCACATTGAAGAATGCAGTTCTTCGTGTAGATCTCAATCAAAAGTGTTGGGAAGGTGTCATTCTATTACAGTGTCTCAAATGTTAGTGTGCATCTGAATTGCCTGGGGGGCTTGTTAAAACACAGATTGCTAGACTCCACCCCCAGAAATTTTGACTCAGTAGATCTGGAGTGGGGCCTGAGAATTTGCATTTCCAACAAGTTCCCAAGAGATTCTGATCCTGCTGGTCGAGAGTAACAATTTAAGAATCATCATTCTAGGTTATATACCTGGGAGTGGAATTACTGTGATATATAGGGTATGTATATCTCAATTTCTAATGTAACAGGGTTTCAGAGATCCTCTTCACATTCTTGCCAAAACTTTGGAGTATTATTTTGCCAGCCTAATCAGCTTGAAAAGTTATCTCATTGTTTTAATTTGCATGTTTCTGATTTCCAGTGAGGTTATGCATGTATTCTTAACATTTATTGGCCTTTCAGGAACTTTCTGTGAGTTACCTGTTACATTCCTTTGCTGAATATTTAATCGTTTGTTTTTTCATATTTATTTATAGGGATTATTTTAAAATTCTGCATATGAATCCTTTCTGTTGTTTAGCAAATATCTTTGCCCAGTGGATGACTTACCTTTTAACTTTGTTCCTGATGTCTTTTGTTGAGCAAAAGTCTTTCATTTTAATGTTATCAGATTATCGGTATTTTATTCAATGGTTTGTGCTTTTTGAATCATTTTAAGGAGATCCTTCCCTACAAATCAATAAGAAAAATACAAACAACACAATAAAAATAAAAGTGTTTATAAAAACAGACATAACAGGCAGTTCACAGAGGCAAAAACACCAGTGGCCTATAGACTTAAGAAATCTCATTAGTAATCAATAAAATGCAAAATAAATCTATACTATGATATATACATTTAGTACTTAGAATGCTGGCATATATTTAAAGGCCTGACAATGCCAAGTATTGGTGAACATACGAAACAATAAGAACTCTATGTAACCTCAGCACTTTGGGAGGCCGAGGCCAGCAGATCACCTGAGGTCAGGAGTTCGAGACCAGCCTGGCCAATGTGGCAAAACCCCGTCTCTACTAAAAATACTAAAAATTAGCCGAGTTTGATGGCACACACTTGTAATCGCAGCTGCTCAGGAGGCTGAGGCATGAGAATCTCTTGAACCCAGGAGGTGGAGGTTGCAGTGACCCAAGATCATGCCACTGCACTCCAACACTCCAGCCTGGGTGACAGAGCGAGACTCTGTCTCAAAAAAAAAAAAAAAAGAAAAAGAAAAAAAAGAAAAACAATAAGAATTCTAATATACCTCCAGGGGAATATAAATGAATACAACCACTTCCAAGAACATTATGGCAATGTCTAGTAAAATTGAAGATCTTCATACACTGTAAGTCAGCAGTCTCACTCTTCATTATCTATCCTAGAGAAACCCTTAGACATCCACATTAGGAGATGTTATAATGATGCTTGTTGTGGCATTGTTCATCAGCAGGAGTATAGATAAAACATGGTATGTTTATAAAATAGAATACTACACAGTAGAGAAAATGAATAAAATAGAATTATAGGTATCAATTTGGATGAAACTCACAAACATAATTTTGAACAAAAATAGCTAGTTGCAGATTTCTAGTTTCAGCTTCAACATGTGAAGTCCTTAGAAGTCATCACTCCTGTCTTACAATAAGAAAAACAGTTGAGCAAACTAAAAATCAATGACTTTTCTTAGACACAACAGAAAATTTAAGTCACAGGGCAAACTGTAATCTTGAAATCTGAAGAAACGGGCAGTTACAGAAAATCACATCCCAGATTTGCTTATCAGGAGCAAAACGCACTGGAGCCATAAACTGGTAGAAACACTTAGGTGGTAACTTTGACAAATTGCTGGCGTCAGAGTGTAGACTAGTGTAGGAATGACAAAACTGGGGGCCCACAGTCTTAGAGGTTTTGATTGCTTCCAGGAACCCCACAAGTTTCAAGGTAAAGACCGAAGAAAAAAAAATCTCTTGTTTCTGGCATGGAGAGAGGAAACATCATTTTTAAGTGTATCTAGAACTTTCTACTTAGTAAAGGGCTACCCAGCAAGGAAAACAACTTTACCAAAGCCTTATCCAACTCCAGGCTCTTCTAGCCTTCCTGTCTCATCTAAGAGAGAAAAAAAGCTGTGAAGTGCTTGTGAAGGTTACAGGCTGGAGACACAGGCACACTAAAAGATTGAGACTTCATCATAGGATTAGAGAATGCCTCCCCTTCCACACCTTGCTACTACATCAACAGAGCTTCAGTATAATAATCGTGGATTATAGCTGAAAGACCTGCAAGGATCAGACTCTATTTAAGGAGGTTTTTTTGTTGCTGTTTTGTTTTGATTTGTTTTTTTTTTTTTTTGTAAATCCAAAGGAAACAAGGGAGACAAAAAGACAGTAGAAGAAACAGAAACTTCTGACACCTACAGCTACATCAAACATTAAGCACAGCCCAACTCCTGGCCAGATTAACATAAAACCTCATACTAATGGTCTCTTTGGATTAGTTCCTATTACTTGATAGATCATGTCCAGTTTTCAACAAAAGAAATTATAACGTATGCTAAAAAAAAAAAAAACACACATTCTGAAGAGGCAAAACAAGCGTGAGAACCAAATTCAGGTTTTGGAATTATCAGATATGGAATTTAAAATAACCACGATTAATATACTAAGTAGGCTATGAATAAAAGTAGATAACATGCAAGACCAGATGGCTAATCTAAACAGAGAGAAACTCTAAGAAAGAATCAAAAGGAGTTGCTAGAAATCAAAAACACTGTAACAAATGAAGAATGCCTTTGATAGGCTCATCAGTAAGTTGGAAACAGCCAAGGAAGGAATCAGTAAGGTTGAAGACATGGCAATAAAAACTTCCCATGCTGAAATACAAAGGAAAAAAAGACTGAAAAAAAGGAACAGAATATCCAAGAACTATGGGACGATTTCAGAGTATAACATACATGTTATTGGAATACCAAAAGGAGAAGAGAAAAAGAAGGAGAAGAAATATTTGAAGTAGTAATGGATGAGAATTTTCCAAAATTAATAGCAGATAACAAACTACAGATCTGGGAAGCTCCAAGAACACCAAGCAGGATAAATACCAGAACTACACCTAAGCGTATCATGTTCAAACTACAGAAAGACAAAGAAAAGATTTTAAAAACAGCCAGAGAAAATAAACACTTTACCTATATAGAAACAAAGGTAAGAATTACATTTCTCATCAGCAACTGTGCAAGAGAGTAGTGTGAAATATTTGTGTCAAAAGTAAAAAGAAAACACCCACTTAGAATAATTTATCCAGCAAAAAAAAAAAAATCCTTCAAAAGTGAAGGAAAAATAATAAAGACTTTCTCAGACAAACAAAACTGAGGGAATTTTTTCACCAGTAAATCCCACCTTGTAGGGAAAAAAAAAAATGCTTTCAAAAAAAGTTCTCCAGAGATAAGCAAAATTATATAGGTCAGAAACTCAGATCTGCATAAAGAAAGAAAGAGCGTAGGAGAATGCATTAAGGTAAAATGAAATCTTTTATTTTCTCATTTTAAAACAATCTAGAATAAAACTTTTCAAATTAATAATAGGAATGTGTTGGATAATGATAGTATATGGATAAGTGAAATGAGTAACAGTGATATTATAAGGAATAGGTTGCAGGAATTAGTGTATATATATAAATACAAATTTGTCTTTGTTATAAGGTATTTGCACTATCCATAAAGTGGTATAGTTTTATCTGAGAGTGGACTTAGATCAGTTGTAAATGTATATTGCAAACTCTAAGGCAATTACTAAAAAAAAATTATATAAAGAAGTACAACTGATATGGCTAAGAGAAGGGTGAAAATGGAAGCATATAAAATAATACTCATTTTTTACAGTCTTTTTTCAGAAAACGGAAGCAGAGGGAACACTTCTTAACTCATGAGACCAGCCTTAGCTTAGTACCAAAACCAGATAAAGACATTACAATGACAAAAAACTACAGACAGTATCCCTCGTGTATAGAAGCAAAAATCCTCTATGTTAGGAAAATCAAAACATTTGATTGAAATATTGATTGAGAAATCAAAATGTTAGGTAATCAAATTCAATAATGTATAAAAATAATTATATACTATGATCAAGTATGATTTATTCCAGATATCCACCATAGGTTCAACATTTGAAATTCAATTAATATAATCTGCCACATCAATAGACTAAAGAAGTAAAATCATATGGTCACTTCAATTGATGTAGAAAAACATTTGAAATATCTTAACATCGATTCATGATAAAAACTCTCAGCAAACTAGGAATAGACTATAACATCCTTAACTTGATAAAGAATATCTGCAACACCCTACAGCTAACATTATACTTAACAGAAACTGGATGCTTTCCCCTTTGATGAGAAATAAGGCAAAAATGTCCCCTTTCCCCACTTCTTTTTGACACTGTACTAGAAGTACCAGCTACAGCAATAAAACAAGTGAAGGAAATTAAAAGTATACAGATTGGGAAGGAAAAAATAAAACTCTCTTTGTTCACAAGTAACACGTATGTCTGTGTAGAAAATCCCAAAGAATCAGCCAAAAAACAAACTAACAAACAACTCTTGGGACTAGTAGATTAGTATAGCTTGGAGGTTACAAGGTTTATCCACAAAAGTCAATTGCTTTCCTCTATACCAGAAATGAACAATTGGAATTTGAAATTAAAAACAACACCATTTACAATAGCACCAAAAAAGAATGAAATACTTAGGTATAAATTTAACAAAGTATGTACAGGTTCTATATGCACAAAAGTGTAAAACTGATGAAAAATTAAATAAGATCTAAATAAACACAGAGACATTTTGTGTTCTTGGATTGAAAGACTTAATATTGTTAAGATATCAGTTCTTCTCAAATTGATTTGTAGATTCCACACAATCCCAATGAAATCCCAGAATGTTATTTTGTGGATATTTAGGAACTTAATCTAAGTTTATATGAAAAGACAAAAGACCCAGAACATGTAACACACTCCTGAAGAAGAACAAATTTGAAGGACTGACACTACCCAACTTCAAGAGTTACTATAATCAAGTAGCATGGTGTGGTGTTGCTGAGGGAAAAGAAGACATACAGATCAATGGAGTAGAATAGAGACCCAAGGATTAGACCCACATAAATACAGTAAATTGATACTTGACAAGGGATCAAGGACAGTTTAGTAGAGAAAGAATAGTCTTTTCAACAAATGGTGCTAGAACAACTGAATAGCCACATGTAAAAAAAAAATGAATCTAGATACAAACCTTACATCCTTCATAAAAATTAACTCGTAATGGTCATAGACCTAAATATAAAGCACAATACGATAAAACTTCTAGAAGAAAAAGATTAAAATCTAAGTGACCTTGTGTTTGATGATGTATTTATCAGATATATCACCAAAAGTACAATATATGTAAGGAACAATTGGTAAGTCAGACTTTATTAACATTATAAACTTCTGCTATATGAAAAACACTTTTAAGAGAATCAAAAGACAAGCCACAGACTAGAAAAATATTTGCAAAACTCACGTCTAATAAAAAACTTGTATCCAAAATACACAAAGAATTCCCAAAATTCAACAGTATTAAAAAACTCAATTTAAAAAATGGGTAAAAAATAAGAACAAACACGTCACCACAGAAGATATATACATGGCAAATAAGCATACGAAAAGAAGCTCATCTTTATTTGTCATCAGAGAATTGAAAAATGAGAAGTGCCACTACACACCTACTCGAATCGCTAAAGTCCACAATAAAACTGACAATACCAAATTCTGTTCAGGAAGCAGAGCAACAGGTACTTTTTTAAAAATTATAGATGTAGAAGATACAAGTGCAGTTTTGTTTTGTTTTGTTTTGTTTTGTTTTGTTTCGTGTTTTGAGGCAGAGTCTCGCTCTCTGTCACCCAGACTGGAGTGCAGTGGTGCAGTCTCAGCTCACTGCAACCTCTGCCTCCCTGGTTCAAGCAATTCTCCTACTTCAACTTCCCAAGTAGCTGGGACTACAGGTGCGAGCCACCACGCCCAGCTAGTTTTGTATTTTTAGTAGAGATGGGGTTTCGCCATATTGGCCAGGCTGGTCTCAAACTCCTGACCTCAAGTGATTTGCTTGCCTCGGCCTCCCATAGTGCTGGGATTACAGGCATGAGCTACCATGCCCGGCTGCAGTTTTTTTTTTTTTTATGGATATATTTCACAGTCATGAAGTCTGGGACTTTTATTCATTGCTGGTGGTAATACAACCTCTTTGGAAGACAGGTTGGCCACCTCTTACAAAGCTGAACATTATTTTACCACACAGTCCAACTACTGCATTCCTACTTATTTACCCAGTTGATTTGAAAAGCCTGTGTTCAACAAAAAGTGCCATGTGAATGTTCATAGTAGCTTTATTCATAATTGCCAAAAACCGGAAGCAGTCAAGATGTCCTCCAATAGGTTAATGGATACATTCACCTGTGGCAGATCTATACAATGGAATATAATTCAGCAATAAAAAGAAATGCATGTCCAGCCACAAAAAGACATAGAGGAACTTTAGATATATATTAATAGCTGAAAGAAGCTAGTATGGAAAGACTGCATATTGTATGATTTCATTATATGACATTCTGGAAGAGGGAAAACTATAGACAGATGATAAATGACTGCCAAGGGTTTGAGGGAAATGGAGAAGGGAGAAATACATGAAACACAGGGAATCTTTAGGGCGGTAAAATTATTCTGTATAATACTGTAGTTGTAGAGGCAAGACATGCATTTGTCAAAAACCATTAAACTACATAGCACAAAGAGTGACACTTAATGTATGCAAATGTTAAAAACTCATTTAGGAGGTTGAGAGACCCTAGGAAAGAATGCAGACAGTGAGAAGAGAGTCTAACTGTAAAACAACCTCATCGAAGGGATGGGGGAAAAGATGCTGAACTAAGCATCTTTGGAAATATGTGGAGTCTGAAAGACTAAAAGCAAATGGAACTTCACATAAGCACGGTACCCTTATTGATAAGGTTATTTCCCATGGCAGGTACTGGTTACTTAGGGAGTAACAATTCTGATACTCTTATACATGCATAATGGAATGGAACAATTAAGTAAATGTATGGCAGATGGCGGGGGCCAGGTTTCTCACTGTTGCAATCTACAGATAAGTAAAGGGAGGAAGCTGAAATGATCCATGTGATAATGGTTTACAGTTGGAGACATCAGGATGAACTCATGTTTAACTTAATATAGATATAAGTGTTTACATATAGAAATATTTATATGTGTTTATATATACATGGATTAGTATAAATACATATTTTTTATTCTGTGAGATGAAAGGACCCAAATGAAAGGACACACCAGTAGCAATGAGCTTGCACAGCATCCTTATCTTGGTTTCTAATACCATTTTCTAATAAAATGAACCAGGGCTCCTTAGAGAAATGGCTGCTTCTAATACTGGGGCAGGAAATATACAAGATGAGCCTTGTGCATCTTGTAGTGCCAGAAAGTAAGGAAGTGCTAAAAAGAACAATATAAAATCATTATTTTATTGTTCTTTGACATGATGATTTTATGTTTTTTTTTTTGACATTCGGGGTATTTCAAAGGAATACAGGAGCCAAATGAAAGAGCTTCCTATGACTAAAGCCAGAACAATTTGTGCAACAAACTAAATAAAATAAAATAAATCATTATCTTAAATCATTTTATTGTTCTTCGACATGATGATTTTATGTTTTTTGACATTGGGGATATTTCAAAGGAATACAGGAGCCAAATGAAAGAGCTTTCAATGACTAAAGCCAGAACAACTTGTGCAACAAACTAAGATAAAATAAATCATTATCTTAAAATCATTATTTTATTGTTCTTTGACATGATTTTATGTTGTTTTTTGACATTGGTATTGCAAAGGAATACAGGAGCCAAATGAAAGAGCTTCCAATGACTATAGCTGGAACAATTTGTGCAACAAACTAAAATAATGTTGGATAATCCAATGTATAGAATAAACATCCATGAGTCCAGGTGATATAAATAAGTGATTGAGTAAACAAATATATAGAGGAAAAGAAATATACACCTCCCATGAAAAAGAATTTCATACAACTTATGTAGATACTCTGCCTCAGGGAGGGAGAGCATAACTCCCCATTCCTTAGTTTTGAGCTGCTCATAATGACTTCTTTCCAAAAGAGTACAGGAAGAGAAAGCAGGAAAAAAGAGTAACTTTTCAAGAAGAAACCTGACAAACTACCTAAGCCAGGTGATTAAGGCCAACACCAATAGTTGTTAATCATATTGATGAATCATATTGATTGTGTGTATGCTTAACATTATGTGATCAAAACTGTACTTCTCCTGTGTGGTTTTCTTCCCAATAATCCATAATCCCAGTCTAAATGTAATGTAACCTAGATCCTAGAACAGAAAAAGGACATTAGGTAAAAACTAAGGAAATCTAAACTGTGGACTTTAGTTAATAATAATGTATCAATACTGCTTCATTAATTGTAACAACATATTAATGTGAGGTTACATTACATTACATTAATGTAAGATATTAATAACAGGGAAAACCATGGGGTAGATGGGAGTTCTCTGTATTCTCAATTTTTCTATAAATCCAAAACTGTTCTAAAATTAAAATCCATTTTTAAAGAGTTTTTAAAAATGTAGCTGTAGAAGAATGCATATTGTTTATATAAAGGGCTATATTACATGAAGTTGAAAACATGTAAAATAATACCGTGTATTGCATAGGGATACCAGGAAGAGCTTTATGCTGTATTATGACTTGGAGGCACTGTTTTTCTTTTTCACAGCTTTGTTTATCTTGTTTTTGAACCTAGCTTTATCTGTGTGTGTGTGTGTGTGTGTGTGTGTGTGTGTGTGTTATGTATGTTGTGGATACATTCATACATACATACAAGTCTGCACTTACGTGTGTATATATGCAGAGGGGATGTATCCCAGCATCCCCTGACAGAGCCACCTCAACCAGAAGTCCTCTTTATTTTTAAAAATTATTCATATTGGCCAGGTGCGGTGGCTCACGTCTGTAATCCCAGCACTTTGGGAGGCCGAGGCGGGTGGATCACCTGAGGTCAGGAATTCGAGACCAGCCTGGCTAACATGGTGAAACCCCATTTCTACTAAAAATATAAAAAATTAGCTGGGCGTGGTGGCATGCACCTGCAATCCCAGCTACTGGGGAGGCTGTGGCAGGAGAATCGCTTGAACCTGGGAGGTGGTGGTTGCAGTGAGCCGAGATCACACCATTGCACTCCAGCTTGGGCAACAAGAGCGAAACTCTGTCTCAAAAAAATTCATATCAAAGGGAACAGTCTTAGTATGGGTCTTCCCTAATGGATGAGAAACTCGAAGTTTGTTTTCACATACCCCTTTCTATGGTTATTTAATTTGATATTTTCATGATTAGTATTTGAGAGCATAGGCAAGTCAATTATTCCATGCCCTTGCCTTTAAGATATGAACATACATAAATGCTAAATATGTTAATATCCAGGTTTTAAAGATTTTGAAACTTAAAGATTCTACTACTTGTTAACAATATTTATTTATTTATACCTTTTAGCACTTAAGTCATTTAAGAGGTATATTTGCTTGTTCTTTGCTTTTGCTGCTCCTGCCTGAATTCTTCCATAGTTCCTTTAAGCTATAAAGGATATAACTAATGCTAGGTAATGTATGAGATTTTTTTCCTCCTCCATTTTTTTAAATTGTGTTTTAAAAACACAAGATCTATCCTCTTAACAAATTTTTAAGTGTACAATACAATATTGTGAATAATAAGCACAATGTTGTACAGCAAACCTATAGAACTTTTCTATCTTGCATGACTGAAACTTTATACCTGTCGAACAGCAACTCCCCATTTCCTCCTTCCCCCAGCCCTGGTGACTACCATTCTACTTTCTGTTTTACTACTTTAGATACTTCAGTAAGTGGAATCATGCAATATTTGTCCTGCAACTGGCTTATTTCACTTAGCCTATAGTCCTCGAGTTTCATTCATGTTACAGCATAATGACATATAAGATTTCCTGCTTTTTTAAGGCTAAATAATATTCCATTGTATTTTATTTATTTATTTATTTATTTATTTATTTATTTATTTATTTATTTATTTGAGACGGAGTCTGGCACTGTCGTCTGAGCTGGAATACAGTGGTGCGATCTCGGTTCACTACAACCTCTACCTCCCAGGTTCAAGTAATTCTCCTGTCACAGCCTCCCATGTAGCTGGGATTACAGGCACCCACCAACGCACCCAGCTAATTTTTTGCATTTTTAGTAGAGATGGGGTTTCACTATGTTGGCCAGGCTGGTCTCAAACTCCTGACCTCATGATCTGCCTGCTTCAGCCTCCCAAAATGCTGAGATTACAGGCGTGAGCCACCACACCCAGCCCCCATTGTATTTATATGCCACATATTCTTTATCTATTCATCAGTCAGTGGACACTTAGGTTTTTCCACCTGTTGACTATTGTGAGTATTGCCGGGATGAACATAGGAATGCATATATCTCTTTGAGATGCTGATTTCAGCTCTTTTGGATAAATACCCAGAAATGGGATTGTTGGATTGTATGGTAGTTCTAATTTTAATTTTCGGAGGAACTTCCACACTGTACTTCATAGCAGCTGTACCACTTTACATTCCCATCAACAGTGCACAAGGGTTCCAACTTCTTCATATCCTTGCCAACATTTGTAATTTTCTGTTTTTTTTGATAATGGCCATTGTAACAGGTATGTGGTATCTCATTGTGTTTTTCATTTGCGTTTCTCTGTTGATAGTAATATTGAGCATCTTTTCATATACCTGTTGGCTATTTATATCTCTTTGGAGAAATGTCTGTTTAAGTCTTTTGCCCATATTTTAATGAGGTTGTTTTCTTGCCATCAAGTTGTAGAGTTCCTTATATATTTTAGATATTAAATATGGTTTGCAAATATTTTCTGTTACTCCATAGGTTGCCTTTTCACTCTATTGTTTCCTTTGCTGTGCAGGGCTTTTTAGTTTGATGCAGTCCCACTTATCTATTTCTGCTTTTGTTGCATGTGGTTTTGGTGTCATAGCAAAGAAATCATTGCCAAGACTAATGTGAAGAAGGTTTTCCTCTATGTTTTCTTCTAGGAGTTTTACAGTCTCAGGTCGTATATTTAAATCTTTAATCCATTTTGAATTGACTTGTGTGTATGGCGTAAGATAAGGGTCCAATTTCATTATTTAGCATGTGGCTGTCTTGTCTTCTCAACATTTTGTTAAAGAGACTATCTTTTTCTCATGTTATATTCTTGGGACACTTGTAGAAGATCAGTTGACTGTAGCTTCATGGGTTTATTTCTAGACTCTCAAATTGGTTCCATTGGCCTATGTGTCCAGTTTTATGCCAGTACCATACTGTTTTGATTACTGTAGCTTTGTAATATGTTGTGAAATAAGAAAGTGTATGGCCTCTAGCTTTGTTCTTTCCCAAGATTGTTGTGGGTACTTGGTATCATCTGTGGTTCTATATGAATTTGGGGATTGTTTTTTCTATTTCTGTAAAAAATGCCATTGGGACTTTGATAGAGATTGCATTGAATCTGTAGACCGCTTTGGATAGTTCGGATATATTAATATTAAGTCTTCTAATCCATGAACACAGGATACCTTTTCATTTATTTGTGTCTTCTTTAATTTCTTTCAGCAACATTTGTAGTTTTCAGTGTACAAGTCTTTCACCTCCTTGGTTAAGTTCTTTCTTCAGTATTTTATTCTTTTCAATACCGTTGTAAATGGGATACCTTTCTTAATTTCCTCTTCATATTGTTCATTGGTAGTGTATAGAAACCACAACTGAATTTTTCTATGTTGATTTTTTATTCTGCAACTTCACTGAATTTGTTAATTAGTTCTAACTTTTTTGGTTTAATTTTTTTCTATTATTTCCATTAATATAGTCATAATTTCATGCCAATAATAAAATGGTATAATTAAAACAGAAAAGTGATGTTCTCAAGAGGTCTTCCATGAAAGCTATTTGAACTGTGGGCCAAATAAACATGGTACCACCATTCACCAGGTAGCAGCTTGTCTCAGCTGCAAAGTACCCAAGGGAGAAAAATCGATGTCTTGATTGCTGCACTTGTGAACCTTGATTTATTATTTTATTTATTTTCTTTTTAAAGTTTTTTAATTGACATATAATAAATTATACATATTTATGGGGTACATACTGATGTTTCGATACATATAATATATAGTGAACAGATCAAGGTAATTAGCTTATCTACTATCTTAAGTATTTATCATTTCTTCATGTTGGGATAATTCAATATCCTTCTTCTAGCTATTTGATACTATATAATATATTATTGTTAACTATAACCATTCTACAATGGTATAGAACACTAGCACCTATTCCTCTTATCAAACTGTAATTTTACATCTTTAACAAGTCTCTCCCTATCCTTTCCTTCCTCCTACCCTTCACAGCCTCTAGTATCCTCTGTTCTACTTTTTACTTCTATGAAATCAATTCTTTTTAGCTCCCACATATAAGTAAAAACCTGCAGTGTTTAACTTTCTGTGCCTGGTTTATTTCACTAAACATAATATTCTCTAGTTCCATCCACATTGCTCTGAATAACAGGATTTCAATATTTTTATGGCTGAATAGTATTCCACTGTGTATATATACCACATCGTTGGGCACCTAGGTTAACTTCATATCTTGGCTGTTGTGAATAGTGCTGCAATAAATATGAGAATGCCATTGTCTTTTCAATATACTGATTTCCTTTCCTTTGGATAAATTCTCAGTAGTGGGATTGCTGGATCGTATGGTAGTTCTATTTGTAGTTTGTTGAGGAACCTCCGTACTGTTTCCCATAGTGGCTGTAAAAGTTTACAGTCCCACCAACAGTCTGTAATAATTTGCTTTTCTCCACATCCTCACCAGCATTTGTTAACTTTTGTCTTTCCAGTAGTAGCCATCCTAACTGGAATGAGATGATGCCTCATTGTGGTTTTGATTTGCATTTTCCTGATGATTAGTGATGTTGAGTATTTTTTCATATATTTGTTGGCAATTTGTATGTCTTCTTTAGAGAAATAGCTGTTTAGATCATTTGCCCATTTTTAAATCAGGTTGTTTGTTTTGATGCTGTTAAGATGTTGAATTCCTTGTATAGTCTGGATATTAATCCCCTGTTGGGTGAGTAGTTTGCAAATATTTTCTCCCATTCTGTAGTTCGTCTTTTCACTCTGTTGTTTCCTTTGATGTGCAGAAGATTTTAGTTTAATATAATCCCGTTTGTTTATTTTTGCTTTCGTTGCCTGTGCTTTTGAGGTCTTATTCATGAAATCTTTTCCCAGACCAGTGTCCTGAAATGTTTCCCCTATGTTTTTTCCTAGTAGTTTTTTAGTTTCCGGTCTTACGTTTAGGTCTTTGATCTGTTTTGAGTTGATTTTTGTATAGGATGAGAGATGGGGGTCTGGTTTCATTCTTCATGCATATAGGTATCCAGTTTTCTCAGCACCACTTATTGACGAGACTGTCTTTTCCCAACTGATGTTCTTGGTGTCTTTATTAAAATATTAGTTGGCTGTAGATACATGGGTCAGTTTCTGAGTTCCCTATTCTGTTCCACAGTTACATGTGTCTCTTTTTATGTCAGTACCATGCTGTTTTGGTTACTACAGTTTTGTAGTACATTTTGAAGTCTGGTAGTGCAGTTCCTCCAGCTTTGTTATTTTTGTTCAGGATTGCTGTGGCTTCAGAGTCTTTTGTGGTTTCATAAAAATTTTAAGATTTTTTTTCTTTTTCTATGAAGAGTGTCATTGGTATTTTGATAGGGATTGCATTAATTCTGTAGGTTGCTTTGGATAGTATGGTCATTTTAACAATGTTCTTTCAGTCCATGAGCATGGAATATCTTTCTGTTTGTATCCTCTAAACTTTTCTTTCATCAGTGTTTTGTAGTTTTTCTTGTAGAGGCCTTTTACCTCCTTGGTTAATTTATTTCTAGGTATTTTATTTTGCTTTTTGTAGCTATTGTAAATGAGATTGCTTTCTTGATTTCTTTTTCAGCTAGTTTGCTGTTCGTGTGTAGAAACGCTACTGATTTTTGTGTGTTGATTTTGTATCCTGCAACTGTATGGAATTTGTGTATCTGTTCTAAGGGCTTTTTGGTAGACTCTTTCAGGTTTTTTTTTAGGTTTTTCTCTATATAAGATCATGTTGTCTGCAAACAGGGACAATTTGACTTCCTCCTTTTTGCTTTGGATGCCTTTTATGTCTTTCCTTTGTCTAATTGCTCTGGCTAAGACTTTCACTACTGTGTTGAATAAGAGTGGTGAGAGTGAGCATTGTTGTCTTTTGCCAGTTCTTAGAGGAAAAGCTTTCAGCTTTTCCCCATTCTACTGATGTCTAATTTTTTGTTGTTGTTGAGTCTTTAGCGTTTTCTACATGGATGATCATTTCAACTGTGAACAGAGATAATTTTACTTCTTTCTTTCTGATTTGGATGCATTTTATTTCTGTTTCTTGCCTATTTGCTATGGCTAGAACTTCCAGTACTATGTTGAATAGAAGTGAGAGTAGGTATCCATGCCTTGTTCCTGATCTTAGAGGAAAAGCTTTCAGTTTTTTAATACTGAATATTATAGCTGTGGACTTTACATATATGGCCTTTATTATGTTGAGGTAAATTCCTTCTATTAGTAGTTGAGTGTCTTCATCATGAAACAGTGTTGAATTTTGTCAAATGCTTTGTCTGCAACTGTTGAGATAATCATGTAATTTTTATATTTTGTTCTGTTAATGTGTTGTATTACATTGATCAATTTTTGTATGTTGAATCATCCTTGCATCCCAGGGATAAATCTCCCTTAGTCAAGGTGTATGAGCTTTTTAATGTGCTGTTGAATTTGGTTTGGTAATATTTTGTTGAGGATTTTTACATCTGTTTATTAAGGATATTGGTCTGTATTTTTCTTATAATGTTTTTGTCTAGGTTGGTCTCAGGGTAATCCTGGCCTCATAGAATAGCTAGCATATAGTTGGATTTTGTTTATCCATTCAGGTACTCTGTCTCTTGGGGAGTTTATTAATATTTAATGTAATTATTGCTAGCAAAGGACTTACTATTGCCATTTGTTAATTGTTTTCTGTCTCTGTTGTAGCTCTTTTGTCTCTCCCTCTCTGCCGTCTTCCTTTGTGGTTCATTGGGTTTTTTTTTTTTTTTGTAGTGATATACTTTGATATCTTTCCCATTTTTCTCTGTTTATCTTTTATAGGTATAGGGCATGGTAAAACAATCTGTTTTAAGCTGATAACATCTTACGTTCAATCACATATAAGAGCTCATTTTTGTTCTGTTGAATTTTTTTTTTTTTTTGAGACAGGGTCTCACTCTGTTGCCCAGGCTGGAGTGTGGTGGTGTAGTGTGATCATAGTTCACTACAGCCTCAAACTCCTGAGCTCCAGTAATCCTCCTGCCTCAGCCTCCCAAATAGCTGGGACTTGTAAAATTGGCCAGTTGTGGTGGTGCATGCTGTTTGCTCACAAGTAGCACATGCCACCCTGTCTCTTTTGCAGAGACAGGGTCTCACTGTGTTGCCCAGACTGATCTCAAACTCCTGGACTCAAGCGATCCTCTCATCTCAGCCTCCCAAAGCACTGGGATTACAGGAGTGAGCCACCGCACCTACCCTCCCGTGCCGCCTAATAGGTAGAATAATTTCTCTTATTTTCCTGAGGATATTAGTTATGGTTTGTTGAAGTTTTTTCCTATTTCCTTTCTTTTCTTTATGTTTGTTGTGTTCTCTCTTTCACATTAGAGGAGTTCCTAAGATGCCTGATAATCCATGCCCAACTTTATAAGTAGGAACTAAAAAGCAGATTGGAATCTCTGAGCACACAAATGGCACTTGTTGACTTTGAGCTTCACTTTAAAGTGGTCTGGCTGGGTCATTTGTTAGAGAAATTCCTCATCCCAAGTCAGTATTTTTATATCTTTCCTCCTAGGACTTACCAGTTTTCCCAGAGAAGACTTCCAAAATCTTTCTTACGAGGGTACTACCAGCGTTCTAGGAGCCAAATGGCAGAAAAGGACTGGGAGGACCTCAACATTTAGTATTCTCTTAGTTTCCTTGCTTTCAGAAACAGTGTTCACATCTTCAGCCATGTATGGCATTCCCCATCTTCTGACAATGAGCCTCAAGTTTTCTACCAGGATTGGCAAGTTATCTTTTACCCCATAGCATATTGTGAGGGAGGGTATTTAAAAATCATATTGGCTTTTAGACAGCCTTCAACTGATTTGCCTTATTTTAACCCCATCCCTTCACATTTATTTCTGAAGGTAAGTGAAATTATCAGTTCCTGAACTATTTAAGGATTCTTAAGTGGTGACAGGTGTGTTCTTGGCTCTCTCCACTACCAGTTTAAAATTCAGCTTTCTTCAGTGTGCTGAGTTGGTTCCTGCTCATCCAATTATTTTTCATCTTCCAGATTATTATTGCTGTTGTCTCCTTTTCTTGTTCCTCCTGACCTTGTTGATTTGTGTTTTTTTTTTTTTTTTTTTAAGTGCCTATAGTTTTAGAGAGTTTTCTGGATGGAATGAAATTAAATGAATGTGTTCAATCCACCATTTTTATGTGAAACTAATTCTAATCATAATGAAAGAGTTTTCTTACGGCTGAGCATGGTGTCTCACGCCTGTAATCCCAGCATTTTGGGAGGCCAAGGCGGGTGGATCACCTGAGTTTGGGAGTTCAAGACCAGCCTGGACAACATGGTGAAACCCCACGTCTACTAAAAATACAAAAATTAGCCAGGTGTGGTGGCACATGACTGTAATCCCAGCTACTCGGGAGGCTGAGGCATGAGAATCACTTGAGCCTGGGAGGCCAAGGTTGCAGTGAGCAGAGATTGCGCCACTGCACTCCAGCCTGGGTGACAGAGTGAGACTTTGTCTCAAAAAGAAAAAAACAAAGAGTGCCTTACCTCCTTTATATGATATTTTGGTTGATCCTCAATTTGTTTTAGGTATTATACCTGAAGAACCTTAGCCCTCGGGTGACTGAAAGAGATCTTGTGTCATTGTTCGCTCGGTTCCAGGAGAAAAAAGGACCTCCAATTCAATTCCGAATGATGACTGGACGAATGAGGGGCCAGGCTTTTATCACCTTTCCCAGTAAGTAGTTTCATCCAGATGATTACTCAGTTGCCCCTCAGTTCGCTAGAGATTACCTATAACCTCTCTAATTTAGATATAGTCCTTTGATTTCTCCACAGCATGTGAGAACAAGACAATGAACGAAAAATATGTTTTCAGTGTTTCTTTCTGTTTCCTCTCCTCCATTGACAGTGCATGGCCACACTACCCCAGTGTCCTCAGTTTTTCCCAGTCTTGGTACTTCCTTCTTACCCTACCAAAATCTGTACTCCCTTCACTGACAATAGTATTTCTAGTCCAAGTTATAATTAGATTACTCATTAATTAATGTATTAGTATTCTGATCAGAACACATGTACTTGGCTTATGCGCTGTTCCTTTAGGACTAAGTGAGAGCAAGCTAATATACTAATTTATTACTAATTCATAATTAGTAGATGATGATACAGTCTTCTAAATATTATTTGCATATTAATTAATGCATAGCTTCTAATCCAACTGGAAGAATAATATGCAAATTTCAGTTTCTATGACAGACCAGATAATATGTTGTTTTGGGGGAAGGCTTTGTAGGATCTGTACCTTTCATTGTCCCTAAAGTATCGTCATTTCTAAATAGCCTATTAATCTATATGTGGGCAAGTGGTTTTACACATGAATACTGCCAAACTCCCCTCCATTGTTTTCATACAGTCTTGTATCATCTTTCCTATCATACTGAAGGTTTTTAAATCCGCTATACCAGTGGTTTTCAGTCTTTTCAAGTGTAAGAACCCCTTTTAAATTTAAAAAACCGTTTATGGGTGCCCCACATAATACGATGTATTAGTTGAAAAAATACATAATAAAAAGGCTTTTTAAAGCAAGTACTTTAAAATGTGTAGCTGTTTTACTAATCTTGAAAGCTATACACTTAAAAAAATTTGTAGTACTTATATATATGAAACAAAATTGGTTTAGTCTACTTGTCTACTTAGGATTCCACAAACTCCTGGCCACAAATCATCCCTTCCTTATTTCTTACATCCAGG
Source organism: Homo sapiens (assembly GCF_000001405.40). Lineage (NCBI taxonomy): Eukaryota > Metazoa > Chordata > Mammalia > Primates > Hominidae > Homo > Homo sapiens. Next base: position 107,068,241 of record NC_000023.11, on the reverse strand, counting down.
CTCTTAGACCCATAAGTTGAATACTCCTGGCATGTAGTATATATTCTCACATTTCAACCTTCAATATGCCTACAAGTGTTCTTATACTTATTTATCCCAATAAGGTGGCCCAGAACCACTCTCCCACTGAAAAAAAAGTGGCAAAGTGCCCTTGATAACATGATAACTTCTTTTGTGTTACTCATTTTGAAAATGATTGATTCTAATAATACCTATAATCTGTTACCTAAGATAGAGACTTGTGTATAATTACTAATAGCTTAGACTTCTTTAGCACGCTGCCTATGTCTTTGTTTCTCTACTTGTTTCTTTGAATTAGGAGACACCCTCAAACACCGATTTTGAGTTTTTATTGTTATTATTTTTGCCATTAATTTAATTTTGCTTAATAATGCAAATGGGAGATTATAGAAAAAATGATCAAATCAAATGACTATATGGCCTTATAGCTTACATTTAACTCCAAGGCAAAATAATCTAAACTAAACCTGGAATAGAATTGAATTATTAAGTCCTATGTAAATTGAAATTTTTTCTTTCTCTTTTAGATAAGGAGATAGCATGGCAAGCATTGCATCTAGTAAATGGATACAAACTACATGGGAAAATATTGGTGATAGAGTTTGGAAAGAACAAAAAGCAACGGTCAAATCTCCAAGCGACTTCTCTCATATCATGTGCTACAGGTAGCACTACAGAAATTAGTGGTAGCTAGAATATATATAAATTGTGGGTCCTGGATGGTCTTTCTTGAATTGGAATCTTGGATCTAGGATTTATGTATAGACACCAGTTTGTTTGGAGTTGAAGAGGAAAAACTAACTGAGGGAGGGGAAAAAAGTAATTTCAGCTTTTGGAGAGAACTGGTAGAAAACATTTTCTATTATATAATTGAAGACTATATAGGACAGATGATATGCTGAGTATGAAGGGTAAAGTGCAAAGAGTATTATTTTCTCAGGATGAATTACAACGGATTATTCCTAAGGATTTTTAAAAATCTTTATAATTTTTCTGGGGTCCTCAATATTTGTCTCTAGAGATAACATTCTTTCTTAGACTGCTTCGTATACACAGAAATAAAAAACTAATTAAATGTTGAAATATTTCTTTACTAGAGCCCATTTGCCATATTTCATCCACCTAGTAAATAAAAGAGTAGGACCCCCAGGCCTAAGCATCAACAAATGCTATTAAGTCAGAACTATCAGCAGTAATAGTAGGTAGTTTCATAAGTCAGTTGACTTATTTAATGAATGCTTCCTCCACAAGTTATCAGTCTTCAAAAAGCTATATATTTTTCTAGTGAAATATTTTAGATCAAAATGTTGGTGTTCTCACAGCCATTTAAGCTAGCAACCATTGAGTATCATTGAATTCATAGCAATAAACATTGATTAAGTGTCTAATATATGTTAAATATTAGGCATATGAATTTTAGAAGAGGAACATACAAGCAAAGAATGCCAAACGGAAATGGAAATAAAGCGTTCTCTAGAAAAGAGGATGCCAGTCACAAATCCCCCAGTTGTTTGTTTATGGTTGCTGGAAAATAAAAAAACAATATACAGAGAGGAAGTAGTACAAACTGGAGTCAGACCTGTACAGCCACACTTAACATTCTATGACCTTGGCAAGTCACTTAATCTGAGCCTCACATTTTTCATCTATAAAGTGAGGATAATAATGCTACTTACCTCACTGGGTTGTGAAGATGAACTGAGATATTATCCAGGCTGAAGAACAGAAAGGAAAACAATGAATAAAATTGAACAAGAGTATAGAACCTGTGTGACACCATTAAGCATTCCTACATATTTCTAATGGGAGTACAGGAAAAAAGGAAAAGAAATGAAGGAGCAGAAAAATATTCTAAGAAATAATGGCTATAAATACCCCCGATTTGATGAGAGACATTAACCTATACATCCCAGAAGAAAAAGAAATTACAGACAGATACATCATAAGAAAAATGCTAAAACCCAAAAACGAAAAGAAAATCTTAACAGCAATACGAGAAAAATGAGCCATCACTTACCAAGGAACCCAAATAAAATTAGTAGTTGACTTCCCCTCAGAAACAATGGCAGTGGCAGTGGAATAACACATTCAAAGTGTTCAAAGAAAATAACTGTCAACCAATAATCCTATATACAATAAAACTATTTTTCAAAAATGAACGTGAAATAAAACATCTCACATAATCAAAAACCAAGAGAATTTGTTGCTGGCAGACCTGACTTGCTGGAAATACAAAAGGAAGTTCTTCAGCCTGAAAGCAAGTGACCACAGACAGTAATCTGAATCTACACACATGCAGAAAAAGAGCACAGGCAAAAATAATTATGTAATTATCAGAAACAATCTATGCATTTTTCTTTTTTCTCTTAACTAATGTAAAACACAGTTGTATAAAACAATATGTATATAGTTGCATCGTTTGGCCTATAACGTATAAAATATAATATATTTGCCGATAACAGGTTGAAGAAGCTGAGTGGAAGCAAAACTGTCTTGTACTAAAGAACTGACTCCAGATGGTAAGACAAATCCACAGGAACAAATGGAGAGAACGTGAAATAGGAAATAAGTTTAATATAAAAAAACTATAAACATATACTTACTCTTCTCTCAGCTTCTTTTAAAGATGTAAAATTATATTAAGTAATTATAATAATGTGTGTTGGGTTTGTAATGTATAGGAATAACATATATAACAATAATACCACAAAGCGGGGGATGGGTTTATATAGGAATAGGGTTGTTACATTGGAATTAAGTTAGTGTTTATCTGAAGCCTATTCTGTTTAGTTAAGATGTGTATGGTAAGCCCTAGAGCAACCACTGAGGAAATAACTTTTAAAAAATCAAAAATATTATTAAATGTAAATATCACATTATGAAATAATGCAAAAGAAGGAATGGAGAAGCAAAAAGCTTGAGGCATATCAAAAACAATAAAATGGCAGTCATAAGTCTTCCTATATCAAAATAACAATGTGCATGGATTAAGCAATACTATAAAAGGCAGAGATGTCAGAAACAAGTCTGATTCCACTTCATGCCATCTATTTGAGACACACTTTAGAAGATAGAAAGAGATTAAAGGTAAAAGGATGGAAAACAAATATATCACACAGACAACAGCCATAAGAAAGCTGGAGTGGCTATTCTAATACCAGACAAAATAGACTTAAAAAAATGTTACTGGAGATAAAGAGTAAAATGTTACAATGATAAAAGGGTCAATACATCAGGAAGATGTAACAACTATAAATATATATGCATCTAACAGTAGAGCCCAAAATACATGAAGCAAAAACTGAAAGGAAAGGAGAAACAGATAAGTCCATAAAAAGAGTTGGAATATTCAATACCCCTTTTTCAATAATAGAGCACCTAGACAGAAGATAAACCAGGAAATAGAAGACTTGAACAACATTATAAGGCAAATTGACCTAAAAGACATCTATAGAACTTTCCACCCAACATCAGAATACATATTCTTCTCGAGTGCATATGAAACATCTCCAAAATAGGTCATAAGTTAAAGCATAAAACAAGCCTTAATAAATATAAGTAGACTGAAATCATGCAAAGCATGCCCTCTGACCACATGGGATGAAGTTAGAAAACAATGAAAAGTTGGGAAACTCACAAATATGTGGAAATCAGACACACTTGTAAGTGACTGGCTGGGTGCAGTAGCTCACGCCTGAAATCTCAGCACTTTGGTAGGCCGAAGTGGGAGGATTCCTTGGATCCCTTGAGACCAGGAATTCAAGACCAGCCTGGGCAACACAGCAAGACCCTGTCATTACCAAAAAAAAAAAAAAATGTGTCAAAGAAAAAAATCATAAGGGAAATTACAAAACCCTTTGAGATGAGTGATAATGAAGACACAACAAACCAAAACTTACAAGATGCAGCTAAAGCAGTGTTTACAGGGAAATCTATAGGTACAAATGCCTGTACTTAAGAAGAAAAAAGACCAGGCACAGTGGCTTACGCCTGTAATCCCAGCACTTTGGGAGGCCGGGGCGGGTGGAGATCATGGGGTCAGGAGATCGAGACCATTCTGGGTAACATGGTGAAACCCTGTCTCTACTAAAAATACAAAAAATTAGCCAGGCGTGGTCGTGGGCACCTGTAGTCCCAGCTACTCGGGAGGCTGAGGCAGGAGAATGGCGTGAACCTGGGAGGCAGAGCTTGCAGTGAGCCAAGATTGCACCACTGCACTCCAGCCTGGGCAGCAGAGCGAGACTCCATCTCAAAAAAAAAAAAAAAAAGAAAAGAAAGACCATAGCACTAACCTCACTTTACACCTTAAGACCCTGGAAAAAGAAGAGCAAACTAAACCTAGAGCCAGGAGAAAGAAGGAAATATAAAAGATTAGATGAGAATAAATGAAATAGAGTGAAGAAAAGTAGAGAAAAATCAATGCAACCAAAAGTTGATTCTATAAAAAGATCAGTAAAACTGACACACCTTCTGCTAGACTGACCAGGAAAAAAGGAGAATCAAATTACTAAAATCAGAAATGAAGGAGGGAACATTTCAACTGAACTTGTAGAAATAAAAAAGATTATGAAGGCATATTATGAATAATTTTATGTCAATAAATTATCAATGAAGTGGACAAATTCCTAGGAAGACACAAACTACCAAAACCAACTCAGAAGTAGAAAACTTGAATAAACCTATATCAAGTAAATAGGTTAAATGAGTTTTTGAAAAGATACCCACAAAGAAGAGCCCAGGCTGAAATAGCTTCTTAAATGAATTCTACAAAACTTTTAATGAAAAATTAATACAAATTCTTCACAAACTTTTTCAAAAAGTAGAAGAGTGGTGAACACTTCTGACACATACTACAACATGGAAGAACTCAGAATATGCTCAGTGCAAGAAGCCAGTCACAAAAGACTACATATTATATGATACTATTTATATGAAGTGTCCAGAATTGGCAAATATATAGAGATAGAAAGTGGATTAGTGGTTGCTTAGGGCTAGCACAGAGTTGGGGGGAATGGGAAGGGCTGGGGGTAACAGTTGAAGTGTATGAAGTTTCTTTAGAGGTTGATGAAAGTGTTCTAAAATTGGTCGTGGTGGTGATTTCACAACTCTGAATATACTAAAAACCAGGAATTGTACACGTTAAATGGGTGAATTGTGTGGTGTATGAATTATATCTCAATAAAACTCACAAAAGTAGGGGTGTCCATCAATAGGAAAATGGGTAAATAACTTATGGTACATCTATTTAGTACAATACTATGCAGCCATTAAAATAGTGAAGTGTATCTATGAATATATTATGACCTATACTCATGTCCAAGGTTGTGTATTAAGTTAATAAACAAGATGCAGAAATATGTATAGTATGAATACATTTTTATGCAAAAGCATTCATTTATGTATAGTATGTATGTATATAGATATTTCTGAATAAATTTAAGAAAAAGCTGGGAAATAGACATAGAAAGTTATAAACCTTTGGAAGTGGGATTGAATAGGCTGAAGGAGGACTTTCACTTTGTAAAATTTTTAAAGTGGTGTGATTTTGGGGTGATTTTTACTTTTTTCATTTTTTTTTTTAACTAAAAAATTTTTTAAAAAATATTCTGCCAATGGCATGGCTTCCAGAATATTTGTCAGGCCTACTCTGGGGATATCATCTGACTATACTCAGGACAAACTCCTATTCCTTTGATATACTGCTCACTTAGGATTAACACTCTAATTTCAGACATAGTTAAGTGACAAGGAATAAATTATCCTGATATAGCCTCTGATACATGTTACCAGGGGCATACTTCTAAGCTGGACTTTTTAGAAGGAAGTGCTTCCTGTTAGGTAGAAAATTTCACCTCTGCTTTTTACTAGACCTACAGACCACTGCAATTGAGGAACATAAAAATGAAGGATATCCTTCAACTGGTGCATAGATAAACCGTAGTATATCCATGCAATGGAATCCTACTCAGCAATAAACTAATGAAATACACATGCAACCACTTGGATGAATCTTAAATGCATTTTACTAAGTAAAAGAAGCCAAACTCAAAAGGCTGCTTACTGTTTGATTCCATTCATATTATTTTCTCAAAAAGCAAAACAATAGGGATGGAGAAAAAACTTCAGTGGATGTCAGGGGTTAAGGTTGGAATGCTCCTTGACTACAAAGTGGTAGCATGAGGAATTTGTCTTAATAATTGAAATTTTCCGTGTCTTTATTGTAGTTACATAAGTATATGCATTTGTCAAAACCCATAGGCTTGTACACTAAAAAGGATGAATTTTACTGTGTGTAATTTTTTTAAATAAATGTTATTTTTATGGAGGAAAGAAAAACTTGGAGAGACGGTCATTTCTGTTAAGTAGTTTTTTATTCTGTGGCCTTTTGATTACAGTTGAAAACTTAAAGCCACTTTGCTACCATTCCTTATTTTCTGCCCACAGGTCAGCAGAAATCATCAGTTAGAAACATTCGTAGGCCAGGCACGGTGGCTCATGCGAGTAACCTCGACACTTTCGGAGGCCAAGGCAGGAGGATCACTTGATGCTAGGAGTTCAAGAGCAGACTGGGCAACATAGCAAGACACTGTCTCTAAAAAAAAGAAAGGAAAAAATTCGTATACACATATACATATAAGCCCACCATTTTAAAAAATCAAAGGACAAGCTGGAAAATATATTTATCCCATACAAGGAGCTAATTTCTTAGTGTACAATGTATATAACTTTTTAGTATACATAAAAAAATCCAATAAAAAAGTGGGAAAAGGAAATTTGTTGAAAAGAAAATATAAATGACCAATAAACTAAGACAAATGCTCAGAGTAGTAATGCAGATTAAGACAGTGGGCTCTCATTTTCAAAAAGCATTTTAGATTTATAGAAAAGTTGTAAAAATAATAAGAGAGTTGTCATATATCCTCACTCAACTTCCCCTAATGCTAACATCTTACTTAACTATAGTACAGTTATCAAAATCAGGAAACTAATATTGATACAACACTATTAACTATTAGACCTTATTTTAATTTTGCCAGTTGTCCCATTAATGTCCTTTCCTGATCCAGGATCAAATCCAGGATGCCACATTGCATTTTGTTATCTCCTTATTCTGTTCCTATTTGTGACAGTTCTCAGTCTGTCTTTGATGACCATGACAATTTTGAAGAGTACTATACTGGTCAGTTATATTGTATAATGTCCCTAATGAGGGTCTGTCTGATGTTTTTTCATGTTTTGTGTTTTTGGTGAGAATGCCACAAAAGTGATTTTTAGCCCTTTTTAGTGCATTGTATCAGGACATATTTGATGATAATTTTTAATACTGGTGATGTTAACCTTGATCACTTGCTTAAAGGGGTGTTTGCTGGATTTCTTTACTGTAAAGTTACAGTTTTCCTCTTTACAATTACTAAATACCTTCTGGAAGATGCACTGAGGCTGTTCAAATATTCTGTTTCCCATCATACTTTTGCCCACTACTTTTAGCATTCATCAATGGTTCTTGACAGCAGCAATTATTACGGTAGTGTTTACCTAGTGGGGATTGTCTTAGTCTGTTTGTGCTACTATAACAACAATAAAAAAAAATGGAGGCAGGGTAATTTTTAAAGAACAGATACTTATTTCTCACAGTTCTGGAAACTAGAAGTCCAAGATCAAGGTGTTGGCAGGTTCAGTGTCTGGTGAAGGCTATTCTCCCCTTCCAAGATGATACTTTGTTGCTACATCCTCCAGAGGGGAAGAACGCTGCTCCCTTTTATGGCGGAGGTACAGGGTAAAAAGGGCAAATCCCTTTTTATAACATCATTGATCCCAATCATGAGGGCTCCACCCTCATGACTTAATCATCTCCTAGAGACCCACCACTTAATACTATCACATTGATCACATTGATGATTAAGTTTCAGCATATGAATTTGAGAAGGCACATTCAGACAGCAGCAGTGATTTTCTTTTTTTTTTTTCACTCTATATTGAAATTCTGTAAGGAAGATGTCCCATCTCCTGCTTATTTTCTCATGTATTTATATCAGCATGGATGTTTATTTTACTCTATGGCTTATAGCCTAATATTGTCATTGTTTTGTTGCTCAAATTCTTCTACCTTTGGCCATTAGGAGCTCCTTCAGGTTGGCCCCTCTGTTCTTAGACATGTCCCCAATTTTTGCCCACTTCCTTGTTTTCTGGTACCACAAGATGTTCCAGGCTCATCTTGTTTTTTCCCTACCCTAGCACTGGAATTAATCATTTCTGCATGGATCCCTACTTCCTTTTATTGGGAAATGACTTTTAGAAACCAAGATCTGGGCACTAGATGTTGAGTTGTCATTTTTTAACCTGTCAGAATGTCAGATATAAAAACTGATAACACTAAATGTTGCTAAGGGTACGGAAAATAGACACTCTTGTAGGCTTTGGATGGGAGTATAAGTAAGTATAACCTTTGGGGAGGGCATTTGGCATTATCTATTAAAATTTTAAGTATGTAGATTTAGAAAATCCACATTTTGATCTCTATTATATAGAAATACTTACATGTGTTCAAAGAGATAGGCACAAGAATATTCATTGCATCGTAATAGCAAAAACCTGGAAACAAAATTTCATCAATAGGGGACTGATTGGTTTAAAATTATGGTACAACCGTGCAATAAAATATCATGTTGGCAGTCAAATGAGAACTTCCTCATTGTTTGTTTAATTTAATTTAATTTAATTCAAAGTTCCAGGATACATATGCAGGACGTGCAGGTTTGTTACATAGGTAAACATGTGCCATGGTGGTTTGCTGCACTTATCAGCCCATCACCTAGGTATTAACCCCCACATGCATTAGCTATTTATCCTGATGCTCTCCCTCCCCTTCCGCCCACCCCACCCCACAGGCCCCAGTGTGTGTTGTTCCCCTACCTGTGTCCATGTGTTCTCATTGAGAACCTCCTCATTGTTATAGACTGAATGTGACTCCTCAAAATTAATATGTTAAAATCCTAAACCCCAATGTGATGGTTTGAGGAATTGGGGCCTTTGAGAGATAATTAAGTCAGAAGGGCGAGGCCTCAGGATGGGGTTAATGCCCTTAAGAAAAACATATGTATCATTACTACTTATAAGACATTCTCTAAGATGCCATTGGGGTACTAGGTTAAACAATAAATATATGAGTCACTACCTTCAAGAATCTCTCAGCTTATAGGGGAGGTAAGAAACCTGTTTGTAAGCTGTAACATAAAGTGATGAGTACCATAAAGAAAGATGCAAAGCACTGTGGGAGTTTAGATCCCATCTGGTAGGTAAGGGGATCAGAAACAAAAAAAAGAGACCCAAGAGTGCTGTCTCTCTGCCATGTGAGGATACAGGGAGATTTCAGTAGTCTGCAACCTGGAAGAGGGTCCTCACCGGAACCTGACCATGAGGGTACCCTGATCTCAGATGTACAGCCTCCAAATTGGGAGAAATTTCTGTTTATAAGCTACTCAGTCTGTGGTACTTTGTTATAGCAGCCTGACACGAGGCCCTTATTCTTTCAATACAAATCTACCACCTACTTACCTTTGTGCCTACACTGTAGCTTCCTCCACTTACGGAACAGTATAATGGTTAAGGGCATGTGATCTAATGCCATATTCCCAGTGTATGGCTCTACCATACACTGTCTTTACCATTTACTAGCTCTATAACCAAATCTGGCCACTATTTACTACCTGTGTGAACCTGAGTAAGTTAAACTCACTAAACAGTCGTTTTCTCATTTTTGAAATGAGAGCAATAATACTATTACCTCACAGGGTGGTTGTGAGAATTAATACATGTAAGGTGTTTTGAATAGTGCCTGGTATGAACTCAGTAAGTGTTAGATTATTACAATAGACAAAGTGTCCTTGTTGCTATCAAAGATCATTTTTTTTTTTTTTTTTTTTTTTTGAGACGGAGTTTTGCTCTTGTTGCCCAGGCTGGAGTGCAATGGCGCAATCTCTGCTCACTGCAACCTCCGCCTCCCAGGTTCAAGTGATTCTCCTGCCTCAGCCTCCCAAGTAGCTGGGATTACAGGTGTGTGCCACCACGCCTGGCAAATTTTGTATTTTTAGTAGAGACAGGGTTTCACCATGTTGGCCAGGTTTGTCTTGAACTCCTGACCTCAAGTGATCCACCCGCCTCGGCCTCCCTAAGTGCTGGGATTACAGGCATGAGCCACCACGCCTGGCCTCAGTGTGGTTTTGATTTGCATTTTCCTGATGATTAGTGATGTTGAGTATTTCTTCATGTATTTGTTGGCAATTTGTATGTTTTCTTTTGAGAAATGCCTGCTCAGATCACTGGCCCATTTTAAAATCACAGTTTTTTTTGTTGCTGTTGAGATGTTGAGTTCCTTGTATAGTCTGAGTATTAATCCCCTGTTGGGTGAGTAGTTTGCAAATATTTTCTCCTTCTGTAGGTTCTTTTTGCTCTGTTGATTGTTTCCTTTGCTATGCAGAAGTTTTTTAGTTTAATATAATCCCATTTGTTTGCTTTTGTTGCCTGTGCTTTTGAAGTAAATAGAGTACTTAAACATTTAAAATCACTTAAACCTAACAGACAATCTATAGAACACCCAAGAACAACAGAATTCACATTATTCTCCAGTGCGCATGGAAGACTATTCTCTAGGACAGATTGTACGTTAGGCCACAAATCAAGTCTCAATAAATTGTAAAAGATTGAAACAATATGAAGTGTCTTCTCCAAATCCAATGGAATGAAAGTAGAAATGAAGAACAGAAGTAAAACTGGAAAATCCACAAATGAGTTAAAATTAAATGAAAGATGCTTAAACAACTAATATAACAAAAAGAGACAAATGAAAACAAAAACACAACATACCAAAAATTATGGGATGCAGCAAAAGTGGTGCTCAAATGCATATTTTTAAAGTGCAAACATCTATTTTTTTTAAATAAAGAACGATCTCAGATCAATAACCCAGCTTTACACCTTAAGGAACTATAAAAATGAAATCAAAGTAAACTGAAAACTAGTAGAAGGAAGGAAATAGTAAAGATTATAGCTAAGGGTTGGGCACAGTGGCTCATGTCTGTAATCCCAGTACTCTGAGAGGCCAAGGTGGGAGGATTGCTTGAGCCCAGGAGTTTGAGACCTGCCTGGGTAATGTAGTGAGACCTCGTCTCTACAAAAAAATTTAAAAATTAGCTGGGCATTGTGGCTTATGCCTATAGTCCCAGCTACTTAGGGGGCTGAGGTGGGAGAATCACATGATCGCTGCAGCGATCCATGCTTGTACCACTGCACTCCAGTCTGGGTGACAAGGTGAGACCCTGTCGCCCCCCCCAAAAAAAAAAAGATAATAGTTAAGATAAATGAAATAGGGACTAGGAAACCAATATAACCATTAAAATGAAAAAAAAAAAAGATTATTTGAGAAGATCACCAAAATTGGCAAACCATTACCTATAGTGGTTAAGAAAAAGAAGATTCAATTTATTTAAGAAATTAAAATGGGAATATTACTGTCAGCCTTACAAAAATAAAAAGGATTATAAGAGAATACTATGAATAATTATACACCATAAATCAGATTACCTGGATGAAATGGACAAATTCCTAGAAACACACAACTACCAAAATTGACGCACAAAGAAAAAATCTGAATAGACTTATAACAAGAGATTGAATCAGTAATCAAAAACCTAACAAAGAAAAGCCCAGGAACAGAAATTTCTACTGGTAAATTCTAGAAGCATTTAAAGAAGAATTAACACCAATCTTTCTCAAACTCTTCAAAGAAATGGAAAGGAAGGAAAGACTTCCTAACACATTCTATGAGGCTAGTATTACACTGCCATCAAAGCCAGAAAAATACACAAGAAATGAAAACTACAGGCCAATGTCCCTTACGAATACAGATACAAAAGTCCTCAAGAAAATACTGGCAAATCACACTGAACAGCGTATTAAAAGCATTATACATCATGACCATATGTGATTTATCCCAGAAATGCAAGGGTCATTCACATAAGAAAATCAATCAATGTAATAAGTTACATTGATAGAAAGGAAAAAAACACATGATCATCTCATTTAATGCAGAAAAGTCATTTGGCAAAATCTAATACCCTTTCGTGATAAAAACACTCAGCAAACTAGGAATAGAAGGGAACTTCTTCAACATGATAAAGAACATTTATGAAAAGCCCACAGCTAACATGATACTCAGTGGTCTTCCACCTGATCATAGGGGAAAAGATTTTAGTCTTTCACCATTGTGTATGATGTTAGTTGTGGTAACCTAAATATAAGGGCTAAAACCATAAAACTCTTAGATGAAAACATAGGGATAAATCTTTGTGTTCTTAGATTTGACTAGTCATTAGGGAATTGCAAATCAAAACCACAATGAGATACCACTACACACCACAAGGATGAGTATAAGAATACATTTCTAAGAAGGAAAGTAAGTGTTGACAAGAACTTTGAGGAATTCAAACCCTCATACATGGCTGGAAGGCAGCTGCTATGGAAAACAGATTGGCTGTTCAAAAAGTTAACCATAGAATTATGATGTGGTTCATTAAATAATGAGTCATTCAAATAAAACTTGGCCAGGCGCAGTGGCTCACGCCTGTAATCCCAGCACTTTGGGAGGCCAAGGCGGGCAGATCACGAGGTCAGGAGATAGAGACCATCCTGAGTAACACGATGAAACCCTGTCTTTACTAAAAATACAAAAAATTAGCTGGGCGTGGTGGCGGGCGCCTGTAGTCCCAGCTACTCGGGAGGCTGAGGCAGGAGAATGGCGTGAACCTGGGAGGCGGAGCTTGCAGTGAGCCAAGATCGTGCCACTGCACCCCAGCCTGGGTGACAGAGCAAGACTCCGTCTCAAAAAAAAATAATAAAAAAATAAAACTTGTACTCTAGCGTTTGTTGTAACACTATTCACAATAGACAAATGGTGAAAACAACTCAAATATCCATCAACTGATGAATGGAGAAACAAAATGTGTTATATAGCCACACAATGGAATATTACTCAGCCATGAAAAGGAATTGAGTACTGATACATGCTACAATGTTTGTACCTCAAAAACGTTATGCTATGGAATAAGCCAGACACAAAAAGTCACATATTGTATGGTTCAATTTATGAAATATCCAGAATAGGCAAATACAACAGAGATGGAAATATTAGTGGTTTCCAGGGGTTGGGGGAAAGAGAATGGGGAGTTACTGCTTAATGGTTACCCAGTTTCATTTTGGCATGCTGGCAGTATTCTGGAGTGAGATAGAGGTGATGGTTGCACAACATTGTGAATGTACTTAATGTCCACTGTATTGTGCACTTTAAAATTGTCTAGATGGTTGCTTTTAGCCACCCGTTCAGAAACCTTGTGCCATCAAGCCACCCAAGTGCTCTTAAATTTCCTCGCTACCTGTGGCTACAAGGTTTCCAAACCAAAGGCTCAGCTCTGCTCACAGCAGGTTAAATACTTAGGTCTAAAATTATCCAAAGGCACCAGGGCCCTCAGTGAAGAACGTATCCAGCCTACACTGGCTTATCCTCATCCCAAAACCCTAAAGCAAGTAAGAGGGTTCCTTGGCATAACAGGTTTCTGCCAAATACAGATTCCCAGGTACGGCGAAATAGCCAGACCATTATATACACTAATTAAGGAAACTCAGAAAGCCAATACCATTTAGTAAGATGGGCACCTGAAGCAGAAGCAGCTTTCCAGGCCCTAAAGAAGGCCCTAACCCAAGCCCCAGTGTTAAGCTTGCCAGTGGGGCAGACTTTTCTTTATATGTCACAGAAAAAAACAGGAATAGCTCTAGGAGTCCTTACACAGGTCCGAAGGATGAGCTTGCAACCCATGGCGTACCTGAGTAAGGAAATTGATGTAGTGGCAAAGGATTGGCCTCATTGTTTATGGGTAGTGGCAGCAGTAGGAGTCTTAGTATCTGAAGCAGTTAAAATAATACAGGGAAGAGATCTTACTGTGTGGAATCTCATGATGTGAACGGCATGCTCACTGCTAAAGGAGACTTGTGACTATCAGACAACTGTGAGGAAAGTAACAAATCATAAATCCCCATGGCCCTCCCTTATCATATTTTTCTCTTTACTGTTCTCTTACCCCCTTTCGCTCTCACTGCACCCCCTCCATGCTGCTGTACAACCAGTAGCTCCCCTTACCAAGAGTTTCTATGAAGAACGCGGCTTCCTGGAAATATTGATGCCCCATCATATAGGAGTTTATCTAAGGGAAACTCCACCTTCACTGCCCACACCCATATGCCCCGCAACTGCTATAACTCTGCCACTCTTTGCATGCATGCAAATACTCATTATTGGACAGGGAAAATGATTAATCCTAGTTGTCCTGGAGGACTTGGAGCCACTGTCTGTTGGACTTACTTCACCCATACCAGTATGTCTGATGGGGGTGGAATTCAAGGTCAGGCAAGAGAAAAACAAGTAAAGGAAGCAATCTCCCAACTGACCCGGGGACATAGCACCCCTAGCCCCTACAAAGGACTAGTTCTCTCAAAACTACATGAAACCCTCCGTACCCATACTCGCCTGGTGAGCCTATTTAATACCACCCTCACTCGGCTCCATGAGGTCTCAGCCCAAAACCCTACTAACTGTTGGATGTGCCTCCCCCTGCACTTCAGGCCATACATTTCAATCCCTGTTCCTGAACAATGGAACAACTTCAGCACAGAAATAAACACCACTTCCGTTTTAGTAGGACCTCTTGTTTCCAATCTGGAAATAACCCATACCTCAAACCTCACCTGTGTAAAATTTAGCAATACTATAGACACAACCAGCTCCCAATGCATCAGGTGGGTAACACCTCCCACACGAATAGTCTGCCTACCCTCAGGAATATTTTTTGTCTGTGGTACCTCAGCCTATCATTGTTTGAATGGCTCTTCAGAATCTATGTGCTTCCTCTCATTCTTAGTGCCCCCTATGACCATCTACACTGAACAAGATTTATACAATCATGTCGTACCTAAGCCCCACAACAAAAGAGTACCCATTCTTCCTTTTGTTATCAGAGCAGGAGTGCTAGGCAGACTAGGTACTGGCATTGGCAGTATCACAACCTCTACTCAGTTCTACTACAAACTATCTCAAGAAATAAATGGTGACATGGAACAGGTCACTGACTCCCTGGTCACCTTGCAAGATCAACTTAACTCCCTAGCAGCAGTAGTCCTTCAAAATCGAAGAGCTTTAGACTTGCTAACCGCCAAAAGAGGGGGAACCTGTTTATTTTTAGGAGAAGAATGCTGTTATTATGTTAATCAATCCAGAATTGTCACTGAGAAAGTTAAAGAAATTCGAGATCGAATACAATGTAGAGCAGAGGAGCTTCAAAACACCGAACACTGGGGCCTCCTCAGCCAATGGATGCCCTGGGTTCTCCCCTTCTTAGGACCTCTAGCAGCTCTAATATTGTTACTCCTCTTTGGACCCTGTATCTTTAACCTCCTTGTTAAGTTTGTCTCTTCCAGAATTGAAGCTGTAAAGCTACAAATGGTTCTTCAAATGGAGCCCCAGATGCAGTCCATGACTAAAATCTACCACGGACCCCTGGACCAGCCTGCTAGCCCTTGTTCCGATGTTAATGACATCAAAGGCACCCCTCCTGAGGAAATCTCAACTGCACAACCCCTACCATGCCCCATTTCAGCAGGAAGCAGGTAGAGCGGTCGTCAGTCAACCTCCCCAGCAGCACTTGGGTTTTCCTGTTGAGAGGGGGTACTGAGAGACAGGACTAGCTGGATTTCCTAGGCCGACTAAGAATCCCTAAGCCTAGCTGGGAAGGTGACCGCGTCCACCTTTAAACACGGGGCTTGCAACTTAGCTCACACCCGACCAATCAGAGAGCTCACTAAAATGCTAATTAAGCAAAAACAGGAGGTAAAGAAATAGCCAGTCATCTATCGCCTGAGAGCACAGCAAGAGGGACAATGATCGGGATATAAACCCAGGCATTCGAGCCAGCAACGGCTACCCTCTTTGGGTCCCCTCCCTTTGTATGGGAGCCCTGTTTTCACTCTATTAAATCTTGCAACTGCAAAAAATAATTAAAATAAGTCTAGATGGTATGTTTTATGTTATGTGCATTGTCCACATTTTTTAAAAAAGCAAACTTCTTATCATAGTCTACAAAGCCCTATAACAGATCTGGCTATTGACCACCTCTCTGACCTCTTCTCATACTACTCTGCCCTTACACATACAGCAGACATATTGGCATTCTTTTCTAAGAAGTCAAGCTTCTCCTTACCTTAGCATCTTTGTTCCCTTTGCCTAGAAAGTTGCCCCCCCTCCGCCAACCCACAACCCCATATGTACACGTGGCTGCCTCCTTCATCAGGCCAAATGTCACTTCCCTTAGAAAAGCTTTCTTTGGCTACCTTATTTATAAAGAATTTCACCAACTCTCCTCTCAGTCACTTTCTATCTCATGACCCTGTGTACATCCTTCATACCACTCAACATTATGTGAAATTATCTTACCAATTATTTTCATACTTGATTATCTGTTCCCCTATTAACATATGACCCCCAAGAGGCCAGACGCAGTGGCTCACACCTGTAATCCCAGCACTTTGGGAGGCCGAGGCATACGGATCACTTGAGGTCAGGAGTTCGAGACCAGCCTGGCCAACATGGTGAAACCCTGTCTCTACTAAAAATACAAAAATTAGCCGGAAATCGCTTGAACCCGGGAGGTGGAGGCTGCAGTGAGCGAGATGACGCCACTGCACTCCATCCTGGGTAAAGAACGAGACTCTGTCTCAAAAAAAAAAAAAAAAAGGATATGACCTCCAAGAGAGTAAAAATATTTTTTTAATTGCCATGTTTCAAGCATCTAGAATAGTGTCATATAGTTGCTTAATAAACAATTGTTGAATTCGTGAATGAGAAGATATACTTGACACATTAGCTAATTCTTACAGTCTTTCCCTCTTCAAACAATTATAGTGAGAAACTAACATGCCAAAAATTATTTCTCCTATAATACCTGAGCAACCGTGGATGTCTTCTGTTCTCTGGTGGAATAAGCTTGTCCATAGTGAGTAGGGTCATCAGTCACAAGTATGCTCACAAGATTTTGACTTTCTCTCTGAGAACTTAACTTTCCTTTTTGGCCTAAGCTTATAAAGAATCAGAATATGAATCCTAAAAGTCCTAACATTATATAGACTGCTGTTTGAAAAGTTCAAATGATTCTTGTAGTGAGATAATAATAGTAAGCATAACAATTTACTTACCATTGCTATGCTAACATGTTTTATGTATCGTACAATCTCATCATTTTTACAAAAACCCTCCCTTGATGTCCTCCCAGCTGACATCCCATTTCTATACTCCCTTTAATAGTAAAATTTATCCAGAGTTGTTTATACCTCTGTAAAGGTTCACAAGACTGGCGGGGGCTTAGAGTAGACCCAGTTGCAACAGCAGTTCCAATAACATGAAAACAGCTGCGAGGAGCAAAAGGACCCCCAGTATCTCTACCACCTGCGTGAGTTTAGTAAGACAGGACACTTGTACAAGTCAAGAAAAGCTGCCTTATTACTCAAAGATAGGCAGCAAGGATAAACAGAAGCCTAGGATCCAGAGTGAGCCGGTCTCTCAAAGGCTCAGGGAAGTGCCCAAGGTGATTGGAGTCTTATCTGCACGTACCCTACATTGCACAACAGCTGAGTGACCCCGAAACTGCTCTGCTCTGGATTTATATATTCTGGATGCCACTTGTCCCACTGAGCACAAATGTTGCAAAACAAGGTCATAGCTCAGATTTTTTCAGACACTTCAACTAAGAGGAAGGAGTGGGAAGAACTAGGTTGGCTGAGGCTATCCAGGCACCTGTCCTCGTATAACCTCTTTATCTCCAATTTTCCTCCTTAATTCAGTTTAGTCAGGCTTTTGGCCCTACCCGTTTACTGAAATAACTCTTTAAGGCCACCAGTTGCCAAAAGATGTCATGGCCATCTTTTTGTCCCCACTTAACCTCTCAGCAGCATTCAACACAGTTGATCACTCCCTCCTTGAAATGTTTTCTTCACCTGGCTACTGTTAAACCTTAGTCTTGGTTTCCTTCCTCCCTCACTGGCTGCTCTTTCATTCTTTCCTTTGCTGGCTGATTTGTCTTCTCTCATCTTTAATGTTGGGTTTTCCCAGGGCTCAGTACTACAGAATACTTCTCTATCTGTACTAATTGATGACATTCAAATTCATTCAGATTGAGACTCCCCTGAATTCTACTTGTATATCTAGCTTCCTACATGATACTTCCACTTAGATGTCTAATATGCATGTCAAACTGAGCTCATCCAAAACAGAACTCTTGATACACTTCCTATTCAAAAACTGGTTCCATTCCCAATGTTAACACCTCCCTAAATGATGCAACTATTCACATGGCTGCTAAAGATAAGAATATTGAAACAACTGTAGTGCTTAGAACAGTACTTGACACATAGGTGAACAATAAATATTAATTGAATGAATTAATAAAATTAATCAATATAATTCTCATAAGCCCATTTCTACTTGATGTAATGGAGTGCAACCCTGCAGGATATAGAAGATAGGAACATACCTCCCTCCTACTATAACAACAATATATGTATATATGTATATGTGTGTGTGTGTATATATATATATATATAGAGAGAGAGAGAGAGAGAGAGAGAGAGTTCTTTCTATGTGAGTGGAGATTAATGACCACTTTCCTTCCATGGGCATCTGCCAAGTCTGGGTATGGGCTGATAATTGTTTTTTGCCATAGGCAGAGAGACTCTGCTCAGGAGATAAAAGTAGTAGAACTTTTGACAGCCTCATGAGCTGACATGAAAGATCAGAATTTGGAGAACCCTCAAACTTGAAGTCAGGTCTCACCTTGGTTTTTCCCCACTGACTTTTCTTGAGCACTGGAGCGGCACTGGAGCCTCAGAGGATGGGCTGGAAAGTCCGAGATAAATCTCTTGCAATCTCATGATTTATAGGAGACAAAGTCTGGGTATAGAAAAGATTGTCTCCCAAAAGGGAAGAATCTATTTTCAGATTTTGCCCTCAAGAATTTTAGTTAGGACAGAGTGGAACTAAACCCACAACCCTGTGCCAACCTAGCTCAATTTCTAATTGGTTTGAAGTGATTACTCCTCACCCATTTTCCTGACAAAAGAGCCTTCCCTCTCTAAAAGGAAAAAAAATCGTTGATATCAGAATCTATATCACTTTTGCACAATTTTCATTATTGTGGAGGCTAAACCAACTCCATCGTGGAAGCTAATCCACCATGCTGGCTTCTGATTAACCCCTATTCCAGGAAGGCCTCCAAGATTTCCAGTTTATCTATTGTTCCTTGTGTAAGAGCAGGTTCTTACCATAAATCCTGTCCTTAGGTCAAACAACTTTGATGTTATCATACTTCAGTTGTCCTACATAACCCTTCTGAACCACCCCCTCCCCTGTTGTATATAAACTCTGGGTCTAGGGGGTAATGGCACAGGAATCCACCATCTTGTCTCATCACCACCTGAGACAGACATGGCTTCTGTTCCTAAGTCGCTGTTAAATGTTTCTTTCTAAGAAACTGGATCTAAGAAACTGGATTTGTCAGCCTCTTTCTTCAGCCTCTCAGCTTCCTCGGACTTTGGGAAAGGTTTGCATAGACTTGTCTCCTGCAAAACAAGCATATCAAAAGATTATGAGACATATGAAGAAACAGGAAAATGTGACCTATAATCAAAATGAAAACAGTCAGTATAAGTAGACCCACTAGTGATCCAGATGTTGAATGTACTGATACGTGATGCAGCACAGCTATACCCCAACAACATGCTGAATGAAAGAAGCCAGGCACAAAAGGTCACATTTTTTATTCCACTTATATGACATAGCCAGTATAGATAAATCCATAGAGACAGAAAGCTGATTGGTGGTTGTTGGGGTCTATGGGTAGAAGGGAATAGGGAGTGAGTACTTAATGGATATAGGGTTTACTTTAGGGGTGATTAAAATTTTTTGGAACTAGAGGTGGTAGTTGGACAACACTGAAGGTACTAAATGCCACTGAATTTTACACTTTATTAATTTTATGTTTGTGTATTTCACTTTAATTCCTTGAATGGGTTTATTAGTAGACTGAACACAGCAGAAGAGTAGTGAACTCAAAGACAGTGCAATAGAAACTATTCAATTGAAGTACATGGAGAAAAAATAATGGAAAGAAGAGAAAACAACACGAGAGTTATGTAGGAGATTGTCAGCCAGTATAATATTAGTGTAATTAAAATCTCAGAAGGAAAAGAGCAAGAGAATGAGGCAGAAAAAAAAAACTATTCAAAGTGATAATGGCTGATAATTTCTCAAAAGTAATGACAGACATCAACCCACAGATCCAGTAATCTCAGTAAACCCCAAGTAGGATAAAAACAGGAAAACCATACTTAGGCACATTATAGTTCAACTTCTGAATGAAGGATAAAGAGAAAAACTTAAAAGCAGCCAGAGCTGGATGAAGTGGTTCATGCCTGTAATCCCAACACTTCAGGAGGCTGAGGTAGGAGGATCACTTGAGCCCAGGAGTTTAAGACCAGCCTGGGCAATATAAGGGGACTCTGTCTCTATAAAAAAATTTTAAAATGAGCCAGGTGTGGTGCTGCACACCTGTGGGAGGCGGAGGTGGGAGGATTGCTTGAGCCTGAGAGGTCAAGGCTGCAGTGAGCCATAATCATGCCACTGTACTCCAGCCTGTGCAACAGAATGAGGCCCTGTCCCAAAAAAAAAAAAAAAACAAGCAAAACAAAGCCAGAGGAGTGTGGGGAAAGGCAAATGACCTTAAAGAAATGAACATAAGACTAACAACAAACTCCAAAACAGCACAATACATGGATGTCAGAATATAGTATAATCACATCTTTAAAATACTCTAAGATAAAATTGCTGATCTATAATTATGTGTCCAGTGAAAATCCTTTAAAAATAAAGATTAAATAAAGATTTTTTTGGACAAACGAAAGTTGAAAGAATTCATTGCCATCAAAACTGCACTGTAAGAAATACTTTTTCCTTCAGACTGAAGGAAAAGGATACTACATTAAAGAACAGCACTCCAGGAAGAAATGAATAGCATCAGAAAGGGTATACATGTACATAAACATAAAAGATTATGTATTATTTAAAGTAACAATAATAACAATGCCTTGTGGAGTTACATGTAGAAGTAAAATATATGATAATAGTAGAAATGATGGGAGCAGATAAATGGACCTTTACTCTTGTTTAATTTTTTGCATTATGAAGTGCTAAGGTACTAAGTAAGGAAGATTGTAATAAATTAAGGATGAAGGGTTTCTAGAGCAGGGTTTCTTAACCTTGTCACTTTTGACTTTTGGGGCTGGATAATTCTTTGTTGTGTATGGCTAATCTTTGTATTTTAAGCTGTTTAATGGTATCCCTGGCCCCTACCCACTAGATGCCAGTAGCACCTTCCCCAAAATGTGACAGCCAAAAATATCTCTAGACATGGTCAAATTTCCCTGGGTAACAAAATCACTCCTGTTTAAGAACTATTGCTCTAGAATAACCACTAAAAACATTGGAAAGGTATAAACAAAATGTTAATGGAGGACTCAAAATGAAGTTGTAATAATGAAAAACTGAATTAATCCAAAATAAGGTAGCATAAGAGGAACAAGGAAACAACTGACAGATTAAACAACTAGACAACAATAGCAAAATAGTGAGCTTAAATGCAGCCACAGTCATGAATTGCATAACAATATTTCAGTCAAAAAGGGACTGCAAATATGATGGTGGTCCCATAATATCATAATGGAGCTGAAAAATTCCCATAATCTAGTGATGTCATAGCCATATAATGTCATAGTGCAATGCATTACTCATGTGTTTAAGGTGATGCTGGTGTTAACAGTAGCATGCTGTAGAGATTTGTAGCCTAGAAGTGATAGGCTATTTTATATAACCTAGGTGTATATAGTAGGCTATAGTATCTAGGTTTGTGTAAGTACACTCTATAATGTTTGCACAATACCATTCTCAGAATGTGTCCCTGTCGTTAAGCAATGCATGGCTGTATATCATTAGTCACATTAATACAAATAAACAAAATACTCCAATGAAATACAAAGATTGTCTGACTGGAAAAAATCAAGACCCAACTATATACCATTTACAAGAGACACATTTTATGTATGAAGATACAGATTGAAAGTACAAAAATGGAAAAATATACCATACAAACTCTAACAACAACAACAACAACAGTAAAGCTGTCATGGTTATACTAATGTCAGACAAAGTAGTCTTTCAGTCAAGAAGTATTACCGGAGATAGGGAACACGAGCACATTTCATAGTGATAAAAGGGTCTGCCGGGTACAGTGGCTCACGCCTGAAATCCCAGCACTTTGGGAGGCTGAGGTGGGAAGATCACTTGAGCCCAGGAGTTCGAAGCAACATAGGAAGACCCCATCTCTATAAAAATTTTAAAAAGAGTCAATTTAACAGAAAGACAATAGTCCTCATAGTATGAGGTAGGGAGTAGTTTTAATTATTCTAATTTTTACAGATGAGGAATCGAGGTCTCAGAAAGACTAAGGGGCCTACAAAGATAGTAAATAATGTATCCAGAACAAGCTTAAACTTTTAACTACTATAGAGTATTCTGTGGCAAAAAAAAAAAAAAAAAATCATTTTCTTCAAAATTGAAGTGAAAGATTCGCAGTACCTGAGCAACGATGCCACTTTTCTACATTCCTTTAGGAAAGCAGGAGAATTTCTTCACAAAGGCATTAATTATTTAAATTTTTAAACTTCGACCAGAATGAGGTCTTGATATGTCATTTCAGTTGTGAAGGTAACAGAAAGATGTTCTATGATACCAAACCCTGAATGTGGAGGTGCAGTCAGTGCAGCTGTACTCTAAGCTTCTCCTAAAATACTTCAAGCTACTTCAAAGAATCAAGTTCAAGTCATGCCTTTCTGGATTTCTGGAAAACAAAGTGGAAACTTTCTCTTTCCATTACCACTCAGACTGCTTTAAAAAACTAAGTCCTATATTCCTGAAAAGAAGGATGGAAAGGATATGAGTGGAATTTGTCAGGAAAATAAACAAAAAAGAAATTTCCAGTAGGTCATATTCCTCTATTCTCTGGGGGGAAAAAAAAGAATATTTTTGATCTTTTCAAAGAAGCCACTGATCTGCAGGGAGTCATCTGGTCCTTGGCATAATTTTTCTACTTTAAAAAATATGAGTGGCTGGGTGCAGTGGCTCACGTCTGTAATCCCAGCATTTGAGAGGCTGAGGCAGAAGGATCACTTGAGGTTGGGAGTTTGAGACCAGCCTGGCCAACATGATGAAACCCTGTCTGTACTAAAAATACAAAAATTAGCCGGGCACTGTGGCACACGCCTGTAGTCTCAGCTACTCAGGAGGCTGAGACATGAGAATCACTTGAACCCAGGAGGCGGAGGTTGCAGTGAGCCGAGATCACACCCCTGCACTCCAGCCTGGGCGACAGAATGAGACTCCGTCTCAAAAAATAAATAAAAATAAAAAATAAATAAAAACATGTTATTAGTTGTTTTATTATTAAACTAATACGTGCTGGAAAGGGAGAAACAGTAACTTGAATGTGGAGAAACAGCAAATACCACCTTAACCAAGTGATCAAAGTGAACATCAGTAGGGATAAGTCATGTTGTTAACATGTACCCCAGTATGATGCAAAGAGGACACATCGATTATATCATATTTCTCCCAAAAACTCAAACCCGGTCTAATTTTAAAAAATAGCCAATAAACACAAATTAAGAGGTATTCTTCAATATTCCTGCCTAGTACACCCTGAAACTATCAAGTTCATAAAAAAAACAAGGAAAGAAACTGTCACAGGACAGAGCAGACTAAGGAGACATGACAACTAAATGCAATTGGATTGGATCCTGGAAAGGAAAAAAGGAAATTAATGGAAAAATTCGTCAAATGTGACTGAAGTTTGGAATTTAGTTAATAATGTACCAATGTTGGTTTCTTACTTTAAACAAGTGTACCATAGTAATGTAAGATGATAACATAAAGAGAAGCTGAAACCATGTACTATCTTTGCAGCTTTCCTGTAAATCTAAAAATATTCCAAAATAAAAAGTGTATTAAAGAATATATGATTGTGATGCAAAGAAAAAAATAAATAAATGAAAGAATAAAGAAGGGAAATAAGTAGAGAAAAGAAGGAAGGAAACAATTAAAAATCATTGTCAAAAGTAACTAAGTTTTAAAAATTTTCATCCCAGTCTTAAAGGTAAACTATTTTATACATTCATTTTTATGTATAATTCCAGACTTTTCTATGTAGGTAGGCTTATTCAAATATATGTTACATTTTACAGAGAAGGAATAATATTATATATGTCTCATAATTTGATTTTTCATTTGGTATATAACTACTGTATTTTCACTAATTCATGCATTTATTTTGTCAGCAAATATATAGTGCCTGATAATTATTCAGGAAGGAAGAGTATGTGTATGTGGTCTTACTAGCATTTCCTGAGGGTATTATTTTGCAAGCCTTAGGAAATACCAGAAAAGGAAAGGGAGAAAGTGGAGTACATGGTAAGTAATTTTTAGGGCTCCTCTTCAGGACTCTAAGATTTTTAAAAGACTGAGTCTTTGCCTAGAAAGAAAAGGACAGATGTTCTTGCATGTGCCCAGATTTCTTGGGTGTAAAAACACCTCTACAGCTTAAACCCTAGCCATTTCACATGAAAAAATTGCCCAGTTGGACCGGGTGTGGTGGCTCTTGCCTATAATCCCAGCACTTTGGGAGGCCGAGGTAGGTGGATCACCTGAGGTCAGGAGTTCAAGACCAGCCTGGCCAACATGGCAAAACCCCATCTCTACTAAAAAATACAAAAATTACATGTGGTGTGTGCCTGTAATCCCAGCTACTCAGGAGGCTGAGGCAGGAGAATGACTTTAACCCGGGAGGTAGAGGTTGCAGTGAGCCGAGATCACACCATTGCACTCCAGCCTGGCTGACAAGAGGGAAACTCCATCTCAAAAAAAAAAAAAAGGCACAGTTGTTGAACAGTTGGTGGGGAAAACAATTTAACCTCTTGTGGACCATTAGTAGTGAACTGAGGGTGTTTTCAAGAGAGCTCTATACCAGCACAAGGGAAAAACATAGAAACTTGGTGATATGGTTTGACTGTGTCCCTACACAAATCTCATCTTGAATTGTAACTCTCACAATTCCTACGTGTCATGGAAGGGACCCTGTGGGAGGTAATTGAATCATGGGGCGGGTCTTTCCCCTGCTGTTCTCATGATAGTGAATAAGTCTCACGAGATCTGGTGGTTTTATAAAGGGGAGTTTCCCTGCACAAGTTCTCTTCTCTTATCTGCCACCATGTGAGACGTGCCTTTCATCTTCTGCTGTGATTGTGAGGCCTCCCCAGCCACGTGGAACTGTGAGTCCATTAAACCTCTTTCTTTTGTAAATTGCTCAGTCTCAGATGTGTCTTTATCAGCAGCATGAAAACAGACTAATACACTTGGACTGGGACATGCTACTGAGCTGCAGCAAGAGTGGCATATACCAGATGTAGAAACAAGAAGGACAATGATGAAAAAAATAATAATAAAGTAATTAGTTTTCTCCAGGGAAGCAAAGCATCAGTTAGAAAGACCAAAAGTTTGAAGACTCATGAGCTGGCGTTTGAAAGCATTAAGAGCCACAGGGATGCACAGAGTACACTCCTTCCTACTTAGGAGAGTATGGGAAAAAAAAAAAAGATATCCACTAAATTTAAGGCTGGAAATACCTGTCGAAGACAACCAAAAAGAGGAGCAATTAATAATGAAGATCAGACCCACCTCAAGCTAGTGAAGGCAGAGGCTGTCCTAGAGACACGCTGCTAAAGTTCTAGCTTTCCACCCAAGGACAGACACTTCTTACTCCTTCCCATGTTGCACATGATGTGGAAAAGAGAGAAGGAAAATGCTAAGCTTCTAAGCCAATAAAAAGAGAAGCCCTTAAACAACTGAAGTGACTATAGAGACTGGTACAAATGATGAAAAGTTCAAGGAAAAAGAAAATCTGTGTCCTCTTGTAATCCCTCAAAAGGAAAACCACTGGATAAAGAGGTACAAGGATCCCACAAAGTAAGCTGGCCTACTAAAGGTGGGGGATGAGCTTATGTACAAATACTGACCATAAAATCCCATCTGTATTTTTCCCAATTGTAGTGAACATTTACTGTTTTTATCTACCTAGCGTCCATCTCTCTATCCTTTTGGTAATAATATCCTGATTTTCACTCAGGTAGCTATCCCTTGTTACCCAACACAGACCATGTGTTTTAGGGGAAATGATTCCATGCCCAGATTCAGTTCTATATTGACTTAAGCTAATTTGGTCTAAGGAGACAGTTGCTGGAGGCTTCAGTATAAAAACTCCCTTGGTGAAAAGGAGGAAGTGTTGACTTTCTTTTGGATGTGAATGAGGAAACAAAGCCTCCAGAAGTCAGTTTGGAGGGAATAGATAGCAGCCTTAAAGTGAAGTGGATATCAATGAAGGCAGCAAATAAAGATGAAAAGATGTTAGGTCTTTGGTGACATCACTGAGCCGTTGAATTGGGCCTCACTTGAAACCTCACCTAACTCTGGACTTTTTGGTTACAAGGAATAATAAGTTATCTTTATTATTTAAGGTAATGTATTTCCACTTTTCTGTTACATACAGCTGAAAGTTATGATACCCTAAAGTTGGAGAACATCCTGGAAAGTTCGAAAGGTTGGAAAAATGAGTTTGTCAGAGAATGCCAGTTGCCTTCCAATATCCAGTTGACTAACTGGGTACTATGTATTTTGTGTACAGATTACACAAATCTGAGTCATATTATTTTAAAGCTGAAATTTTCCTGAAAGACTTATAGAAACATTAGCAGTTATGTGCCTGGCCCAGGTGATATGCGAAGCATGGCTTGCCCAGTGCTGTACATAGCATTCCATCCCTTAGGTACTTAGACAGATGTCTATCCTTATGTTACTACCACATGATTATTTATTACTGTAACTTAAACAGTACTTAGGTACTACTGTCTAGGTACCTAAGGGGTGGAATGGCTGGATCATATGATAGGTATATATTTAACTTTTTAAGAATATGCCAGCCAGATGCAGTGGCTCACGCCTGTAATCCCAGCAGTTTGGGAGGCCGAAGGGGGCAGATCACCTGAGGTCAGGAGTTCGAGACCAGCCTGGTCAACATGGCAAAACCCCATATCTACTAAAAATACAAAACTTAGCCAGGCGTAGTGTGTGGTGCTTGATGATACGTGTCTGTAATCCCAGCCACTGGTGAGGCTGAGGTGGGAGAATCGCTTGAACCCAGGAGGTAGAGGTTGCAGTAAGCCTGAGATCACGCAACTGCACTCCAGCCTGAGCGACAGAGCTAGACTGTGTCTAAAAATAAATAAATAAATAAATAAATATGGCAAAAACAAGCAGCCTAGTCTTGTACCTGATCATAGGGGAAAAACTTTCAGTTTTTCACCATTGAGTATGATGTTAGCTGCAGGCTTTTCATAATGCCCTTTATCATGTTGAGGAAGTTTCCTTTTATTCCTAGTTTACTGAGTGTTTTTATCATGAATGACTTTTCTGCATCAAGTGAGATGATCATGTGGGTTTTTTCCGTCTTTCTATTAATGTAATTTATTGTATTGGTTGATTTTCTTATGTTGAATGACCTTTGCATTCCTGCGATAAATCCCATTTGGTCTTGATGTATAATCCTTTTAATATACTGCTCAGTTTGCCAGTATTTTCTTGAGATATTCACATGCAAATTTATAAGGGATATTGGTCTGTAGTTTTCATTTACTGTGGTGTCTTTTTCTGGCTTTGGTAATAGGATACTGCTGGCATCATAGAATGAGTTGGGAATGTTTCTTCTTCTCCAATATTTTGGAAATGTTTGAGAAGGATTGGTATTAATTCTTTACATGTTTTGTGTTAACATAATTCACCAGTAAAGTCATCTAGCTCTTGATTTTTCTTTTTTGGGAGATTTTTGATTACTGATACAATCTCTTTACCTATTACATTGCTATTCAGATTTTCTATTTCTTCTTAAGTCAGTTTGGCAGTTTATGTTTCCAGAAATTTGTCCATTTATGTAGGTGATCATATTTGTTGCTATACAGTTGTTTATACTATTCAGCTATGGTACTTTTATTTCTATAAATTTGGTAGTAATATCTCCACTTTAATTTCTGATATTAGTAATTTGTCTTTTCTCTTTTCTTAGTCAGTCTAGCTAAAGATTTGTCAATTTTTTTCATCTTTTTAAAGAACTAATTTTGGTCTTGTTGATTTTCTCTATTGTTTTTTCTGTTCTTTTTATTTCATTTATCCATGTCTAATCTTTATTTTTTCCTTCCTTCTGCTGGTTTTGGATTTAGTTTGCTCTTCTTTTCCTACTTTCTTAAGCTGTAAAGTTGGGTTATGGATTTAATATTTATCTTTCTTTTTCTCCTTCTTCTTTTTTAAGAGACAGGGTCTTGCTCTGTTGCCCAGGCTATACAGTGCAGTGGCGTGATCCTAGCTCACTGCAGCCTCAAACTCCTGGACTCAAGCAATCCTCCCACCTCAGCCTCCTGAGTAGCTAGGACTACAGGCATGCGCCACCACATCTGGATAATTTTTCTATATTTTTTTAAGAGATGGGATTTCACTGTGTTTCCCAGGCTAGACTCAAGCTCCTGGCCTTAAGTGATCCTCCCACCTTAGCCTCTCAAAGTGCTGAGATTACAGGTGTGAGCCACCATGACCAGCTGTTTTTTACATTTTTAATGTAGGTGTTTATAGCCATTTAAATTTCCTCTAAGCACTGTTTTTACTGCATCACATAAGTTTTATTATGTTGTGTTTTCATTTGTGTTCACCTCAAGGTATTTTCTCATTCCTCTTGTAGATTTTTTATTTGACCTATCGTTTTAGAAGTGTGCTATTTAATTTCTATTTTTTAAATTTTAAACTAAAAATACTTTTCTAACTATTACTTAAAATCCATGTTATATTGTTATCTGTTGCCTCATTAAAAATACATTCTTGTGTATTTTTTCACAGTATATTTATAATTGTTATATTGAATATATATTTATTTATTTATATATTTTTTAATAGTTTTACTTTAGGTTCCGGCATACATGTGCTGGTTTGCTATACAGGTAAATTGCATGTCATGGGGGTTTGGTGTACAAATCATTTCATTGCCAAGGTAATAAGCTTAGTACGCAATAGGTAGTTTTTGGATCCTCACCCTGCTCCCACCCTCCACCTTCAAGTAGGCCCCGGAGTCCATTGTTTCCCTCTTTGTGTCCATATGTTCTCAATGTTTAGCTCCCACTTATATGTGAGAACATGAAATATTTGGTTTTCTGTTCCTGCATTAGTTCTCTTAGAATGATGATGGCCTCCAGCTCCATCCGTGTTGCTTCAAAGGATATGATCTCATTCTTTTTTATGGCTGTATAATATCCCATGGTGTATATGTACCATCTTTCTTTCTTTCTTTCTTTCTTTCTTTCTTTCTTTCTTTCTTTCTTTCTTTCTTTCTTTCTTTCTTTCTTTCTTTTTCTTTCTTTCTTTCTCTTTCTTTCTTTCTTTCTTTTGCTTTTCTCTTTCTTTTTTTTTTTTTGACAGAATTTCACTCTTGTCACCAAGGCTGGAGTACAATGGCACGATCTTGGCTCACTGCAACCTCTGCCTCCCAGGTTCAAGTGATTCTCCTGCCTCAGCCTCCCGAGTAGCTGGGACTACAGGCGCATGCCACCACATTTGGCTAATTTTTGTATTTTTAGTAGAGACGGAGTTTCACCATGTTGGCCAGGCTGGTCTCAAACTCTTGACCTCAGGTGATCCACCTGCCTCGGCCTCCCAAAGTGCTAGAATTACAGGCATGAGACACCATGCCTGGCCAGTACATTTTCTTTATCCAGTCTACCATTGATGGGAATTTAGGTTGATTCCATGTCTTTGCTATTGTGAATAGTGCTGCAACAAACATACACGTTCCTGTGTCTTTATGGTAGAACAATTTATATTCCTTTGGATGTATACCCAATAATGGGATTGCTGGGTCAAATAATAATTCTGTTTTAAGTTCCTCAAGAAATCACCAAACTGCTTTCCACAATGGCTGCACTAATTTACATTCCCACCAGCAGTGCATAAGCATTCCCTTTTCTCCACAACCTTGTCAGCATCTGTTATTTTTTGACTTTTTAATAGCCATTCTGACTGGTATGAGATGATATCTCATTGTGGTTTTGATTTGCATTTCTCTATTGATTAGAGATGTTGAACACTTTTTGTATGCTTGCTGGATGCATGAATGTCTTCTTTTGGAAAGTATCTGTTCATCTCCTTTGTCTCTTGCTAAGAGAGTAGATTTTAAGTGTTCTCACAACAACAAAAATGATAGGTATGTAAGGTAACACATATGTTACTTAGTTCAAGTTAGACAAACTGTAATGTTTACATATTTTAAAGCATCATGTAATACATCATAAAGACAATTTTGTCAATTAAAAAAATAAAATATTTGTCTAGTAAGCCTCCTATAGTTTGAATAATGGTATCTCCCCCAAATTCATATGTTGACACTTAATTGCCAAAGTGATAGTATTAAGTGGGGCCTTTAAGAGGTCATTAACTCATGACGGCAAAGCCCTCATGGGTGGGATTAAGGCCAATATAAAAGGCTTTGGGAGAGTTCATTCATTCTTTTCTGCCCTTCTGCCATGTCAGGACATAGCTTTCCTCCCTTCTGGAGTATGGAACAAGAAGAAGATACCAGGCCCTCACCAGACACCAAATCTGCTGGTATCTTGATCTCGGCATCCCAGCCGCTAAACATGTGATAAATAAATTTCTGTTTATAAATTACCCAGTCTGTAGTAGGATTTTTTTTTTTTTTTTTTTTTTTTTTTTTTTTTTAGCAGCACCAAAGGCCTAAGACAAAGTCCAATGTCTGGGCTTCCTCGAGGACAATTTCTGTTTATTTATTTTCTTCTTTGAATGGGCCATACTTTCCTGTTTCTTTGTATGTTTTGTGGGTTTTTTGTTGTTGTTGTCGAAAACTGGACATTCAAATATCATAATGTGGTAGCTCTGGAAATCAGATTCTCTCCCTCTTCCCCAGGGTTTGTTAATCTTGATTATTGAAGGCTTTGGTTGTATTCCATGTGTTTTTGACTGAGGTTTTCTTGACTGCCAGGAATTAAAAAAAAAATCAAAAACCAAAAATAAACCTTCCCCAGTCATAATAGATTGGTTCTGTGCTGGACCCCTCTTTAAAACTTAGCTAGGCGACTTATAATTCTGCCTCAGCCTTCACTTCACTTACACTGAGCCTATAGATCAGCCAGTGTTGAAAACAAGGTCTTGTCAGGTCTTTTCTGAGCATGGTCCTGTCTTTGGCATGTGCATAGAACCATAAGCTGCTGTCTTCAAGACCTCTGTAGAGTAGGGAAGGGAGCAGGACAAGGGCAATTAAAAACACCAAAAGTGTTTCCTTGCATTTTAAAGTTATCTTTTTCTTGATTCGGTGTTTGCTTGGTTGCTGTAAACATTTGACTGATTTCCAGAGTTCTGGGAAAGTTGATTCTGACAGCTCTGCATTTTTTTTAAATGTTTCTGTGAATAGGCAGGTATTGGGAGGTGCCTACTCTGCCATTTTGCTCCCATCTGATGGAAGCAAAATCTTTCTTGAACTTTTGGTTGACTGATGACATACTCTTTGAGCTCCTGTATGTCTGTGAACATTTTTTTTTTAATTTTTTTTTTTATTATACTCTAAGTTTTAGGGTACATGTGCACATTGTGCAGGTTAGTTACATATGTATACATGTGCCATGCTGGTGCGCTGCACCCACTAACGTGTCATCTAGCATTAGGTATATCTCCCAATGCTATCCCTCCCCCCTCCCCCAACCCCACCACAGTCCCCAGAGTGTGATATTCCCCTTCCTGTGTCCATGTGATCTCATTGTTCAATTCCCACCTATGAGTGAGAATATGCGGTGTTTGGTTTTTTGTTCTTGCGATAGTTTACTGAGAATGATGGTTTCCAATTTCATCCATGTCCCTACAAAGGACATGAACTCATCATTTTTTATGGCTGCATAGTATTCCATGGTGTATATGTGCCACATTTTCTTAATCCAGTCTATCATTGTTGGACATTTGGGTTGGTTCCAAGTCTTTGCTATTGTGAATAGTGCCGCAATAAACATACGTGTGCATGTGTCTTTATAGCAGCATGATTTATAGTCCT
Organism: Homo sapiens; assembly: GCF_000001405.40. Lineage (NCBI taxonomy): Eukaryota > Metazoa > Chordata > Mammalia > Primates > Hominidae > Homo > Homo sapiens. The sequence continues at coordinate 107,035,821 of NC_000023.11, read as the reverse complement.
TTGGGTATATACCCAGTAATGGGATGGCTGGGTCAAATGGTATTTCTAGTTCTAGATCCCTGAGGAATCGCCACACTGACTTCCACAATGGTTGAACTAGTTTACAGTCCCACCAACAGTGTAAAAGTGTTCCTATTTCTCCACATCCTCTCCAGCACCTGTTGTTTCCTGACTTTTTAATGATTGCCATTCTAACTGGTGTGAGATGATATCTCATAGTGGTTTTGATTTGCATTTCTCTGATGGCCAGTGATGATGAGCATTTCTTCATGTGTTTTTTGGCTGCATAAATGTCTTCTTTTGAGAAGTGTCTGTTAACATTTTTAATTTATTCTGGTTTTGAAAGATATTTTGCCTAAGTTGAGAGTGTATTTTTCTCCCTACTTTAAATATATTTATCCTCCCTCTTCTAGCATTCATTGTTTTCAATGAGAAATCTACTGTCATTCTTATCTTTATTCTTGTGAAAGTAATGTGTCTCTGAATGTAATGTATTCTCTGATTGCTTTTAATATTTTCCCTGTATCACTGGTTTTAAGCAGTTTAAGATATGCCTTGGTGTATTGTTCTTTATATTTCTTGTGCTTGAGATTCATTGAGCTTTTAGGATTTGTGGCCTTACAGATTTTTATCATATAGTTTCTGCCATTGTTTCTTCAAATAGTTTTCTCTTCCTTTCTTGAACTCTATTTACACATGTATTAGACTTCTTTAAGTTGTCCCACAGAACTTAATGATGCCCTATCAATTTTTTAGTCTTTCTTCTCTGTATTATGTTTTTTTCTTTTGCTATGTCTTCAAAGTAACCAATCTTTCTTCTGCAATATCTAATCTGCTGTTACTCCCATATAAGGTATTTTTCATCTCAGAAATTGTATTTTTCTGATAAAGTGCACTTTGGGTCTTCCATGTCTTTTAACATGTTCACACTTTCCCCTACTTTTTTGAATATATGGAGTATAGTTATAATAGCTGTTTCAATGTCGGTGCCCAGTAATTCTATCATATGTTTCCTTAGTGTGTCTTTCTATTGATTCACTTTTATCCTCATTATGGGTTGCATTTTCATGCTTATTTGCATGCCAAGTAATTTTTTTAATTAAGTGTCAGCCATTCTGAATATTTCGTTGATGAGAAACGGATTTTTAAAATTATTTTATTTTATTTTGAGTTTTGTTTAGGGGTGTTGTTAAATTACTTGGAAAATCATGGGATACTATTGAGGCTTGCTTTTAAACTTTGTTAGGGTAAGATCAGAGCAGCTTTTAGTCTAGAGCTAGTTTGTCCCCACTACTGAGGTAATACCTTTGTGGCTCCTGGTGCCCTGGAATTATGTTTTCCACTCTGGCTAGTGTGAGTACAAATTATTCCTCACCCCAACTGAGCTCTGAGGATTGCTCCTCCTACTCCTTTCCATCGTACACCACCACCTCTCCATCCCAGCCTCAGGTATTTTCCTCACATGTATAATCAGTACTCAGCTAAAGATTTAAGGAAAACTTTCCACAGATCTCCAGTGTTCATGCTTTGCCGCTCCCTCCTCCATTTTCTCTCTCTCTCTCTCCCTTCCTTCTCCCGCAACCCCCAAACTTCAACTCTCTCATGTCCAGTACTGTGCCTTTCAAATTCTAGGTGTCTCCATCTCTTTGAATTTTCTGTACCCTCAATTCAGGGATATTACCAGGCAGTAAGCTGGGAAATTTTAGGACTTAACCTCTTTTTTTTCCCCTTTTCTTGAAGATAGCTGTCCTGCACTGCCTATTGTTCAATGTATGAAAACCATTATTTTGGGCCAGGCACCGTGGCTCATGCCTATAATCCCTACACTCTGGGAGGCCGAGGTGGGCAGATCACCTGAGGTCAGGAGTTCAAGACCAGCCGGGCCAATATGGCGAAATCCCCGTCTCTGCTAAAAAATAAAAAAATTATTTGGGCGTGGTGGCACATGCCCATAATCCCCGCTACTCAGGAGGCTGAGGCTGGAGAATCACTTGAACCTGGGAGGCGGAGGTTGTAGTGAGCAGAGATCACGCCACTGTACTCTAGCCTGGGCAACAGAGCGAGAATCCATCTAAAAAAAGAAAAAAAGAAAAAGAAAAAAGAAAAAATTATTTTGTACGTTTTGTCCTGTTTTACAGTCATTTAAGGTGGAACCCCAACACTTGGTCTTATTTGTTTTTGTCTTGTTTTGCTTTATATTAACTTTGTTTAAATTGTTCCAAAAAATCTGTGGTAGCTTTTGGTCAGGTTGTTTCCATTTTTAGAGTGTCAATCTTATAAACTGATAACTACATTCTTTATCAGTTATGATGCTTTAGTGGGCAATTTATTAGTTTGCTAGGGCTGCTGTAACAAAGTACCACAGACTGGGTGGCTTACATTACAGAAATTTATTTTCTCACATTCCTGGGCAAGAAGTCAGATCAAGGTGTCCATAGGATTGTTTTCTTCTGAGGCCTCTCTTCTTGGCTTGTAGATGGCTGTCTTCTCTCTGTGTCTTCACATAATTTAACAACACCCCTAGACAAAACTCAAAAAAAATTAAAGAAATTTTAAAAATCCAGTATTCATCAACAAAATATTCAGAATGGCTGACACTTAGTTAGCCGGGTGTGGTGGTGGGCTCCTGTAATCCCAGCTACTCGGGAGGCTGAGGCATGAGAATCGCTTGAACCTGGGAGGCGGAAGTTGCAGTGAGCCGAGATCGTGCTACTGCACTCCTGCCTGGGCGAGAAGAGTGAAAGTCCATCTCAAAATAAATAAATAAATAAATAAGGATTGCTTGGTATTTTGGCTTGTATGTAATTAATGATACCTCTGCCAGCAAGGGATGGGACTAGTAATTTTTGGGTAGGAAACTGACATAGTCTGTTACAAATTTCCACAAAATAAATGATCCACAAAATATTTCTTTTCATCTAAAGTTTTTATGATGCATTGTTATCATTAGCTAGTCTTACACTTAAACTTTTGTAGCTAAGTTAGACAGTTTTAGATGTTTCCTCCTTCAGGATGGAATCCAAAGCTTCATGCAGTGTATTTCAAGCAATGTCATCCTTATATATTAATTCCCATCCATTTGATGAAGTTATTTTAGAGCTTGACTCCAGCATATTTTTCCCATTTCAATTAGAAATTAGAGCAAATACTACTGTTTGGGTTGTAGCCATTTTTGAAAAGTAAGGGCTGGGTTCTTTAACAATTTTGTCATATATTTCCCGGTTGTAGAGTGTCTCGGTGGAATTCATTTTTTAAAACAAACAATTATTTTATGTTAGCCAATTCCATCAGGCTTAAGTGTATGTGTAAATGTTTTAGAAGAAAACATTTGTGTCCTGAGACATTAATGATGAGCACATAGGATTTGAAGGTGTTGAATGTCCATAGAAAGATATTGGTGATGCCATCACGTTCATGTTTAACTTAACGATTTATTCAAGGCCCAGGCTTATTTGAGGGATCTCTTTCCCAGCTCAGGTACTGCCTTCTCAAACTTCTCAATGGTTCTTTTATCAATTCCACTGTATTTGCAAACCAGATGGCCAATATTGGTGGACTTGGCAGGGCCTATATGCCAATGGCTATGATAATGATGTATAGATTTTTACCCTTTCCTATTTTGGCTTGAGTGTAATGATGGTTTTTTACAACTCTCTTTTGGCATTGTCCCATTGCCCCAACCCATATTTCTATCCTGGATAAGAACACTCCCTGGTCCCCTAGGTTAAATGCAGACAGTTTTAGTTAGGAGAACTCACTAACACCTGAAGAGAGGATGGTGAGATTGAGGAGGAAATTCTAAGCCAAGAGTAAACTTTTCTCCCTCTGTCAATGGGGTGGGTGTATTCAAGGTGACAAGCATGAGACGCAGTTGCGGGAATCTTTACTCATTTAAGAAACTATCTAGTAAGATTGAAAAGTAGACATTAAGAGTGAAGACTCAATATTTGGGTTCACATCTCAGCTCCACCAGTAACTAGTGTGTGTGCTTGGGTTAGTCATTTAATCTCTCCGTGTCTCAGTTTCCTCATTTGTAAAAGGAAATATCAACTACCATGTATATTGTAATGAGTTAATATTTGTTGGACTGGAGGTGTAAATATTATTAAATTCCTATGGATGAAGTGAGCAATTAAAAGGAAGCTTTCATCTGTCTTGTGGGAATTTATCAGTCCGAAAGGCTGCTCCAAGTTATCTTTGTGAAGGAACTACTATATTCCAGCAGTTGATGGAAAAAGTGATTGGTAATTGGAATTACCTGGTGATGTTAGTTTATTTAAATGGTATAATTATATTTGCCAGGAATTTGGAGGAGAATTAATGATAACTGCTCTTAATATGGAACCCTTTGCAAAATGCAAGCCTGAAGGTATTCATTGGCAAATGCCAATTCTACCAGTCCTGGATTACATAGGGCATATTATGCCACGACTGGAGATGATCACAGATTTTCAAAAGATTTTTGTTCTTATCAACTGTCTCTGTTCAGCAATTATATTAATTAAGGATGTTCTTGAGGTTCAATGGGCATTACAGATTTCTGAAACCCCTTTATGAACTGACTTGGAGTTACTAGATTTAAAATGGGGTATTTCAATGACCAGATAGCCAGGTCATTCTACCCCTTTAGGGATTAGCCAGAAAAGGCCTGTATGGCCAGACATGGTGGCTCATGCCTGTAATCCCAATACTCGAGGTCAGGAGTTTGAGACCAGCCTGGCCAACATGGTGAAACCCTGTCTCTACTAAAAATACAAAAAAAATTAGCCAGACATGGTGGTGGGTGCCTGTAATCCAGCTATTTGGGAGGCTGAGACAGGAGAATCACTTGAACCTGGGAGGTGGAGGTTGCAGTGAGCCGAGATCACACCACTGCACTCCAGCCTGGGCAAGAGTGAGACTCCGTCTCAAAAAAAAAAAAAAAAAAAAAGCCTACAGATAGGTATTTCAGGCAGTGATGACCTGTTTAGGCTTCCATCCTAACATTTTTGACCTCCCCAAAACTTGTATTTACCATTCTTTTTACATTAGGATTGTGGTTTATCAGGACAATTAAGAAGAGAGGATATATGTATGTAGTTATTGCCAGTATAAGTCTGTCTGCAGGTGAGATTCAATATCCTATTCACAAAATATCATTCTTGGCTTTAAAAGGGCTCTTACAGAGAATATGTTTATAGTGTGCCTTTTCTTATGTACTGCTTATCTGTATACTTACCAATGCTGATAGGTGCTACTAGCAATAGCACTCATATATTAATTTTATGATTCAGTACAATATTTTCTACAGCCTTGGGTTTAAGATTAAGACAGTGATGCTGTTTTTCACAAGGCATATCTAAGGCTATTGAAAGTATCTTGGATGAAGGGTTCAGGGCCATCTAGCTCCCAAAGTATAGCATACTTTTCTGAATGAGAAATAGCAGAAATTGGGGCTGGTCTCCAGGGAATGGGTCTATGGTGGTGATCAACTCTGGTCCTAACAACCTGTCAATCTTCCAACTAGGAGTGAGACCCAGAGGAATGGACAATGGACAGAATGCAAGCTAAAGCGGCTGATTAATGGAAAGACCCAGGGCCTCCTAGGATAAATTTTGTAAGATATTTCCAGAGGAATATATATTTTGCTTGAAGAATAGCATAAATGAGTACTGATTAAAGGTATGTTACATTATAACCTGGGTAAGGGCAATAGAAACAACTAATTATACCTCAAAAATACTAGTCCCATGGTTTTGAGAGTTTTACAACGTGGTATTAGCCATTTGGGTAGGGAAATAACTGTAGACACAGGACCTAATTTGGGGCTAAAGATGGCTAAGGGCATCAAAATGTGAAACTTCTATTCTCTGCATCCAATGAAGAAAACTGCCAACACAGCAACTTCCCTGGAAGCCATTCAAAGCCAAACACTCAGAGTTGGTAGGTGTAACTTCTTTACTGTTTTGAATACCCAAATGGAACACAATAAAATACATTTCCAAAAAGATAAATCTTACTCTTAGCCAATTAGTCACTTGCCCTGAGCCCAGAAGAATGTGCAAGAAAGGGATCTCTTTTCAGAACTGGAAGTAGCTTTTCCACACTATGTAGCTCATCCTGCTAACAGATGTATGTGTGTTGAATTTTTTTTTTTTTTGAGACAGAATCTTGTTCTGTCACCCAGGCTGGAGTGCAGTGGCGCGATCATGGCTCACTGCAGTCCCAACCTCCCAGGCTCAAGTGATCCTTCCACCTGAGCCTCCTGAGTAGCTGGGACTACAGCTGTGAGCCACCATGTCCAGCTAATTTTTTCTCGCTATGTTGCCCAGGCTGGTCTTAAACTCCTGGGCTCAAGCAGTCTTCCTGCCTTGGCAATGCAAAGTGTTGGGACTACAGGTGTGAGCCACCGCACCTGGCCTACATGTTGAACCGTTGTATTAATTCCTGGAGCCATCCATGTAGTCACCTTTCTCCTAGGGAACCACTTCCCTCTTGGAGTCATCTCTTCATTTTTCTACAGGCCTCTCCTGCTGTTAAGCCTCTCTCTTCTTCTGAGCTCCTACATTTTCTTTGCTTCAGTCTCTCACCTAGATTGTTTGTTATCTATTTATTCCATTTAGTTCTTTCATTGAAGATGGGAAGGGCTTTAAATCCATGTGGATGGAGTATGGGATCAAGAAAAGCCCGCATCATTCTAGCATCCAAAAATAACTGTAAGTCATTACGCTAGGAGTCCCAATCTGTGTTTACAGTTACATTCAAATAGCCTCCTTCTATTATCCTAGTTTCATGTGTGTGTGTGTGTGTGTGTGTGTGTGTGTGTTTTGAGACAGAATCTTGCTCTGTCACCCAAGCTGCAGTGCAGCCTCAACCTCCTAGGATCAGGTGATCCTCCCACCTCAGCCTCCCTAGTAGCTGGGACTACAGGCATGCACCACCATAACCAGGTAATTTTTGTATTTTTTGTAGAGATGAGGTTTTGCCATGTTGCCCAGGCTGGTCTCCTGGGCTCAAGCAATCCGCCTGCTTCGGCCTCCCAAAGTGCTGGGATTACAGGCATGAGCCGTGGTGCCTGGCCCTAGTTTCTACATACTGGCATACCTTGTTTCATTGCACTTCACTTTGTTGCACTTTGCAGATATTTTGTTTTTTATAAATTGAAGGTTTGTGGCAACCCAGTGTCTATCGGTACCATTTTCCCAATGGCATGTGCTTACTTTGTGTCTCCGTGTCACATTTTGGTAATTCTCACAATATTTCAAACTTTTTCATTATTATTATATCTGTTATGGTGATCTGTGGTCAGTGATCTTTGATGTTACTATCTTAGTTGTTTTGGGGCACCACAAACTATGCCCATATAAGATGGCAAACTTAATCCACAAATGTGTGTGTTCTGACTGCCCCACTGACTGGTGTTCCTCCATCTCTCTCCCTCTCCTTGGGCTTCCCTATATCCTGAGACACAACAATATTGAAATTAGGGTAACTAATAACTCTACAATGGCCTCTAAGTATTCAAGTGAAAGGAAGAGTCACATATCTCTTGCTTTAAATAAAAAGCTAGAAATGATTAAGCTTAGTGAGGAAGATATGTCAAAAGCTGAGATAGGCTGAAAGCTAGGCCTCTTATGCTAAACAGTTAGCCAAGTTGTGAATGCAAAGGAAAAGTTCTTACAGAATAGTAAAAGTGCTACTCCAGTAAACACACAAATGATAAGAAAGCTAAACAGCTTTATTGCTAATATAGAGAAAGTTTGAGTTGTCTGAATAGAAGATCACACCAACCACAACATTCCCTTAAGCCAAAGCCTAATCCAGAGCAATGCCCTAACTCTCTTTAATTCTATGAAGTCTGAGAAAGGTAGAAAGCATCGGAGGAAATGTTTGAAACTAGCAGAGGTTCATTTATAAGGTTTAAGAAACAAGGCTTTCTCTATAACATAAAAGTGTAAGGTGAGGTAGCAAGTGCTGATGTAGAAACTGCAGCAAGTTTTCCAGAAGAGCTTGCTAAAATCATTGATGAAAGTGACTAAACAACATATTTTCAATGTAGCAGGAAAAAAGCCTTCTATTGGAAGAAAATGCCATCTAGCATTTTCATAGCTAGAGAGAATTCAATGCCTGGCTTCAAAGCTTCAAAAGACAGACTGACTCTTTTCTTAGGGGCCAGTGCAGCTGGTGACTTTAAGTTGATACCAATGCTCATTTACCATTCTAAAAATCCTAGGGCCCCAAGAATTATGTTAAATCTCTGCTTGTGCTCTATAAATGGAACAACAAAGCCTAGATGACAGCACATCTGTTTATAGCATGGTTTACTGAATATTTTAAACCTACTATTGAGACCTATTGCTCAGAAAAAAGATTCCTTTAAAAATATGACTGCTCATTGACAGTGCACCTGGTCACCTAAGAGCTCTGATGGAGATGTACAAGGAAATCAATGTTGTTTTCATGCCTGCTAACACAGCATCCATTCTGCAGGAGTAATTTTGACTTTCAATTTCTGTTTTTTTAAGAAATACATTTCATAAGGATATAGCTGCCATAGACAGTGATTCCTCTGATAGATCTGGGCAAAGTTGAAAATTGAAAACCTTCTGGAAGTTGAAAACCTGGAAAGGATTCACCATTCTAGATGCCATTAAGAACATTTGTGATTTATGGAACAAGGTCAAAATATCAATATTAACAGGAGTTTGGAAGAAGTCGATTCCAGCCCTCATGGACAACTTTGAGAAGTTCATGACTTCATTGGAGGAAATAACTGCTGATATGGTGGAAATAGCAAGAGAACTAGAATTAGAAGTGGAACCTGAAGATGTGACTGAATAGCTTCAATCTTATGGTAAAATTTGAATAAACAAAGGGTTGTTTCTTATGGATGAGCAAAGAAAATAGTTCCTTGAAATGGAATTTACTTCTGATGAAGATGCTGTGAACATTGTTGAAAAGAAAACAATGGATTTAGAATATTACATAAACTTATTTGATAAAGCAGTGGCAGGGTTTGAAAGGACTGACTCCAATTTTGAAAGTTTTACTGTAGGTAAAATGATATCAAATGGCATTGTGTGCTACAGAGACATCTCTCCTGATAGGAAGAGTCGATCAATGTGGCAAACTCATTTCTTATCTTATGTTAAGAAATTGCCACAGCCATCCCAGCCTTCAGCAACTACCACTTTGATCAGTCAGCAGCCATCAACATTGAGGTAAGACCCTCCACCAGCAAAAAGATAATGACTAGCTGAAGGCTCAGATGATTGTTAGCATTTTTTAGCAATAAAGTTTTTTTTTTTTTTTGAGATGGAGTTTCACTCTTGCTGCCCAGGCTGGAGTGCGATGGCACAGTCTTGGCTCACTGCAACCTCTACCTCACGGGTTCAAGCAATTCTCCTGCTTCAGGCTCCCAAGTAGCTGGGATTACAGGCGCCCACCACCATGCCCTAATTTTTGTATTTTTAGTGGAGATGGGGTTTCACCATGTTGGCTAGGCTGGTCTTGAACTCCTGACCTCAGGTGATCTGCCCGCCTCGTCCTGTCAAAGTGCTGGGATTACAGGTGTGAGCCAGCACACCCGGCCCAATAAAGTGTTTTTAATTCAGATATGTACATTGGTTTTTTTTAGACATAATGGTATTGCACACTGAATACACTACAGTATAGTGTAAGCATAACTTTTATATGCACTAGGAAACCAAAAAATTTTTGTCACTTACTTTATTGCAACATTCACTTTACTGTGGTGCTCTGGCACTGAACCCACAATATCTGCAAGGTATGTCTGTATTTGCGACTGCAACCCCACCCAACACACACACCATTTTAAGGAAGGATCAATTAAATCAAAAGACTACGAATATTTTACTATGGCTAAAGTATAATGGGAACTCTTGTGTTGGCTGCAGCTAGTGTAATGAGCTCCCTGTCTACCCTCCACTCTCCACATACTAATATCCATTTGTTACCATTGATAAACTATGAGAAGTGTTTGTTTGTTTGTTTGTTTATTCTGGGGAGAGGAACCAAAAGAGATGAAGAAAGAGAACAGAGGTGATAATATAGGATGTGTTCCCAGCCCTGTGTACTGAGTGACCCCTTGTGGTTAGAGAAGGATGAACAAACCAGAAATGGCAGGGAACATTCAAGAAAGGCTCTGAAATTCTGGGCGTAAGTGGGTTAGCTTTAGATCTAAGTCAACACAGTGTAATACAGAATAGGAAAAGCCCTTTTTGCCTATTCTTGGGACTCAGTACTGATTTGATACCCTAAAGAGCGAGCATTTTTGAAGCATGCAGAGACAGTTTACTTGACACTATAGGTGGTATCAGTGGTCATGCTTTTCTGAGTAGCTCGTCAGGCAGCAGTTGTAGACAAATGGGATTCAGAAAAGGAGAAAAGAACAGGGTGACTGCTCAGTGATAACTACAGTGGATAAATTAGTTTATATCACATGAGAGACATCTCTTTGCTGCAGTCTCCCAGTGGACATTTGTATTACATACATATACACAGGCACACATATTCATGGAAAACTGTATTGACGGCATGAGTATGTATATAGAAAGACAAAATAATCTACAGATAAAAACTATAATAAGTGAATTTGGCCATTTTACTAAATAGAAAGTCATTATGTAAAAGATCAATTTTATTTCAATAGACTAGCAACAAGTAATTGTAAATGAAAAAATTTTAAAAATACTATTTAGAATAACATAAAATACCTAGGAATTAGATTAACAAGACCTCTACACAAGAACCTACAAAATATTAGTGAGAGAAATTGAAGCAGATGTAAATAAATGGAGGAATTTACTAAGTTCTTGAAGAACTCAATATTGCAAAGATGTGAGTTCTGCCCAAATTGATTTATAAACATAATATAGTCCAATTAAAATCTCAGCACATTCTTTCTTCAGGGAGTGGAAATTGACACGCTCACTCTAAAATTTAGAAAGTGATGCAAAGAGCCAAGAATAGCCAAGACAATCCTAAAGTAGAAGAACAAAGGGAAGATTAACACAGATAGCAATACTTATAAAACTACATTAATAAAGACTGTGGCCTTTTCAAAAGGACAGACAAATAGACTAATAGAACAGAACACAGTCCAGAAATAGGTCCACACACATATGACATTTGATTTGTGACAAAGATAACACTGCAGAGCAGTGGGAAAAGGAATTCTTTTAAATTAATTGTTCTAGGTCTATAGAAGGAATGAAGGAAGAAATGAATCTCAGCCACAACCTCACACCTATACAAAAATGATTTCAAGGTGGATTGTAGATCTAAATGTGAGAGGCAAAACAGTAAAGCTTCTAGAGCATAACATAATAAAGCATATTTATGATTTTTGGAATAACAAATATTTTTAAATGGGAGGCAAAAATAACACTAACCATTAAAGGGAAATATTAAATTGGAATATATTAAAATTAAGAACTTCTGATCATCAAATTGTACCATTAAGAGAGTGAAAAGGCTGGCCAGGCGCAGTGGCTCACGTCTGTAATCCCAGCAGCACTTTGGGAGGCCAAGGCAGGCGGATCACTTGAGGCCAGAAGTTTGAGACCAGCCTGGCCAACATGGCGAAACCTTGTCTCTACTAAAAATACAAAATTAGCTGGACCTGGTGACGCATGCCTGTAATCCCAGCAACTCGGGAGGCTGAGGCAGGAGTATCACTTGAACCCAGGAGGTGAAGGTTGCAGTGGCCCAAGATTGTACCACTGCACTCCAGCCTGGGCGACAGGGCAAGACTTTGTCTCAACAAAAACAAAACAAAACAACAACAACAACAAAAAGAGTGAAAAAGCAAGCCACAGAGTAGGAAATGTTTGAAAAATATATTGCTGACAAAGTACTCATATACTATACAAAATAAAGAACTACAAATCAGTAAGAAAAAGACAGAAGCCAGGCGTGGTGGCTCACGCTTGTAATCCTAGCATTTTGGGAGGCCAAGGCAGGCAGATCACCTGATGTCAGGAGTTCGAGGCCAGCCTGACCAATTTGGTGAAACCCTGTCTCTACCAAAAATACAAAAATTAGCCAGGCATCGTGGCAGGCGCCTATAGTCCCAGCTACTCAGGAGGCTGAGACAGGAGAATTGCTTGAACCCGAGCAGCGGAGGTTGCCATGAGCTGAGATCTCGCCATTGCACTCCAGCCTGGATGACAGAGCGTGACAGAGCGAGACTTCGTCTCAAAAAAAAAAAAAAAAAGGGCAAAAGACTTGAAGAGGCACTTAATAAAAAAAGATATACAAATGGCCAAAAAACATATTAAAAACTGGGCCATGTCATTAATCATCAGTATGTTCAAATTAAAGCCACAATGATAAACCACTACACATCCATGTGGACATTAAACTAACACTAGCAAATTATGAGGATATGGAGCAAAAGGAACTCTCATATATTCTTGGTAAAAATTTAAATTGATACAATCACTTTGGAAAAACTTTTGGCAGTCTCTACTAAAACTGAACATATGAATATTCTAAATGTATATAAAAGGCTTATCACTACAGTAACATTTCAATAAAATGATGTGTAAGATATATGAGAATAATCTTTTTTGGATAAAGTACTTTGAAAAGCCAGTAGGGTGAGGGAAAAATTATCATGAGGCATGGCGTCTAAGATTGTTGCTTCCTTGCTGATCACTAGGCTTTCTTTTGCTAAATGGGGTGCCAAGATAAAGGTAAAAGTTGAGTATCTCTGGATAATTGGGATAATCTTGAGAAACAGTTTGCATGAAGAAGAAGAAGGATTGCTAATGGATGAGAAGAATATTAAAAAACAAGGGTGTTTGACAACTATCAAATTTCATAAAGATGCATAATACAAACTCTTTCCCTGGATTACATTCATTTAGGGGATGCCCTGGTGGACCTGTAGCAAGAACAAGGGCTGCCCATGGGGAACCTGTCACATATTGGTGGCTATTGTTATTATGCTGAACACATTTTAGCCAGTATTACAACCCAGTTACTATCAAAAGAAATGAACATATAGCTTGAAAGTGGTCCTTCCCCTTGGAGGCTCTAGCCTTTAAGTTGTCCTGGGAAGATACCACAGTATCTGCCCTTCCAACTCCCAGCTGGTGGACCTAAAAGCAATTTTTGAGGATCAAGGTTTAGGAATGATACAAGACTTACAGATCAAGGAAAATCACTTTCAAGTTGTCAGAAAGAACATACTGCTCAGGTAGGTGCAGAGGCTGTGAATTCAACTAAGGAGGGTTTTGGGGGATTTTGTTTATTTTATTTATTTATTTCTTTTGACAAAGTCTCCCTTTGTTGCCCAGGCTCAAGTGCAGTGGTGCGAACATGGCTCACTGGAGCCTTGATCTCATGGGCTCAATCGATCCTCCCATCTCAGCCTACCAAGTAACTGGGACTATAGGCTATATAAAAGGCTTATCGTGACAGTAACATTTCACACCCCATGCCTGGCTAATTTAAAAAAAAATGTAGAAATGGAGGTCTCATTTTGTTGCCCAGGCTGATCTCAAACTCCTGGGCTCAAGCAATCTCCCCACCTCGGCCTACGAAAGTGCTGGGATTATAGGTGTGAGTCACTGTGCCCAGCCAAGGAAGACTTTAATTACAAGATTAATGATACAAACAAACTAGCATTAAACATATGGCAAAGGAGGTAGAAAAAATAAATCAAAACCTCTTGATTGCAGCAGTTCACTGTGTGCTTGAAAAGTAGCTAAGAGGAACCAAGGTGCACAAATCTGGGCCCAAGGTTGTTGTAAGGTGCTATTATAACATAACATGATTGTGAAAAGATTAGAGAAAGGTGACAGAGTAAGATAGTGAAGTGGGGGAAACATAGAGTACAAAAGCAGAAAACATAGCAATGTCCATTAGAGGAAAAAAAAGAGTGCTTATAAATAGCATATATTATTGGGCTCCATTTCCCCCTCTGTAGGAAAAAGCAAAAATAGCTCTGAAAAATTGCTGATGACTATTTGTACTTGAACTTACATGCCCTTTAAAGTATGGCATAGGGGAGATTCGAGTGCCTATTTATTCCCAAGGAGCACCCGGCTCATTAGGGCAAGCAACCTTTCAGGACCCAAATAGGGTCTGTTTCACTTAACTATCTGTTTAGCTGTGCTTTGTATTTTTAAATACTAATTACACATAGATGGGAGGACAAACACTGAATTAATATAGTAAGTTGCCTTCTCTTATAAACCAGAAGAGAATATTTATTTTATTTTAACAGATATATGTGTAGTCACATCATATTGGATATGAGTTGTTCCATTAGCCTCAGGATCATGTCAAAGTCATGCAAATTTGTTTTTTAAGTTTTTGGAGGTGTATTTCACATTAAAAAATTAACCCATTTAAAATGTACATGCCAATGTTTTTAATATATTTACTGGGTTGAGAAACTATCACCACAATGTAATTTTAGAAAATTTTCATCCTCCCTAAAAGTAACCCTATATCCATTAGCAGTCACTTCACTTTTCTTCCCATGTGACCACCAACTCCTAATCAACCAATAATGTACTTTCTGTCTCTATAAATTAGGAACCCAGGTGGGAGGATTTCTTGAAGCCAGGAGTTCAAGACCAGCCTGGGCAACATAGTGAAACCTCTGTCTCTACAAAACATAAACATTTTAAAAATCAGCAAGGCATGGTGGTGTGTGCCTATAGTCTCAGCTACTGGACAGGCTGAGGCAGAAGGATTGCTTGAGCCCAGGAGTTCAAGGCTAGAGTGAGCTATGATTGCACCACCCAGTATGGGCAATAGTGCAAGATCCTGTCTCTTAAAAAAAAATTATAAAACTGAGTACCTTACAAATTTTTCAATGGAGACCAGTTACTAAATCTATAGTTATTTTCTGTCATTTAACATGTCATAATAAGTGACTAAAGTCATGTACTTGTAGAACAGATGTTCATATATTCATGTTCCAGACAGGTCAAGTTAATCTACATACCCAGTATTATCTAATCAATTTTTTTTTTTGGACGTAGTCTCACTCTATCGCCCAGGCTGGAGTGCAGTGGCGCAATCTGGGCTCACTGCAATCTCCACCTCCTGAGTTCAAGTGATTCTCCTGCCTCAGCCTCCTGAGTAGCTGGGATTACAGGGGCATGCCACCATGCCCGGCTAATTTTTTTGTATTTTTAGTAGAGAAGGGGTTTCACCATGTTGGTCAGGCCACTCTCGAGCTCCTGACCTCAGGTGATCCACCCACCTTGGCCTCCCAAAGTGCTGGGATTACCGGTGTGAGCCACCATGCCCAGCTCAATGCTTAAAAAAAAAAAAAAGTAGTGTGCATATACAAAGATTTATTCAAATTATTACTGAGGGAATCAGCATGATGATAAGGCAGACTCAAAGGAGGATATGCGAGACTGAACTTAAGATAGTCAGTGGCCATTTGGTACAGCTGAAGGGTGCAGCTGAGACACCCTTTAGTAAGGAGATTAGCAAAACTAAAAGGGATCCAGGTGCTAATAGTCAAGAGTATGTAAAAAATGACCCCAAAATCTGGGCCACTCTGGCAGGAGCAGCCGTGGCTCAGATGGCCCCAATGACCCCAGATACTTGTGCTACCATTATGGAGGGCACAAGCCATAAGCCTTGGTGATGTCAACATGGAGTTAATTCTGCGGGTCCACAGAATGAAAGAGCTATGGAGATGTGACTGCCTCCACCAAGATTTTAGAGGATGTATTGGAAAACCTGGGTGCCCAGGCAGAAACCTGTCCCAGGAGTGGAGCTACCACCAAGAGTCCCCATTGGGTAAAGGCCCTGTGGAGCTGCAGGGGTGGGGCTTCTGTCTGGACTCTAGAATGGTAAAACAACTGGCAGCATACCACCTCAGCCTGGAAAAGTTGCTGGCATTAGATTCCAACCCTAAGAGAGTGGCCACATGGGCTGTGTCCAGCAAAGTCATGGGACGGGGGCAGCCTGAGGCCTTGGAAGTCTACCCCTCCCACCAGCATGCCCAGGATGTGGGACATGGAGTTAAAGGAGATTATTTGGAGCTTTAAGGTTTAATGTCTGCCTTGCTGGGTTTTGGAATTGTCTGGGGCCTGTTACCCCTTTCTTTTGGCCAATTTCTCCCTGTGGGAAATGAGCATGTTTACCCAATGCCCTTAAAACCATTGAATCTTGGAAGTAAATAATTTGTTTTTTATTTTGCAGGCTCATAGCTGGAAGGAACTTAACTTGAGTCTCAGATAAGACTTTGAACTTTTGAGTCTATGCTAAAACTAGTTAAGACTTTTGGGATTCTTGGATAAAGTGATTGTATGTTGCATGTGAGAAGAACTTGAGTTTTGTGGGGCCAGGGGAAGAATGCTATGTTTTGGATGTTTGTCCTCTCTAAACCTCATGTTGAAATTTGATCCCCAATGTGGCAATGTTGAGTGGTGGAGTGTATTAGTCCATTCTCACACTGCTCTAAAGAAATACACAACACTGGGTAATTTATAAAGAAAAGCTGTTTAATTGGCTCATGGTTCTACAGGCTGTACAGGAAGCATGATGGTTTCTGAGGAGGCCTCAGGAAACTTTCAATCATGGTGGAAGATAAAAGGGAAGCAGACGTGTCTTACACAGCCATAGCAGGCAGGAGAGACGGGGAAGTGCTACATGCTTTTAAATGACCAGATCTGGTGAGAAGTCACTCATTATTGTGAGAACAGCACCCAGGGGGATGGTGTTAAACCATTAGAAGGTGATCCAATCACTTTCCCCAGGCCCCACCTCCAATACTGAGAATTACAACTGAAAGTGAGATTTGAGGGGGACACAGATCCAAACCGTATCATGGGACCTGGTAGGAGGTGTTTAGGCCATGGGAGTGATGCCTCATGAATAGATTAATGCCTTAGGATGGGGGTAGTGACCAAGTTCTGGGTCTTTTCCTTCCCTCAAGAGCTGTTTGTTAAAAAGAGCCTGGCACCTGGGCATGATGGCAGGTGCCTGTAATCCCAGCTAATGGGGAGCCTGAGGTGAGATAATTGCTTGAACCTAGAAGGCAGAGGTTGCAGCAAGATCATGCCATTGCACTTCAGCCTGGATGACAGAGCAAGACTGTCTCAGAAAAAAAAAGAGACTGACACCTCCCCTCCATCTTGCTTCCTCTCTTGCCATATGATCTCTTTGCATAAACCAGCTTCCCCTTCTTTCCTTCATGAGTTGAAGCAGCCTGAGGCCCTCACCAGATGCAAATAAACCTCTTTGCTTTACAAACTACTTAGTCTCAGGTATTCTATTATAGTAACACTGAACAGGCTAAGAGAAAACCTAATCACCAAGGTGATGGAATTAGGCGGTGGGGCCTTTGGGAGGTGATTAGGTCATGAGGGTGGAGCTCTCATGAATTAGATTGGTACTCTTATAAAAGAGGCCTGTGGGAGGTTATTAGTCCCTTTGTCCTTCTACCATGTGAGGACACATAGAAGGTGCCATCTATGAGGAGCAGGTCGTTAGCAGACGCTCAATCTACTAGTGCCCTGATCTTAGACTTCCCAGCCTACAGAACTGTGAAAGATAAATTTCTGTTGTTTATAAATTACCCAGTCTAAAGTATTTTGTTAATGCAGCCTGAACAGGCTAAGATACACATGTATACAGAGACAAACACAGAGATATGTGCACTTCAATTGGGGACATACTCAGACCCATCACAATGCCTTCATAGAAACACACACAAATATACACAGATACTTGCACACACACACATATATACACACACATATACACATACATATCTATTTATATACACATACACACATATGCATACACATACACGGATGGGCCACTCTCAGGCCCAGTGAGGGCATGAGCCAGTCATATAAACTCACACAGACTATGTCAGTTTAATGTTATTTAGACAAGGATTCCAAATTGCCCACCAAGACATCATGGAGGTCAACTGGTCATTTTAAATTTTAAAGGACATCTGGTCCATATTGCTGGCTCCCATATAATCCTATCACCCCCAGCTAATTGAACTCTTTCACATACAAGAGAATAATCAGGCCTACTACCATTTTGGAAAGGTTACTCTGTCCCAGGTATTTTTCCAAGTATTTTACATATATCACCTCATTTTATTCTCACAGCAACTCAATGAGAGGGGCCATAAACACCACACTATGCTGCCTTTCTCCTTAACACAACACAGGTGACCTTCCCTCCTTTTTGTTTCATACTTTCTTTTTTTTTTTTTATGAGGTGGAGTCTCATTCTGTCCCCCAGGCTGGAGTGCAGTGGCGCCATATCAGCTCACTGCAACCTCCGCCTCCCAGGTTCAAGCGATTCTCCTGCCTCAGCCTCCTGAGTAGCTGGGATTACAGGCATGTGCCACCACGCCTGGCTAATTTTTGTATTTTTAGTAGAGATGGGGTTTCACCATATTGGCCAGGCTGGTCTCGCACTCCTGACCTCGTGATCCGCCCTGCCTCTGCCTCCCAAAGTGCTGGGATTACAGGCGTGAGCCACCGCATCCGGCCTCCAAAATATTTTCATATGCACTATTTCAAGTTGATTTTGAATCTGGAAATAACACTGTGAAGTAGGAAAGTTTGGCGTTGTAATTCCCATTTCATAGCTGAGAGTCACTTAGGTTAAGAAACTTTCTTAAGACTGTAACAACTAAGAAATATAAGCCAGATCTTAACCTTATTTTTGCATACTCCAGTTCCAGTACTTGTGTATATTTATTCCTTTGTTCATTTATTATACATTTATGTTCCTTAGCACTTTCCAGACACTGTACCAACTAATATAAAAACAAAAATAGAATAAGACATAGCCTTGACTTTGAAATAATTGGCATTGTAGAGGGGAAGAAAGACCAGTAGAGAGATATATCATAATATCATGTGCCGGATGCTGGGAGAGAGACTTGGGAAAACTGGGTAGAATAACTGGTTCTGCTGAGGGAGCCAGCATCAAATGGAGACCACGCACCACAGACTACAGAAAGGCCATGCTTTGTCCACGCTGCAGGAATATCTGCCTTTCTGTGTGCAATAGATGGTGGTGAGATGGTTTCTCAAAAACTGTGAAGTCAGTCATGTTCATCTACCTTTTCCTTAGGGAAGATGTGAAAGGTAGTAATCATTAATTGAAGTACAACTTCTAAGCCAATGCAATATCAGTTCATCAATTATTTAGGGACTGATAGGATTTTGTTACAGACAGCTAAATTATTATAAGCAAGAAACGACATAACCAAATGTGTCCTTTAAAACTTGTTATGTGGTTTCCTAGTTATTTTAGAAAGTAAGTTTCAGGTAAGAAAATTCTGGCCCAAACAAGGTGAAATGTTACAATTCATATGGGGTCTTATGCTCATTTTTTTTTTTTACTTTTAATTTTTAGATGCCTTATACATTTCTCTCTCTCTCTCTCTCTCTCTCTCTCTCTCTCTCTCTCTCTCTCTCTCTCTCTCTCTATTATGGAAATTTTCAGCATACCCAAGGGTGGAGAGAATAGTAGAATCCATATCCATCACCTAGTTTCAAAAATTACAACATTTTACTAATCTTTGTCTCACCTACTTCTTCATAGAGCCACACCTTTTTTTCTTGAGTATTTTAAAGCAACTATGGTCTTATTTTGGAGAAAGGTTTGAAGTGGTGTAAAGTTAGAATGACAAAGTATATGTCCTTCTAAACTTCACGAGTCTTTAGCCCTAAATAAATTGCCAGTGTGATTTTCAAAAACACCATTTCTGTTTTAGTGTAATTTTTCTTATGGCAACACACAGCTCTGCTAGACAAGGTGTCTTCTGGCCCTTCTCCCTTTAAAAGAGTTCTGCCAGAACAAACAAAGTGGAAAAGGTTTTTGACTTCAGGTAAGAACAAAGCACAACATAGAAATAGATACATAGGAGTTTTGGCTAAATATAATGGATACCATTTTTGTCACTGTTCTGGAAGTTTGGTATATTGGGGTTTTAGGATAACATGACTGTCCTCCCTGTCACTGGAGCTATGATTTCACTTGTTTCCTTGTTCTATATTTTCAGGAGAGCCACCTCTTAGTTGGTGGGCTTAAGATATCCTGGAATTCACTATGATGATCACAAGGTGAAAATTGGTGAGTACCTTTTTGGAGTACAACTGTTAGGCAACGTTATCACCAGCATTAGAAATGGGAGATGGTTTCCAATTCAGATAGTTTTATTCCCAAAGATAAAAGCTTCAATGTTTCTTTTACCAAAGAAATAACTTAAGTGTGAATAAAAGGGGAATAATAAAGTAAATCAGAGTGCATCTATATAAAGTGGAATGTAATAAAAGCATGGTTTATAAAAACTTGCTTATATTATTACATTGCATGATAAAAGCGATATATTAAATTATATGTCTAGGATGAGCTCAACTATGTAAAAAGTGCATGGAAACAAAACTGGAAGGTAATATGTCAAAAGCATAAGAGTGGTTGCTTCTGAGTGGTAGGGTTATGAGTGATTCTTCTTCTGTTTGTTTTTATACTTTTCTATATTTTTACAATTTTCTACAGTGAGCTTGTAATTACTTGTATAATCAGAAAAACATTTTTTTCTAAATAAAAGGTACAAGCAAGTCTTATAATCCCAGTGCCTAGAAGATCAGCAATCTGTTTTGAATGTTTCCAAGGCAGTGAACCAGGCAAGAGTAAGAAGGATGATTTCAGAGTCCCTAGAGGAGACTTGTGTAGTTAGTTCCTAGGAAACCAGAAGTTTTAGCCACTCAAAACACATGTAAGTGTTTTTGGTGTGAATCAAAACCTTCCATTAGACATAATTGCAACAGCAGCTGTTACACAACCTGTATAAACTATTTTTGGTGTGAACCAAAATTTTAACAACGTAGAAACTCTGTTAACTATTTCACAGTCACATGGGTGTAAAACTCATTGACCACTGGCCAGGTGTAGCACCCTTGATACAGGGAGAATTCCTGATGCTGTGGTGGAGCTGGTAGAGAAGGCTTAGCCAAGAATCAAGACAGTTCTCCTGAAAGCTTCTTTTTCTTTTTTGTTTTATTATTATTATTATTTCGAGATTGAGTTTTGCTCTTGTTGCCCAGGCTGGAGTGCAATGGCGTGATCTCGGCTCACTGTAACCTCCACCTCCCAGGTTCAAGCGATTCTCTTGCCTCAGCCTCCCAAGTAGCTGGGATTACAGGCATGCACCACCATGCCCAGCTAATTTTGTATTTTTAGTAGAGACGGGGTTTCTCCATGTTGGTCAGGCTGGTCTCGAACTCCTGACCTCAGGTGATTCAACCGCCTCGGCCTCCAAAAGTTCTGGGATTACAGGTGTGAGCCACCGCACCTGGCCTTTATTTGATTCTTGTAAAAGAAAAAAAAGACAGTTTCAAATGGCTTTTAAAATTTACTAGATTAAAAAAAAGTTATAGTAATTCATGCCCATTGTAATAAAAATAACAAAAGGATAAAAATACATAATCTTTTAATTTCTTCTGGTTCCACCCACCTAAGGAAAGCAATATTAATCTGATGTGTATTCTTACACACTTTCCTCTGTAGTATGTACAAATACACATGCACATACACAAATAGAGAGTTCCTTCTCCCCTTTTTTAAATTACAAAAATGGAGTGATATTTTGTGGTCGAATTTATCTGATCATATAATTGTCTTGAGTGGTTGTTAAAATATAGATTCCTGGCTGGGCCAAGTGGCTCATGCCTCTAATCCCAGCACCTTGGGAGGCCGAGGCAGGTGGATCACCTGAGGTCAGCAGTTCGTGACCAGTCTGGCCAACATGGTGAAATGCCATCTCTACTAAAAATACAAAAACTAGCCGGGCGTGGTGGCAGGCACCTGTAATCCCAGCTACTTGGGAGGCTAAGGCAGGAGAATCACTTGAACCCAGAGGCGGAGGTTGCAGTGAGCCGAGATTGCGCCATTGCACTCCAGCCTGGGCGACAGGAGAGAAACTCTATCTCAAAAACAAAACAAAACAAAACAACAAAAAAACAAAATATAGATTCCTGGGCCCCACCCTATGCTTATTGAATCTGAGTTTTCAAAGAAGAAATTGAGTGAGTCCTATAACCAGAAGAGTTTGATAAGTGCTGCTAAATATATTATTCTACAACTTTCTTTTAACAGTATACTATGGTTCTTTTCAGGTTAATGCCTATACATCAAAGTCATTATCCTTTTTTTTTTTGTATCTTTTGTAGAGATGGGGGTCTCACCATGTTACCTAAGCTGGTCTTGAACTTCTGAGCCCAAGTATTCCACCAGCCTCGGCCTCCCAAAGTGCTGGGATTACGGGCATGTGCCACCATGTTCGGCCAAAGTCATAATCTTTTGGTAGATATAGGGAAAGGTTAACAGATTCAGTTACAAAAAAATGAATTGTTTTGCAAACGAAACTATAAACAAAGAGTCAAAAGACTAATAGAAAATATCTCTACTACATCTAATAACATTCCTAATATACAAAGAGATTTTACAAATTGAGAAGTAAAAGAAAAACTGGCACTATTGCAGTAGGAAGCACTCTGAGATGGTGTTAATGAACATAATGATTCATTAAGAAGAAACCTTTGGTTCAACACCTACTGAAGAGAGAGGAAGGAAGCAGGAGTGGATGGAAGGAGAATTCAATCTGTGATGCAAGCTCAAAGGACAGTCTCAGCTAGAGTGGCCTTTAGAGTTATCTGTCATCATCTTCTTTCAAGGTCATCATCAGTGGGGCTGTAATGTGGCTGTCATTCATTTTTGGCTTACAGCCATGCACCATGGAAATCCATCCATGAACCAAATGCAGGCTTTTCCTCCTTTGTCAGCTGGTCATGAGGGATGCCCCCATATATCATAAGCATGAGCTTAGGAAGAGATACTGGTGAAATTGTGATGGATGACATGGGGGACTCAGCCACCTGCTCATTTGGCTGCTTGCGTCCTTTGGTCCTGCTTGTGCTGAATTTACCACTTCCTTATAGTAGCTTATTGCTAGGCCCACTTCACTTTCAGATTTGGTGCGTTTGATGAAACCCAGCTCATGATGAGTAGTTGTGGCCACATGTTTACATAATGTCATATCATCACTTTGCCACATTTATACTATGACCCAAAAACATATCAGAGAATTTTTTTCAAAGGCATGTACTTCTCTGAAGAGGGCATGACCTTGCAGACTGCATTGTGATTATCCCATGCAGTTTGCAATAAACTCCACATAGCATCTTCCCCTACCACTACTACCTTTAATACCATAGGGTATTCTGGTCATATGGCCCAAGAAGCATGGCTACTTACACTGTAGCATAAATCTGCTGCAGAGCACTTCTTTGATTCCCACTCAAAACTGTCAGTCAGTATATGCTGTCTGACATCATTCAGTGTATGGGTCAGAGCAGTATTAACAAGTAAGGAATATACTGCTCCCAGAACTCAACGAGGCCTTCCAGATGTTGCACTTTCCTTCCTTGTTGTGAGAGGTGCAAGGTGCAATAATTTGTTTTTTTTTTTTTTATCATGGATGGGATTGCTCTGCGTGCCCCTAAACAACGGCGACCTAAAAAAATATGTTTATATGCCAGGCCCCTCAATCTTCATAGGGTTTATCTCCCATGTTGTGAGTGAGTGTGCATTGCCAAGGCCACCAATGTGCAAGCTACTTCTTGCTCATCTGGTCTAATTAGCATGATTTCTGTGATATAGTGAATCCAGGTGATGTTCTGTGGGATATTGAGATATTCAGATCTCTTCTGTATTATGGCAGAGGACCAGAGTTAACATAGCCATGTAGCAAAATGACTAATATATATTCTTGTCTGTCCCATAAGAATGTGAACTTTTTCTGACCCTCTTTTTCAAATAGTATGAAAAACAACAGTCGCTGAATTAATGGCTACATACCTTATACCAGAGGCTATGCCAATCTGCTCTAGAAAATATTCCACATTTAGCACAGTGGTAGAAATTAGGACCACTATTTGTTGAGTTTACAGTACTCTGTCATTTTCCAAGTTTTTTTTTTCTGGAGGTCAGATTAGTAAATTAAGAGTAGCTATAATAAGATCTAACACCCCTGCATACTTAGCTCTTTAAGAATGATACTAATTTCCACACCTACCTGACAAATACAATATTATTTTTGCCAATATTTCATTATGGAAAATTTTCAAACTTACAAAGTGTTGAAATAACTATATACCAAACATTTATATAGACACCAACTAGATGCTAAAATTTACAGTATTTGCTTTATTATGAATTTATCTATTCTTCTATCCATCCAACAGCTCATCTAATTTTCTTTTATTATTATTATTATTATTATTATTATTATTATTATTATTATTATACTTTAAGTTCCAGGGTACACGTGCACAATGTGCAGGTTTGTTACATATGTATACATGTGCCATGTTGGTGTGCTGCACCCATTAACTCGTCATTTACATTAGGTATATCTCCTAATGCTATCCCTCCCCTCTCCCTCCACCCCATGACAGGCCCCAGTGTGTGATGTTCCCCTTCTTGTGTCCAAGTGTTCTCACTGTTCAATTCCCACCTATGAGTGAGAACATGCGGTGTTTGGTTTTCTGTCCTTGCGATAGTTTGCTGAGAATGATGGTTTCCAGCTTCATCCATGTCCCTACAAAGGACATGAACTCATCCTTTTTTATGGCTGCATAGTATTCATGGTGTATATGTGCCACATTTTCTTAATCCAGTCTATCATTGATGGACATTCGGGTTGGTTCCAAGTCTTTGCTATTGTGAATAGGGCCACAATAAACATACGTGTGCATGTGTCTTTATAGCAGCGTGATTTATAATCCTTTGGGTATATACCCAGTAATGGGATGGCTGGGTCAAATGGTATTTCTAGTTCTAGATCCCTGAGGAATCGCCACACTGTCTTCCACAATGGTTGAACTAGTTTACAGTCCCACCAACAGTGTAAAAGTGTTCTTATTTCTCCACATCCTCTCCAGCACCTGTTGTTTCCTGAATTTTTAATGATCGCCATTCTAACTGGTGTGAGATGGTATCTCATTGTGGTTTTGATTTGCTCATCTAATTTTCTGATGCATTTCAGAGTAAGTTGCAGACATGAGGACATTTCCCTTGAAACACTTTAGTCTTCATATCACTGGAGATCAATGTTTGTTTACATTTCTTTTCTTAGGTAAAAATATTCACACAATGAAATGCATAAATTTTAAGTATACCATTTGATGACTTTGGCAAATTCATACAATCTATGTATCATACCATTTAAATGTCCCCTACCCCCACCAAAACACACGTGCACTTGCACTTGGGATAAGCCCTACCTGGATGAGCTAACAAGCTACTCATCTAGTCCTTTGTGCATAGGTGAGACAAGTGCCTTCTTCCCTCTGAACACTGCGCACCCAGAGAACATATCTCCTTGACTCACTGCAGAAGGCTGGCACCTGTGGCCAGCTGGCACCAAGAGGAAGGACTCCCAGGGACAGCAGCTTGTAGTGAGCTAACAGAATGCCTGCCTGGTCTGCAGCTCCCTTCTGTCTATCATAGGTCTCCCCTGCCTGTCCCGTCATCCCTCATGGTAGCTGGGGCTTCCCTTTTCTTCCCCGTGAGATGCTCTGACATCTTTCTCAGGTAAGAACCAGGAAGCAGGCCGCCCAGATTTGTCAAGAGGGGAAGACGGAAACCATTGAGCCCACATGCTCTGTGCCAAGCCAAGGCCCGTGTCCTATGGCAGGTCCACTCGAGCCCCTGAGGAGACTCCAGGAAGAGAAAGACAGGGAGAGTTCCTTTTAAACAAACAAAACTCAAGCAGGCGAGCGGCTTTCTTTAGGATGGCCTTATGCTTGGCATTGAGCTGGACAGTGGTGTGGAGTCCCAGGGGTTCATCTTGGCCTCTGTGATAGTTTCCTTCCAAGTGGGAAAAGGGAAGCGGCGCACACAGACCTGGTTGGGGCGCAAGGGTGCTGAGAGGGAAGTGAAGGAGACTCTAGCACTTTGCTCTCCCTCAGACTGGCAGGTACACAGGGTGAGCTCTGACCTCTCCCCCAGGCTTGCTTCTGTTTTCAGGACACAACTTTGCCCACTTGGCTCTCATGCAGCCATCACTCTGGCTGGGGAGGGAAGTCCTTTATCAGGCCACACTTTCAGACTTTAGTCCTGAGACCCTGGCTCTGCTCTGCCCTCCCGGGCTTCACCCACAGAGCTCTCTTAAGGCCCCGGTGTCTCCTATCCATGCCCTCAGCCAGCCCTGCCATGTCCCACTCCTCTCCTTCCTCAGCGAGGGCTCCTCAGCTGAATCATGCCCAAGCCCCGTCCCTTGTCCCCTTCACTATAAAAAAGCCTGACTAATTGAGCTCCCTGGATCTGTTTCGATCTCTAATTTGTCTGCCAGCTGGGGAATAGGCCTCCCCACTTGTGCCCCTTATTTTCTTCATTTTCTGAAATCCCTGAGTCTTCACAACTGGAACTGATATCAGCTGTAAAACATGCCATGTCAGTGGCTGTCATGAAAGTGGTTTAAATCTCTGTTCGAAATGCTTGTTTGTATTACAGTCCAAGTGTTCTGTGTTGTGTGCCAAGGCTTTTACCAGTGGCAACAAGCTATTGGAGAAATAAGTACCAAGTACAAATCAAGTAGGACCAGCCACAGGTCCCGTTTAAAATGAATGGACAGAACAGACAAATCCAAACAGAAGAGTGGAAAGGGAGTTTCTCCTAATTAGGAAGCATGGCTTTCTAGATCCTCTCATCAGCAAGTCTTTGTCTTACTTTTTATCTCCTGTGTAGTAAAGAAGTAGCCAGAGAATGGGAAGGTTTTAAAAGCATTTTTTAAGAGACAGAGTCTCGCTCTGTTGCTCAGGCTGGAGTGCAGTGGTGATCACGGCTCACTGCAGCCTCGACCTCCTGGGCTGAAGCAGTCCTCCCACCTCAACCTCTGGAGTAGCTGGGACTACAGGTGCATGCCACCACACTCGGGTATTTTTCTTTTCTTTTCTTTTCTTTTCTTTTTTTTTTTGAGATGGAGTCTCGCTCTGTTGCCCAGGCTGGAGTGCAGTGGCACAATCTCGGCTCACTACAAGCTCCGCCTCCTGGGTTCATGCCATTCTCCTGCCTCAGCCTCCTGAGTAGCTGGGACCACAGGTGCCCGCCACCATGCCTGGCTAATTTGTTTTTCGTATTTTTAGTAGAGATGGGGTTTCACCATGTTAGCCAGGATGGTCTCGATCTCCTGACCTTGTGATCCGCCCATCTCGGCCTCTCAAAGTGCTGGGATTACAGGCAAGAGCCACAGCATCTGGCCTAAAAAGCAAACTAAGTTAAACTCATTTGCAAAGTCTAGGCCAGTGGTTCTCAAACTTGAGCCTTTATCAGAATCACCTATAGTAGGTCTGGGGTGGGGCCTGAGAATTTGTGTTTCTAACATCTTCCCAGGTGGGAAGATGGTGGGAAGCTGTTGGTCTAGGGCCCATACTTTGAGAACCAGTGCTTTAGGGGCTGTGCAGAATAGGCATAAAGGTCAGGGGTCTCTGGTCTTGCGAGGCCTAGTGCAGAGGTGGGGACTGTACCATGTGACCTGGAGGAGGGTCTAGTTCTGGGAGGCGGGGCTATGGGTGGAGCTCCACAACCTGTTCCTGAGGCTCCTACAGTTGTCAAAGAGCACCGGCTACCCCAAGGCCTCCTGACAAAAGCTCGACTTCTTCTGGAGTTCTCCAGCTTCTGCTGTCATGCCTCCCTCTTCTTGGGTGGGGAGAGGGTGGTGGAGGGAACCCTGGGGCACATGGCCCAAGATGAGCCCCAAGCCCTAGAGCAGTGGAGGTTCTCAAACCCCAGTGAGCATCACAATCACCCAGGATAACATGCAGATTACTGGGCCCATCCCCAGAGTTTGTGATCACAGGTCTAGGGTGATGGTGGCTGAGAATGTACATTTTCAACAAGTTCCTAGGTGATGCTGGCTGATGCTTCTTGGCAAAGGAAATAAAAAGGTGTCTATGTTCTCATGTTCTTATGACTAGGGCCGAGAGGCCTTGGACACTGACAGTTGCAGTCCAGGGAGCAGTTTGAGCATAGACTGGGAATTTATCTGGTGCCAGACTAAGAAATCAGAGTGACTTGATTTTTCTTGAGTGAAGGATTAGCAAGAAAGGTACCAAATTACATACAACATTTATTCTTCTAAAATGTTTTTGAAACTAATCATTGGATGATGTTGTTTAGGTTCAGCCATTTCAACAAAGGGAGGAGGGAAGAGAACTCACATTTATTGAGCTCTACTAAGGTTTGTGCTAGGCACTTCACCTACATTATCTCATTTGCTTCTTGAAATGATCATCAGAAGAGGAGGAAATAGGCTCAGAGAGCTTAAGTGACCTGCCTAATTTCACACAGCTTATGAGAGCTGGACTTGGATTCCAGCCCAGGTCTGGCTCCAAACTCTTTCCATTATACCCTGTTCATGAATGCATAAAAGACACATCCTTATTGAAAGAGCAGAGAAAAGGAGAGGAGAGTGTGATGGAAACACAATGTTCACTGTGGAGAATAAGTAACGAGGAAGGAGGCTGTAGGGAAGCATTGGGCTAGATTGTAGAGGGTCACCTCACGAATTTGCAAGTCACCTCACGAATTTGGACTGTGTCATAATCAATGAGAAGCCACTGCAAACATGTAAGATGGGGTGGGATGCAAAACTGGGGATAGCTTATTAGGAAGGGGGTGGTAGTGGAGCAGAGGGGATGGCTAGTGGATTCATAGAGCCCTGGAACTGGAAGGGATCCTAGAGTTCACCCTTGTCACTTAACTTACAGGTGACAAACTGGGACCCAGAGAGGGGATGCAACTTGCTGAACTGAATGCCTGGCACTGCCCACCTCCACCCCTCCCCTTTAGCACTGAAGCATCATTTCCCAGCTGTAGGGTGCACTGGTGGCCAACAGTGCACAGTTGTGCCCGTCTCTGGGAATGGCCCTTGACTGAAGAGAGCCGCCATGTTGAAGGTCGTGTATCCTTCCCAGGTGATGGCTTGCATCCCATGACTGCTTGATGGAGGAGCATAAATGCCTAGCCCCTTGCCACAATTCTGGAGAACTCTGAGCTTTTCCTGGGATCCCCTGAGGCCTTTGTTGTGGTTGCATCCCGGTCCCACTTCCTCCTCTGCCCAGTTCCGCTTTCTGCATTCCTCACAGGTGTTGATCCTGACAGTGCTCCCCAATAAAGCTCCTACCCATGAAGCTCTCAGAGCCTGCTTCCCTGGGAACGTGGCCTGTGACACTTCCCCAAGGTCACAGGCCATTCCAGTGGAGGAGTCTGGACGGGAATCCATGCCTTGTGACTCAATTTTTCTACCACACCTGTCTGATCTCCCACTCTGATAAGTCTTAGGCTCTTTCTCCATCACACCCATCCAGGAACTTGGGACAAGTGACCTTAGACAATGGGTCAAAAGGTGTTAGGAGAAACACCCTCCACCCCTGCCCCCCCACCCCCCCACACACACATGCTGGAACAGTCTGCATGGTAACGATTACATGCATGTGTCAAACAATTGGAGCTACTTGTTACAGGGTTAACCGACCAGGAGGAAATTCCAAGTGCCTCTGCAGCTACTCCAGGGCTCCTCCACAAGTGATGGGAATGTAGCTAAGGGAACTCAGTCTGGCCTAGGAGAAGGGACAGCTTGAAATAAAAACAGTAATACAGACAGCTCAGTGCTTCAGACCCAAGGCCCTGGATCAGGGGGAGTGGAGGTTGGCCTAGAGGTCCAAAGCTCTGCCCCAAGGCAGAAGCATGCTAAGGATTCTCAGAGGGCTCCGCCACACCCTGCTGAAGCATTTCCCTGCTCCTCATTTTGCAGAAAACTCAGGTTTTCACCATGGGCCCCCATGCTGAACCAACTGCCAGGTTCTGTTCATTGGATCCTCCCTCACAGATGTGCCAGCTGCTGCTAAAGCCCTGTTTGGTAGTGAAGCATGAGGAACTTTGCATTATGGCCTTCTTAGGGCCCTGTGGAGCCACAGCAATGGGATTTGTATGGATTTGTTTGCTGCTTCTGTTTATTGCTGGGCAGTGGCAGCAGGGCCTTGGGAAGGCCAAACCCTGGACTTTCAGCAGCTGCCTTGGCCCCTCAGAATTGCCTCTGTTGTGGGGAGCTGGAGAGGAGCCGAGAGGGGGGCTCTGACCTCACTTGCCAATCAGGAGGGTACAAAGCTTTTGTTTAAACACCAAATCGCACAAGTATAATAGTAAACACGCCGATACACCATGCCCGACAGCAAGCAAGACAGGCCATGCAAGCACATCTTTTCGAAGGCAGTAAATGGGCATTTCTAGAGGTGAAGAGTCTTGAGTCAAACAAGAGTGAGGGCTGAGCAAAGCTTTCATGTTGTGCTGTGCTTAGGGAGGAAGAAATGGCAGTGGGCCACTCTGCAAGGAAGACTATGAATGCTTGATCCAGACGTAAGGGTTCTGGTTTAAACTTCTCCAGAATAGACACCTACTATCCCTGCCTATCTGTTTTTCCCCTAGGGAGGCCATGTTCTATTTACCATTTCCGTAACTGTACTTCAGTCTTTTCTGGCTGCTCCTTCAATCTTGCCACTCATTATGATCATGCCCCTACCTGACTTTAGATAGTGAACTCAGCCATATGGTCTCTATCATTTCAGAGCCCTGCTATGATGAGCGTAGTTGTAAGGGTCTCTCCACCATCAAGCCTAACCTACAGAGGAGAGCCACCAGTGAATTTCTCAGTGGTGCTGGTGCCCCTCTTGTTAGCACATTCCTTATCACCTTGATAAATGGTGTATCCTGGGTTTTTCTGTTTGAGTTTTCCAGGCTTGTTTGATCTATCCACTACAGTAGGCTCACTTCTGAATCTTTTAATCCTTTCTTCTACTATTGTCACAGCAATGCTGGCATTTCAACCTCACTTAGCATGGGTCATCACTTTTTCTGTACTTCAAGGAGTCATCTAATTGTGAGACTATTCTACCTCATGTGGTCCTTGCCAGAGTGTTAAATCCTATATTCCAGAGTAGTGCTCCAAAATTGATAAACTGCCTGTTATCCCACCTTATAGACTAGCTCTCTTGATCAAGCAGTCTCAGAATTCAATTCCATGTGAACCCTTCCAGTTCCTGCCAATCCACGCTGGGTATCTTGCAGCTTTTTGACGTATAATCGCTCTTCTCCCTGATCAGGCCTCACATGTCCATGCTGTGCCTTAGCCCTTGTTATAGGCCTAATGGCAAGGAGGGGAGGGGAAAGCACATGTTGTCTTGTTGGGGAGAAGCTTTGCATGTCTGCAAGCAAGAGGATGGGGCGGGCGTGGGTACTACCAATAGGGAAATTGCACCAGTTCTATGGGCTCAGCTGGTTCAGGGAAATCTAAGGATTCAAGATTTTGGTAGCATCAATCTAGATAGCCCCAAACCATGTGTCAGGGTCTCATTCTTTCCCGGGCAGCATCCCGATTTTGACATAGCAAATGTGTGTCTATTTCTCCATTGGGAATTTACTCCTTTTTAGACCTCAATAACCACTAAATTCCATTGGTTCTTTTTGTTGTTGTTTTGTTTTGTTTCAGAGTCAGGGGCTCGCTCTGTTGCCCAGGCTGGAGTACAGTGGCATGATCATAACTCACTGCAGCCTTGAACTCCTGGGCTCAAGTGATCCTCCTACCTTGGCCTTCCATTGGTTTTATAGCTACTACTTCCTCCATATTTCTCAAACACTTGAAACATCAC
Organism: Homo sapiens; assembly: GCF_000001405.40. Taxonomy (NCBI): domain Eukaryota; kingdom Metazoa; phylum Chordata; class Mammalia; order Primates; family Hominidae; genus Homo; species Homo sapiens. Next base: position 107,004,091 of record NC_000023.11, on the reverse strand, counting down.
AGAAGATTATACGTTCCCTTTTACCATCCCAATTCACACCTGGTGGAAGTTTTAACAATAATAGGACTGCTGCCTTGTGGCAGGGGGCTATCTGTGCTCCATCCACTCTGTGGTATGGTCCTCATTGCCAACTGGGCAGTAAGTGATTTAGCTCCCAAATATCATCCAAATGCTCTGGTTTCTCTTCGGATCGTATAAATCTTTTGCCTTTTACCAAATATCATCATAGTCCCGACTTTCTTGGATCACTCCCAATTTCAAGTGTTACAGTTTGAGTTCCCCAGGAGGCAGATTCCAAGGAAGAGCTTTGTGTGCAGGGTGCTTATTAAGAGGTATTCTTAGATTAGGATCTGTGCAATGAAGTAGGTGTGGGCAGAGGGGAACACTGAGCTACAATGCAGGCTCAATAGCAGAGAGCCAACCCCACAGAGAGAATTGGAGTTAGAATGACCCTTCCCAATTGTCCCAAATTGGGTTGAGACAGTCAGGTCTTTATACCCCCTCTTTGGTCAGTTACTGTAGGCTGTCCCAGAAAAGTCTGTGACCTTGGGTAAGGCAGAGATTACCTGAAGCAATCCCTGAAGGGCTAACAGCTGAAGGCAGTCTGTCAACATTTCTCCCAGCAGCTCAGCCAACAAGTCTTTTATTGAAATGAGAGGTGGGCTGACGCATCACAGTATCCATCACAGGCATCATCTCTTTACATTAAAAATTGCCAATTAAAAGTAAAGAGTTAAGCATTTATCATGTCCTTCCTATATAAATTGTATTTCAGATTAGCCAAATAGCCATGGTTGATGAAGGTAAGTTCTATACAGAATGATCCAGTTAATAAATTAGAAGAAATTATGAGATTGACTATCATAATTTTGCAGTCCTAATAACATATTTTTTTCAGACAATGAAACCATGAAGTAAAAGGATGGTGGAGAAATTTATAGTGGAAGCTTCAGGCTGCCTCTCCCTGAAGTCACCAATGAATCTGAACATGTCTAAGTGTTGCACAGTATGTATTCCCTGATGTGATGCAATGGGAACTATACAGCACCATCTATGAGCATTCCTATTTAGAAAACATTGTACTAGACTCTAAGACTCTAGAGACAATTTATGGTTTATAGTTAAGTTACACTTTTTCCTGTAACAAGAGGAGCAAGTTAAGTAACATGAAGAAGCAAACAGACAAATGAAAATGTAGGGCATTCAACAGTCCAACTGTCTTGGTTTCTTCAACAACTCAAGGGGTTGGGCATGATGGCTCACACGTGTAATCCCAGCACTTTGGGAGGCCGAGGTGGGAGGATCACTTGAGCCCAGGAGTCCAAGAGCAGCCTGGGCAACATGGGGAGAACCCATCTCTACAAAAAAAAAAAAAAAAAAAATCAATAACATGAATAAAAAAAAAAGAGAGGGGAGACTTTTAGATTGAAATGGATTTAAGACACATAACCACGTGCAATGTGTGCACTTGGAGTCTAGATTTAAACAAACCAACTGTAAGCAGACATTTCCGAGACAATTGGGGGAAATCTGAATATGGACTGGGCCAAGCAAAGTGGCTTGCGCCTGTAATCCCAGCACTTTGGGAGGCCAAATCAGGTAGATTGCATGAGCCCAGGAGCTTGAGACCAGCCTGGGCAACGTGGCAAAACCTCGTCTCTAGAAAATATAAAAAGTAAAAAAATGACCTGGGTGTGATGGCATGTGCCTGTAGCCCCAGCTACTCAGGAAGCTGAGTTGGGAGGATTGCTTGGTCCCAGGAGGTCAAGGCTGCAGTGAGCCAAGATCGTACCACTGCACTAAAGCCTGGGTGACACAGCAAGGCCCTGTCTCAAAAAAAAAAAAAAAAAAAAAAAAGTCTGGGTATTAGAAGACAACAAAGAATTAGTATAAATTTTGTTTGGTATAAAAGTGGCATGGTGGTTATGTTTGTTAGAAAATGTCCATGTTTCTAAAGAACACTGAAGTATGTAAAATAAAATGGCATGATGTTTGAGATTTGCCCTGAAATGCTCACAGCTTACAGAAATGGAAAAAAAAAAAAAAGAAAAGAAAAAGAAAAAGAAGAAAAGGGATATAGAAAACAAGTGCCTTAGTCAGATCTGGCTGCTGTTAACAAAGTACCATAGACTAGGTTGCGTATTAACAGCAGATGATCAGGTTCTGGTACGGTCTCTCTTCTGGGTTGCAGAATTCAGACCCTTTCTTGAGTCCTCATGGAAGAAAGAGGATGAGAGAGCTTTCTGGGGTCCTTTTTATGAGGCACTAATCCCATCATGAGGGTTCCACCCTTATGACCTAATTACTTGGCAAAGGCCCCAACTCCTAATCCCAATACCTAATACCATCATATTGGGAGTTAGGATTTCAACATACAAATTTTGGCGGGGCACAAATGTTCAGTCCATTGCAGCAGGTGTGGCAGTCTTGATAATTACTGCATCTGAGTAATAAGTACATGGGATTCATTATATTGTTTTCTGTACTTTTGTGTATTTTAAAAAATTGAAGAAAAGATAACTAAAAAACAGACAAATGTAAAGCACCCAATGGGGGTAAAAAATGATGCTCAAAGGACATAAACAGGCATTTGTAGAAGAGGAGATGCAAATGTATACTAAACATTTGAAAAGATATTCAGCCTTACTGGTAGTCAGGAAAATGCAAATTAAAACAATAAGGAGATACTATTTTTTATTGAAAAGACTATCAAAAAGTTAAAAGATTGGGACCATCTAGTGCTATGAACATGACAAAAGAGCACTGATTGTTGCTGGGAGGGCAAATTGCCTATCTTACAGTATTTATTAAGATTAAACCATGCACATGCTATTAGATGCAGCAGTCTCATCTTTTGGAATTCATTCTGTGGAGATAACAGTATCAGAAATTAATGACCTGTACACGAGTGTGTGAAGGAGCATTTTTTGTATTGTCAAAATTAAAAAAAGAGGACAACCTAAATTACCATAAAGGAATGGTCAAATAAATTATAGTTCATTCATGCCATAGAACATTACATATGTTTTTAATGAATCTGTTTTTCTATTATCAGTGTATATTTATAGTATATTAGAAAACACAGGTAAGAAAAAAGGAAAAAGTGTCTAGTTCCAGACCCAGAGATATCATCTTGGTGTATATCAAGTGGTTTTCGTTGTGTGTGTGTGTGTGTATATATATATGTATGTATGTATGTGTATATGTGTGTATGCATGCATATATATATATGTATATATGTATACATATATATTTGTTTTTCCAATAGAAAAGGCATCATGCGTTCCACAATATGTTGTAACTCCTTGTTTTCTTCATTCCTTCATGAATATTTTTCTACATCAACACATACTTATCTACAAACATGGCCTTCAAGAACTGGATGGTATTTCATTTTATGCATACTTCATAACTCGACCAATCCCCTACTTGGCGGTATTTAAGTGAATCCAATTTCTCCTTTTAGAAACACCGTCCCTGCATGCTAGCAAGACTTTGGAGATAGTTTGCTAATTGCCTTCCAGAAAGTTCTGGGTGCTTCTGGAGGCATTTGAGGCAGAGTAGGTAGAATGTTTTCCCATCAGGCGAGCTTGCTATCTTCCCAGATAGCAACACTGTAGTCTTTAGAACTTGAAAGACTTGTCTTATCTTGCCTGTTAGTCATGCAGCCTAAGCGGGACTAGGTTCCAGAAATCCCATACATGCTCTCCCTCCTCTTGCTTCATTCACGCCCCTCCCCACGCGCCACCCCCGCCCCCCGCGCTTTCCCGCTCGGCGGCCTGGCCTATGGCATACGCCAATAATTAATTAGGGGCGGGGATCAAGGAGCGGCTGTCAGGAGGTCGCCATATTTCTGTACGGCCCAGAGGCAGCCCGGGCAGTCGCCGGGTCGGTAGAGGTGCTGACAGGGCGGAGCCGCCGCTTGCCTCAGCCGGCCTCACCCCTCCCGCCCGGGACAGGTGGCTGGAGCGCGCTCCGCCTCCGCCAGCTGCGAGTGGGAGCGAGGGAGGGCCGGTCCCGGACGGTCGCCGCCAGCTGCGAGTGGAAGTGAGCGAGGGCTAGTCCCGGACCGCCGGGCCAGGGGTCCGGCGGCAGCAGACGGGTACCGTGGCGGCCAAAAAAATGCTCCTGTACCGAGGGGCCCCCGCCGGCCCTGGCGCGCCGGGCTGCGGGCTGGCCCGGCCCGGCGGCGGCCCGCAGGCCTTCGGGATCCGCCTGAGCACGGTAGGTCCGGGGCCCGAGGGGGCGGACGCGCGCGCGGGCCCCTGGGCTGCGGGGGGCGCGCGGGGAGGGCCCGGCGGGCCGAGGCCTCACGCGGGTCGGGACCTTCTCTCGCCCCCAGATGAGCCCCCGCTACCTCCAGAGCAACTCCAGCAGCCACACGCGACCCTTCAGTGCCATCGCGGAGCTGCTAGGTGAGTGGCGAGGGCGGGCCCGGCCGTGTTCGCCCGAGGCAGTGGTGCCAGCGTGGTGCCGCGGACGCGAGAGGAATGCGCAGAGCCGCGCGGGGCGGGCCGGGGCTGGGGTGGGGGCCTCGGAACCGGCCCCGGCTCCGCAGGCGGAGGAGGGGGATGGCTCTCTCGCCAGGAACTAGGTTCCGCTCATAAAACGGAGGAAACGAGGTGTGTCTGAAGCGTTAAAGACACCAGTGTGGTTTTTCTCTCGCGCTCGTGACGTTCGGGCACTTTAGGATAGCTTAGTTAGTAATCAAAAGGAGATGCATAAAAACCTCGGGCCCTGAGGCAGCTGGGTCCGCAGGGGCTGGCGACCGACGGAGGATGCCTAGCTAGCAAAGGGGCGTAGAGGACCGAGGCGGGTCCTGGGGAAAGGTCTGGAAAGCGGAGTTCCTTAACTTTTGAGACAAGAAAAGTTAGGAATGATGGGACATCTCTTAAGAGATGACACGAGTGCATTTGGCTCCCTGCTACTGCGGAGGGCTGGGTCCGTGGTCCACGAGCGCCCTCACACCGCTGGAATGAATATTGAGGACTTAACCTCTCGCTCCACCGGTGTTTGCTTTTAAAGTGTTTTCAGTTGATCCCTTCAAGCCAATTACACCAGTTTTTGCAGTAGTGTGCTACTGTGTGGAAAGCAAAGAAGAAACGCAGTCCTGCACAAAACGCAGCAGCATACAGGGCGCATTATACATGCTTTGAAAATCGAAAGAAGGAAGAAGTGTTTATGGGCAAGGTTGCACAGAACAAACTCTTGAAAATGTTTTCAAAGCTCCCCAAATGAACCCCGGTCTCTACTTAAGCAGTCGCTGTGGCCATGCCATGAGAGTTATCTTGGGTAAGAAGTCAATGGGTAGCAGGGGACTTACTTGGAAGGGTGATAAGAATGATAGAGACCTTTGATGATTAACCATAACACGGAATGCTTTACAATATGTGTAATTTAATTAGAAGGTGAAAGGCAAAAAGTGGAATTGATACGTTTGGAACCCTAGAGCAGAGGGACTGTATCTTTGAGGTTTGGTACTGTGCCTTGGGGCTGTGCACTGAACCTCTGCAGAATGGAATACAATCCAAGTTAAGTATGTAATTTACAAGAAAGACTACAAGGGAGCAAAAAGTAGTGATTTACATAGTGGGGGATGGGAAAGCGAAATGTATTGTTCTCTCATGGTTGGCACGGTGCAGAACGTGATATACCTGTGCTGTGCTTACTGTACTTTCCAGGTGATTTAATGAGTTTCCAATTTGTAATTTTGGATATTTGTGATTTTGGCCATAAGCATTACCTTAAAGAACCTAAGCCGGATCTAAGACGTCCAGTATGAGCGCGAGTATGTGTATGTATTATGCACACACATGCATGCATACATGTATACAAACATAGATTTTAAGACCAAATAACAACTATTTGTGAAAATATTAATAATAGGGAAAAGAGAGAGCAAAGTGTTAACTGGCAATCCAAAGCTTTCATTTTAGGTTTTCCTTCAATCATTTTCTCCACTTAAGCATTAATTTTCTAGTGAATCATTCATTTGGTAAATATTTATTGAGCACCCACTGTGCGCAAGGCCACTGTGGTAGGCACAAAAATGAATACAACACAGATTCACTCTTCTAGTAGGGGAGATAAAACATGTACAGAAGGTTTATGCTTTGTCTAACAACAAAATGGAAATCGATATATAAACAAAGATAAAAACAAGTGCTGTGGGAGTTCAGAGGAAGGAGGAATGGCTTCCAGTTTATCAGGAAGAGGAAGGTTAGGAAAGGCTTTGTGGAGGAGGTGACATTTAAGCTGAGATTTGAAGGATTGGGACATGTGGATATGGGCGGGGAGGAATTCCAGGCAAAAGGAACAACTGCTTGAACAAAGGCATGAAGAATATTGAGTGGAGTTTAATTAGAGCATGGGGTTCACAAATAGTAAAAACGATAGGTACTTAAAAAGTTTACAAGCAGCTTTCACAAATAACTTTTTAACATTACCATTTGAGGTAAACATTTATTTTCATCCTGCAGATGAAGAAAAAGAGGTTCAGAAAATTTAGTTGACTTTTCCAAGGTTACATATATACTAAGTAGCAGATCCAGGACTCAAACACAGGCCTTTTTACGCCAGATACTAAGTAAGGATGAGGTTAAAAAGGTCATCTGGGATCAGGATGTGATTGGGAGGCTCCAATATCTGGCTTTTTAGCCTGAAGTTTTCTGAGCAGGGGAATGTCATGATCAGAGCTGTGCTTCAGGAAAGTCAGTCTTGCAGCAGTGTATACAATTGAAGGAGAGAGATACGGATTTATATGACAGGAGGTTATTGCAATAATCCAGATGAGAGGAAATAAACTCTGTAAGAGACTGACAATGGAAATAGAGTAAATAGGATATGAGAACGTCTAGGGATGCATAGGGTAAAGGAGAGGGAGGGATAAGAAAATTACTTAAATTTCAAATTTGTGGTCTATTCAATGCTAACCTTGTGTGTGTTTGTAACAAAGGAAGAATAGGCTTGTGACAAAAGGTGATGACCTTACCTTTAGGCAGGAATACTTTTAGATACCTCTAGGATTTATGTAGGACAGTAGCTCCACCCTTGGCAATCTTTCATGTAGCCACCTATAGGCCATCCTTCTGGAACAGGGGAGGATGGGAGCCTTATGATGCTATGAAACAGAAAAGGATGAGAGGCTTGTGAAGCACTACCTCAAAGCCATCTCCCATTTGCCATCTTATCTCTCCTGGGAGGCTGTCATGGAATAGTTTCTCATTGCCTCCTAGATTCTGATGAGATAACGAGAGCAGGGGGAAGGTAGAGATGGGGTCCTCCCACGAAGGGATAGCACGAGCCAAGTTAGGAGAGAGAAAACTCCTTGTGATCTGGTAGCACATGGGCTTGTGTGGCCAGGTTAGGGAATGAAGACACTCCAGCATCTGATAGCACACTTCTCACCTAAGTGGTGGGCAGGGAGAGAGGAGTAAGGGTTCTTTCATTGTGCTACCTGTTCATTGGCTGGATGGGCCGGGTTAGGGGAGAAGATAGATTTTCTGGGATCCAATAGCACTTGCCATGTATTGGTAAATTTTTGGAGGGTTAAGCAGCCAGAGGTAGGATTGAAACCAGCCTCCAGATCGGTGCCTTGTTATCATAAGTTCATTTATTGAGGCCAGCCTTATTATTATTGTAATTTCATTTGCTGAGACCGAATGAAGGGCCATGTAAAACTGAAAGTAAGTACAAAACCGTGCTTGCTGGTGCCTCTCTACTGATCTCTCTTTCCCTACTGCTCCAGCTGACCCTGGCCTCTTGCATGCCCCCTCCCCCTTGTATTCCATGAGCTTCCAGCCAAGGAGATAAAATGTTGAGCTGCTCCTGGCAGCTACATTGTAACTCCTGAAGTGCCTGTGTTAAAACTATTTGGTGTGTTCCTGTAAAAAAAAAAAAAAAAAAAAAAGTACCTAGTAAAGTTTGGGCAAAACTTGCAGTAAAGAGGAAAAGAATTGAGATGATTTTGTGAGAGGCCTTTGAGCTGATTCGTTGAATGCACCGTTGGGTAAACATGTAGTTGCAATTGATAGGTGTTACATGTTTGAATCGTGAATGTTCACAAATTGTTAGAAAAGAATACCTCTATGTCCAAAGTTTTCAGTGTATAAATGATGTCCAGTTGATTGACAAGTTGTATCATCAGTCACAGTGCCTTTGGTTGTCTGCCAGCAGGAGTGTCTGATCAGTCCCAACACAATTCATGGCCTGCTTGGCGAGTAAAGGTTCTTGAAACAGTGTAGGCAGCTGTGTAATGCTGAATCCTTTAGTCAGTTAAAGAAAAATACTGCTGCCTCTTACAAAGTAAAGAACTGCATTTCTGATAAAGCTGCCATTGTAGGACAGACTTGTAACTCCTGCCAAAACTTAGCCCACTTGTCTTGCCACATTATATAGGCCCTAGGCCCCCAACCTGGTCCTTAAAGATTGACTATATCATCCATCAACAGAAGAATGGATAAAGAAAATGTGGTATATAGACACAATGGAATACTATTCAGCCATAAAGAGAAGGAAATACTGTCATTTGCAGCAACATGGATAAACTTGAAGGACATTATGTTAAATGAAATAAGCCAGGCACAGAAGGCAAACTATGTGGAATGTTCTAACTTCTATGTGGAAACTAAACAAGTACTAAGTAGCAGATCCAGGATGCAAACACAGGTCTTTTTACTGGAAATACCAAGTAGGGAATGAGGTTAAAAAGGTCGTCTGGGATCAGGGTGTGACCGGGAGGCTCCAGTGTTTGGCTTTTTAGCCTGAAGTTTTCTGAGCAGAGGAATGTCATGAACAGAGCTGTGCTTCAGGAAAGTTAATCTTGCAGCAGTGTATAACATTGAAAGAGAGAGATAAGGATTTATAAGAGTAGTTAGGAGGTTACTGCAATAAGCTTAGAAGTAGAGAGTGGAATAGTAGTTACTAAAGGCTGGGAAGGGTGGGAGGGGGGATAGCTAGAGGTGGGTTAATGGCTACAAAATTACAACTAAGATAAAAGAAATAAGTTCTAATGTTTTATAGCACTGTAGGATGGCTATAATTAATAACAATTAACTGTATATTTTCAAATAGCTAGAAGAATAGATTTTGAATGTTCCCAACAAAAGAAATGATAAATGTTTGAGGTAATGAATATGCTAATTATCCTGATTTGATCATTACACATTGTATAAGTGTATCAAAACATCACATTGTATTCTATAAATATGTACAACTATTATGTGAATTAAAAAAATAAAAACACAAAAAAGTGGCTGCCACTCATATGAAATAAACTTTCCCTTAGGGCCTTCTAAATGAAAAAAAAGAAAAAAAAAAGATTGACTATACCAGGCCTCTTAATCCCCTTCTGGGACTATTGGTGATGCTGTACTACTGTTAAGACGTTTTCTGCTTACAGTCAGTGACAGTTTTATCAATGACTCTGGCAATACCATTGTGACCCTTGAAATTAATCTGTGTTTTGTTTTATTTGATGAACATTCCACATATCCAAGTGGCTGTAACTGATATCATTAATTGTGTTATAAAAAATGGGTGTTTTGCATATTTGTAATACTTCTCTGGATTGTAAGGGGTGTTCCTGGGAAAAAATGATATAATTTGATCAGTAGTAATAGAACAAGTATATGGCCAGGACCTGACCTGGCTGTCTTAGCTTAGCTTTTTGGTATCACTAAAGCAGTATAGGATACCAGGGAAAGGGAAGAGGGTGGAAGGGAAGGACTCTGTCTTGCTCAAAGAGCTTAGTAGAGACAGGAACGATTAAGGAACCTATCCAACAGATTGTATAAACTGCCCCTCAATTGTGGCCAGTGAGCCACATTTGTCAGTGATTGACAATTATGTAAACTGGTGCCTGTGGCAAAAACATGCGGCAACTAGACAGTGGCACCCCCCTGGGGTTGTGGACGTGACACAATTGTTAGACTATGGCAATATTTGATGTCTTTGGAGTCTTAAATAATTAACTCATTGTGAAGACATAAATCAGGAGGAATCGTGAACCTATGTATTTTTTCTACTTTAATTCTATGTTCTCCATTTCCTGAAAGGATGGACAGCCTTACCTTTAAAACTATTACAAAATACCTAAGCAAAAATCACTCCCTCTAAGTATGCTTGCTACCATCACTGAGATCTAGGCAGACCATTAAGTCTTTTGATTTTAAACTCTAACCCTTTCAGTGCCTCTTAGGCTATAAACAGGAATGGCAGTACTCTCTGTGTTCTTTAACAGAGGAGGTGATGTAAGAAAGAAGAAAATAAAATGATCACAAATAAACTGTAATGTGTGTAATATGCATCATCTTTTACCAAAGTTGCTCCTTCAGCTTTTCTCCATAGCCACTCTTTACTGTATGTGTATACAAACAGTAAAGGGGCTAAAAGGCAAGAAGTAATAAGACAAAAATGGAGCAAAATGCTTTGTATATGGGAGTAGTTATTAATACTTTTTTCCAAAGACCCTGAAGTTCGAAGGTGGAAAGGCAGATTGCATATCGCTCGTATGAAATCTGGAAATCAGCTTTAGAACTCAATCTGGCATCATCTCTTTTGTTCTCTATAATTTAGTAAGTGCACTACCGTTAATGCTCCCTGATACCTTCTCAAACATCCAAATGAAGGAAATAAAGGACATTTCTTATGTCTTGGCGTCACTGAACTAGAGATTTTGATACAATATTGGAAAAGGGGATCTAATATCGCAGATTTCTACCTTTTGCAGATAATGCTGTAGATCCAGATGTATCTGCCAGGACGGTCTTTATAGATGTTGAGGAGGTCAAGAATAAATCTTGTTTGACCTTTACCGATGATGGATGTGGGATGACACCTCATAAACTACACCGAATGCTCAGGTAAAAATGTCTTCATTGTCTTTTTCTTGTCTTAAGCTCATGAACCCTATTTAAGGCTTCATAATTTTCATTAATATTTTGCTTTCCTTTTGTTCATTCAACAAATATTTATTAAGCATCTCTTATGTGCCAGGGCACTGGTTATGAAACAAATACTGTTCCTTCCCTCACAGAGCTTTCAGCCTAGCTGGCAACTCAGACAAATTAAATAAGTAATAAAAAGCTATAAGCATAATAAGAAGGTACAGAATGTTTGAGACAAGTCATCAGGGGAGCCCAATCTGATCCCAGAGGTTAGGAAAAGTATCCTAGACAAAATGATATTTAAGCTGAGATCTAAGGGTGAGTACAGTTTAACCAGCTAAATAAAGGGGCAGGGAGCAAGGGATGACAATTCACACAAAGAGAACAGCAAATATAAAGACCCAGAGGCCTTCACTGGTCCGAGACCTCCAATTTATATTAACCTAAACTCACTCTTAAATCAGAAGTATTGGAGTTGGGGTGATTTATTGATTAGAACCACGAAGGTACCTGGGTATAATCAAACCCCATGCAAGGTAAATAGAAGGCATTCAGACATATATTCTTTAAAGGTTTTGCAGTAGAATCACAAACTTAGGAAATTCTCCTTTCTAACTGTTAAAGCTTGTGCTAGATTTCTATTGCCACTGTCAGTTCATTTAATCACTTTAAAACATTTGTAGTTGAGAACGTAAATTTATACTATATCATCTCCGCATATCACTCAGTGGAATATGAGTATTCCTTCAACTCCTTCCTTCTCTCTTCCTTTTAGCAGATGAGGTTGATTACTCTCCCTGTGGCTTCCTGAACTAGAGTGTGTGAAGCACGAGTAACAATGGTGGAATGCTGTGGAGGAGGGAAAGGGCTCCAAACTATAAAAATGGAAAACAAATTCATGTGGTTGTAGTTACCCTTGTAGGTATTCTAAATCAATTACTCTGTTTGTAGGGAAATCCCTTTGATTCATCAAAGAAACAAAAATGAAATTTGGGCAAAGTAAATGGTTGCGTTTTACCACTCAGCAGTCTGTATACCTTGTGTCTCAGACCCTCCTAATTAGAAGACTATTTGAGGAAAACCTCTAAAAGTGAAACAAGAATTGTGACCAGTATGTTAGTGAAGGTAGAAAGTTGGCCCAATCCTTTAACTTATAACATCAGTTTTATATCCTGAAGTTAATATTATATATTAAGAAAAATACAATTTTAGATGGGATGGAACCAAAGCATTTATATGTTCAATTCTGTATGTACTAGTTGGTTGTTTTCCCCGTAAAATTACTTGTCTTCTTATTTTTTGAGACAGAGTCTCACTCCATCACCCAGGCTGGAGTGCAGTGGCATGATCTCAGCTCACTGCAACCTCAGCCTCCTGGTTTCAAATGATTCTCGTACCTCAGCCTCCCGAGTAGCTGGGATTATAGGGGTGTGCCACCATGCCCGGCTAATTTTTTTGTATTTTTAGTAGAGACAGGGTTTTGCCATGTTGTCCAGGCTGGTCTCGAACTCCTGACCTCAAGTGATCTGCCCACCTCAGCCTCCCAAAGTGCTGGGATCACAGGTGTGAACCACCGCACCCATCCAAAATTGCTTATCTTCTTAATGACTCCTTCCCATCATACCTTATCCCATTGACGTGGGTGTTGAGTAGTGGGCCCAGCACATCTGATCTTCCGTTTTGTCTGTGGGACTACATCTGTGAAACTTGGTTAGAGTTATAAGGTAGAAGGGAGGAGAAGAATGGTTTCAAAATAATTGCCACAATTTTTGTTCCAGATTCATTCATTTATTCATTCAACAAATTTTTATTGAGCACCTGTGTGCAAGGCACTGGAGATAAAGTGGTGAACCAGATAGACATGATTCTTGGCTGACAGCTTAATGAGAAAGAACAAAATTGACTAGTAATATAACTAAATAGGCTATTCCACCCAGTGGTAAGTGCTATGAAGGTAGAGCACAGTTTCTTTGAGAACGTATAACAGGGATCTAATCTAGTCTAGGGAATTAAAAAAGGCTCCCCTGAAGAAATGACATTCAAATTGAAATATGAAGGATGAGTATCACCCATTCAAATTTTTTATTCCCTCCCCAAGGAGCAAAATAGGTAGAAACTTTCTTAGCTATAGAATTTTCCCTATCATACCAAATATGTTTACCACTGATTTGAGCTGGGCAATTGTTCCTCCTATTTAAAAAATAATTTTAGAAAATTATTTTAATGAGTCCTTAATGTAATATATGTACTGAATTTTATTTGTGATTGTATCTTGAAACAAACTTGAATCAGCTAGAAGATACCTTTTTTTTTAATTAAAAAAAAATTTTTTTGAGATGGAGTTTCACTCTTGTCCCTCAGGCTGGAGTGCAATGGCATGATCTCAGCTCATTGCAACCTGCCCCTCCTGGGTTCACGCAACTCTCCTGCCTCAGCCTCCCAAGTAGCTGGGATTACAGGCAGGTACAATCACGCCCAGCTAATTTTTGTATTTTTAGTAGAGACGGGGTTTCACCATGTTGGCCAGGCTGGTCTTGAACTCCTGACCCGAAGTGATCAGCCCGCCTTGGCCTCCCAAAGTGCTGAGATTACAGGCATGAGCCACCGTGCCCGGTGAAGATACCATTTATTTAAAAGAGATCATTTAAGGCCAAGCATGGTGGCTCATGCCTATAATTCTAGCACTTCCAAAGGCCAAGGCAGGCAGATTGCCTGAGTCCAGGAGTTTGATGCCTGCCTGGGCAACACAGGGGGACCCCATCCTTACAAAAAAATACAAAAATTAGCTGAACATTTTGGCATGCACCTGTAGTCCCTGCTACTCGGGAGGCTGAAGTGGGAGGATTGCTTGAACCCAGGAAGCGGAGGTTGCAGTGAGCTGAGATTGTGCCATTGTAATCCAGCTTGGGCAACAGAGGGAGACCTTGTCTCAAAAATAAATAAATAAATAAATAAAAATAAAAGAGATTTTTTAGTCCAATCCTAACTTCCAGCAAAGGATTCTATTTTTTTTTTTATTAGATGGAGTTTTGCTCTGTCGCCAGGCTGGAGTGCAGTGGCGCGATCTCGGCTCACTGCAACCTCCGCCTCCTGGGTTCAAGCAATTTTCCTGCCTCAGCCTCCCGAGTAGCTGGGACTACAGGTGTGCGCCACCATACCCAGCTAATTTTTGTAGTTTTAGTAGAGACGGGGTTTTACCATGTTGGCAGCCAGGATGGTCTCCATCCCTTGACCTTGTGATTCACCTGCCTCGGGCTCCCAAAATGCTGGGATTACAGGCATGAGCCACCACGCCTGGCCCGAAGGATTCTATGTTTTCTGGGTTTTTTTTTTTTTTTTGGATGGAGTTTCACTCTTGTTGCCCAGGCTGGAGTGCAATGGTGTGATCTTGGCTCACTGCAACCTCCGCCTCCCGGATTCAAGTGATTCTCCTACCTCAGCCTCCCGAGTAGCTGGGATTACAGGCATGCGCCACCATGCCTGGCTAATTTTGTATTTTTAGTAGAGACGGGGTTTCACCATGTTGGTCAGCTGGTCTTGAACTCCCTAACTGAAGTGATCCGCCTGCCTCGGCCTCCCAAAGTGCTGGGATTACAGGCATGAGCCACCGTGCCTGGTGCTGTTTTCTACTTGAAGGCATATTACTTTTGTATTTGGAAAAAATAATAGAAGTAATTATACAAATTTATTAAGCCTACAGAAGTTCTATTTGACCTCTAACATTTGTTGTTACACTGTCCACACTTTCCAACTCTTTATGCAACTCTATTTTCAGGCTGATAAAATAGTTGTGTAACTGTAGCAACAGTTTCTTCCATAAACATAGACTTTCATGAAAATCAAATTAAAAAGGAAAAACCTATTATTAAATTCCTTTAAGGTCCACAACTAATTATCTTTAGCTTCTGGGGCTAGTGTGTGGATCAGTTAGTCTGTATATTCAGCTGCCTTTTTCAGCAAGGTGGAAAACCTCTTTCAAAGTTCAAAGACTAAAAACAGCCACAGAACCACAGAAGGTATTTGCTACCTGTGCTCAGAAGTGCACTTCCTAGCAGGTGTATTCTTCTAAAACAATAGCTGGAGAATAACAGTCTGCTTAGCACTCTTTCATTCTTTTATATTACATATTAAATCACAAGTATACCTAGGAAATAGCAGTGCCTGCCTTTGTGCACCCATGGATTTTGCCAAGGTTTGTTTCATTGGTCAGAGTCTTTACTTATTTATTATTTTTCTTAACTTTTATTTTTGGTTTGGAGGTACACGTGAAGGTTTGTTACATAGGTAAACACGTGTCATGGCAGAGTCCCAATTTAAATTTACCTCTCTGGATTCTGGATTCTTGACATTTTAAGATACTCCAGAGCAAGCTGCTGTATTTTTGGATTCCACTAAAAGTGCTGGTATCCAAGCCACCTTGATGTGTAAACAGTGTTGTCTCTCACACGAGAGGATAGAGCAGGACTGACTTAGCAAATAGAAACCACCTAAACCAAGTTATCTCTGTGGAAAATTATTACTGAGCTATAGCAAACTATCAAATTCATTATTACAATTCTATTATTATGTGTGGTGAGGGCTTTTGTGTTAGGTAGTTATTTGATTGGTACCTGACATTGATTCTGCCAGTTTGCATTTAAATAGAATGCCGAACATGAGAACTTAGGTGGAATAAAAGAGCACACGGGAAGAGTTAAGTGAAACACAGTAACAACAACAAAAATCCAGAGTTTATAGCTCCTCTCTTCTCGTTATTCTTATCCTTTTCCATTCTGGTTCTGGCCTGGCACTACTACTTATCTTCTCAACCTTGTATCATAATTTGGTCTCCTCAAATTAACACAGTGAGGGTTTATACTTTCAAAGGGGAAAAGAGGTGATAGATGGTGGAAGAGGCTAAAAAATTAAGGGAGTTGTAATCTCCCTATTTTCACCACTTTCCCTTGATCACCTAATTGAAGCTTTTGTGGTATAAGAGAAAGTTGAAGTCCGGTTAACGATACAAATTCATTTGAAGTGATGTGTAAGATTACTATTTATGAAGAGCCCTGAGCTTTAGATGTGACCTTAGGTCTGAAGTAGGAGTAGGGGATAGCACATGACAACTATCAGAATGACTTCTAGAGTTAGTTTAAAATTAATGTTTGAATACTACTTTATACTTAATGTATTTTGCATACAGTATATAATTTAATCCTCATAACAAACCCATTTTTTTTAAAAGCCAATTCTTCCACAAGAAAAATGGGAATGCCTGAATCTTACTATTATAAGTCTGTATCCTGGAATACTAAGGCCCATAGGCAACACAAACTGAAGTTCTTTTTCTTTTTTTTTTTCCCAAAGGACTGCTGCCATGGAAATTACCTTTTTCTGTCACTAGATTTATTTGTAGGATACACACAGCTCCTATAAAGTATCTACTCTAGGAGGACATATGGTATTATTGTATAATGCTTTGAAACAGAAAATTAAAAGGTGGTTCCCTTTCTTAGTGAGTAAACACAAAACCGCAATCTTCAGGAAGTAGAAATCAGATACCTCCGCTCTCCATGCTCAAAAGAGTAAAATTGTTAAAGATCAGCCTGCTCAGTCATGGTCTGACCAGAGTATCTATTTTATTGATGTTGAGAAGCACCTAATCTGTAATATATGAAGTCCTTCCTTAGACTATAAACTCTGAAGGCAAGAATCATGTCTCTTATTAAAAATGGTCTCTAGTGCTTAGCCCAATGCTTGGCACATTGTAGGTGCTTAGTTTAAATATTTATTGAATGAATGATAGTGCACAACATTGTAAAATTAGTCAATCTGGAGAGAAACAATCCTTTTTAGTATGATTTTTTCTTTTATTGATACCTAATATTTTACATATTTATGGGGTACATGTGAGTACTTTATACATGCATACAATGTGTAATGATCAAGTGAGGGTGTTTGGGGTTTCCATCACCTTGATAATTTATATGTTGGTAACATTGGAACTCCTCTTTTCTAGCTACTTTGAAATATGTGATGTATTATTGCTAATTATAGTCACCCTGGTCTGCTATGGAACATTAGAACTTTTTTCTTCTATCTAACTATAAGTTTGTACTCATTTGCCAAACTCTATTCATTTCTCCTTCTCATCCTGAGAAACAATCCTTACAATTAGTTTTATTGATGGTGAGGGAAGATATATAATCATTTTATTTTTAATTTTTAAAGTTCTGTTATTTTGGTGTGTACCTGAATGGAAAATACAAGGAAGGGAAAGGTTCTGGCTTCCAGATTAAGCTGATCAAAAGGGGCTACAGAGATTGTTGAGGCGCCTAAGTGAAAGGTCCTTAATGGAGCAAGAGAGACTTTATACTGCAACTGTTTGCTGATATTCAGAGGCAGAACTACCTATTTTTATCCTTTGGCCACATTCCAATGAACTGTCCCAGCAGATGGAACAGAGACTAAGAATTGGAAGGGTTATCCTTTGAGTGGAGAGTTGAAATTGTCAAGATACATGATCCCTGACTTTCAGATTTCTAGAGGATGATATAAACAGGTTAGGAGATGCCTAATCTAGTACCTCTGACCAATGACAATATCTGGAACTTTTGCTACCCTCTCTAGATAACTACATTTTTCACCTTACCCTAACTTTACTTCTACAGCAATCAGAGCTGTTTTATCTAGACAAGAAAGGCAGCTGCCCAAGGCCTTCTCCAGCTACGTTAGCTGGTGAAAAGGGGCCCTTTTTTACATTTATAAAGTGTGACTCTAACGTAATGGAACTATTTATGTATACACAAACCACACAGGAAAATTAGTCCCATTACCCCATAGTAATTTCCTATGTTTTTAACTTAATAGTTTTGCCCATAAATACCAAAAGGAATAAAAAAGGAAGGACTTTTTACAAGTGTTATTTATTTGTAGGCCAAATATTCTGCCTGTCACCTATCTTAGGATGC
The DNA here is from genome assembly GCF_000001405.40 of Homo sapiens. Classification (NCBI taxonomy): domain Eukaryota; kingdom Metazoa; phylum Chordata; class Mammalia; order Primates; family Hominidae; genus Homo; species Homo sapiens. The sequence continues at coordinate 106,986,255 of NC_000023.11, read as the reverse complement.
TTTTTACCTTTCTGATTTCTTTTTTTCTGATTTGTTTTTTCTTGTGTAATTGCAGCTTTGGCTTTACAGATAAAGTAATAAAGAAGAGCCAGTGTCCCATTGGGGTCTTTGGTAATGGTTTCAAGTCAGGCTCCATGCGGCTAGGAAAGGACGCCCTTGTCTTCACCAAGAATGGGGGTACTCTCACTGTTGGACTTCTATCACAGACCTATCTGGAATGTGTCCAGGCCCAGGCAGTTATTGTACCAATTGTTCCATTCAACCAGCAAAACAATATCCTTTCTGGAAATGGAGAATGTTGGTTAAAAATTAGTCTAATCTGAGTGTTTGATTAGATTCCAACTTCAGGTCAAATCCAACTGTCAGAAGTTTTAAAAGAGGTATTCAAATGTCTTAAATTTAACTGGGATTTTTCTCTATTAAACATTTAAAAAACAAGTAGAACATTGACATAAGCTTAGAAATGTTTTTGCTATATTGAAATTTTCATTGTTAGGCAGTTTGATCTATATAGTGTATCTCTGCTCTACCACCACCCCATGGTAAAGCTCCGAAGGCCTTCCTTTTTTTTTTTTTCCCCTAAGGATAGCTACATTTGCATTAATAGGCCTAGAAACATACTATTTATCAGCTTATATAATAGCAGAATAGCTCATTTCCCTATATCTGCACAGCTGTTACTTCTGTTAGACACCTGGTTCTCTTGACTGGAACAGTATAGCAATAAGGTTTTAACTTATTGCTTCCAAAGAAGTTAAAAAATTAAGCCTTTGATCTTTTAAATATAAGACTTTGTTTACATGATATCTTTGAAGCTATATTCTGCATGGGCAACTGATTTTGGAGCTTGTCTCTACAACCTTTCTCCATTTTTCACCTTTCCTCCTTCTATAGCAGTAATATGCATGCTGTATGTCTATAGTTTTGTCTAAATATGCAATCCAAAGGGCAGATCTTCCTTCTCAATAGCATCCTAAGATATTATTTTTTCTTTGACTATATTTGATTTTACAAAAAATGATTATTACCGAGGATTCATTGCCCAGCCTAGAAGCCATCTTGAACTATTCCATTTTCAACCGTGAAAATGACCTGCTGGCCCAGTTTGATGCCATCCCAGGCAAAAAAGGCACTCGTGTTCTCATTTGGAACATCCGCAGGTATAGTATTCCAAGGGTGATAGATTCTAATAAACAAAGGTAGTATGATGAAACACATTTTTATTTAATTTTAACTTTTAAAATTTTTATAAAAAGACAGGGTCTCATTATGTTGCCCAGGCTGGTCTCGAACACCTGGCTTCAAGTGATATTCCCTCCTTAGCCTCCCAAATTATTGGGATTACAAGTGTGAGCCACTGTGCTTGGCCTAGCACCTTTTAATAACTCTTTTTAGAGTAATTTAGAGCAAAGTAGATAAATTTTAATATATATCTCATTGCATACTTTTATGTAACTTTGTCTTAGAAAAACAAGAGTTCTGGCCGGGTGCGGTGGCTCATGCTTGTAATTCCAGCACTTTGGGAGGCCGAGGTGGGCAGATCATGAGGTTGAGAGATCGAGACCTCTCACCTGGCCAACATGGTGAAACCCCGTCTCTATTAAAAAAAAAATACAAAAATTAGCTGGGCATGGTGGTGTGTGCCTGTAGTCCCAGCTACTTGGGAGGCTGAGGCAGGAGAATCGCTTGAACCCAGGAGGTGGAGGTTGCAGTGAGCAGAGATCGCGCCTCTGCACTCCAGCCTGGTGACAGAGTGAGACTCTGTCTCAAAAAAAAAAAAAAAAAAAAAAGAAAAAAGAAAAACAGAGTTGTTTGAGTTAGTGGTTTTTGTTGGTAAAATGTGGCATGTTTAAGGTGGAAACACACATATCCTGAGGCTATTGCCACAGATAATTAAGACAGTTTAGCATATTCTAAGCTCCTCAGAATCCTTTATAAATATCTATTTCATATTCATGGACATTTTTTTTTTTTGAGACAGAGTCTCTCTTGCCCAGGCTGGAGTGCAGTGGTGCAAACTTGGTTCACTGTAACCTTCACCTCCTGGGTTCAAGTGATTCTCATGCCTCAGCCTCTCGAGTAGCTGGGATTACAGGTGTGCGCCACCATGTCTGGCTAATTTTTATATTTTTTTCTAGAGACGGGGTTTTGCCATGTTGGCCGGGCTGATCTTGTACTCCTGACCTCAAGTGATCCACCCACCCCAGCCTCTATTACTGGCATGAGCCACCGTGCCTGGCCAATAGGCATTTTTTTAAGTTTGGTAATTGATAGTTATTTTACCTATTAGACAATGACAATGAAGTATGAGAAAAAAAATTAGAGTAAACAAAGCACAATAAGATCTTTAAAAAATAAGGAGTTCTGTGTTAGTGCTTTCACAGTAGCTGGGTTAGAAGTAGAAAAATCTGGCCAGGTGTGGTGGCTCACACCTGTAATTCCAGTACTTTGGGAGGCCAAGGCAGGAGGATCACTTGAGGCCAGGAATTTGAGACCAGCCTGGGCAACAAAATGAGACCCTGTCTCTTTAAAAAAAAAAAAAAGAAGTAGAAAAAATCTTTGAAGCAGATAAATATGAACTATAATGAGACTAGGTTAAGATCATGTCTTCAAAACTAATAAAAATCTAGAAATACTTTATGCTATTTCATTTGTTTAATCTTAGCATGTCTAATGGAATACATTTAAGAATGGATTAACACCTAAACACTAAAAAATAACCCTAAAAACCTTTAATATAAAATAGAGGTATTACTGATATGTTTAATAGAAAAGATTATCGGATAAATGTATTCTTCCTTTTCTCCTTAGGTGAAGTATTTTGTCTCATTTACCTGGGTAAAACAAATAAAAACAATGCTAGTTTATATAGAGAGTACTGTACTTAACAATTAAAAGAAGTGTGACTCACACATTGGTAATTTAGATCTTCCCTGTGTCCTACTGAGAAAACCTCAAGTAATATAGTTTGTATTACAAAGAATTTTTTGAGGTATTTCCAGTGATTTACATATCTTAAACAGAACTTTTTCTTTGTATGTCGTTTCCCAGTTATGTATATGGTACTAGGTGGTATACAGGTTGACTTTCCCTAATCCAAAAATCTAAAATCGGAAGTGCTACAAAATCCAAAACATTTTGAGCACAGACATGACAACTCAAAGGAAATGATCATTGGAGCATTTTGGATTTTGGATTTTTGGATTAGGGGTGCTCAACCAGTAAGTATAATGCAAATATTTCAAAATCCAAAAGGATCCAAAACACTTCTGGTCCCAAGCATTTCAGTTAAGGGATATTCAACCTGTATAAATAAAGGATTACATGGTCAAACAAATTTGGGAAAAGCTGACTTAAAGTTTACTGTGTTGCTTTATTGTAGGACTTCTGAGAGTCCTGGAGTCCTTTAATATACTAATGTGCGTTGAAAATATGTAAAAGAGCAATATAGTATGAAGTATTTCCCAATCAATTTTTAAAAAGTATTTCTTCAGGTTGGGTGGTGGCTCACACCTCTAATCCCAGCCCTTTGGGAGGCTGAGATGGGAGAATCGCTTGAGCCCAGAAGTTGGAGGCGACAGTGAGCTATGATCATGCCACTGCACTCTAGCCTGGGCAGCAGAGAAAGACCCTGTCTCTAAGAAAATGTTTCTACAGACCTTTTTTCCTTAGATGGGGAATGTGAGGGACAAGGAGGATAGAGAATCTCCTCAGGGCATATGCATTGGGGTCAGGTGGGGTAGTGAGAATCAGAATTATCCTGGAAAATCCATAATAAGCTATTATACATTGACATGGGCATGATGCAGACAACAGACCATAATGGCTCTGGTGCAGCCCTGTAAAAGGAGCTACAATTTCAACACAGCAGCTCTGAGCTTATAGAGCCTGAAGTATGAAGCAGAGTTATCACTAGAGCTCGAGTTGACTCTGAGGGCTAAGAATGATTTCTCAATTTTATTTGATCATAGAACTTTTATGTATTTATTTCTTTTTAAGAGTATCTTGTGAGATTACTGTTCCACAGAACAAATTTTGGGAAGTACTGTTCTGATATATACATTTTTACTAAAACCTGTCATTTGAGTTTTTTCCAAGAATAAAGATGGGTCTTAACGTTTTTTCCCTGGCAGTGGTTAGTGATATAGCTCAGGGTCTTGGAATGGATCAAAACCAAGTGGCCCAAAAAGATTATGGGAACAAGAAAGGTCCTTATGAAAGGAATGTTAGTACCATTATGTTTAAATGATAATTCTATAAATGGTATCCTAGAGGACTAGTTAAATATATGCTGCTTTTGTAACAATCTTTTTTCCTTTTAAGAAATAAGATTAGATCTGGGGAGATCTTAGTGTCTTATTAGTCTGAAGTTGGTAGAAGTGGGTTTTGATTCATCTGTTTATTCAGTTGGGGAAAATGATGTTGAGTGACTTACTAACAATACCCAGAAAGCTTGTGTCTATTTCAAGATCCCACTTTGAGGATAGCTGACATCCATTTGATTTATCAGATCATAGACATTCCACATTCTTTTTTCCTTATGAATGTGGCATCATCACCTCTATGAAAGAGTAGATTTGTTTAGAATGGGAATACCCTTAAGTATTGTCTGATCCTCTACCCAAGTAGTTTGTAGTTCCTTTGCACTGGTAGTCAGGGAAAGAAACAGATACCTGAGTTTTGGCTCATATTGTTTTTTTTTCTTTTGGGCTCCTAGTGCATTTTTTTGTCCTCTGGAGCCAGTTTTTGTTAGATTGGTACTTGTCTCTTTTCCCCAGAAATAAAAATGGAAAATCTGAGTTGGACTTTGATACAGATCAATATGACATCCTGGTATCAGACTTTGACACAGAAGAAAAAATGACTGGCGGTGTTACCTCTGAGCTACCAGAAACAGAATATTCTTTAAGGGTAAGTAAGAATGGTTTTTCAACAATGAGAGGTAAGATTTCCTGTAACCTGAAAATATTATAGAACAAGATCTTCTTTTAGTTATACAAAGATAACAACGTTCCAGCCATGTGCTAGTATTCCTTTTTATTGTCTCCATTGAGACCGTTTAGATAATATAGTCAGCAGTACTTTAGTGTGGTAGTTTACATAGTGTAATAAGGTATAGAAACTGAGCCAAATCTTTGCCCAGCATAGATATCAGTTGGTAGCAGTGTTTTATGGGGATGTCAGCAGAATTGGCAATATCACATAATAACTTTCCCTTCACCATTCTGTTCCGTAGGCATTTTGTGGTATTCTATACATGAAGCCACGCATGAAAATTTTTCTGCGTCAAAAGAAGGTGACTACCCAGATGATTGCCAAGAGCCTGGCCAATGTAGAATATGATACATATAAACCTACCTTCACAGTATCCTTACAAGTGTACCACTACATGAAGTTGACCTCTTTATTTCAGGATTAAGTTTTCAGGTTGACACAGAAAAACAAAAACTTTCCCTTTCAAATTAAAAAGTGTATGTCATAGTACACATTCTATTACAGTGTACTCTGAGGAAGTCTTTCTTAAATGCCAATCTGTGTACCATTTTTATCAGAAATCACCTGGAAACTGTTGAAATAATAGAATCTTGAGACTTTGGAGATTCTGGTTCAGTAGTGTCTGAAACCTTTTTTAAAAAAAATAAGAATTATTTATTTATTTTAAAATCCTCAGCTGATTCTAATGAGCAGCCAGGTTTGAGAACCTCTGCTATAAGGAATAATACACATTATTTGGTTTGTACTGGATTTTGATATATATTAAATTGATTGAAATTAGCAAAATACTGACTAGAACGTCTTAATCTTGTAGATGCACTGCAATTTTTTGTTGGAACAGGTCCAGACTTACATTGATTGAAATTAGGAGGGTGGAAATTAAAAGGTGATTTTCTAGAGTGAAGTAAATCTTCTTAGGTTTGACATAAATTCCTGGTACTTTTCATAATGGTAGCCACTCAGAGGAGCCATTACTTGTTTTTACTTCTACCTCTCCCTTGCATAGCATTGAGAATGGATTTCAGAAACTAGAAAAAAATCTTAAGATGAACTATGGAAATTAGGTACAACTTTGTTGATGGCTTTTGGGGCAGAAAACATCTTTGAAAGGCTGAAAACTTGCAAGGTTATGAAAAATTGTCCTTTTAATTTATTTTCTAGTAACTAAGCACCACTCTTGGCCCGAGAAACATGTTTACACTCTATTTGCTTTATCAAAGGCATTATCTAGCATGCTTTGTCTTTCCCTGACCAAAAATGAGAAATCGTTGGTCTCTTTTTTCTCCTTTTTGAGAACACATATCTTGGCTACTAGGAATGTTTTCTTAAAGCATAAACAAATCAATTTAATAAAGCCAGAGCTAGCATTGTTTGCTTCTATAGGTGAATTAGTTATAATCTCACCATATGTAGACTAGGATGTTGGTGCCATAGGTTTAACAGAGCCAGTCTAAAGAAGTGCTTGCCAACTACTGTGTTAGGATATAACACATACCTGTCTCTAGCTTTTTTCTTTTGTGGGTTTCTATCAGGGAAACTTCTATGCATGCATTCTATATGTTACCTCGACTCTTCTCAGACTCCCTTCCCATTAAACCAAATTACCTTCCGATATTATAGTTTGGACTAAACAGATTTACTGTAGACATGAGTAAAATGAAAGTCCTAATAAAATTTCCCCCAAGGTCACTGAGGAACAAGATCATTGATACTAACTTACTTACTTCTCAATTATCAAAGGCCACTTCTTTCATCTTTGTTCTCTCTCCTTATGCTAATTTGGTGTCTCCTACCCCACTGTACCCTCACTCCATAATTTAGAATTTTAAAAGTGCACAACAGAAAGAAAAATTTGACAGTCTTTATCTTTACAAAGATAATTTTATGGCATAGGATTTTGGTTTGTTTGCTTGCAGGAGTTTTGTCTTGTTTTGTTTTTGCGTTAGAATAGGTCTTATTTGAGGTTTTATATGAACTGCTAGAGCCCAGAACATTATATATTCTGAGCCAAACATTACTGTGTTATGCACCCACTTGAGTCATGTCTTTGTATCATATGTGACCCATTTGTTATAGGGTTTTGATGCAAGTAGCTTGTCTTTTAGAGGGGGCATGGAGATCATTTTTTGAATAAGTAACAAAAGTAAATTTTCATTCAACTCATTTAGACATGAAGGTTTCTTAGTATTTGTTTTAATGAAAATCTCAGTTTCTCTATCTCCCCTTTATCTTTCTCACTTACTTACCTTGGTTTTTAAATTAAGTAGGACTTGTTAAAAACTCATCATTATTCATGTTTTACTTATAATAATCAGTTGTCTTCATTTCATTTATCCAAGCTTGTTAACTTCTTCCCATGAAATATATCACTACAGGACTATTCATTGTTCTTTACCTTTGCTTTTGCTTTCATTGTGTTTGGTATGGTAAGAAGGATTTACCTTATTGGATATAATTGTACAGATTTGTATTGGACCATTTACAGCTCTTATCAGAACCTATGTGCCCTAGCAGCAAACTGAGCAACTAGCAAGGGCTAAGAAATGTTTTATGATTATTTGTCAATTTTTAAATCACTGATGGTATTTAGGTATCTTTTCTTACAGTCTTTCTATGCATGTGTGTGTGTGTGTGTGTGTGCGTGTGTGTGTGTGATGTTTTTATAATCTGAGCGTTTCCTGATATTCTCAAATATTTCAAGGACATAATTTTAAAAGAGATGCATATGGCTATATCAACATTTATTTAATCATTTCTTTATTGTTGAACATTTAAATTATTTCTGTTTCTCTGCTTTTATAACAAATTGAAAAACCTCTGTAATTCCTTAACGTTTGTGGGCCTCCCTGACTGTTTCTGTGGGATAAATTCTTAAAAAGAGAATTACTTGGTCAAATATTAAGAATATTCTTAAAGCTATTGCAACAGATGTTTAAATGCCCGCAAAAAGGTTGTACCAATTTATGTCCCTTGGTATTTGATGGTTTTTGCTATAATATGGTGTAAAATTTTGTCGTTGAAGCCCCTGGTATGTTTGTCTCCTTAACGATGTTCTTCTCAGAATAAGCAGGTGAGAATCACCTTTGGGTTCTCTTGCAAGAATAGTAACCAGTTTGGAATAATGATGTATCATAACAACCGACTCATAAAATCTTTTGAGAAGGTGGGGTGCCAGGTGAAGGTGAGTAGTTAATATTTCTTTGTCATAGGAGGCTGAAAAGAGTAGGAAGAGAATTTAAAATTTGCAAAGGGGATAGGCTCATTAATGGCTTTTACTCCCATCTTATGATGCTTATTGAATTCTGATCCTGGAATTGTGTTACCAGTGAGCTGTCTTGTGTTGAAATCTCTTTCTAACTCTCATTCTTCAGCTGTTAATCAACCCAACAACTTTACTGAATGCATTTTCTAAGTAGCTGTCAATAAGAGGCAGAATTAGAATACCAGCAAGCTTACCATGTGTGTCAGCTTATTTGTGTTTTAGGTAACTCCATTTTCTTGGAGAGACAATAAGGCATAGTGGAAGGCATATAAAATATGGTGGTTGAAGACCAGGATTTGGGTCCTGAATTTTCCATTTACAAGCTGTGTAACCTTGGATAAATTGTTTAATTTATCTGAAGCTCAATTTCCTGACCTTTATGTAAAGTGGAAACAACAATAATAAGCATACCTGCTTTGCCTGCCTCACAGCTTACAGGGTTGAGAGATTTAAATGGGATAAATTATGTGAAAATATTTTTTAAACCACTCTATACAAATTTTACCATCATCTTTAATGTCTTAATGATTATTTAAAGTAGTAATGTCTACAAGTATCCCTTTTATTCCTATTTTACAGATAAGATTGCTAAAGCACAAAAAATGATGAACTGCTTCAACATAGTAAGACAGTTATATAAAGCCCAGGATAGCTCGTTTTCAGCCTATTTTGTTTTCCCTTGTTATAGCACCTTTAGACAACTCGTGTTTGTGTTCCAGTCCAATTACACCTTTACTTAGTTTCTTCCATTAAAGAATTAGAATATGATTTAAATCTATAAAACTCTTGCGTCAACTTGTAATTAATAATTGCTGTAAGTGTGACTCTTTAGTAGTTGTTTGGTGGCCTATGTATGTGGGAAAATTGTTTATTTTAATATAGGATCACACAGAACCCTTAAAATTGTTTTCAGATGAATATTTGTTTCAGTTCCTTAGAACAGTAGTATATAACCTTGGTTTTTTAGCACGGTAATTCTTTATTCAAATGCAGTCTTATGGCAGTCCTGGAATATAAAGCAGATAAAAGTGGAGGTAGTGTGGGTGAAGTAGAGATGGCTACTAATTGCAGAAGACTCCTAGGGATCTATGGATCATATTTTGAAAATCTCTGCCCTAGAATTTGTCAGAATTTCTAGTTCAGTTTAATGCTTGCAGTCTGTTGATGTACATTCTAAGTGTTTCTCTAGATCTTGATGGTCTTTTCTTGCCCATGAAGGTTATGTAACCTTTCTATTATTGTTTGGAATCAAAAGGAAATGCCTCCAGGCAGCCAACAGTAATGTAAGTGTTGAAATTAATATTTTCTTCTAAGCCAACTCGTGGAGAAGGTGTAGGAGTAATTGGAGTCATTGAGTGCAATTTCCTAAAACCTGCCTACAACAAACAAGACTTTGAGTATACCAAGGAGTACCGGTGAGTCACTCCCAACCTGAGGTGCTTCCGTTAGTTTGTTCAGATATGATTCTGTTCTCTAAAGCCTCTAAAACCATCTCTAAAAAGCAGCTAAATAAGTTAACTGAGAATTACTTCAAATTTGTTTTCCAAGATTAGAGATAAAATGCTTTCATTTTTAAATTAAAGTTTGCTGAATGATATATGGAGTCTCGTTGAGATAAACCTTACCTTTAGAAATTATGCAAAGAGCATAGGAGTAATTTGGTAAAAGATTTCTGGGGAAATGAAAAGCTTTGGAATTGATCTTAATGGAAACAGATGAATGGATCTGAAGTTATGGAATACATTGGATAAAAAAAAGCAGTTTGAAATTTGTTCCAAAAATTTTTCTTGAAGCCAGTGAACAGATTTAGAGCAAAGTGATGGAACAGCAGGAAAGACATGTGCTTTCATTAAAGCATCTAGATTTAATAGGGCAGGCAAACAGGTAAGAATCTGAAAGGAACTCGACATTATGGCTGAACCAGTAGGGATATTTTTCGAAAGGAGTTTTTAAAGCCAGGTTAGAATAGTTTGTTTAAAAAATGTCGAGAGGGAGATGGGTCTTTATTTCATTAAGTATTATGAGACAGCTTCTATGTGCCAGGTACTAAGGATGAAAAATAAGACTCTTTGATACCTATGAACAAATATGTATGCAAATAAGAAACTTAAATACTTATAAAATAATTGCTTTAATAGGGGGTATGTGCAAAGTGGGGAGAACTTTAAATATGCTTAAGGGAGTCAGGGAAGGCTTCACAAAGCAGATTATATTTGATATTAAATATGAAGGAAAAGTTTTCTAGGTGGACAATAGAGGAAGGACATTCTAAGCAGAGGGAAGTATCTGTAAGGGCAAAAAAGGGTAAGAGGTATTCTGGGAGTATGGAGAAAGAAGGCATGAGGACATTTGCGGTCATTTTCCTTGAAGTCTCAGTAGCAAATATTTTTCTTAGAGTGGGAGAAAAGAAATTTCCCAAATCTCTTTTGTTTTGTGCCCAAACTGTAATAAAGTCAAGTCTTGTACCTTAATTTGTCTGTAACCACAAGAATTTTAGGTTTAGTGTTTGAGAGAGATAACTATTTGAATGGCAACTCCAAATTAATTTCAGGGTAATTGGTTCATGGTTACTTGGGCTACTCAGTGGTTATGACAACTACCTGCCCTCAGTCTAAGTAAAATGGTCATTTAAATGTAAATCTGGCCCATAATGGAAATCTTTGACCAGGACTTAACTCTAAGTGAAAGCTTAGGAATGACATTAGTTTGACAGAAGTCTCCGAGTCAAGTTATTATGTTTCAATTGAGTGAAAGGAATAGTGAATTGCTGATGACTACCTAAATAATTAAGATTTGTGAAATTCAAATGTTAGATATTAAAAATTATTTAACATCTTTCTATATCATCTTTGCCACCAACCCCCCAAGTCTACCTTTAAAATTTTACAGGCATTAGATCTTTGGTTTTTGATGTCTAGTTTTGGTATGATGAGGTGATTGCAGTGGATCAGATAGAGATAGTCTGTAGACAGTAGATTTATTCAGTTGAACACACAGGATTTCTGACTTACTTAGCATAACATCTGCTACACACTTTATTAAAAACAGGGAACTAGTATACTATTCTGCGTACAGTCTTTTGAGGATAACAAATTTGCATAACTCATGCCAATTCTGGCACCATTGCCCTTTTTTATTCAATTTATTTTATATAAAATGAAAAGGTATTTAAATTAAAAAAAGGAATTTAAGAGAGGGATTAGAGAAGGTTGTCTGCTATAACAAACTCATCCTATGAGTATTATAGATATCAAAACCTGCAAATGATAAAAGAGATACCAGCCATCATACTGCTGGAATGTCTACAAATAAATCATCTGTAATACCACTTTTAACAGTTGTGGAGCTTACAGTCATTTGTATAAACAGATTGTAACATATATGAAGTAATTTGGCGAGCAATAAAAAAGCTCTTTAATCAACCAAAACCTAAGTAGTATGTTATGGGGAAAATGCCTTGATATAGGAGATGGGGAAGGTTTTGGGTAGAAAGTATGACTTGAGATATGTCTCACATGATATAAGATGTGGAAGAGAGGAAAGGGAATTCTAGGATGGAATTGTAGCATGAGCTAAGGTAGTGACAGGAACTCAGAATGGTAAGAATATGGAGAGAGGAGATAACAGGATATAGCTAGAGTGAAGGCAAATCAAGTTAAATGAGTAGAGTAGAGCCATACCCCAGAGCAGCAGTTGGTAAACTTTTTCTGAAAAGGGCCAGAAAGGGTCACAACTACTTGATTTTGCTGTAGTATGAAAGCAGCCATAGACAATAAGTAAAGGAATTGGCATGGGTATGTCTAATAAAATTTTGTTTACAAAAACAGGCAGTGGGCTGGATTTGGCTCCAGTTTGCTGACCTCTGTCCTAGAACCATCATTCCTAAATTACATACTAAGCTACACATAATGAATTCATAGGAGAGCCATGAGGTATTTTACATCTTTGAGGGAAATACAGTGATACTCAACTTCTGTCTATAAACCACAGAAATTGTCTTCTATTGCTGTCATAACAAATTACCACATAACTTAGTGGCTGAAAACAATACTAATTTACTGTCGTAGCGTGCTGTAGGTTGGATGTCCTACACAGATCTTACTGGGCTATAATCGAGGTGTTGGCAGGGCTGCATTCCTTTCTGGAGGCTCTAGGGAATAATCCATTTTCCTGTCTTTTCCAGCTTATAGAGGCTGCCAGCATTTCTTGCCCATGGCCCTCTTCCATCACCTTCAAAGCTAGTAGTGACAGGTTGAGTCCTCATATTGCATCACTCTGATGACCTTGCTTTTGTCATCACATCTTCTCTGATTCTGACTCTTCTGCTGCACTCTTCTACTTTTAAGGTCCCTTGTGATTACATTGGATAATTCAGGATATTCTTCCTATCTTAAGGTCAACTTGATGAGTAACCTAAATTCCCACTTGCTGTGTAAACATTATTATGTCTATCACAGTCTGCCCTTTGTTCTCTCAGATTCCACTTACATCTCATATGCAAAATATATTCACCCCGTCCCAACGTTTCCAAAAGTCCCTACCCATTACAGCATCAATGCAGAGTCAAAAATTTCATGTAAATGTCATCAGCTCAAAAGTCTCAAATCTCATTATCTAAATCACATAAGGGCAATACTCTGAGTATGGCACATCTTAGGGCAAAACTCCTCTACATCTGTGGATATGTATTTTCTTTTTTGTATTTTGCTGTTAAAGTACAGTGGTGGGACAAGCATAGGATACTAATTATATATATTCTTGTTTGAATGGGGGAGAAACTAAAAGGAAAAAAGGGGTCACAGGTCACAGGCATTTTCAAAATCTAGCCAGGCACATTCCATTAAATGTCAAGGCCTTCATCCTCTAGTCTTGAGGCTTTGCCCTCTGGACTTAGGGCTCCACCCTCAAAGCTGTCTTTCCTTTTTCCTGAAGGGTAGCATGTGTTGGCAGCTGAGTAGTTTCATCAGCCTGTTTCCTGACTGTAGAATTTTGAGGGTCAAACAGGATTCTCTCCATCCCTTTCAATTCAAGCTAGCTTTTTGTTTTGATTTTTTGTTTGTTTGTTTGTTTTTGAGATGGAGTTTTGCTCTTGTTGCCCAGGCTGGAGTGCAATGGCAACCGCAACCTCCCCATCTGGGGTTCAAGCGATTGTCCTGCCTCAGCCTCCCGAGTAGCTGGGATTACAGGCATGCGCCACCACGCCCGGCTAATTTTGTATTTTTAGTAGAGACGGGGTTTCTCCATGTTGGTCAGTCTGGTCTTGAACTCCCGACCTCAGGTGATCTGCCTGCCTCGGTCTCCCAAAGTGCTGGGATTTCAGGTGTGAGCTACTGTGCCCGGCCTCAAGCTAGCTTTCATGCTAGCGTGCCATTCTTAAGAACCTTGTGAGTCTCCCATGCGTGTCATGTATATTCATGTCATCCAACAAGAGGCTCTTGGCAGGTCTTTCCTAGGGAATCCTATATCTATTTTTTGGCTCCAGCTGAGATGGCTATGGAGATCTGTGAGTCACAGGCTTTATCTTTTTTTTATTATTATACTTTAAATTCTGGGTTACATGTGCAGAACGTGCAATTTTGTTATGTAGGTATACACGTGCCATGGTGGTTTGCTGCACCCATCAACCCTTCACCTACATTAGGTATTTCTCCTAATGTTATCCCTCCCCTAGCTTCCCACCCCCTACAGGCCTCAGTGTGTGATGTTCCCCTCCCTGTGTCCATGTGTTCTCATTGTTCAACTCCCACTTATGAGTGAGAACATGCGGTGTTTGGTTTTCTGATCTTGTGATAGTTTGCTGAGAATGATGGTTTCCAGCTTCATCCATGTCCCTGCAAAGGACATGAACTCATCCTTTTTTATGACTGCATAGTATTCCATGTGTATATGTGCCACATTTTCTTAATCCAGTCTATCATTGTTGGACATTTGGGTTGGTTCCAAGTCTTTGCTATTGTGAATAGTGCCACAATAAACATACGTGTGCATGTGTCTTTATAGTAGAATGATTTATAATCCTTTGGGTATATACCCAGTAATGGGATTGCTGGGTCAAATGGTATTTCTAGTTCTAGATTCTTGAGGAATCGCCACACTGTCTTCCACAATGGTTGAACTAATTTACACTCCCACCAACAGTGTCAAAGGGTTCCTATTTTTCCATAACCTCTCCAGCATCTGTTGTTTCCTGACTTTTTAATGGTCGCCATTCTAACTGGCGTGAGATGGTATCTCATTATGGTTTTGATTTGCATTTCTCTAATGACCAGTGATGATGAGCATTTTTTTCATATGTCTGTTGGCTGCATAAATGTCTTCTTTTGAGAAGTGTCTGTTCATATGCTTTGCCCATTTTTTGATGGGGTTGTTTGCTTTTTCATTGTAAATTTGTTTAAGTTCTTTGTAGATTCTGGATATTAGCCGTTTGTCAGATGGATAGTTTACAAAATTTTTCTCCCATTCTGTAGGTTGCTTGTTCATTCTGATGATAGTTTCTTTTGCTGTGCAGAAGCTCTTTAGTTTAATTACATCCCATTTGTCAATGTTGGCTTTTGTTGCCATTGCTTTTGGTGTTTTAGACATGAAGTCTTTGCCCATGCCTATGTCCTGAATGGTATTGCCTAGGTTTTCTTCTAGGATTTTTATGGTCCTAGGTCTTACATTTAAGTCTTTGATCCATCTTGAGTTGATTTTTGTATAAGGTGTAAGGAAGTGGTCCAGTTTCAGTTTTCTGCATATGGCTAGCCAGTTTTCCTAACACCATTTATTAAATATCGAATCTTTTCCCTATTGCTTGTGTGTGTCAGGTTTGTCAAAGATCAGATGGTGGTAAATGTGTGGTATTATTTCTGAGGCCTCCGTTCTGTTCCTTTAATCTGTATATCTGTTTTGGTACCAGTACCATGCTGTTTTGGTTACTGTAGCCTTGTAGTAAAGTTTGAAGTCTGGTAGTGTGATGCCTCCAGCTTTGTTCTTCTTGCCCAGGACTGTCTTGGCTATGCGGGCTCTTTTTTGCTTCCATATGAAGTTTAAAGTAGGTTTTTCCAATTCTGTGAAGAAAGTCAGTGGTAGCTTGATGGGGATAGCATTGAATCTATAAATTACTTTGGGCACTAAGGCCATTTTCACAATATTTGTTCTTCCTATCCATGAGCATGGAGTGTTTTTCCATTCGTTTGTGCCCTCTCTTATTTCCTTGAGCAGTGGTTTGTAGTTCTTGAAGAGGTCCTTCACATCCATTGTAAGTTATATTCCTAGGTATTTTATTCTCTTAGTAGCAACTGTGAAGGGCAGTTCATTCATGATTTGGCTCTGTTTTTCTATTATTGGTGTATAGGAATGCTTGTGATTTTTGCGCATTGATTTTGTATTCTGAGACTGCTGAAGTTGCTTATCAGCTCAAGGAGATTTTGGGCTGAGACAATGGGGTTTTCTAAGTATACAGTCATGTCATCTGTAAACAGAGACAATTTGACTTCCTCTCTTCCTATTTGAATACCGTTTATTGCTTTCTCTTGCCTGATTGCCCTGGCCAGAACTTCCAATACCATGTTGAATAGGAGTGGTGGGAGAGGGCATCCTTATGCCAGTTTTCAAAGGGAATGCTTCCAGTTTTTGCCCATTCGGTATGATATTGGCTGTGGGTTTGTCATAAATAGCTCCTATTATTTTGAGATAGGTTCCATCAATACCTAGTTTTTTGAGAGTTTTAGCATGGAAGGCTGTTGAATTTTGTCGAAGGCTTTTTCTGCATCTATTGAGATAATCATGTCGTTTTTGTCATTGGTTCTGTTTATGTGATGGATTATGTTTATTGATTTGTGTATGTTGAACCAGCCTTGCATCCCAGGGATGAAGCCAACTTGATTGTGGAGGATAAGCTTTTTGATGTGCTGCTGGATTCGGTTTGCCAGTGTTTTATTGAGGATTTTCACATCGATGTTCATCAGGGATATTGGCCTAAAATTTTCTTTTTTTGTTGTGTCTCTGCCAGGCTTTGGTATCAGGATGATGCTGGCCTCATAAAATGAGTTAGGGAGGATTCCCTCTTTTTCTATTGATTGGAATAGTTTCAGAAGGAATGGTACCAGCTTCTCTTTGTATCTCTGGTAGAATTCAGCTGTGAATCCATCTGGTCCTGGACTTTTTTTGGTTGGTAGGCTATTAATTATTGCCTCAATTTCAGAGCCTGTTACTGGTCTATTCAGAGATTCAGCTTCTTCCTGCTTTACACTTAGGAGGGTGTATGTGTCGAGGAATTTATCCATTTCTTCTAGATTTTCTAGTTTATTTGCGTAGAGGTGTTTATAGTATTCTCTGATGGTAGTTTGTATTTCTGTGGGATTGGTGGTGATATCCCCTTTATCATTTTTTATTGTGTCTATTTGATCCTTCTCCCTTTTATTCTTTATTAATCTTGCTAGCAGTCTGTCTATTTCGTTGCTCTTTTCGAAAAATCAGCTTCTGAGATTCATTGAATTTTTGAAGGGATTTTTGTGTCTCTATCTCCTTCATTTCTGCTCTGATCTTAGTTATTTCTTGCCTTCTGCTAGCTTTTGAATTTGTTTGCTCTTGCTTCTCTAGTTCTTTTAATTGTGATGTTAAGGTGTTGATTTTAGATCTCTCCTGTTTTCTCTTGTGGGCATTTAGTGCTATAAATTTCCCTCTACAGACAGCTTTAAATGTGTCCCAGAGATTCTGGTACGTTGTGTCTTTGTTCTCATTGGTTTCAAAGACCATCTTTATTTCTGCTTTCATTTCATTATTTACCCACCAGTCATTCAGGAGCAGGTTGTTCAGTTTCCATGTAGTTGTGTGATTTTGAGTGGGATTCTTAATCCTGAGTTATAATTTGATTGCACTGTGGTCTGAGAGAGTTTTTTGTGTTTTATTTTACATTTGATGAGTGTTTTACTTCCAATTACTTGGTCAATTTTAGAATGAGTGCTATGTGGTACTGAGAAGAATGTATATTCTGTTGATTCGTGGTGGAGAGTTCTGTAGATGTCTATTAGGTCTGCTTGGTCCAGAGCTGAGTTCAAGTCCTGGATATCCTTGTTAATTTTCTGTCTTGTTGATCTGTCTAACGTTGACAATGGAGGGGTGTTAAAGTCTCCCATTATTATTGTGTGGGAGTCTAAGTCTCTTTGTAGGTCTCCAAAAACTTGCTTTATGAATCTGGGTGTTCTTGTATTGGGTGCATATATATTTAGGGTAGTTAGCTCTTCTTGTTGAATTGATCCCTTTACCATTATGTAATGGCCTTCTTTGTCTCTTTTGATCTTTGTTGGTTTAAGGTCTGTTTTATCAGAGACCAAGATTGCAACCCCTGCTTTTTTTTTTTTTTTTTTTTTTTTGCTTTCCATTTCCTTGGTAGATCTTCCTACATTCCTCTATTTTGAGCCTGTGTGTGTCTTTGCATGTGAGATGGGTCTCCTGAATACAGCACACCAGTGGGTCTTGACTCTTTATCCAGTTTGCCAGTCTTTGTCTTTTAATTTGGCATTTAGCCCATTTACATTTAAGGTTAATATTGTTATGTGTGAATTTGATCCTGTCATTATGATGCTAGCTGGTTATTTCACCTGTTAATTGATGCAGTTTCTTCATAGTGTCAATGGTGTTTATAATTTGGCATGTTTTTGCAGTGGCTGGTACCAGTTGTTCCTATCCATGTTTAGTGCTTCCTTCAGGAGCTCTTGTAAGGCAGGCCTGGTGGTGACGTAATCTCTCATCATTTGCTTGTCTGTAAAGGATTTTATTTCTCCTTCACTTATGAAGCTTAGTTTGGCTGTATATGAAATTCTCGTTTGAAAATTCTTTTCTTTAAGAATGTTGAATATTGGCCCCTACTCTCTTCTGGCTTATAGGGTTTCTGCACAGAGATCCACTGTTAGTCTGATGGGCTTCCCTTTGTGGGTATCCCGCCCTTTCTCTCTGGCTGCTCTTAACAGTTTTTCCTTCATTTCAACCTTGGTGAATCTGACCATTGTGTGTCTTGGGGTTGCTCTTCTCGAGGAGTATCTTTGTGGTGTTCTCTGTATTTCCTGAATTTGAATGTTGGCCTGTCTTTCTAGGTTGGGGAAGTTCTCCTGGATAATATCCTGAAGAGTGTTTTCTAACTTGGTTCCATTTTCCTGTCACTTTCAGGATCACCAGTCAAACGTGGATTTGGTCTTTTCACATAGTCCCATATTTCTTGGAGGCTTTGTTTGTTTCTTTTCACTCTTTTTTCTCTAATCTTGTCTTCTCACTTTATTTCATTAATTTTATCTTCAATCACTGATTTCCTTTCTTCCGCTTCATCAAATCTGCTATTGAAGCTTGTGTATGCTTCACGAAGTTCTCATACTGTGGTTTTTAGCTCTATCAGGTCATTAAAGCTCTTCTCTACACTGGTTGTTCTAATTAGCCATTCGTCTAACCTTTTTTCTAGGTTTTTAGCTTCCTTACTATGGGTCAGAACATTTCCTTTAGCTCAGAGTAGTTTGTTATTACCCACCTTCTGAAGCCTACTTCTGTCAACTTGTCAAACTCATTCTCCATCCAGTTTTGTTCCCTTGCTGGCAAGGAGTTGTGTTCCTTTGGAGGAGAAGAGGTGTTCTGGTTTTTGGAATTTTCAGCCTTTCTGCTCTGGTTTCTCCCCATCTTTGTGGTTTTATCTACCTTTGGTCTTTGATGTTGGGGACCTACCTACGGATGGGGTTTTGGTGTGGATGTCCTTTTTGTTGATGTTGATGCTATGCCTTTCTGTTTGTTAGTTTTCCTTCTAACAGACAGGCCCCTCAGCTGCAGGTCTGTTGGAGTTTGCTGGAGGTCCACTCCAGACGCTGTTTGCCTGGGTATCTCACGAGTGGAGGCTGCAGAACAAATATTGCTGCCTGATCCTTCCTCTGGAAGCTTTGTCCCAGAGGGGCACCTGCCTGTATGAGATGTCTGTTGGCCCCTACTGGGAGGTGTCTCCCAGTCAGGCTACACGGGGGTCAGGGACTTACTTGAGGAGGCAGTCTGTCCGTTATCAGAACTTGAACGCTGTGCTTGGAGAACCACTTCTGTCTTCAGAGCTGTCAGGCAGGGACATTTCTGTCTGCAGAAGCTGTCTGCTGCCTTTTGTTCAGATATGCCCTGCCCCCAGAGGTGGAATCTAGAGAGGCAGTAGGCCTTGCTGAGCTGTGGTGAGCTCCGCCCAGTTTGAGCTTCCCTGCTGCTTTGTATACACTGTGAACATAGAACCACCTACTCAAGCCTCAGCAATGGCAGATGCCCCTCCCTCTGCCAAGCTCCCGTGTTCCAGGTCGATTTCAGACTGCTGCGCTAGCAGTGAGCAAGGCTCTGTGGGCGTGGCATCCACCAAGCCAGACACAGGAGGGGACCTCCTGGTCTGCTGGTTGCAAAGACCGAGGGAAAAGTGCAGTATTTGGGCAGAAGTGTACCACTCCTCCAGGTACAGTCACTCACGGCTTCCCTTGGCTAGGAAAGGGAAATCCCCTGACCTCTTGCGTTTCCCCGTGAGGTGATGCCCCGCCCTGCTTTGGCTTGCCCTCCATGGTCTGCACCCACTCTTCAACCAGTCCCAATGAGATGAACCAGGTACCTCAGTTGGAAATGCAGAAATTACCTGTCTTCTGCGTCGATCTCACTGGGAGCTGTAGACTGGGGCTGTTCCTATTCAGCCATCTTGGAAACGCTCACTTTATCTTTTCAAAGAGTAGTTTGTGTGACTGAATGCTCTGACCTTTTGATTTTCTGAGATATTATCAAAAGATTGTTCAGCCCCAGCCTCAGCTTTTTCTCTAGAGCATACTTTCCTGACAGTGAATCTCTAAATTTTAGCATATTTTGCAATCTGGATGGGCTGAGAATTTCCCAAGTAATCAAGTCCTGGTTTCTTTTTGTTTAACAGTTCATTCGTCAATTTGTCTCTCTCCTCTTGCATTTTACATAAGCAGCAAGAAGACACCAGGCCACACCTTTAACACTTTTCCTGAAGATCTCCTCAGCTAAATTTCCAATTTCATCATTTGCAAGTTCTGTTTTCCACATAACTGTAGGACAGTTCTGCTAAGCTTTCTGCCACTGTGTAACAAAGATCATCTTCTCTCAAGTTTTCCAATAACATGTTCGTCACTTCCTTCTGAGCCTTCACTAGCAATACCTTTAACATCCATATTTCTACCAATACTCTTGTTTACAATGATTTGGGTATTCTCTAAGGTAATTTGTGTTTTCTCTACCGTACTTTTCACTTCTTTCTGAGCCCTCATTAGTGAAAGCATTTATTAACATATATATTTCTACTAATGTCTGTTGAAGGCAATGTAGGTTTTTTTCTGTCAAGCTTCTCAAAATTTTTGCAACCTCTGCCAATTGCCAATTCTAAAGCCACTTCCATATTTTTAGGTATTTGTTATAGTAGTACCCCTCTTCCAGGTAGCATCCGCTACATTCTTTTTCATTATATCGTATCTTTGTGAATCTGGATTTAATCCATTTACATTAAAGTAATTACTGATAAGGAGAGACTTACTTCTGTCATTTTGCTGTTTGTTTTCTGTGTCCCTTGTAGCTTTCTTTGCCCCTCATTTCCTACATTGCCGTCTTTTGTGTTTAGGTGATTTTTTTTATAGTGAAACATTTAAATTCCTTTCTCATTTCGTTTTGTGTATATTCTATAGCTATTTTGTTTGTGCTTATCATGGGAATTACATTTAATATCTTTTAAGTTATGACACTCTAATTTGGATGTATACTACCTTAACTTCAATTCCTTACAAAAGTTTTGCTCCTTTAACAGCTCCATCACCATTCCTTTCAGTTGTTATCACAGAATTACATCTTTGTACATTGTGTGTCCAAAATCATAAGTAATTTGTAATGGATTAGCCTTTTAAATTGCGTAGAAAACAAAATGAGGAGTTACAAACTGAATTACAATAATACTGGCTTGCAGACTCAAAATTTTTATCTTTTCTTTCTTTTTTTTTTTTTTTTGACATGGAGTTTTGCTCTTGTTGCCCAGGCTGGAGTGCAATGGCACCATCTTGGCTCACTACAACCTCCCCTTCCCGGTTCAAGCTATTCTCCTGCCTCAGCCTCCCACGTAGCTGGGATTACAGGCATGCACCACCATGCCCAGCTACTTTTGTATTTTTAGTAGAGACAGCGTTTCACCATGTTGGTCAGGCTAGTCTCGAACTCCTGGCCTCAGGTGATCCACCTGCCTCAGCCTCTCAAAGTGCTGGGATTACAGGCATGAGCCACTGCACCTGGCCAATTTTTTTCTTTTAAATGTATTCTCTTACATTATATAGAAAATAAAAAGTGGAGTTACAAACTTCAAGGATTCCTTGAATGTAATATGTTGTTTCTCTCTTGGTGTTTTTAAGATTCTCTCTTTGTCTTTGACTTTCATGGTTTGATTACAGTGTGTCTGGGTCTGAGTCTCTCTGAGTTCATCCTACTTGGAGTTAAGGTTGGATGTTTATATTCGTGTCTTTCATCAAATTTGAGAAGTTTTTGGCAATTATTTATTCAAGTATTCTTTCTGTTCCTTTCTCTCTTCTCTTTCTGGGACTCTGCTAATGCATATGTTGGACCACTTATGGTGTCCTATGGGTCCCTTAGTTTTTGTTCACTTTTCTTCAGTCTATTCTTTCTGCTCTTAATACTTGATAATTTCCATTTTTTATCTTCAAGTTCACTGATTCTTTTTTCTGTCTGATCAGATCTGCCTTTGAATTCCTGCGGTGGATTTTTCATTTCAGTTTTTAGACTTTTCAGCTCCAGACTTTGTTTTGGATTTCTTTTTAGGTTTGTTATCTCTTTGTTGATTTTCTATTTTGCTTATGCATTGTTTTCTTGACTTTCTGCTCATCTTCATATAGTTTTTTGAGTATCTTTAAGACCGTTTTAAAATCTTTGTCGAGTTGATCTATTATCAGTTCTTTTTCAGGGGTGGTTTCTATTTTTTTCCTTTGAGTGGGCCGCCCTGTCTTGTTTGTTTGTATGCCTTGTGACTTTTTGTTGTAAACTGAACATTTGAATCTAATAATGTGGTAACTCTGGAAACAAAATTCTCCTTTCCTAGGGTTTGCTGGGTTTTTTTTTGTTGTTGTTGTTGTTTTTGTTATGTTGTAGGCTTTCTCTGTGCCAAGGATTGACCTGAGAAGTAAGTTTAAAGTCTTTTCACTTCTTTTCTCAGCTTGCATTTTTTTCTGGGCATTCACAGTGGCTTTCTAATTTTCCCCATATGTGCAATTGCTTTTGAATGTCCTTGTCTTTATGTCTGGCTCACAAAAGGGGGAAAATAGAGAAATAGAGGAGGAAAAAGAGATGCCAGGACTTTGAATCCTCTGGATGTCACTTCAACTGGAGGAGTAGAGGGTTGAAACAATGGGGGAGGTTCAACAACAATGGTCTCTTGCCTTTTTGTCTTCACATCTGTGATCAGAAGCAGCAAGCAGTGATCAGAGGATAGAATTGCAATATTTGGAGGACAGTGTCCTTTTTGCCCACACTGGCTCCTACAAGTTGCTCTTGGAACACATGGAGGGTTGCTTGCCACAGGGCTGGGAGTGGGGAATGGGTAGCTATTACTGAGCTAAGAACTGAAATTGACCAAAATTAACCACAATTTACCATCCAAGCCTTCTCCTGGAAGTTGCAAACTTTCCAATAGACTCCAGAGTTTCAAAATAGTTACATCATGCAGCTTTTGCTACTGCAGTTGTTGTATATGTAAGGAGACAGCTTCCACATGCTTCTTATTCTGCCATCTTCCCATATGCCCATCTAATCTACTTCTTTTTAAAGTAGATTTTAAGTAGATTTTTAAGAGGAAATGAGGAATAGTTCTTCATCTGTGACTTGAGGGAAGGATATAGACATAGAGTAGGAACATAAATAGGTTGAAGGGGAATAAGAGTTTATAGGGGAGCTCATATATGATTACTTTAATCTTTTCCATTTAGTGAGAATCTAATTTAATATGAATAAGGTAGAGATAAGGAAGAGTTTCTCTTAACAAGAGAAGAGCTCTGCAAAAACCTTGGGGAATGATCCAGGGGGCCAAGATATTTAAAAAATTCTGAATTCTAAGTGTACAGTTTTCCAGTTGTGTGTAGCTCTACATTAGGTTGTAATCTCGGGTTATGGAATTAAATAGGAATTAGTAATTCGAAAGTTGGAAGTTTTTAAAAGTAAAATTCAGGTTTTGATTTTTACAAATTACATTTTTGTTGACCCTGAGTCTACTGTTGTTCCTTTAGGGAGAGAAATAAAGAGCAAGGGCTGGAACTCAGATACAGCCTCCAGTAACGGCTATGTGGTAGAATGTTGGAGTGCTTGTTCATGGGCACCATAATGCTACTATGATCAGCATTTGGATGAAGAGGGACTATATAGACATATTAGAGTTAATATTTGATTGATTTATAATAGATAGGGTATAGTATTTGATCATCTGATTTTTACCTTGTTCTGAATTATCTACCTGTAGTCATCTGACAATCAAATAACTCCCCATCAACTTATCAATATTTGGCTCTATCCTATCTCTGCAGTTTGGTCCTCTGTCATAGTCTCTAATGTCAAGTTACCCATACACTCCATGATTCAACAAGCCCTGAAAATTTATAGAACTCTACTTTTTAGCACTTGTGACCATTTCACCTTTTCAACCAAAGTGACTGTTCAGTGTTACAACTTTGTCATTTTGACATGTAGCTTGCAAAGGCAATGGATTCCCATCTTGGTTTCTTAAAGTGTAGATGTTCAAAAATATGCCAGATACTCTAAATTATTGGTGTCTGTTAAATGGGAACTTCTCAAAGATCAAAGAATTGCTCAACAAGTGCTAAACTTTGACATACTTCTTGCATTTTCTTTCAGGCTAACAATAAATGCCCTTGCCCAGAAGCTCAATGCTTACTGGAAGGAAAAAACATCTCAAGATAATTTTGAGACCTCAACTGTAGCCAGGCCAATACCGTAAGTAATACATACAGAATATGAATGTATTAGGGGTAATATCCATAGATCAAATGGAAGGAACAAGGGTAATGTGTCTGGATTTGGTTCCTGCTGGTGGGTTCGTGGTGTCACTGACTTCAAGAATGAAGCTGCAGACCTTCGTGGTGAGTGTTACAGCTCTTAAAGATGGCACCGACCCAAAGAGTGAGTGGTAGCAAGGTTTATTGTGAACAGCGAAAGGACAAAGCTTCCACAGCTTGGAAGGGGACCTGAGTGGGTTGCCACTGCTTGCTGGGGTGGACAGCTTTTATTCCCTTATTGTTCCCTCCCGTGTTCCATTTCTGTCCTATCAGAGTGCCCTTTTTTCAATCCTCTCTGTGATTGGCTACTTTTAGAATCCTGCTGATAGGTGCGTTTTACAGAGCACTGATTGGTGCGTTTTACAGAGCACTGATTGGTGCGTTTTACAATCCTCTTGTAAGACAGGAAAGTTCCCCAAGTCCCCACTCGACCCAGGAAGTCCAACTGGCCTCACCTCTCAGTAAGATGGTGCTTTTCACATCAGGAAGTTTAATTGACTAAAAATAGGAACTCACAGGTACTAATTGCTTCATTCTCTAAACCTCTTCATTCTGCTTTAACACATTTACGGTCTGGATCATAAATGTGAAGAGTTTAGTACTGGTAGTGTGATATAGTAGAAGATGATGGCTATTTAAATCAAACGTTCCTGGGTTGAAAATCTGGATCTGCTTTTTAATAGTTGGATGAGCTTGGGTAAGTAAGTTACTTCACCTGTCTGAATATATTAACTTAGGTGACATACATTTTTAGCACAGTGACTGGCATATAGTAGGTGTTCAGACATGTTAGTAAACTTCCCCTTTTTTTTATATTCCTAGTGAATATTGCTGGGATTGTACCAGTACTTGAGAGTAGGAATAGAGAACCCAGTATGTTAAAGAAAAGGTAGAATTTATTGACTCTAAGACAGACAAGTCAGGTAAGGAGCATAATACAGAGGATCGAATGTGTGCCAACACATACACAGTCAGTTACACCACCATCAAGACAAACATTAGAGTGGTAAAAGTTCTTTTTGGAGTAGGTACCTATTATTTTAATGGAAATTATTAGGCAAATGTATGATATAAAATTTTATTTCTAATGCAACCTAATGGCTGTATGTATATCACCCTCTTCTTATTCTGAAGATCTCAGCTTATGGCTGTCCTCCATAGTTTTCAAAGAAGTACAAACTAAGATGAGATGCCATTTTTTGCCTTTCAAATTAGCAGTGATTAATGCAATGAAACAGATGTTCACATACTGCTAGAGAGTGTGTGTGCTGGAGGCAGAACTGTAATAATGGTAATTATTGAACGCTTACTTATATGTCAGGCACTGTTCTAAGTTCTTTACATGCAGTGGTTTATTTAATCATCACAACAACCCTACCTGTTAGATATTATTATTACTTCTTTACAGATGTAGAGACTGATACACCAAGAACTTAAGTAACTTGCCTAAGGTTAGACAAGCAGCAAGTGGTAGAACTAAGGTTCAAATATAGGTAATCAGGTCCCCTAAACCTAAGTTCTTAACTGCTGCTCTCTTCTGGAGGGATGCAATGAAGGGAATGTAGTAAAGCCATCTCAGCTACCAATTTCCTGAAAGCATGGGCTAAAAGCCTCTCCTGTCTGCCTGGATTGAAGGATCTACCATGATCTGCATGGAACCCGAAACAGAGGGTTGCTGCCTCTAAGCATGCCTATCCCTGAGAGAGTAATACTGGCACTCTGCAAGAGACTCTCCTATGCATATGCATGTAGAACCGAAGCTAATAGGACCTTTCTTCTCCCCTCCCACTACTGCTGAAGCTGCTTTTTATTGACTCTGGCTCTAAAACAGTGGCTGTCTAGAAATATATAGACACCAGAGGTCAGGCCTGAGCTTAGAGCTTAGAGGTTGCAAGGCTGGAACAGCCTGGAGCTAGGGAATAGGAAGCTGTAGATCCAAAAATGTGTACAAACTTTCTTTGTTCAAACAGAGTTTCAAAAAAAGAAGAGGGCATTGTATTTCAGTGGTAGAATTATGAGTGCCTTTTATTTTCTGTATATATTTCTCTATTTTCTAGTTTTTAATAATGAGCTTATATTACTTTTATATTTAGAAAAAAGCACAATTTAAAGCCAGGCACGGTGGCTCATGCCTGTAATCCCAGCACTTTGGGAGGCTGAGGCAGGTGGATTGTTTGATCTCAGGAGTTTGAGACCAGCCTCGGCAACATGGTGAAACCCCATCTCTACCAAAAGTACAAACATTAGCCGGGTGTGGTGGCGCATGCCTGTAGTCCCATAGCTACCTGGGAGGCTGAGGTGGGAGGATTACTTGAGCCCAGGAGGCAGAGGTTGTAGTGAACTGAAATTGTGCCACTGCACTCCAGCCTGGGAGACAGAGTGAGACCCTGTCTAAAAGGAAAAAACAACAACAACAAGAAGAAAATAAAAAGCACAATTTAAGATGTTAAGAAAATTATTGAACTAAGACATAAAAGAACCGCACCACTCTGTTGAAATATCTAGTATAAAAGAAGTATAAATATAACATGCATAAATCTCATCCTAGGCTAAATTACATGTTAGTGAAATTGGCTGAGGTGCCCCTCTTCTTGCTTTGTGTGTCTTTTCTCCAGCCGCCTTCATTCTCACTGTAGCCTGTCTTTTACACCTTAGGTACTGAGTACTTCTGTCATATAAGGACCACTTTCTCAGAGAAACAAATTCACTCTAAAGTGTAGGTAACTGAGGGGAATCAGAGTGGGTATGCATTTTAAGAGTTGAACTCTGGAAGAGTTTTATCTTAATTTAACCCCATTGCTGTCTGGAACCACCATTTCTAGTTATGAAATTTAATCAAATTTATATTACTTTTTAAGATTAACTTTGGGAATATCAACCTAGTAAAATTTTGATTGAAGTATTATAAGCAAAGGGTTTTTCTTGAGAGGGAAATGAAAAGGAATAAGGAGTCTCTGTAGGGAAATGAGGGAGATGTTTTAATGGCAATGCTTCCATGGCTGTCATAAATGGATTTTAAGCCTGTTACATGATTGGACAGAAGGAAACAAAATGATTCTATGGGTTTTATTTCTTGGTAATATAGTAATAAACAGAATTTTTCCAAGTTAATAAATTTTAGAGTTAAAATTACCCTATTGTTTGCTTGGAACAAGAGCCACCAGGATAAGTATTATTTAAAAAATGTTTCAATAGCTTTTGGGGTACAAGTGGTTTTTGGTTACAAGATAAATATTATTGACCTCTATAAAAGTAGCTCACCATGTTAATACTTGTTACTATTTTTCATATCCATATTTGCTATAGTTCTATCATTTTATCTGTGAAGTTAAAAATATATACATTTGGGCACCAAGATGATAACATTCCCAACATATTTCATATATGAAATTAGGTTCTTTCTTTTTTTGGCTGCACCTTTCTAATGTAAGACAAAGCACAGAGCTAAGATATACACAGTCACACTTCCATTTTCCTTCATTCAGGAAGGTTCCTGACCAGACATGGGTTCAGTGTGATGAGTGTCTTAAATGGAGAAAGCTTCCTGGGAAGATTGATCCATCCATGTTACCTGCAAGATGGTTTTGTTATTATAATTCCCATCCAAAGTACAGGTAAGGTTCCAGGACTCAATCTTATGCTCAAGGTAACTCCTGATTTATCTCTATAGTCTAAAACATTTTTCATCTCAGGTTCACACCCTTCAGCCTGGCATTCAAGGCCCTGTGCTGACTGACCCCAGCTTACCTATCTAGCCTTACATTTCGTGGTATCTTAACACAAACTTTGTACTTGAGCCAGGGCTGTGGCTTCACTATTCCCTACACATGCCATGCTTACTCTCATGTCCATGACTTTGATAGTGTCATTCCTCTTGCTTGCAATGACTTTCTGCATTCCATTTGTCTATCCTAATCACATCCATCTGGGCAGCAAGTGTTTTGTGTGATGCTTTTCCTGTTGACCATAGTTTACAGTGATTTTACTCTGATTTCCTCTGGTATTTGATTCTTGACATTTGTTCACATATTGTTTTGTACTTTTTGGATGTTTTTCACATATGTATCTTTGAAGAGCTTTGGCTCTTCAAGAGATCGTAAACTCTTCGAGACAAAGGACTTTACATTCCAGGTCAAGTCGATGATGTTCTTTATATGCTTCGTATTTGGAATCAGTGTTATACAGTAGTACCTGTACCTATTGTATATTCAGCGCTGTTTGTGTGTTTGTCTTCCTAATATACCATATGTTTCTTGCAGCATCCAACATCTAAATAGTGTCTGGCATATCTTTAGGCATTAACTTTAAAAGTTTTTAAAAATTTGACTCAGTAGTCATATAGGTTCATAATAATAAGTCAGTGTGCTTCAATTCAGCTGTGACTTTCTTAAAATTCTTCTGGCAGGATAAATACTGATAGAAAGGTGCTAAAATGGGTATGCATTTTAGGGGAAAAATGTCTAAAATTGAAGAAGTTAAATGAACAAAGATTAGGTCTATAAATATAAGCATTTCCTCATAGTCTCTAGATATGCCCAAGTATCTTTCCATGGAGAGTAAATGAGATTGTGTAATTAGAATATGGAACTGAGTACTTAGAAGTCTCGTTTTTGAATACTTTATCTTTTAGTACAGGAGACATAACCTTGCAGCCCACTTTGCCCCTTTATAAACTGAGTATAATATAGCTGCCAATTATTGTTAAATTTTGTTTGTTTCTAGGATTACTTTTGACCACTGAATGTATTTTCTAGTACTCCTTTCAGTTTTTACTCCTAAAATTCTCTTTCTCATGCTTTACATATAACAAGGTTTTATAATTTGAATGGGATCTGAACTCTGTAATGTTAGAGAGTTGTTAACCTGCATAGTTATAAGGAAATTAAAAGGTAAAAGTGAAGGACCCAGTTTTTTTCCAAAGGATGATTTATTCTCTGTACTGCAGGAGATGCTCTGTTCCAGAGGAACAAGAACTCACTGATGAAGACCTGTGCTTGAGCAAAGCTAAGAAACAGTTGAGTATACATGAGATGGGGTTCTCTACCATAGGGTAGAGTAGCCTGACACTTCCTTACAGGACGGGAGTTTTGAGAAGAGAGAATTTTTTTGGTTCTTAAATAATTTCCCTCCTCACCTCTCTGCTCTCCCAGTTCTTTATTCCTTCTAATCATCTCCTGAATGTCTCAACTAGTGATTGTCTTTAGTCTTTCTCTCTCCTCTCTCTCTCTCTCTCTGGTGGGGCACTTGAAATCTCACTTCAGTAGCCTAGTTCAGAAAGGCACCCTCAGTTACTCAATGAGGCTCACAGTATTTGTAATTTGGAAGGAACATTATAACCTAAATCTACAATTGGCAGTCCATTTCAAACTGAGAAGTTTCATGAGTGAACTAAATAGCACTTTTATCTTCTCCTAGAGAACAAACTGTTGAGGAGAAGAAGAAGATGCCTATGGAAAATGAGAACCACCAGGTGAGAGGCAGTGCACACCCTTATTGTTCTCACACAACATTTTCCCCAACAGAAAATATAAGTTGAAGGAAGCAGCAATCTTGAAAGCTGCATAGAAATAACAAACCATTTCTTCTGGTGGTCTTCTTTTCATTGAATCTTTTGGTTTTGCTTTGCTCTGCTGTCACTGATGTTTAGATCACCAAAAGTAGAAGAGTCGAATCGTTTATCTTCCAGATTTGGATTCAGTACTGACTCTGGACAGTATGAATATCACATTCAATGTCACAGAATATTCAGGGTTGTGTTTCATCCTCATACAGGCTTCTCCTGTTAAGTGTCTGCTTTTCCTGTCTCTTTTCTTCTAGGATTCAGGGGTGATCCCTTCCTCCTTCCTCTTGGGAAGAAGGGGTGGTTGTTTGTACTCCTCCCCTATCCCTGCTTTCAGGCTGGCTGGCTTTATAAAAATTCTGCTGTTTTGAATTTTCAGGAGCACTGTCTCTCGGACATGGTTGCCCAGCTCCGGACGCTGAAGGGTGCAGTAAGGTTGGCCGTCCTTTCAGGGACACTCCTTTCCTGACAGCCACCATAGCACCCGTATATCTTTCCCTCCCAACCTTGCCTTTCTGCATGATTTCCCTCTTGACCCTCTTTCCAAGAGAGATCTGCTAGTCGCATGTTAGATTCACCTTCCACTCACTCAATCAGGGTAGGTCAGACTGGTGAGGATAGAGGCAATTTAATACTAATTCTTCTTCTGATATCCTGCCAAGACCCAGGCATATGAATAATCAGGTTTCATACCCTAATGCCTTGGTTTAATTGTCTGATGTAGAGATTGGTAGATTTCCTAGGACTGCCCTGTTCTCATTCAGTTTACCTCCCCTATATTTTCCCTCACCTTAATCATTCATACTATCTTCATGAGCTGGCTCTCCCACAAGATCCAGATGCATGTCTGTGTGTGTGTGTGTGTGTGTGTACTATGAATATATGTTAGTCTGTCGCATGTATTTCTCCCAAACTGGCACAGACACTTGCTGCAGTGCATTTTCCCACCACCCTACCCTCATCATACATCTCAGGGGAGTGAAAACTCAGCCTTAAACTGGGTCACAAGAGAGAATTAGACAGTGATTAGGGGGCCTGGGTTTATATTGGGGGTGGGATAATTCTAGGAGCCACTAAGTAAGTTGGGGGAGGTCTGTTTGGTGTCCTGCTGATAAGGTTGATAACTGAGTATGCCTGGGTTCAGTGTTCTAGTGTACATTACTGCACACTGTTTGTTTTGTGTAGGAAACAGTTTCTTTTTATTTGGCCAAGCATTCTTTCCTAGCATCAGAAGGATTGACTCATCCTTTGGCATTTGGTTTGAATTTGAGACTTTTACAAATCATTTCTGTCTTTTATAGGTATTCAGTAATCCACCAAAGATCCTTACTGTTCAAGAAATGGCTGGATTGAATAACAAGACAATTGGATATGAGGGAATTCATAGCCCTAGTGTGCTTCCTTCTGGTGGAGAAGAAAGCAGATCACCATCTCTTCAACTTAAGCCTCTGGATTCCAGTGTTTTACAGTTTTCCAGGTGACTAAAAAGCATGATCTCTTGTCAATAGTAAGCTTTAGAGTCTGTTTTCCTGTAGAGTAAGTTGGTATGTTTTACCTTGTTTCTGTTTTTTCTAAGGCCTAGCATGGAATTCAGAAGTAGAAACACAATTTTAAGTTGATAGAATTGTGTGTTGCATGTACCTCCAATTTTTCAGTATTATAACTGCTGTATCAGGTCTATAATTTTGAGGTGATCATTTGCTGATACTCTTTTTATGTATCATGTATTCACATTATATTGGGAATTGTGCAAGTGAAATAATAGACAAAATTTGAAAAGTGTAAAATACTACACAAATAAGGTAATGTTATAATGATAAGCATTGTTCCTTTTCTTCAGTATATGGATATTGAAGTTCTCTTGGGCCTCATAGGCCTAGCACATGTTGACCACATGTAAAAATAACTATTAGATATTTGTGCCATTAGGTAAGCTTTATCATTTGTTGTTTCCTAGAATAAATTATTAGTATAAGTTTAGCATTGGACTTTACTTGTTCACCTTCTAGCACCTCATCAGTGTTATTTTGTGTCTTCATAACAAGAAGAAGCATAACTGTTCTTTTTCTTAGATATCAGGAGTATTTGAAGCACTGAAGGATATGACTGCCCCTTTACTCCCATGGGACTGAACTCAGTACTCCTAATTATGACTCCTTGCTTTCTCTTCTCTATTCTGCTTCTCACTCTTGCAGGGCCAAGCCATATAGGGCAGGGACAAGGTTGCTCTCTAATAGTAGAAATGTCTATGTTCATCAGTAATCTGACTATTATGTTTCGCTCTTGTTGCCCAGGCTGGAGTCCAATGGCGTGATCTTGGCTCACTGCAACCTCCCCGTCCCGGGTTCAAGCGATTCTCTTGCCTCAGCCTCTGGAGTAGCTAGGATTACAGGCATGCACCACCACACCTGGCTAATTTTGTATTTTTAGTAGAGACGGAGTTTCTCCATGTTGGTCAGGCTGGTCTCGAACTCCCGACCTCAGGTGATTCACCCGCCTTGGCCTCCCAAAGTGCCAGGATTACAGGCATGAGCCACCACACCCAGCCGGGAAGTGAACTTTTTAGTGACTATTTTCACTTTGGATATCTCCTTAACATACTGTAGAATAGTCAGTGGAATACATAATAGGATAAAGTGACTCCTGGTTGGTTGGTTTGTTTTTCTCTGTGTTTCTGAGTTCAAGACCAGCCTGGACAACACAGCGAAATCTCATCTCTTAAAAAAAAAACAAAAAACCAATAGAACGGTGCCTTGGAATATAGTAGGTACTCAATAAGTAATGGTTGAATCTGAGTCATATTTAAGAAGCAATTTCTAAGATTGAATTTTGTAGCAACGGGATAAGAAATAGAATCCAGCCTTAGTCTCAGGAGCTTGAGCCTAATTACACCGTTTCCATGCATACTTTTCCAACTCCCATTTTAGGTTGGGAGGGGTGCACTGTAAATGCTAAGTGTTTTTGAAGCACATTGTTACCTTTTTACCCTGGTCTCCTGGAGATGCTCATATATCACCATTGCTGCTGGAGTGTCAGGTGTCTTTGCTTTTGAAGACTGTCCCTTCCTTACTATGACCACTTTTCCTTTTTTTCCAGTGTTTCTTTTATAACCCTGTAGTGGTTTTTGGTAACCTCAAGGGGATTACAAATGCTAATTTATATACTTATTTTATGAATGCAGTACAATAGAACTTCCATTGGGTGGCATACTTCATCAGTCTCTATTGGAATTTTTGTATGAGTCTTTATGGATTGCTATATCGAGAGTGAGGTTTTGGCTGTAGAGGACAGGTAAAGTACATTGACCATTCATATGTAATTTTAATTTATTGAGAATAAAATTATTTCAAGAGAAAGAGAAACATAAGAGGTATGTGATAGTTGCTGTTGCTAATGTCATATATGTTACATAAGATCAGTAAATGATGATTGTGTCATTTCAAGTTACACTTTTCGAGGGAATCACATTGATTGGGCTGAGACTACCTTTTAATGGGGGAAAATGGAGTTACTCAAGAGTCTAGTAAAATATATAGGATTTCTGATAAAACATTAAGGTTTAATCAAGAGTTACAAAGGTCTTCTGTTATTATCAGCATAGGAAGCTGATAAGGGTCCTTGGGTCATGTAGTTCAGCTTACTAACTCCAGATAAAATAAAGCCTACAGTATCCAAGAAAACTTTTAAGTTCTAGTGGGTAGTTTAGCAGGGGCGCCACAGGTGTCACTGGAAACAGCTTTGTGAGTCCCACAAATCTAGCAAGGGGAGGAGAGGACCTGCAATAAAGAATAGGTTCCACCAGTATGTAAGCAGGTATAACCTTTTTGGGGAAGACAGCTTATTTCTGTTAAAGGAAATAATCCCTTTCTATTTGTTCATCCTACATGTATAATCGTGCCGCATAATGACATCTTGGTCAATAACAGAACACATACACAACAGTTATCCCATAAACTTACAATACTGTATTTTTACTGTACCTTTTGTATATTTAGATATATTTGATATGCAAATACTTACCATTTTGTTACAGTTGCCTATAGTATTCACTACAGTCACATGCTGTACAGGTTTATAGCCTAGGAGCAATAGGCTATTGCCTAGGTGTATAGTAGGCTATACCATCTGGGTTTGTGTAAGGATACTCTATGATGTTTGCACGATGAGGAAATTGTCTAACAATGGATTTCTCAGAGCGTATGCCCATCATTAAGTAATGCACGACTGTATTTGAGTGCCTACTTTATGAAAGGCCCTGTTCTAGGGTAGTGACAAGATCAAAGATGAAGGAGGTTTGAGTAGTCAAAATTTGATATGTAAGTATCCCCAATATTTACATATAAAGTGCATATAGTTTTCTTTCCTTTTTTTTTTTTTTTTTTTTTTTTTTTTTTGCGGCAGAGTCTCGCTCTGTCACCCAGGCTGGAGTGCAGTGGCGCAATCTCGGCTCACTGCAACCTCCACCTCCCGAGTTCAAGCGATTATCCTGCCTCAGCCTCCTGAGTAGCTGGGATTACAGGCGCGTGCCACCACGCCCGGCTAATTTTTGTATTTTTAGTAGAGACAGGGTTTCACCATGTTGGTCAGGCTGGTTTCAAACTCCTGACCTCGTGATCCACCCGCCTTGGCCTCCCAAAGTGCTGGGATTACAGGTGTGAGCCACTGCGCCTGGCTAAATATGTATAGTTCTCTTATGAGTGATACAAAATAAGATTTAAAGTGGCCGGGTGCAGTACCTCACGCCTCTTATACCAGCACTTGGGAGGCTGAGACAGGAGGGTTGCTTGAGCCCAGGAGTTCGAGACTAGCCTGGGCAACACAGTGAGACCTCTTCTCTACAAATAATAAAAAATTAGCCAGGTGTGGTGACGTGCGCCTGTGGTCCCAGCTACTCTGGAGGCTGAGGTGGGAGGATCGCTTGAGCATAGGCTGCAGTGAGCCAGCTGTGATTGCGCAACTGTGCTCTAGTCTGGGCAACAGAGCAAGACCCTGTCTCAAAAAAAAAGAAAGATCTAAAGTAACCGTAAGCATTTGAATGAAGGCAAGAATTAGTGGCTGTAATTTATTTAGATATTTAGATTTGAGTAAGCTATATGTCAAAGGCTAATTAGTTCATATTTTTAAAGGTTAACAAATTCTGAATTGCACTGTTAACAGTGGAGGGAGAGAAGTAGAGACATTCTACTGTGTCTAAAGGAATACTTGAAATAACAAACAAGGGGTAGAAATAGATGAACAATTTTGCAAATGAATAAGATTGATTCAGGGGCCAGTATTAACATTTAAAAATATGATCTAGGGAAGCAACTTCCAGAATGGAGAAATGAGGAGCATAGTGGACTCTGTCACCAATAAATAACTGTTTAACTTGAAAAAATATATTTAAAAAAAATCAGTGTTTCTGGATAGTGTCCTAGGGGCACACAGCAAAGGGAGAAATATTCAAGAAATCTTCTAAATCTCAGGAAGAACAGCAAGAGTCAGTGGCATTTGAACCACAAGCTGTCCCACTCCAAGCTCTATTTTATGAAAACTACTCAAAGGAATTCTAATCCATGTGGGTGTGGTCTAGAAGATGGGGGCTCCCTCATCCCCTAGCTCATTGTCTAGAGCTATGGTTTTACCTGGGAGGAGCAGGCCTCTGGCTTTTCTCATCTCCTCTCCAGTTCTGTTTTGTAGAAGCTCTATTCCAGGCAGATCCACGAAGACTGGGTCTCTCTTCTCCCAGCCTTCTCTTCCCCAACAAAGCCCTCACTTATAGGGTGGGAGCACTCACAAAGGAACAGCAAGTTAGTAATACCATGCCCCTATTGTTCCTACCCGAGCTTGCTCATAGGTCAGAAGTCTATGCTGGAAGAAGTAAGCCAAAAATTACCCCAGTACCCATTCATAAAGAAGGGATTTTACTCTGGGAGAAGTATGTTACTGTTGTTGTCTCTAGTTCTTGCACACTGTGCCAGAGATTCTGCTTAAAGAGAGAGGCAGGCCTTAAGGATGAGGAATGCCACAGCTCTACCTAAAGGAATTGACTTTATGTGGAGCAGAACATGAAGAATTCTGTGACTAAGGGGCATTGTCAAAAATAATGGAGATCTTGGTGGAGAACAATTATGAGGGCAATTATAACTCCATGACAAGTTTCAGCAAGCAAAATGTGCAAGCGATCATAAGTTTGGTAACAGAGAGAATCAGGGAAATACAGTCAAGAGCCCTCTTCGGATCATAGTCTTGGGTGTCAGAAAGGCTGTGTATAAGCACAGGGCTACACCCACTCAGAAGCAATCAGAGCAGGACCTAAGGTGGACTTGAAAGCCGTCCTCAAGCTGAACACAGATGAAACAGTAAAGAAGAGGAGCCTCACTGGCACTAGGGGTTTAAGCACAACCTCTAACCAACCACTGGCTGAACGATGTTACTCTGACCCAGGGGCACCTCCTGGGAACCAGGCTTAAAAATGAAATCACATACATCCTTGGCAATCTAGGAGACTGTGTACATGTTCAATGCTATGCTACCTCCAGGGTGATTGAAGAGGGAAAATCTAAGCTATTAGTACCTGGCTGAATGTGGGACAGAAGCATACTCTTGAACTTTGGTAGTAACCTCCAAGTCTCGCACACACTCAATGGAAAAGGGTAAAAATCTAACCAGCTGAAGGGACTTAAGCACAACCTTTAACTAATAAGTGGCCTGTGCCAAACCAGGTATGAACTAGGTTGCCAGGTGAAAGATTAAAATCAAGAAAAAAAATCTGAACAAGTACATCAGAGGCTGCATAATACAGGGGAAATGGACTGCATAGAGTCAGTTCAGCGAAGTCACTAAATAAACAACCAAGCAAACAACAACATCAGTGTCATAGGGAAGGGGAGATCAGTGTCCAGAATTGCTATATTATCTAAAATGTCCAGTTGTCAACAAAAATTATGAAACATGAAGAGAAACAGGGAAGTGTGACCTCTACATGGGAGCAGAGGGTGGGGAGGAACAGCAATAGAAACTGCTCTTGAAGAGATTCAGATATTGGATTTATCAGACAAATACTTCAATGCAGCTGTTGTAAACACATTCAAAGAACTAAAGGAGACCATGTCTAAAGAATTAAAGTAGAGAATATTAATAATGGACAGAACCTATAAAAAGAATCAAATGGAAATTCTGAAGGTGCAAGGTATAATAACTGATATGAAAAAAATTTTAAAGGGACTCAACAGCACATTAGAGTTGGAAGAATAAAGAATAAAAAAACTTGAAGATAGATAAGTTATAGATTATGCAATTTGAAGAACAGTGGAAAAGAAAAATGAACAGAGCTTCAGAGAAATGTGGAACGCCATGAAATGCACCAACATATGCATAATAGAAGAATAGAGAGAAAATGAAGTAGAAAAAATATTTCAAGAAATCATGGCTAAAAACTTCCCAAAAGTTGATGAAAAACATTAATGTATACATCTAGGAAGCTCAGCAAACTCAAAATAGGATAAATACGGAGATTCATTGCCAGACACATCATAGTGCAAATATTGAAAGCCAAAAGCAAAGAGAAAATGATTCATCATGTACAAGAGAATCCCAAGAAAATTAAAGTTGATGACTTCTCATGAGAAAAAAATGGGAACAAGAAGGCAGCGTGATGACGTATTCAAAGGACTGAATGAAAGACTGACAACCAAGTATCTTAAATACAATAAAATTACCTTTAGGAAATAAAGGTGAACTAAATACATTGCCAGATAAATAAAAGCTGAAGGAATTTGTTGCCAGCAGACCTGCCTTACAAGAAATACTAGAGAGATTTTTTTAGGATGAAAGCAAGCAATATCAGACAGTAATCTGAATTCACATGAAAAAGCAAAGAGTGCTTATAAAAGTAACTGTGTAGTTAATTAAAGAGCACAAAACAATAGAATATTTCTTCCTCTTTCTATTCTTAACCAATTTAAATAACATAAAGCAATATGTATTTGTATATAATTGCATATATATATATTGATTTATCGTTGTGCTTATAACATATACAAATGTAAAATATTTGACAAAAAATAGCACAAAGGAGGTGGATGGGAATAAAGTTACATTGGAGTAAGGAAATGACGCCAGATAGTAACTCAGATCTACAGTCTGAAATGACAATTAAAAAATGGAAAATAAAAAGGTTAATGAAACAAACTCTGTAAATATGTGCTTGCTCTGCTTTCTTCTCTTGGCTTCCTTGGAAGATGTAACATTGCATAAAGTAATAATTATAACAATGTATTATTAGATTCGTGAATGTTATACTAGAAAATACATGATATAAAAAGAGGAAAAATAAAGATGGGTCAAAGGAACAAAGAAGGCGTGACACTTGTAGAAAATTAAAAAACTAAATAGCAGATGTAAATTTTATCTTATCAGTAACAGAAAATGTGACTGGATTAAGCAATCCAATCAAAAGACAGATATCAGATTTTATATATATCTAGTTGTTGTATCCATTATTGAAAGTAGGGCATTGAAGTCTCCAACTATTATTGTTGAATTGTCTGTTTCTCTCTACAGTTCTGTCTGTTTTTGCTTTGTGTATTTCTGGGGCTCTGTAGTTAGGTCCATATGTGAGTGTACTTATTACATCTTCCTGATGGACTTTATCATTATGAAAGGTCCCTCTTTATATCCAGTAACATTTTTTATTTAAAAGTCTATCTTGTCTGATATTAGTATAACCATGTTTGCATGTTGAATCTTTTTCAATCCTTTTACTTCCAACCTATCTGTATCTTTGCATCTAAAGTGTGTTTTATATATATATATATTATATATATATATATATATAATATATATATATAGATTAACTACAGGTATATATATATATACCTAACTACAGAGCCCCAGAAATACACAAAGCAAAAACAGACAGAATTGTAGAGAGAAATAGACAATTCAACAATAATAGTTGGAGACTTCAATGCCCTACTTTCAATAACGGATACAACAACTAGGAAGATCAACAAGGAACTAGAAGACTTGAAGAACATTCTGAACCAACCAGACCTGACATACATACAGAAAACTTCACCCAGCAACAACATAGTATGTATTCTTCTCAAATGCACGTGAAATATTCTCCAGGATAGACAGACTGTATGTTAGGTTGTAAAACAAACCTCAGTGAATTTAAAAATATTGACAATCATACAAAGGATGTTCTCCAATCGCAATATAATTAAATTAGAAATCAACAACCTAAGGAAATTTGGAAAATGCACAAATATATGGAAATTAAATGACACGTCTTAATTTCCAAAATAAATGGGTAGAAGAAAAAAAATCACATTGGAAATGTAAAAATATATTGAAAATATGAAAATTAAAACAAAACATATGGAAACTATGGGTTGAAGCTAAAGAAATACTCAGAGGGAAAATTATATTTTTAGATGCTTATATTAAAATTGAAGAAAGAAGCTGGGCATGGTGGCTCATACCTGTAATCCCAGCACTTTGGGAGGCTGAGACGGGAGGATCATTTGAGCCCAGCAGTTCAAGACCAGCCTGGGCAACATAGGAAGACCCTGTCTCTACAGAAAATACAAAAATTAGCTGGGCGTGTATGCCTGTAGTTCCAGCTACTTGGAAGGCTGAGGTGGGAGGATCACTTGCTGGTATAAATGCAAAATGTTACAGCTGCTTTGGAAAACATTCCAATAGTTTCACAAAATGTTAAACAGAATGCCATATGACTCAGTAATGCCACACCTAAGTTTATACCCAAGAAAACGGAAAACGTATCTATATAAAAACTTGTATGCTAATGTTCATAGCAGCATCATTTATGGTAGCCAAAAAGTGGATGCAATTTAAATAACTATCAACTGATGAATGGATATAAAATGTGGCCTATTCATACAATGGACTATTATTTAGCTATGAAAAGGAATGAAATACTGATTATGTGCTACAACATGGATGAAACTTGAAAACATTGTGTTAAATGAAAGAAGCAAGTTAAAAATCATATGTTTTATTCCATTTAGGTGAAAGAAGCGAGTTTAAAAAAGCCATATGTTTTATTATTCCATTTATATTAAATGCCTAGAATAGGCAAATCTACAGAGACAGAAAGTAGAGTAGTGTCCCAGTGGGGGTATGGGGAGTAACTGCTGATGTGTAGGAGGTTTCTTGCGGGGTGGTGCATATTTTCACAACTTAGATTGTGGTGATGGTTACACAACTCTGTGAGAATACTAAAATTGTTGAATTGTATACCTTAAGTGAATTTATAGATTTCTATCCCAGTAAAGATGTTGAAAAATACATCATCTGGAAGGAGTATATATACACTATTACAGGGCCGTGATTTTTGGTCCTTATTCTTGCCTATCATAGTTCCTTAAACATAGTAGGAAACATTTATGAAATGAGTGAGTAAAAAATGAAATATATTAATTTGAATGTATCATTCTCTGTCTTGGTTAGTGAAATAATACAAAACTGATAGTGGTTAATTACAGAAGCCTCTGAGAAAGCATTTTGAAGGAGCAGAAACATGGTGTATGTCAGAAAATGTAAAATACTTAAAGGAGAAAACCAAAAATACACCATGAATTGACAGACAATGGAGGAATATGACAAAGGGCAGAAAGAAAATAAGAGGAAACTGTGTAGTTGGAGAATTTCTAGTATATAAAACCCATAATTAATCTCTACTCAATGAGTGAATACAAGTCTGGTATGAGAATTGATTCCTAAAAGGACTTGCCAGACTTTCTGGAGAAGTATAGAACCAATAAGTAAAATCTAGTTATTTTCCCTCATTCACATAATAGTTCTTTTTTTGGTTGCCTCTTATGTGAAAGTTTTGTTCCCTCCTCCCCATCTAGCATGGTTAATTAAGCTCCCTTCTGTGTAGGAACTTATACTTTTATGCTTTTGTAAGGTACCTAGGACACACACACACACACACACACACACACACACACACACACACACAAAGTAGTAAGTGATGCATTTTAATAAGAGTGCTTGAAGTGCTATAGGAATTCAGAAGTAGCATTTGAGTTGGATTTATGCATGCAGTGTTGGGTAGAAGAAGGGCACTCCAGTCAAAAGGCATCCAGTTTGACTGATGTTTGTGAAGGGAGTAATGAGAGATAAAGCTGGGGCCAAATTCTGTCCCAGCTCTGATACTTACTAGCCACCTTGAGAAAGTTAACTTCTTCCTGAGCATCCCCTTAAAACAGTGGAGATAATAATCCCACCTGCCTCATGTTTATTGGGAGAATTAGATGAGGCAATACATGTTAAGCACTTCTTACATGATCTGGTACAGAGTAAGTGCTCAGTAAATGTTTACTATGTTTTGGCATGGAAAAGCTTCAATAGTGAGCTAAGACATTTAAGCTTTTATGTTGTGGGGAGCAATAAATAAAGATTTTGAATAGAGGAGTAGCATAATCAAAGCAATGCTTTAGGAAGATTAGCTTGGGACAGTGATCTGGAGGTAAGAGAAGGGGAGACTGGAGACAGGAGGAAGCCATTGCAGTAGTCCAGGAAAGGTAGTGGGAGCTTGAACTTGAGTATTGATAATGTATAAACCTACCGTATAAATATTAGTGACAGTTTGGTGCTGTTGTAACACAAATAGGAAACATAGGGAAAAGGAGCAGGTTTGAAGGTGAAAATGAAAGGTTGGTTTTATACATACTGAGTTTGAGATACCAGTGGGACCTCCAGGAAGAAATGTGTGACAGGCAGTTGGAAATTCAATACTGGGGGTCAGGGTTTGGGAGAATATGGGAGTTGTTGCCCAGAGATTGTAGCCAAGAGGTTGTATAAGATTACAAAGGAGAAGAAATACAGGGTCAGAAGAGAAGATAGTTAAGGACAGAACCCTTAGAGGTGGGAAAACGAAGAGAAGGCAGATAATATGACTGTAATTGCTTTTCACAAGGCTTGGTTGTTGCTATTTAGTATTATATACTTTTCCTTTGTACCTGCCAACTGATTGTTTTACTGTCTTCTTCAGTACCACAGCTGACTGGGCCATCAGTAGTAGACCTTATACGTGTTCAAAGATGGATACAGTTATTCTTACATAGCTCCTAAGTCCTTTTGCTTTTACCTAAGGCTAACACGACAAGATCTATTAAGATGGCAGATCAGTTGTATTTCTGAAGAACATATGGGCACTATAAGAAACTACAGTTTGGTTTGTCTTACCGGTGTTCTCAAAAAATACAGAGAAATATGGGCAACCTTGAGGTACTATGAGGTGGCAAATCATATGTCTGATGCTTTCTCATTGAAAATTTGAAAGTTGATTTTATCTTGAAATGTCTTGGTTATCCAGAAGGAGGACAGAATAGTTGTAAGGATAAAAATGGGGTTCCCACCCTGCTGCATGATTAAAAATTGCCTATGGATTTCTCTGGTGCCAGTTGTTTCATTAGTTCTTCAACCCCTAGTGCATACAGCAGCCAAACATGGAAGATGATTTAAGGTCATCATCATGGGCTTTCCTGCACAACTCAGGGAGTGTCTGCTTGTGCTTGAGCACGGGAATTCTTTGTCACAAGGGGAAAATGACTTGAATTGGCTGATTCACTTTCTTTGTTTCTGACTAGGCCCCTGTGATTCAATTAACTTTTACAAGTGAACTATGGGCAATAGCCACAATCCAGTGGGCTGGTGAAAGAATTGTGTGGTTCTGCTGCAATATAAAAAAATGTGCATAAGTCTTTGATACGGGAAGGCATTTGTGATGCTGTAAAATTAATGAGTTGGCACTGTTCTCTGCATACTCTTCTAGGCTTTTTATGGCCTTTTTATTCCATTCTTGTGTTAGGGGATTTGGGGTATGTGTTTTTTCTTTGTCTTCCCTCTTGACTTGCATCTTTAGGATACTTCTAAGTCAGGCTGGTCGCAATCTTATTTTTAGAATTCTTACCAAGGTCAACCTAGTCCTATTATATCCAGATGCTGCCCAGTCACACCTTTCAACTTCACCTCTCCGTTAATACCAGTCGCACTAGTGAAATGGTTGAGGCTTGTGGGTAAAGTTGTATCCCTAACCTGGACTTGTCTGTGGGTAACATCTAGAGTCAGTCTGAATATGGGAAGTTTGAGTTGGGGCTCCATAGGATCAGAAAATACTTAACTTGTACTCTGACAGCTTACAATTTAATTTCCTCTTCTTGCAGTAAGTACAAATGGATCCTAGGTGAAGAACCGGTGGAGAAACGAAGAAGGCTCCAGAATGAGATGACAACACCTTCTCTAGATTATTCCATGCCTGCTCCTTACAGGAGGGTAGAAGCACCTGTTGCCTACCCAGAAGGGGAGAACAGCCATGATAAATCGAGTTCTGAGAGAAGTACACCACCATACCTTTTCCCAGAATACCCAGAAGCAAGCAAGAATACAGGTCAGAATAGGGAGGTTTCAATTCTGTATCCAGGGGCCAAAGACCAACGCCAGGGGTCCCTGCTTCCTGAAGAATTAGAAGATCAGATGCCAAGATTGGTGGCAGAAGAATCTAACAGAGGTAGCACAACCATAAACAAAGAAGAAGTCAACAAGGGACCTTTTGTAGCTGTTGTGGGTGTTGCCAAAGGTGTTAGAGATTCAGGAGCTCCCATTCAGCTGATCCCTTTTAACAGAGAGGAGCTTGCTGAGAGACGAAAAGCAGTTGAATCCTGGAACCCAGTGCCTTATTCTGTGGCCTCTGCTGCAATC
The DNA here is from genome assembly GCF_000001405.40 of Homo sapiens. Taxonomy (NCBI): domain Eukaryota; kingdom Metazoa; phylum Chordata; class Mammalia; order Primates; family Hominidae; genus Homo; species Homo sapiens. The sequence goes on along the minus strand of NC_000023.11, from coordinate 106,942,670 downwards.
CCTGCTGCAGCCATTGGGGAGAAAGCAAGAGGCTATGAGGAGAGCGAAGGTCATAATACACCAAAGTTGAAGAACCAGAGAGAGCTGGAAGAATTGAAGAGAACCACAGAAAAATTGGAACGTGTTTTGGCTGAAAGGAATTTGTTCCAGCAAAAGGTTAGGGTAATACCTCACCACTAGGAATAAGAGACCATAGTAACCAAGGGAGCGGGACATTGGTGCCCTGATTATTTAATGTTCTGAGGCCTTTAAATAAAATATGCCCCTGAACTATTCTGTGGTGTGTTTCAGATAGAGTAACTGTAGTAGGCTTCCTGCCCATTTTAGGGTATTGAAAAGGCCCATAAGTAGAGGAATATGTATAGTGGAATCACAGGATGACCATATGAGGAACGGTTTTTGGCGTGCTCTTTTGTGGGGTCATTGAATTTCTGTTTCTTGGACTGCAGGTGGAGGAGCTGGAACAGGAGAGGAATCACTGGCAGTCTGAATTCAAGAAAGTCCAACATGAATTGGTGATCTACAGTACCCAGGAGGCGGAAGGCTTGTACTGGAGCAAGAAACACATGGGTTATCGCCAAGCTGAATTCCAGATTCTGAAAGCTGAGCTGGAAAGAACCAAAGAGGAAAAGCAAGAGTTAAAAGAGAAACTGAAGGAAACAGAGACACACCTGGAAATGCTGCAGAAGGCTCAGGTCTCCTACCGGACCCCAGAGGGAGATGACCTAGAAAGGTTAATTACTAGGGTTTAGTTATCAGCTTGTGAGTGCTAATGGGAAGCATCCCTTAGGACCCCCACTTACTGGCCGTAGACAAAGGAGGAAGCCTTAATTCACAGGCCACCAAGAATTGAGTAATTACTTCTTAGAAAGCTGCAGCCAGTCTCCCTGTGCTTGGTGGCGTTGTGCTTTCTTCTTTCTAGCTAATGAAAACATAACTGTTGAGAAATGTGGTTCCATTTTGAAGGGGCTTCATTTTATTCTGTTGGTTAATGACTTCATGTCATCTCTTCTCCTGCCCCCTCACTCCTTCATACAGGGCTTTGGCAAAGCTTACGCGGCTACGTATCCACGTCAGCTATCTCCTTACTTCTGTCCTCCCTCACTTGGAGCTTCGTGAGATCGGGTATGACTCAGAACAAGTGGATGGGATCCTGTACACGGTGCTGGAGGCAAATCACATACTGGATTGAGCACCAGACTGTATACCCTTCTCTTCTCTTATCTTCTGTCTGTTCTCTTTTCTCTCCCTCCCTCACGTCTCTCTCTCTCTCTCTCTCTCTCTCTCTCTCTCTCTCTCACCCTCACCTTTATGCCTTATATAGAGAATCTCTGTGTAAATCCTGGCTCATAATCAGTCTCCTTTTTATCAGTTTTGGTGTGGAGAAAGAGGCCAGTTTAAATAGGCTTTCAAGAGTCTAGGGTCAGAAAAGCAATAGTCACTAAGCTAGGTGACCTGAAAGCTTTAATTTTCATGACCTGGATATGTGGTCTATTGTATATCTTTTTCTGAAATGGTTTGTATTCATTTAGGTTAGATCAATCAGCAGATATTGGGTCCGGTATACCAGGTATTATTTTGGGGTAAGCTAACAAGTACAACTCATGTTTGCAGCCTTCGAAGATGTAACAATCTCGTTGGAAACATAAGACATACATCACATTATACACAAAAGTGTATGATATGTACAACTGAGTGGTACAGATATGACATGGAAGATCTGGGGGAGGAAGTTCAAGGAAGGCACCACACCAGAAATGGGACCTAAATTAAGGCTTAAAGAATGAGCATGGCCACACTGTCAGTGAGTGTTCTTTAGGTGGTAGGACTATGGTTGATATTTTTCTTCTTCCTATCTTCCTGCCTTTTTCAGATTTTCAATATTAAACTTGTTATTCTTACATTGGAAAAAAATAAATTGTTTTTAAAAAGATCAAGTAGGCTTGGATTTGAATATCAAATGAGAGATTATGTGAAAATATAAGGTAATGTTATATTTCTAATTTATATTAAATTTAGCATTACCTCTGGAAGAAGAAAAGCATAAACAAAGGCATGGAAAAATTTGGAATGTGAAAAATGTGTTCGATAGAAGTGGTGGGTTAATATAAAGGGGACTAAGGTTATATCATGATCTGTTCGCCTGCTTTGGTATTCGCATTTTAATAAGGGATTCTTGAAAAACCTATAAGGCTCAAATTAAAAAATATATTTGTCATCAAATTAATGGGATTTCAGGTAGTTAGGGAAGTACTTTAGAGTGGAATCTGATGTCCCTCAGAATATACCTACTTACTCTTCAGGCTAGTGCTGAGTGAGGGGTAAACTTCGTACTATCAGAAATAGTAAAACTTATTCTCTTGTAAAAGGAGACATTGTATTCATTTCTTTATTGTGTTTACATAGCACATACTCTCCAAAGAGTTCAGGGTACTTTTCAAAAGACATTGAATAATGAACACATAAAAATATACCAACAGTAAAAAGTAGGAAGTAGAGGAGAAACAATCAAAGGAAGGTGAGATCAAGCAGTGGCAAAAGGATTAGCTAGTCCAGAGGAAATGTCTTGGATATTCATTCTGTTTCTCCTCCACAGAGTTACTTCAGAACACTTTTCCAAATTAATTTTAACTCCTTCGAAAGGGGGCTCATAGTACATAGCCCAAGTGAGACTGCAGGGAATGAGGGGAGGCCAAATCCAGGCTTCATCATTAGAATGAGTACTTAAAGATACCCCCTGCCCCCTTACCTTCCACCTCACCCCAGCTCTAGCTTGCCATATGATTAATTTTCATGTTAGACATTTGGATTATGATAGTCAAGGCCGCAGTTGTCTAAATGTAAATAGTACCGAGGGAAGAGTAGCACATTCCGACATTCTCTCAGTGAGACTTATTCATCAGATGGGGGCTGTGAGTGGGTGAGATTTCACACAGATGGATGGGAGTCTGCTGGAAGGAAAAATTCAGAGCATTGAAGGTTCTGCCTGTGTGAGTGTTTGTTGGGTGAATGAGGGGACTGAGTAGGAAGGAGGGCAGGCAATGAGGCTTTAAAGGGAAGAAGGTAGGAAATTTGAACTCATCTTTCCTAGTGCTTACTCTCAGCCCATTCCCTGGTTTGTGGACCTGACCCCACACTGCTTTTTCCAGCACCACTGTCTGTGTGAGTCCATTCACTTCAATACCAGAGCCACCTCTTTGTTTCCTATTTACTAAGAAGCCATACCAGCATGAGATCTCCTTGATAGTGTTAAATCCCACTGTGGAAAGATTGAAAAATATCTCCCAGCCTTACCAGAGGTTACGATCTAGTGTGGAGGCAAAAGACATTGAGAAGAAAAAAGCAGGTGCCTCCTCCTGGCTCTCCTGTTAGGTTAACATAATCATAATTCCCCTTTGAAATGTCTCCCACATTTGCCCTTTAACTTCCTATTGCCATGATAAGCATTTAGGTTATTACCTAAATAACTTGTTACCTCATGCCTTGATTATCTAAATAAATTCTTAGATGGCCTCCCTTGCCTCCTGTTCTCCCTCCTCGATCCGCCCTACTCAGTGTCACCAAATTTTGTTTTTTAACAACTTCGTCAGGTCATGCCTCTGCTTAAAGACTTGCTAGTGTTCCCAATTGCCCACCGAGTACAATACAAATTCCCTAGGATGGTGCTCAAAGCCCTTTGTGATCTGGCTTCAGTCATCCTTTCTAGAGTCATCTTGAAACATTCCGGATACAAGCCACATTCCATCTAAACTGAACAATTTTCCAGTTTCTGAACATGCTTTTAAGATTTCTCCCATCTCCATCTTTGCAATTTCATTCCCTTTAGCTGCAATGCTTTCCCTCATCATCTTTCCTTTGGCTCAAATGCCAACTTTTTCCTGCAAACTTCTCTGATTAACCCAGCTAGACAAAAAATTTCTCTGTGAACATTTAAGTTTTCAAGGCTTTTATCACAAACATCCTTGTCCTGTCTTCCCTATTAGAAAGCTCTAGATTCAAATATTCAGCTGCCTACTTGACATGTACACTTAACATGCCTCATTAAAAATAAGCAGTGATACACCCTGGGGCTGTTCCCTTTCTCCCAGTTTTCCTCATCTTAGATAATGGCACCTCCACCCATCCAGTTGTTTAAGCTAGAAACCTGGAAGTTATCCCTAATTTTCCTCTTCTCTCACTCCCTACATCCAGTCTGTCAACAAGTCTGTCAGTTCTACTTCCAAAGTGTGTCTTGACTCTCCTCACTTTTACTACAGCTACCTTAGTCCAAACTGCCATGATCTCCCATGGGTTATTATAACTCCTAGCTGGAGTCCTTGCTTCTACTCTTGTTCCTACAGTTGTCTATAGACAGTGATTTTTTTTTTAAAGTAATAGATCATGTGACCCCCCTGCCTGAAGCCCTTAAATGACTTCTCATTGACACTTAGAATAAAATCCAAACTGCTTACAGTATCCTGCAAGGCCCCTGCCTACTTATACTTTGTCTCTTGCAACCCCTCTTCATATACCACTTTCCCCCTGGCTCACTGTAGTCTTCCTATGGACACATGTCGAGCTCTTACTTACCTCAGAGACTTTACCCTGCTATTCCCTCTCCCCAAGCATACTTTACCCATACTGCTCCCTCCGCTAGAATGCTCCCATCTCCAGTGTTAGCATATAGCTGGCTAGTCCCCATCCTTCAGGTCTTGTTGTGTCACTTAATCAGACAGGCATTCCCTGGCAGCCTTTTGTCTCTATCTACCCTATTATGCTATCACTGTTTCCCGTTTTCCTCAATTCATAGCACCTCACAATGTATCATGATATATATGGTCATTTGCTTTCACTCAACAAATATTTATTGAGTACTGACTATGTGCCTTGTGATATACAGTAGTGAACACAATACACATGCTCCCCGTCTGCCTCCCTCACTAGTAAGTTTCATGAGGGGAAGGGCCATGCCTGTTTTTGCCAACCACTGTATCCTAGAGCTTATCCTAGTACCAGGGATCTAGGAGGTAGTTAGTTAATGATGGGAACTGTGTTTTGTTCATGTCTTCATCTCCCTCAGGGGCCTAAAACAGTGCCTTGTTCATAGAAGGGGTTGGATAAATACAGTATGAGTGAGGTAGATGGCAATCCTGTACATTCAAGTTGGAAAATGAAAGACTGAGATAATAAGTGCTATAGGTTATAAGGGACAATTAGCGTGAGCTGCAGTGGCCTAGTATTTCTCTTTAACTGATCTTTGGTATGGGTAGGTAGAAAGGCTACCAAAGGAGAACAGGAATGTGGGTACTCTTTACTACAAACATTCTGAATCTTATCAAAAGAGGCTCCCTGGCATGCAATTTTTAAATACTGAGAACTATAAAACATAACCAGGAGATGTCTGTAGAGACCAGATCTTGAGAATGAGAACTAAAAGGAGAAAGAAAACATTCTGAGGAGGCGTCTGTTCACTTTTTCTGAGTGGTGATAGTTTGTATCAAGAGAAGAAAGGAGCTATCCACAAGGAAAGAACAGACAGAACAAGTTTGTAGGAAACAAGTTCTGGGCACTAGGAGGTCGATACGTGCTTGTTGGATGAACTAATGGGCAGCTTAGGTAGAGGCTTAGACCAGGTACCTTGTGGCCCCAGGGAACAGAAAATTTGCTTGCCCAGGTTTAGTGATTGCAGATTATCTGGGCTAACAATTCAGAGGCAGAGGCTTAATTGCAAGCTCTTCATTCCCAGAGGCAGACTCCAGATAGAATGTCTTTCAGAATTCTGTATATGAATTCAAACCCTTTTCTATAGTTCTGTATTTGGAGTGAAGCTCAGGAATGCCAGGTGTGAGCTCAGGCTAAGTCAAGTGTAATTTCCTTCAAAGAATGACTTACGCTTTGTGAAATGGACATCTCTAACTCATGACTTCTATTAGGCAAAGGGGGGCATTAAGGAACTACACTTTCTGAATCAAAACTTAGAGCACATGTTTGGATAATAAATTAGATAATTGAAAGAAGAGCTGACTTAGTCTTAGTATGTGAAAGCTTTAGTTACCAAGTGAGACATAAATGGCATTCATTTTCTAATAGAAAATAAAATCTTTCAGAAGAAATTTTGTTACTTGCCCCCATCCCTAAGCCCAAAGTTTTGATGTGATTCACCAGAAATTCCCAACCCAATTTTAGATAAAACCGTGCAAATGTTTTGGGTGCTTTCAACATACCAAACACCTTCCATATATCTGTCCATTGTGCCCTCAGGCAGGCAAGATGACTTTAGACAGAGGCTCAGGAAAGTGTTCCAGAAGGTCTGATCTTCCAGATAGGCCCTGGAAACCTGGAAGGATTGGAAAGCTGAAGATGTGTGGGGAGGGTTTTCCAGGTATAGGGAAGAGTAAACAAAGTCATAAGACTGGGTGGGGAGTGAATACAGAAATACCCAAGAGGGTTTGAGAGAGTGGATTATCCAGTGTGAAGCATAAGGAACACAATCAACCAAGGGCTGGGAAATGCCAGCAAGAGGGGCTGTGCTAAACCTGCTTAATGAATTAGGATGAAGTAGCTGTTGAAATCTCTCCAATTGTCCTTAAATTTGGAATGTTAACCACAGTGTGTAGTTACCTTGGATTGACCATTTCTCTAGCAGTGAGACCTGGTTAATCATGGATTTGTTCCAATCCACATGGTCACAGATGTGGATGACAGCCACCATTATCCCTTCCCTCTCCAACTTCTCAGGTCTGCCTTTCCCCTGGCCTCCCACATTTTATGAGTGGAAACCCATCCAAGGTCTTCAAGATATTTGAACTTTGGGGAAGAATCTTGAGAAGTTTTGGCCTGGGAAAGACTATTCCTTTGATAACATGGATTCAGATCTGTGGCAGAAAATACACTTTGTTGTCTGCCCCCATTCCCCAAAGACACATTTTGGTGTGGCTTTGACCCTACCTTTAGGTCACCAATCTACTTATTTATTACCCATTTGTTAGTACCTACTGTATACCATGACCACACTGAGAGGCAGCTCTCATCCACATTTTATAGATGAGGAAACTGAATTGTAGAGAATTGAAGTGGCTTTCCCAAGGCCACCCAGCTAGAGTGCAGAGGCAAAATTCAAACCCAGATTCATCTGACTCCAGAGCCCAAACTCACTGCCTATTACACCATACTGCCTATCTTGAAAATGATTAGTCTTGTCTTCTTCCTTTTAATAGGAAAATGCTAAAGCCAGCCCACACTAACAGGAATTTCCAAGGAAGACAGTTTCACAATCCCACACAATGTTTAACGGCCCTCATGATCAGGAAATTGTTCACTTATATAATGAATATCCCTCCAAACAACGTGGAAATTCATTTCCCCTTGACTGGGTTTTTCACTCACAACTGTCACTTGGCAGCTTTCCTGATATCCAAACAGCTATCGAGATCCTATTCTTACACTGCGGGAGGTCTTGGACTTGCTGGCCTCTGCCCATGGGTGTTCTCACTGGCTGCTTTGAATCCCCCTCTCCAGACAGTGCTGAGTTGGACAAGTCTCTTGGGGAGTGAGAAAGTGACACTTAAGAACATATTGGTTTATTATTACACACAGAGAAGTAAAATTAACCATACAAGGTACCTCCGGAATTGCCAACAGGAGGATGGCACCCCCTTTCTCATCCTGTCTGCCTTTTCCTTGATTTTTTTTTATTATACTTTTAAGTTTTAGGGTACATGTGCACATTGTGCAGGTTAGTTACATATGTATACATGTGCCATGCTGGTGCGCTACACCCACTAACTCGTCATCTAGCATTAGGTATATCTCCCAATGCTATCCCTCCCCCCTCCCCCCACCCCACAACAGTCCCCAGAGTGTGATGTTCCCCTTCCTGTGTCCATGTGATCTCACTGTTCAATTCCCACCTATGAGTGAGAATATGCGGTGTTTGGTTTTTTGTTCTTGTGTAGTTTACTGAGAATGATGATTTCCAATTTCATCCATGTCCCTACAAAGGGACACGTGAAACCCCATCTCTACTAAAAATGAGTTTTTGTTTAACTGGCTTTTCTCCTGAGCAGCCCACACAGAATTTGGTCAAATATCACAGACTCTGAAAACACTGGTGGAGAATAGGAGCTACTACTCAAATGCTGGCTTGTCCACCACACTATTCGCACTCGTTTGGCATCTCATTTCACATCCCATTAACCTCGCTAGTATCTTTTTTTTTTTTTTTTTTGAGACGGAATCTCACTGTCGCCCAGGCTGGAATGCAGTGGCGCGATCTCGGCTCACTGCAGACTCCGTCCCCCGGGTTCACGCCATTCTCCTGCCTCAGCCTCCCGAGTAGCTGGGACTACAGGCGCCCGCCACCTCGCCCGGCTAATTTTTTGTATTTTTAGTAGAGACGGGGTTTCACCGTGTTAGCCAGGATGGTCTCGATCTCCTGACCTCGTGATCCGCCCGCCTCGGCCTCCCAAAGTTCTGGGATTACAGGCATGAGCCACCACGCCCGGCCTAGTATCTTTTTTAAAGCATGTGAGCGTTTTCAGTGTTATCTCCACAAGGTCATGAGAATTTTCAGATGGAAACTTCTTCAAAACTCCTGAGGAGGTGACCTGTGAAGTGGTGAGGCTGCCATTCTGGAGGAATAGGACTTCAGAGAGGACGGGAAAGCAGCAGCTCTCTCCTAAAATGGACCTGATGATGTGCCCTTGCATGGTGGCTTCCTGCTTTATCAAGCTCTAAGACTGCTGCTTGTCTTTGGGGGTGATGAAGCCCAGAGCAGGGAATTTTAGGTGAGAGTTAAGAAATTCCTGAGCTGCAATTCCCAGGAAAGTGGTGGGCTGTGGGGTGGGAGGAAGTGGTCAGATTATAGCCTCTGCATTACTGTGCCTGATAACAGCCTGTTAATATTTTATCAGTGATCACATCACAGCATATAGTGAGCCACCACTTAGGGCAGAAGAGAGAGATAACCTGCTAGACTTCCTGTTTGAGGTTCTTTTCCCTCTTGAGATAACAGAATTTCTCATCAAAGCCGGGAGCCGCTTGAGCAGGGAGACCAGTCTGGGTGAAAGCCAGGCTTCAGCCAGCTGAGGAGAAGCACATGCACTTCCTGGCCTGGGCCTCTGTGTCCCAGAGTGGGCTGCTGCAGGCACGAAAGAATCCCCTGTCCGTGGGCCCAGGGCTGAGTGGGAGGGAACAGAGTTGGCCCTGCAAGGCCTCATCACCTTCCTTTAGCACTAGGCTCTTCTCTTGCCTGTCTCCCTTCTCCCACACCTGCATTTCTCCTCTGGTCCAGAGACAAAAGGCCCCTGGCTACCTGAATGGGCACTGATTGTGCTGCCCCCAGCAAATTCCAAAGTCTTGTGCAAGGGAAGGAGATGAGGGAGCAGAAGCTGAGCCCCAGGGTCACTCCTTCTTTTAGAGTCACATAAGGGTCCTGTGAGGCAAACTCAGAAGGATTCCAGATTAGCTGCACAGCATATCTCTGCTACCTCCTTAGCACCGCCTCTACACCCGATTGCTCAATTTCCCGGAGTCCTTCCATTGCAAGAAGCAGTTTTCATCATGCTTTCCCCAAAAGCTCATGTAGTGCCAGGCCCTCATTTCATATGGATTGGAATTTAAGGGGACTTACAAGACTATTTTTATCAGCCCTTGACCCCTATCTTATATCACTTTTGTCACGTCTTTCACAGGACAGCCCATATGCTGCCTCGTACCACAGTTAGGTGTCCATGTCTTATCTCCTCTAGATGAGCTGTCAGTTCCTACAGGGTACAAACTTTACCTTGTTCACTCTCATCGCCCTCAAAGCCCTTTGCACATTTCCTGACACAGAGTAAGAGTTCAGTGAGTGTGGGCTGGCCAGCAGATAGCTGTTTGAATGGCTGGACAAAGGTCTTTCCGAAAGTTGGAGCTTGCCTTTCCACTAAGAAGCCAGTTTCAGTCCTTCTTCGCCCATTAATGATCACATAGCAGTGGGTCACTAGGGCTCCAAGGGGAAGAAAATATGAGTCATGTTACTATCAGAGGAATGAGAGAGGACAGAAACATCTCTCCTTGTGCAAGGGTCAGAGCCATGGGGCTGGAGCATAAACATAGTGGCCTTCACTATCCCCTAGCTCTGTGGCTAATCTAAATTACTTTATGAGGGAAGGCAATGGGGTGAGCTGAAAAGTGTTTGCCCTGGACCCAGGAGCCGGGAATATTTCTAGGAAACTACTTAGAGCAAAGCCTTTCTTGCTCAACCAGCTGGAGGGAACAGTTGCTCTTTGTTAGGTCTTCCCTGGCTTTTCTAGTTGAGGATGAACTTCTGACTCCTTCCACTGAAACTTCCCAGATTAACAAAGGTAGGAGGACCCCTCAGGCCAGCCTCCTTCTAAGATGAAGGGAAGCTCTGTGCTCTATATCCAACAAAGGCCCTTGTATTCCAGTGGCAGACAGGGACACGAAGCCTGCAAGAGTCTGAAGAGCAATACGTCCTCATACACCTTCTGAGACCAGAATGCTGGGCTCACGTTGCTGTGAGAAGTTTCTAAGCTTATGTTCAAACTCTGACACTGTGACCTGAGTGATATTACTCACATCTCTGGGCCTCCATTTTGTCTCTTGTAAAAGACCCACTTCACTGGAGTATGTGGAGAATGCAGTGAAATCAGTGGATCTGCAAGTGCTTTAGCAGCCAGATGGTGGCTCATCAGAGCCCATACCAGACTGCTGCCCACTCAGCATAGCAGAGCCAGCAAGGTGGTTTTATCTTCCAACCTCCAGTGGCCCCCAATCAAGGGCTCTGGGGTTCCTGGTGCCAGACCAGAGACATGACTTCTTGTTAAGCTTTTATCCAGGGAGCTTCTCTCTCTCCCCTTATCCCTGCCTGCTGCCATTCCCTCTAAATGGACTTGGATGCTGATGTTCTAGCCTCTGCACCAAAGAAGGCTCACTTCAGAAGTGCAAGGGTAGTGTCTGATACAACAGGCTATGTGGTGGGGCCCTCTAGATCCAGGGGCTGGTTAAGCTGAATCAGGTAGGGCCCCATTATTGTCAGTATTGCCACAGTGAACACCCTTATGAATGGGGCTTTGTTAATTCCTAGTGAGTGTAGAACAGGGCCAAATCATTGGCCTCCCAAACTGCCACACCTTCAGAGTTAGGGGAATTGGAACTGAGGTATTGTGTTTTACTCAATGTAAGCCCGGCATCCCCCTGGTAGAGCAGCTAGCTGGGCCCAGGCTGGCCAGCATAGCAGGAGAGGGCAGTTCCAGGTGGTACACTTGATGATTTCCCAGATTGCCCTCATGGGCGACCAGGAGAGCCTGTGTGCCCTCCTTGTTACCTGGCTGGCTGTGAGTTATTTTCCTCAGGTAGCTTGGGGACCTCTGGAAGGCTCTTCTATTGGCTGTGAATAGTGTGGGATTAGCAGGGTCCTATTTTGGGAGTCAGGAGACTGAGGGAACTAACACTATCTTTGTGTCCCTGGGAAAATCTATTTACTTGTGTGGGCTTTAGTTTCCCCATCTGCCAAATGCAGATGATCAGATCCATTTTACCTTCCTCATGATAGTGGTTCAGAGAATGGAAGGAATAAATACATCATCGTTTAGTAAATAACTGAAAACAATTGTTATGAAAAGGAAAGAGCCCTGGGCAAGTTGAAGAGGTTGGAGTTGCCTTGGGGAGGAGATTGTCATGCTTTCTAATTATTTCTAGTAAGGTCTAGAATTGTCTATCTACCCTGTGGAAAGAAATGCCAGTTTCCACCCTCCCCTCCCCTTAGCCGAAATCCCTCGAGTTTCACTTGCCCGTTCTGGGCCCCTTTTAATCAGTAACACAGTTACTCAATCAACAAGTGTTTATTGATCACCTACTGTGTGCCTGGCACTGTTACAGATAGTCTGGGGGATACAGAGAGGTCTAGGATATGGCCCCCACCCACCGAAGGGTTTACAATATACTTGTGAGATCGGACACACACACACAAATAACGATCAATCAAAAATTGTGAATGCTAAGCATCAAGAAGCAATTTATACATTGAGGGTTGGGGGAGGGAGGGGTAGGAGAGGGATGGAGTGATCAGAGAAGGCTCAATGAAGGAGGTGACGCTGAGGAAGTTCTCCAAGCCTGAGGAGGACTTGGCTAAGGGGAGACGGCCTTCCAGGTTGGGAGAGCAGCTGGAACATGGCAAGAAGGTGGACATGTGAAAGGCATGTTACAGACAACAGATGGGCCCTCTCTGCTGACAATGAGGTTCGAGGAGGTGTGCTGGAATTTTTCAGAAGCCAGTCATGCCTAGACTGGTGAGGGAAAATACCTTTGGTGTATGACCCCTCACTCCCACTCCAGGGTAAAGGGAACATTTTCGGACCTTAGAGGTGGAACTGTCTTCCTGGGAACCATTCTCCACTCCCACCTCAGCTGCAATCCCAGGCAGCAGTGCAGCTATCACTCAGATCATGGACACAGCACCGTGGGCATGGATATGCCATGCTGGAGCCCTTAGATGCCCTCTAGCCACTCTGGAGCATCTTCCGATGGACAGTGGGGGAATCTGAAGGGGCTCGCTTGGTGCTATGGTCTTTCAGAGGCTCTGTAGTGCTCTGTGGGTGGACCCTGGGGGGGCCTGATCTCATTTGAGCTGATTTTCCATTACGCCTGAAGAGTTTCTAGGGGGCTGCCTCTCACTGGCAGAGTAGAAACACCCACTGGAGCCACCACACACATCCACCTGGCTTCTTAGACACCGTCAAGGAATGGTGTCTTCCTCAGTACCCCACAGCTCCCACACTGTCATCCCCCAGCCAAGGGCCATCCCTAGAAAAACTGGTTTACTGTTCCTAAGGAAACCATTGTCTATAGCCCTTAGCCTTGTGGTTTAGGCAAGAGGCCAGGTCAGGTGCCCTAGAGTGAGGCAGGGGCTTCAGCCAAAGTTGTGATCGCAGCTTCTGAGGCAGTTCCTCAGTGGAGTCAGAGTCCGCTGCCACCTGAGCTTTCCACCAGATCTTCTTTCCTTTCCTTGTGCTTTCCTCAAGCTGCAGGCTTGATCCCAGCCCACAAATATGAGAGAATTCTGGAAAGTGCCCTGAGAAATGGGTTCTGGGTTTTTTTTTCATTTTTATTTTTTTAAATGTCCCAGGCTGCCTTCCTGTCCTCCCATCCTGCATCCTGCTTTCTGTTCCCTGGATACCGTAGGATGGTTTTATTTCAGTTCATGCACAAATTAGTCTGGACACTGTGGAGTCATAACAAGAGTGGGATGGAGGTTCCAGGGCCAATCAGTTTCTTTGGAGGGAAGCTTGAGAAGTAGGTTAGAGCAATGCCCACAAAAGCCACTGCTTCTCCTTCCCATCCCCAGCAATGAGCTAAGAGCCAACCTCAGCCAGAGAGAGGGTCTTTGATCACAGAGGGTCAGTCAGTGGGATGTGATTAGTGGGTTTGGGGATGGAGTCCCAGGTAAACCAGAGGGCAAAGGGATCCTCTGAGTCCTGGCTTAAGGGAATGGGGTTTCAAGTTGAGGGTTGGGGACTTAGGGCAGGGGAGCAGCAAGGTGAGGAAAACAGAAAGGCTGGCATGGCGAGCATCCTTGGCAATTCAACCTGCATGCTGTTACACTAGCCCCCATTTCTGCCTTTGCTCAATCCAATGGCCAAAGTCAGTCTATCCTCAGCAGCACCTTCTGACACGATCCAGTGGTAGTGTCCCTCACCTGTGGCCCTCGGGGTGCTGTCCACTGTTTTTCACAGACCCAGCCACCCCCCAGCTCTGGCCCCTGGTTCTTCACACATACCCTGTCAGGCTGTAGGAATTGAACTCACTCTTGACTTTGGGAGGTTGACCAGGCCTTGGAGAGCTCCTTGTGGCAAGAGGTTGGGCTTGGTAGGCATCGTAGTAGTTGGAGCGATTTCTCTGGGATGAGCAGGAAAAGCAGAGGATGATTCCAGCTATCAGGGAGAACAGGGAAGAAATAATGCCCAAGTAAAGAGCCTCTCCAATCTCAAATTTCATGCTGTCAGGCACCAGTGGTGAGTAGAAGTCCCGTAGGATCCCATGAAGATTCCAGGCAACAGGAATGAATCCCAGGAGGCCTCCAAGGATGAAAAAGACTCCACCTGCTACCGCCACTCTGTCTTTGGCTCGGGATTCCTGGCAGAAGACTGTGCATCTCATGCCCACCACAGAGATAATGCAGGCCAGGGAGGAGATTGCACTGGATGTCACCATCATGGCCTGGGCAGCCTGGATGTCAGCGGGCAGGCCCAGAAGGGTGCTATAGATGTCACACTGGGTGATGCCTGTGCTGTGTGTGGCACATTCCATCCAGAGGCCCTTGGAGAAGCCAACTGCTGTCACAATGCTGGCACCGACATAAGAACTTGTTTTCCAGCTGGGGAGCAGCATGGCAACCAGTGTGCCCAAAAGCCCCAGAAGGCCTAGGATGTAGCCCACAAGTTGGAGGCCAAGAGAGGCCATGGCAGACCTCTCAGTAGAAGCGTCTTCAGGGACTGCTCCCTTGTCTTCAGGCTGAAGCTCTTGCTCCTTGAACACCTCTAATCCCTCATTTCAGAGTCTCTCTGCCAGGCTGACTTCTCTCCTCCTTACAAGTGTCTGTGGGTGGCCACAAGCAGCCTCAAGAAGGCATCTAGAAGACCTAAAAAAAATCCATAAACCAGATTAAATATTGACCAGAAGCTTATGAGAAACCAGAAAACGCTGGATGCCTTTTGACCTTTGTTATCTTTAGAAATAACACATGAGAAAGGAAAAAAAAAACAACTTTGAACGTGGAGCCAAAATGTCATCGCCTCCTGCGTAGGCACATGCCTTAGGTTGGCAGCTGGACAAAGCCAGGAGCCAGACAGGTGGCTGCTTTCCGGGAAGGTGATGATGGCAGTGGTGGTTGTGGTGGCTGTGTTAACTCAAGTGCTAGTCTCCAAGGCCTGCTGTTTAATACATTGCCAAGCAACAGTGCCATAGGGCCCCTCAATTGCAGACTGAGGCCAAACTGCAGACTACATCAGGAGGAACAGATCCTAGAATGTAGTCTTGGACTCCAGTTTGTTAGAGGCCTCTTGAATCTCCAGGGGCCTAGAGAGTAGTGGCCTAGCCCTGGATCATTCTGCCCATGGTGAAAATCTACTCCAGGGTAGATGGGGGTGGGCAGCAAAGCCTTCTGTCCATACTCTGAGAGTTCAGATCCTCCCAGCCATGCCCAAATCCCCCTCTGCAGCCTAGTCTAAGGCCTCCTGCATGTATAACATGCCCAGACATTTCCTGTCCAGTCTCCTAATAGATGCTCCCATCATCAGCCTCTTGGATGATGAGGGAGCACTCTGGAACAAGGGTTCCAGGACTGAGAGGGGGCCCTGAAATTCCCTGGGCCATCTGTTAGGGGGGACAAGAGTCTGCCACAGAGGAAAGGGAAACTGCTCTAGAATATAGGGCTTTGCATGAGGCAGGTATCTGAGTCAATGCTTTGGAATCTCAGAGCCATATAAGATTTTGCCGTGTTCAAGGAGCCCTCGGTGTTGCCAAGATTCAGGACACTAAGGGTCAAGGGCACACCTCCCCATTCTCTACAAGACCCTCTGATCCACTAATTTTTCTTTCTTTCTTTTTGAGACAGGTTCTCACTTTGGCACCCAGGCTGGAGTGCAGTGGCATGATCTCGGCTCATTGCAGCCTCGACCTCCTGGGCTCAAGTGATCCTCCTGCCTCAGCCCCACAAGTAGCTGGGACTACAGGAGCGCATCACCACACCTGGCTAGTTTGTGTGTGTGTGTGTGTGTGTGTGTGTGTGTGTGTGTGTGATCCTCCTGCCTCAGCCCCACAAGTAGCTGGGACTACAGGAGCGCATCACCACACCTGGCTAGTTGTGTGTGTGTGTGTGTGTGTGTGTGTGTGTGTGTGTGTGATCCTCCTGCCTCAGCCCCACAAGTAGCTGGGACTACAGGAGCGCATCACCACACCTGGCTAGTTGTGTGTGTGTGTGTGTATTTTTTGTAGAGACCAGGTTTTGCCATGTTGCCCACACTGGTCTTGAACTCCTAAGCTCAAGTGATCCACCTGCCTCAGCCTCCCAAAGTGCTAGGATTACAGGCATGAGCCACCGTGCCCGAACTAACCCACTAATTTTTCAACCCACCACAATCTGGCTATTCCATTTTAGCCTTCTTCAAGATTTCTCTTTCCCTACTCATCTCTTAAATGTGAGTATTCCTCAGAAGTCCATCCTTTTCTCAATTAACACTCTGTCCCTGAGCAAACTCATCTTGCCCCCATAACTTAATCTACTACCCATCCACTGACCCTCCCAAATCTGAATTTCCAGGATAGACCCTTCTGAGCTTCAAGACTGGCAGAGCAATCACCTAGTCAGAATCTCCACAGGGAAATCTCATAGACATCTCGAATTTGACATGTCCAAAAGTGAACTCATCACATCCCCCATGCAGCTTTCCCCAAACAGTTCTTCCCTGTGTTCCCTGTGTTCACTGAATGATACCTCTATCCATCCACTTGTGCCAGACCAAAATCCGGAAAGTGATCTTTAGCACCTTTCTTCTACTTACCTCCTGCATCCTATAGTCCCTATGTCCCACCAGTTCTACCTTATGAATATACCTCAAATCCATGGTTCCTTTCTCTCCATTTCCACTGCTACTTCCCTAGTTCAGTTTCACCATTCTTTTTTTGAGACCGAATTTTGCTTTTGTTGCCCAGCCTGGAGTGGGGTGGCGTGATCTTAGCTCACTGCAATCTCCACCTCCCAGGTTCAAGTGATTCTTGTGCCTCAGCTTCCTGAGTAGCTGGGACTACAGGTGCACGCCACCACGCCCAGCTAATTTTGTATTTTTAGTAGAGACAGGGTTTTGCCATGCTGGCCAGGCTGATCTCCAACTCCTGACTGCAAGTGATCCGCCCACCTCAGCCTCCCAAAATGCTGGGATTACAGGTGTGAGCCACCATGCACGACCTCATCATTCTCTTTCACCTGGATTATAGCAACAGCTTTCTAACTTGTCTTTCTCCCAATTCATTCTCCACATCATTGCCAAGGTGATCTTTCAACACATTAATCTGATCGAGTCACTACTCTACATAAAGCATTCCAGTGGCTCCCCATTTGCTAAAAAGTAAAGTCCAAACTTGCTTGGTTTACCCCATGACCTCTCAAGCTTCATCTCTTGCCATTTCCCTCCTCATAGTCTGTACTATTGTGGAATTAAATTACTTCCAGTTCTTCAATCATGCCATGTGGTCTTTTGCTCCCAAATAGAAATAGAACAGAATATTCTATGCAGAGTGTTATGTATTCTTCTTCCTCTGTTTAGTGCCTTCTCATCTTTTAGGATTCAGCACAGATGTCTCTTACTCTAGCCTGGGTCAAGTACCCCTCCTGTCTATTCTTACAGTATCTTGTGTTTACTTCCATCATAGTAATAATAATAATAGCAACACTTATGTAGTGTTTCTTATGGGACCATTATAAGCACTTTTTACATGCTAACTTATTTAGTCGTCACAGGTTTTTTTGTGGTAGGCACTAATAATCCCTATTGTATAGATGAAGAAACTGAGGCAGAGATAGTACATTTTGCATTATGTTGCAATTTCCTGTTTAAACCCTCATTCTTCCCTATTAGCCTGTGAGCTACTTGAGGGCAAGACTATATCTTATGTATCTCTGTATCTCATGTGCCTTACATACTGCTTTATCCAGAGCAGCAATTCAAAAACTGTCTTCTTAATAAATGAATGAAGTTGGCAAAGAGGTTTGAGGGGCTCCATATGACTAAAATATAGGGACTTTCCAAATGAGTCAATAACGCTTCAGTGTAAGGGTCATTGAAGTGCTGCCCAACGTTGGGAAAGAAGAAAGAGAGAGATGGGGGATCAGAGGAAGAAAGAGGTAAGGGGGGAGAGAGAGACAGCAGAGCTTCACTATGTATATATATAATGTATATTATATATATTTATAATATATATGCATTTGTGGAATATTTTGTCTCCTCAACCAAATTCTAAACAATTTAAGGGTGAAAAAATATATATTAAATGTCTATCATGCTTCCACAGCATTGGGCACATGATTGATAGTCAATACGATTCATCAGCATTGGAAACACCAATGCCAGTGTTGATGCAAAGCAGTGCAGAGCAGGAGCCGATAAACATTTGATGAAGGGAGAGAAACATAGTTTGAATCTCACCTCTGTCACTCATTAGCAAGTCTTTCTTGACATTGGTTTCTTATTGCTAACCTTGGCACAATTGTACCTGTCCTGATCATGACTATGTATCTCATTGAGGCCTTCAGTGCTGCTTGGAAATCCTTCTACTTCTCCCTGGTAAGCACCCTTCTGATGACTGCTTCAAACATTTACTACTACTTTTTGAGCTCCCTACTCTACCTCCTCCCTGTGCAGCTATTACTCCTATCTTGATCATTCTCTTTGCAGCCAAGATCCTTAAACAAGCCATTCATTATTGATGTCTCCACTTCTTCACCCTCCCACTCACTGCTCAGCCCTCTGCAGTCTGGCTTCCACCATTAGCCCTCCACTGAAAATATTCTCACCAAAGTTATCAACTCTTTTCTTGATCCAAAATTCAATGATCATATCTCTGTCATCTCACCTTGTCTCTCTCCTTCATAAAACTATCTTCTCCCTTGTTTTCTGTAACACCACTCCATTTTAACTACTTCTCAAAATGATTCTTCTAGTTTTCCCTTATAAGTTCCTCTTCTTCTGCTCACTCTTTAAGTCTAACTATCCATCTCTGCCCCTCTAGCCTCCTCAGGGTTTCATCTCGACTTCTAGATGGCTCTTCTTATCCTTCACATTCTTCATGGGTTATCTCATCCTCTCTGTCTCCATGCCAGTGACTCCTGAATTCATATCTCTGCCACAGATTTCTCTCCTGAACTCAAGATTTGTGTAGTTAACTATTACTTGGAATGGCCCTACCTGAATGTTTTAATGGCCTCAAATTCAACATTTGCAAAGCTGGAATCATCTGCCCTTTTTGCTCCCCATGCCCAAACTGCTCCTCATGCAGTGTTCCTTACCTCAGTGGGGCTGTCACTGAGTTAATAACCCAAGCCAGTCATCCTTGCTTTTTCACCTCTTGTTGACATATAATTAATTATAATGTACCATCAGGTCTGCCTTCAAAAATAGACTGTGAATCCATCTACTTCTTTCTGTCGCCACTGCCCTAAACCATAGTTCAGACTATGCAACCATCGTTTCTTGTCTATTTGAAAATCTCATAGACACCTCAAATTGATCTCTCTAATTCCACTTCTGCCCCAATCCTGCAATAATGAATTACCTACCCAGTAGTCAAAGATCTTTGTAAAGTTGAAATCAAATTGTGACTTTCACCTCACGCTTTGCCATGCTTAAAAATCTTCAGGAGCTCAGCCGGGTGCGGTGGCTTACGCCTATAATCCCAGCACTTTGGGAGGCCGAGGCGGGCAGATCACGAGGTCAGGAGTTTGAGACCAGCCTGGCCAACATAGTGAAACCCCGTCTCTACGAAAAATACAAAAATTAGTTGGGCGTGGTGGCATGTGCCTGTAATCCCAGCTACTAGGGAGGCTGAGGCAGGAGAATCGCTGGAACCGGGAGGTGGAGGTTGCAGTGAGCCGAGATTGTGCCACTGCACTCCAGCCTGAGCGATAGAGCAAAACTTTGTCTCAAAAAAAAAAAAAAAAAAAAATCTTCAGAGCTCTTAAGTATTTCAGGATGAAGTTCAAACTTGCTAGCCCAGGAAACCAAGAAAGCCCTCCATTATTTCACCCCGGCTTTTCTTCACAGCCTCATCTCACACCATTAACCTCCAACCTCATGCTTTATGCTCCTATACATACACATATGATCCAGCCAAACCTAAGCACTTGAATTTCTCTGACTGCCTTTCTCTCTGTCTCCAAGCCCGTAAGCATGCTATTCTACCATCCACCATTTGCTTGGATAATTGCAAATCATCTTTGAGGATGCATCCTTGCCTTGAAACCATCCTTGGGCCCTCCCTGCTCCTCACCCAGGCTGGGTTCAATACTTTTCCTTTCTTCCTCCTATTTGTATCTGAGCTTTCAGTGAGAATTGGTGAGATACCTTGAGGTTTTCAAGGGGAAGACCTACTGCTTCCCAGAGGAGCAGCTCCTGCTTCAGCCTTCCTGGGATGGCAGCTGAAGAGTCAAGCTTGAGTTTCCCAAGGGAATCAACAGTGTCCCCAAGAGGAAAGCCTCTCCCCAGAGCCTGTCCTAAGTAGTAGTAAGTAGGCAAGTGTTTTGGGGTGAGGGAGAGGGCAGAGTCAAGAAAATGCCATTACTGAGGCTTGGAATCTCTAGAGTCTGACTTGGCATAGCAGCATGCCCAGGCAGGAGGAAGAACAAGTTATTGGAGCTTATTCAAGTGATAGAAATGGCCCCATGGAGGGGGGGTTCAGCTTTCCACCAGAGTTAGGAAGACCAGCTAAATGGCGAATGGTTGGGTGGTGAGACAGGCTGGATTCAGCCAGGTTTTTGTTTGTCTGATGAGCAGTAGAGGTGAGGGCAGACAGGGTCCTGGTGTTAGAATCAAAAGATCTAGCTTCTTGTTGTGTCAGTTCTGCCTAGAACCTGCTGAGGAAGTCCTATAGCTTCTCTAGGCCCTAGTTTGTCATCTCCAAGATTTTTAGTCTCAAATAAAGGCATGGGGACAGGAAGCCACTTTGACAAATATAGAAGACTGAAGAGCTGTTATTAGAAGCAGCCAGTTTTAATAGAAGCCTCTCTTTGAGGGATCCTCCTAGAAGTCAAGTACTGGCTGCGTTGGAGGTACAGAGGACTCTAGGCCTTGTCAGCTGAATTTGTCTTCTGGGCATAGGGCCAACATACTCCATGGCCCAAGGACTGGGCAAGAAAGTTTAACTTAGGATCCTTACTTAATCTTCCCTAGTGGGGAGATTGGAGCTGCAGGAGAGGATTAGGAGGGTCAAGATTGACCGCAGCTCCTGACTTAACCCCTTCTCACCTAGGTACTTTCCCTGCTATTCTCCCCATCTCTTGCTCCAAGAGTCTTGTGCATGGTACTCTTTCTTTGGCAGTACCCTCCTAAGACTACATGGGACAGGGCACTTGGGGTTCCCAGGCTCAAGGAAGGAACTGATGTGGCCTTCTGGGGGTGATGATGGCCACCACAGCCCTCTTCTGTCAGTCAGCCTCATTTCTATATCCCTTGATCTCACTGCCCCTCATAAGAATCTGAGACACTTGCCCCCTTCTCTGAAACTCACTTCCAGCTGCCAAGGGCACTAGTAGGTGGCAAAGCCATTCCCTTGAGGCCCTACTTTCTTGAAAGTTTGTCCTTAGAGCAGTTCATCTTTCCTTCTACATCAATTGATTGATGGCAGTTCAGAGAATTGCAACTGGATTGAGAGATTTTCTTATTGTTTGAAAAAGAAGTTGATTTTTGTCCTGATCATCAAAGTAAAGCATTCTCACTTTAGAACACTGGAAAACACAGAAAGGCAGAATTTAGAAAACAAAAATCGCCTACGATCTCCCCGGCCATAAGTGCTGTGAATGTTTTGGTTCCAACTGCATTTTCAAAGAGGGCACTTGAAGAGAGTAATACCTCAGTCGAAAGAAGGAATTTCTAATGACAGACTTGCAGACCAGTGAGGGAGAGTCCTTGAAGGACCTCATGGGGAAACTTTATGACTTCACTTAGGAACCCACCTTCTGCTACCTCCCTGAGCCTTCATGCCAAGGAGGGCACTGGAGCTGGCTGTGAGGGAGTGCCCCTTCTGCCACTCCTCAGTCCCCTACACTTAGGCAGAGGGGTAAACTGTGGCTCCCTTCCTCCAATTTTTATCCCAGTCCTTTTAAGCCCCCAAACCAGAAAATATCTGATTTGGAGAGTGCTTTCTCTGGTCCTGAAGTTTTAAAGATTTGAACCTTTGTGATAGCTTTGAGGGAACAAATACCACCAACCCAAATGCCACCGGAGTTTCCCCTCCCATACCCTTCACTCAGAAACCCAAGGTGGCCCAGCCTGGCTCCACCATGGGGTGAATGGATAGTGACTAGGAAGGAAGAGTGCCCACCTCGGTGAATTTAAAAGGCAGCAACTATATCAGGATGGAGATACTTACAGGGCAGTTCTTTGCAGAGCCTTGGAGGGGGAGATGCCCCTGGAGAGGGAGAAAGGGATCCTGAGGGAGGGGAGCGAAGTACAAGGGGCCACGGGCTGAGGTGATAAAGGATTTCTAATCGTTAACCACAGCTTTGCAAAATCCATCTGCAAATCTGAGCCGTGGGTCAGAGACTTATTACAGATCAGAATTAAACCCCTGGAGGCTGGGAAAGATTGAGGCACTTTAGAAAAAAAAAAAAAAAGGTTTGGTGGGTTTTCTGTGTGTGTTTTTTTTTTTCTGTCAAAAACTCCACTCCAGCTGGGCTTTTGTGTGGTGACCTCTGTGAACCCAGGAGAGGCCTTGTGGGGAGGGGGATTTGGCCCAAGAAGGAATTCAGAACATTCCAGCTTTGAGGGTGGTGAGAGGAGGGGGCTCTGTCCCACCAATTAGGTGTCCCTGGCTAGCAGCCCTGAAGCCCAGCAGGGAGTAAGCTGCATAAACACAGCCCTGGTGAGCCAGTGCCCAAGCAGCCCTGCATGGCCTGCAGCTCCATAGACTTTTCTACTCAGCTTGATTCTCTGGCAGGCCCTCAGCCCTACCCCACCCCTAAGGTTGGTCCCAAGGCTCAAGGGCAAACATGGGTACTGTAGGTTCAGACTCTGAGTTCAAAGAGCAGGTCCTACAAGGTGGAACTGAGTAGGCCAGCATAAGGACAGGGCTCTCCTTTTTACCACACATGGCAGTGCCATGCACTATGTCATTTAAGCCTCTCAAAAGTGCTGTGAAGGCCGTGTGCAGTGGCTCACGCCTGTAATCCCAGCACTTTGGGAGGCCGAGGCGGGTGGATCACCTGAGGTCAGGAGTTCGAAAACAGCCTGGCCAACGCGGTTAAACCTTGTCTCTACTAAAAATACAAAAATTAGCTGGATGTGGTGGTGCGCACCTGTAGTCCCAGCTACACGGGAAGCTGAGGCAGGAGAATCACTTGGACCCAGGAGGCGGAGGTTGCAATGAGCCGAGATCATACCACTGCACTCCAGCCTGGGTGACAGAGTGAGACTCCATCTCAAAAAAGCAAAGCAAACAAACAAAAACCCAAACAACAACAGAAATAAAACCAAACCAAAACAAACAAACAAAAAAACATGCTGTGGAGTAGTAGAGCGCAGTGACTGGCTTTACTCTCCCAACGCAAAAAAGCTTTCTAGTTTTTTCTAAGTAGAAAAATACTAGATGCTATTGAAAAGAATTCAGAAAATGAATTATAAAGAAGAAAATAGAGGTCCTCATAATGCCACCAGCCAGAAATAATCATTGCTAACATTTTGATGTATTGTAGAAGATATCGATGGGATTTGTTTTATAAAATTGAATCACACTATACCTACAGTTTATGTAACCTTACATCATTTGTAAATAACATATCGTGGACCTATTTCCATGTCAATTAAAACACAGAACTACATCATTCTGTCATGGCTGCACTGCATTCTATCATATAAAATATGATTTATTTAATCGTAAACTACTAGACGTTTTGTTATTTTCATTTTCACTATAACCCAGCATCTTTGCACATAATACTGACAAAGTCTTAAGAATAGAATTGCTAGGTGAAAGAGTGTGCATGTTTTAAAGGCCAATACAACATGTTACAAAAATAAGACAGCCATTACTATTTCCAGATGAGGAAACCTCGGCCCAATGAGATGAAAAGAGTTGCCCAACATCCCAAGTTGAGCAGTAATAGTTAGACTTGGAATCTAGGTCTGTAGATATCTAGCTTGGCAAACTTTGCAGTGTACAACACCAACTCCCTCCCAAGGATTCCCATGTACAAATGATAAGGCCACGGTTCATTGAACACTTGCTAGGTGCCAGGCACTGTGCTGAGGTGTTTCCTATCCATGGTCTCACTGTGCTAGTACAGAGCAAGGCCTGGGTACCAAACCTGGCCACCTCTAGAGCTTGCCTCATAGTCATTATGCTTGACTCTATTTTTCAAGTCATATCAAAGCAAACAGTCGGATTTGTTGCCTAGGGTGAACTCAGTGAAGCAAACCAGAAATCATCCTCCTTCCCAAGGCGGCCCATCCCTACCTTGCAGGTACAAATGGGGCACTGATCCCCTGGCAGTGCTCCTGAGCAAGGGTCTCTCCAGGGCACTCCCTCTTGGCAGGCTGGGACACGCTAAAAGGGCAGCCATGCCTGAGCTCAGGCCTGGGGAGTCTTTGGGCATGAAAGCAAGCAAGGCTGAAGGGGTGGGAGGGATACCAGGCTAATCCTCTAACCAACTATGTGACCTCAGGCAAGCCTCTCCATTTTCTTTTCCCAGGCTTCACCCAGCCGAATTCCCAAGGCTGGGTGAATGAATGTGAATGCATTTTGACAAGTAGAAAATGCTGATTGAATGCAGAATGTAGTAGAGGGGCACCTTATCAGTTCATAGTGACTGTGCAATTGAGGATAGGAAAAGGCAGAATCTTAGGGGCAGGTGCCAGGGCGGATGAGGAGACTGTGTTGGCAGGATGTGGTTTCCAGATTGGCAATCATTCAAGGACTGGGTTCTAACACTGTGTTTCCTTCAGGTCGGCATTGTCAGATCCTGGTGGAATCATGCCAAATACTATGACTCCTCAGTGTTGAGCCTAGGAGGTTCTTTAGTAATCCTTCTGCCAAGACCCCTGCTGAGATCCAAAGAGCTTAGATGGGTGCGGGAATGGAGAGGGGGCTGAAAGAACAGGAAAGAATAGCAGTCTGAGAAAAGCAGCATTTAGTTCAGGAGACAAGTGAGTAGGGAGAGAATAAAGGGAGGGAAATAAGAGTATGGGAAGAGGTGGTTTGGGGGAAGAGAAAAGGAGAAGAGAGAAAAAGGGTCTTTGAGGAAGAAAATCAAAGAGAGCTCTGTAGAAAGCAAGGTCTTGAAGGGCAGGGAGGAAATGATGCTATGAAAAGAGGAGTCTAGAAGGAGAAGTAAGAGACTCTAAGGAAGAGGGTGTAGGGATGGACTCTGGGAGAAGGAGTTAGGGTCTAGGGCAGAGAGAGACTTAGAGACATTTCACCCTCACTGTTCCACCAAAAGAAGTTCTTGTCACAGTTACCAATGACCGCATGTCACCAAATCCAATGGCCACTTTTTAGTCCTTAATTTCCATGACCTCTATGCAACATTCAATGCCCTTGATAACCTTGTCTTCCTTGAAATACTTTCTCCTCTTGGCCTCTGTGATAACAACACTCCTCTGGTTTCCCTCTTATCTTTCTGGGTACTTCTTCATTGGTACCTCTGCCTCTGCCAGACCCTTAAATATGGGCACTTCTCAGGAGCCTGACCTAAGTCCTCGTTCCTCACTCTGCATTCCCATTCTGGGAAGTCTCATTTATCCTCTGTGGTTTCAGTTATCCTCTATCATCTGACGACTTCCAAATCATCATTTTCAGCCCAGACTTCTCTGGGCTTCAGACCTTTATATACTGGCATCTCCATTTGGATAGCTGAAAGTTGTCTCAAATGCAACATGTCCAGGGTCTTGCTCTGTTGCCTGGACTGGAATGCAAGTGGCATGATCACAGCTCACAATAACCTTGAACTCCTGGACTGAAGGGATCCTCCTGCCTTAGCCTTCCAAGTAGCTGAGACTACAAGCATGTGCCGCCACGCCCAGCTAATTTTTATAATTTTTTTGTAGAGATGGGGTCTCACTATATTGCACAGGTTAGTCTCAAACTCCTAGGCTCAAGCCAGCCTCCTGCTTCAGCCCCTCAAAGCGCTGGGATTACAGGTGTGAGCCACTATGCCCAGCCTCAAAATTGTATCCTTGATTTCCCTTTGAACTGAAATCAGTCCTCCTTCAGTCTTCTCCCTTTGAGAAAGCCAATTGTTTAAGCCAGAAACCTCAGAGTTAGCCTTAATTCCACTTTCTCTGACCCTCATTGTATCAGACCTGTAAATCTTTCCCATTCTACCTCCAAAATTTAGCTTTTTTGTCCATCTGCTGGTTTCGACTTCCACTCCCCTTAGCATCATCTCTCACCGGGATGCAATACCCTTCTGATTTTCCTATTTCTCCTTTTGGCTTTCTACAGTCCATTCTCCACATAGTAGTATGATTTGGCCCCTACCTAGCTCTCCAAACTGGTTTTGTACTACTCTCCTCACTCCCCACTCTCCCGACTGGCTTCCTTTCAGTTTCTCAAGCCTACAATGCTCTCCCTTCCCTCTAGGCCTTTACAAGTCCTGTTCCTTCTGCCTGGAACTCTTTGTGGACCCTGGCCCTACTCCACCTTCAGCTGGTTTTGTCTGGAAAACTCCTTATCCTTTAGGGCTCAGCTTAACGGTTGCTTCCCTGATTCCTGGGGTCTCTTGGTTGGATATTCCTCCTCTATGCTCCCAAAGCATCTTGTTATCCCCCCACCAATTGTCTTGGGTTGTATTTGTTGTTGCTACTCCTGCATAGGACTGTGAATGCCTGAAGGGTTTGGCTTTTTTTTTTTTTTCTTAATTCAACTTTTATTTCAGGTTCAGGGGTATATGTGCAGGTTTGTTATATAGGTAAACATGTCATGGGGGTTTGTTGTGCACATTGGGTTTGGCTTTCAATTGTTATTTTCATCACTATTCTAGTCTAATACATAGTAGGTGCACCATTGAATTGATGGAATCAGACTGAGAAGAGATTGTGGTAAGAAGGGAAACACTAGATGGGTCTGGGAAGAAAGGGGTCCAGGAGAAGAGGAAGGAGAGACAAAATGATTATGTAAGAGAAAGGT
Organism: Homo sapiens; assembly: GCF_000001405.40. Classification (NCBI taxonomy): domain Eukaryota; kingdom Metazoa; phylum Chordata; class Mammalia; order Primates; family Hominidae; genus Homo; species Homo sapiens. The sequence continues at coordinate 106,915,799 of NC_000023.11, read as the reverse complement.
GGGTGAAGAAGAGAAGTTCTGGGAGGGGAGGCAGGAGAAGGGCTCATGAAGACATGTCTGGGAGGAAAGAGAGAATAAAGGTTTGAGAGGCAATGGATAAGCAGATCTAGGAGGAGAAATGTTGAGCAAGGGCTTCCTAAGCACTAATGCACAGACTTAAGAAGAAAGGAAGGGAGTGGTAGAGGATCACCAATAGGAGAAAACTAAGGCCAATGTAGCAAGATTTGTAAATTATTTAAAGCTTATTCAATTTAAAAGACTACTTGTAATTCCGGACTTATTCTTTGAATAGTTGGTATTAAGGTTTCTTTTGTAAAATAAGAGGTGGTAGTATTTTTCAATGCCCTTAATTAACAAAATTAAAAGTTTGAAAACCATATGTTGATTCTCCCTCATTTTAAAAAATTTTGTAATTCCACTGGTCCACAAAAATCCCAATTGAGGAGAGCTCTGGGAAGAGCACATTCTGTCAATGGGTCTCAACATTTTGGTCTCAGGACCACTTTACATTCTTATTTAGGAAATGACCTAAATGTCTTTCAACTAGTGAACGAATAAACTGGTACATCTGTGTAATGGAATACTACTTCACAATCAAAAGGAATGTACTATTGATACACACAGCTACATGGGTGAAGCTCAAATGTATTATGCTGAATGAAAGAAGCCAGACTCAAAAAGCTGCTTACTGTTATGTTCTATTTATATGACATTCTTGAAATGACACTACTTAGGGATGGATAATAGATTAGTGGTTGCCAGGAGTTGGGGTAGTGGAAGGGGTTTACTACAATGGAGTGGCATAAGGAAATTATTTGGGGTGTTGAAACTCTTAATTGTTGTTACATAATTCTATGCATTTGTCAAAATTCATGGAGCTGCACACCCAAAAGAGTGAATTTTATACATCCCTCCACATTTTGTCATTCAGCACCTTAATATCTATGCAAATTTAAAAATAAACAAATAAAAGATATTAGTTAACAAATTATTGAGGACTCCAAAGGGCTTTTATTTGTCTAACCTCCAAAGGGTTATATCTATTGACATTGAACATATTTATAATTAAAACTTACATTTTAACTATTTATGTATTACTTTAAAATAAAAATTATAAACCTATTACATTATAACATAAATAATATATATTTATGACAATTATAGTTTTCAAAACAAAAAAATGGCAAGAAAGTGGCATTATATTCAATATTTGCAAATCTCTTTAATGTCTGGCTGAGCACAAGGCAGCTGGATTCTCATATCTGCTCTTGCACTCCAGCTGTTGCAATATGTGGTTTTTGGTTGAAGTGTGTGAAGAAAATCCAGCCCCACAAAGATAGGGAGGTAGAGAAGGGGGGTATTTAATAGTCCTTTTAGGCAGAATTCTAAGAATGACCCCCAAATGTCCCTCACATGCCTATAAATTTCTTCTCTTTTGGGAGTGTTTCTGATGAGATATCACTCCCATGTTTGTGTTAGTTATATGGCAAAGGGAAATTATCAAGGTTGTACTCACCTAATCACAGGAATCCTTTAAAAGAGGGTTTGTGGCCGGGTGCGGTGGCTCACACCTGTAATCCTAGCACTTTGGGAGGCCGAGGTGGGTGAATCACCTGAGCTCAGGAGTTTGAGACTACCCTGGGCAACATGGCAAAACCCACTTTATTAAAAATGCAAAAATTAGCCGGGCGTGGTGGTGTGTGCCTGTAATCCCAGCTGCTTGGGAGCCTGAGGCAGGAGAATCACTTGAGCCCGGGAGGTGGAGGTTGCAGTGGGCCGAGATTGCACCACTGCACTCCAACCTGGGCCACAGAGCGAGACCCTGTCTCAAAAAAAAAAAAAAAAAAAAAAGTTTTCTAGTGGTGGAAAAGGAAGTCGGAAGTGAGAGAGATGCAAACTTGACTATGCCGTTGATGGTTTCCAAATGGAGAGAGCTGCGTAAGAAGGAGTGTAGGTAGCCTCTAGGAGCCATAAGCAGCCTCTGGATGACAGTCAGCAAGTCAGGGGGGCCTCAGACCCACACCCTGAAGGACCTGGATTCTGCTAACAACCTGAGTAAACTTGGAAGGGGACTTTTCCCCAGAGCCTCCAGATAAGAGCCCGGCTCAGCTAACCACTTCATCTCAGCCTTGTGAGACCCTAAGCAGGGAACTCAGGTGAACACACCTGGATTTCTAACCTATATAACTGCGAGATGATAAATGGGCATCGTACTAAGTTGTTAAGTTTGTGGTAATTTGTTATGGCAGCAATACAAAACTAATAAATGGTGTGGGGATTCTTCTTGATAACTACACCTAAACTTCACAAGTGGTTGTTTCTTAATGTTTCTTTGCAATGTTGAATCTGAAACTAAACCGTATCGGTGAACCTTTTGTACTCTGTTACATTAAAATCTACTGGTCAGCCAGGCACCGTGGCTCACACCTGTAATCCCAGCACTTTGGGAGGCTGAGGTGGGTGGATTACTTGAGGTAAGGAGTTCAAAACCAGCCTGGCCAATATGGCAAAACACTGTCTGTAGAAAAAATACAAAAATTAGCCAGGCTTGGTGGTGTATGCCTGTAGTCCCAGCTACTTGGGAGGTTGAGGCATGGAAATTGCTTGAACCTGGGAGGTGGAGGTTGCAGTGAGCCAAGATTGTGCCACTGTGCTCCAGTCTGGGCAACAGAGTGAGATTCTGTCTCAAAAAAAAAAAATCAATTGCACTTTGAATGGATCTGTTATCCATGCATGATTTTGTAACATCATGCATTAGTCATCTGGAAAATATCGGTCCACCCACTTATGCAGATCTTCCCATTGCTGACTCGCTTTTTGATTCTACAATATTAAAAAATCACATTCATTAGTATCCCTACTAATCTTATTAGAAAGCTCTTTAGGATATTGAGAAGCTCTCAAGCTCACAGTGGCTGATACAGGTTTTCCAAAATTGTGCTTTTTACTTGAAAGCGTAACTTTTATCATTGACAACAAATAGTAACAGTTGTTTTCCTTGAGGTGACAGGATCATTTTGTCCATTTTTAACAAAATACTTGCCAAGCACCCAAGTTTGAATAACCACAATTTATCTGTCAATCATTCAAGTAAAAAAAAAAATAAAGTGCTCCCCAGCACTTTGGGAGGCTGAGGCAGGTGGAATGCTTGAGCCCAGGAGTTTGAGACCAGCCTGGGCAACATAGCGACACTGTGTCTCTGCTAAAAAAATAAAACAATTAGCTGGGCATGGTGGCGCAAGCCTATAGTCCCAGCTACTTGGGAGGCTGAGGTGGGAAGATCGCTTGAGGCTGAGAGATCGAGGCTGCAGTGAGCCATGATGGCACCACTGCACTTCAGCCTGCATGACAGAGCCAGACTCTGTCTGAAAAAAAAAAAAAAAAAAAAAAAGAGTTCCATAAAAAATTCGCTAGTTTAGCTTGCAAGTCAATTGTGCAAGTGCTTTTCCTCATGACAATTGCACTTCAGTATGCAGAAGTGCTTTATATATCCATATATACTTCCTATGCCCAGCCCCATGAAAGTAGTTTTGACTGAACCTCCTGAATTTTAGGGGCTCCCTGGGTCTTTGGACCACATTTTTAGGGCTGCTGGTCTAGGCTGAGGCTGGAAGAGGGAGGGAAGAGGTCTGGGAAAGAGTGGAGATGAAATTTTAATTATGCTTAGAAATGTCCTGTCAGTAGAGGAGACAGCTGGGCATGAAGAGGAGGAGAGGATTCCTAGGTTCCTTCCCAAAGGACCTCTGCTGTTGTTGTGCCCTTTCCTACTCCTGACCTGCCTTGTTCATGAGCTGTCCCAGCCAAGTCAACAGCGACCCTCTGTAACTACTCGTATCCTGGGATCTTGGGTGCTCTGTCTTAGAAGGCCCCAATATGAACAGAGAATCCCACCCTGGCCCATGCACCTGTCATAGCTGTCTGCCACCCTACCGTAGAGCCCCAAGGCTACTTGCTAGACTAAATCTATTAGTCTTCTCAGACCAACTACCTGTGTCAACATCATTCCATTCACATGAAATGAACGCCTGCCATGTCCCCAGTCCTGTGCCAGGTGCTGATGGGAGCGAGGAGACAAGATTAAGCCACAGCACCTCGATAGAAAGGCTTGCTTCTTATCCAAAAAAGTGACTGAAAAGAGGGCTGGCACCCCTACATGGGGGAAAAGCTCAAATGAGAGGCCTGCAGAGGGACGCAGATGTTAGCGTGGCTTGGAGGCTTCCTGCAGTCAGTGTGGATTCAAGGAGGACCTGGAAGGGAGGGCAGAATTTGTGTCATGGGGAAGAGTGGTGTTCTAGTCTTGGCAGGGGTTTGGGGGGTGGAGATGGTCATGTGCAGGGACACTGTAGTAACAAGCCTGCTGGAAGTAAGGGGGAGAGCAGGGTGGAGTCAGAGGTGAGGCTTGAAGGAACAGGGAAAACATGTAAATGCCTCTTATTCCCATCACTCATGAGCTGCCATTGCGGGTGTCTGAGCAGGATGGAAGCTATGTTCTGGGAAGCCAAATCTGGCCCAGTATGCAAAAACACCTGAAAGTATGTGGGACAGAAAAGGAACACCAGTTTCCATACAGTATTTCATTTCATCCTCACTCCAGTCCTGGGAGATGAGTACTATTGTTTTCATCCCCAGGAAATTGAGGCTCAGAGATTGGTTCACTTACCCAACATCACCTGCATGGTAAAAGATTGAGGAAGGCTTCCAACCTAGGCCTGCTTCTAAAGCCTGTGCTCTGAATAGCCACAATGTATGCAATGATGGAGGGGCAAAAGGAACAATCATAATAGTCACCATTTACTGAGTGCTAACTACATGTCAGGTTTTAAGCAAAATCCATGCACTATTTCTTTCAGTCTTCACTGCAACTCTGTGAAGTAGGAACCATTATTTTTCCCCCACACCCAAGTCTAGCTATAGCGCCCAAGCTTTTTCCACGTTAAGATCGACTGCAAAAGTACAGGCATTAGACAAGAAGGGCCTGAGTTAGAGTGGCAGACAAACCTCTCAATAGCTTCTTGAGCCTGGGTAAATTGCTTAATCTCTCCATGCCTCAGTTTTCTGCTGACCTTTACTTTTATGGCTTTTTTTTTTTGATGGAGTTTCACTCTATCTGCCCAGGCTGGAGTGTAGTGGTGCAATCTAATTTTACTGCAACCTCTACCTCCTGGGGTTCAAGCGATTCTCCTGCTTCAGCCTCCCGAGTAACCAGGATTACAGGTGCCCCAAGCCACCACACCCAGCTAATTTTTGTATTGTTAGTAGAGACAGTGTTTCACCATGTTGACCGGGAGGGTCTTGAACTCCTGACCTCAGGTGATCTGCCCACCTCGGGCAGATCACCCAAAGTGCTGGGATTACAGGCATGAGCCACTGCGCCCAGTCTCTGCTCACCTTTAAATGGCAGCAATAATAGTAACTACCTCATAAGATTTTTGTGAGGAGTCAATAATAAAACAATAAAGCACTTAGCACGGTGCCTGGCACACAGTAAGCAGTCAATAGATGTGAGCTATTTTTCTTGTCATTGTTTTTGTTAGTTTCTCAGGATCCACATCCCAGGAAGATAGCTGCCACTAGTTACTAGTATCGTTTGCTTACTTAGCCAGGATCATCAGGACACCAAGACTAAAAGGACAAGAGGAAAGACCGCACTACTGAGAATTCAGCATCGCTTCATCTTCCCAAGGTCTCAGGCCAGGCTGGGAAAGGGGGCTGTCTCAGAGAAGAGAGGATGAAAAGGCTGGCCCAAGGAGCCAGGGGAGGAGCTGGATGGAAGGACAGGACGGAGAAGGAAAGGAGCCCAGCTGGGAGTGACGTTTCCAAACACCTCCCTCCTGCCCACCTTCTTCCTCAGAGCTTTGTTTTTCTAGGCTTCTGCAGTCCAAATGAGGAGCAAATGGGGAGCTGCGAGAGGTTCTGCCAAGAGAGCCCGCACCACATGGGCCACAGCCCTGGCTCAAATGGTGGACCAAGCAGCAGAGGGTGTAGGAAGAGAGCTGACCCAGGAACAAACTGTTCTCCAGAGGGGACCCCCGTCCCAGGAACCCAAGGGACTGCATATAAGAGTTGGCACATTTGGGACATTTGGACTTGAGGGCAGAGGCCCCAGGCACCATTTGCTATTTATGATTTGGAGGCAGGCCTGGGTTGGGGAGAGAAACTTCTCCTTTGCTCCTCTTTCAGAGCAGACCCTGTATTACTTCGGGCCTCCACTGGGCACCCTCACTGGATGTTTAGGCCTCCTGCCCTCAACCCCAGGGGCTCCGGCTTGCAAGACAGAGGCCAGAGGGAAAGAGGAAGAGCTCCTTTCTGGAGAGGAGCGCAGAACTTGTTGCTGGAAATTTCAACCTGGCATTCAACGTTCTCCTCCCTCTGTTGCCCGCTGGCCTAGGCTCTCACTGTTCCCAAGACAGCCCACTCTCCCCACTGCTCCCCAGTGGCAGGATAGGGCTGGGCAGTGGTTAGGAGCACAGAGACTCCCCGAGTTCAAATCCCAATCTTGTCACTTTTAGCTCTGTGACCCTGGGTAAGTTCCCCAGTCTCATCTTTAAAATGCAGCTTTTAATAGTATCTTCCTCACTGGGTTGTTTGTGAGACTTGAATTAATTCACGCAGAGTGCTTAGAATAATGCCTGGCGTATAAATGTTTAACAAATGTTCTCTACTCTTATTATCCACCTCTGTGCCACTTTTCTCTGCCAGAATTACATTTCCACCTTCTCTCAGCCTCCTTAAACCCAGTCCAACTCAATCTCCTCCTCCTCCATGAAATCTTTGGGCAGTATCCAGTCTCCTGACCTCTGTTACACCCGGCAATGAGACCAGAACCATTTTGAGAGCAAAGGACAATGACATGAGCAGCACTAACTAAATGAATCACAGAATAACATCTGCGCTAATCTCCTTAGTGCTATCAAACTTTTTGACTGTGACCCACAGTAAGAAATATATTTTACAGCATGGCCCAGTCCATGCATTTGGTATCAGTGTATTCATTTGATACACAATGCATTTGTATATAAACATTGTTATAGAGTATGAAAAAAAATAGCCATGGGTGTTGGGACACACCTGTGGTCCCAGCTACTTGGGAAGCTGAGGTGGAAGGATCGCTTGAGCCTAGGAAGTCAAGGCTGCAGTGAGCTGTGATCGTGCCACTGCATTCTAGCCTGGGCGACAGGGTGAGACCCTGTCTAAAAAGAAACAAAAAAAACAACAACAAAAAAAAAAAAAAAGAAAAGAAAAGAAAGAAAAAAAATACACTGTCCCAAGAATGACCCTGAGCCTTCCCTCCAGAGGCCCTAAACCCTGAAAAGATTACAGGTGAATGGCGTGTTTGCAGGATGGAGATAGAGTTGAGGGAGGCTGCAATGGATGGTGTGTGGAAGCCCTTCTGAGGCAGAAGACCGGAGAGCAGGCTGAGCTCAGATGTCAAAGGACTTCAACTGCCACACGAAGGAGTTTGGACATTTTCTATAGACACTGGAAGTTTTTAAGGAGAGGAAGACCATACTTGGCTATGTGTTTTAGAAAAATCTCTGGGGCAGCTGTGAGGAGAATGGATTGGAAAGGCTACCTCACAGACAGGGAAAACTATGAAGAAGCTCTGTTGAGCATCCAGGTGAGAGAGGACAGATGAGGCCATAATTTAAGAAACAACTGGGAGAGTGGAAGAGTGGAGAACATGGAGGAGACAAAAGTCAGAAATGGTAAAGACCAAAATCAGCAGCCGAAGTTTTGAGCTTGAGTAACTGGGTCAATATAATGCTGGTTTCCAAGGTAGGTACAAAGGAGATTTGTCCGGCAAGAAAACAGTTCAGTTTTGGAATAAGTTTGAGATACCCATTGGAAAAATTTCAGTGGGAAACATAACTCTCATTCTTTCATTCATTCAATAAACATTTATGGGACTGACATAGATAAACTAATGTTTTATTTTGCCAGAGTAGAAACATTAAAGAAATAAAGTAACTTCCATCATTGCCATAATTTCAAAGAACATTTTACTACCAAAAAGTAGGAACAGCATAATCTCAGAACGAAGGAGAGTCCTTTATTATTATTATTATTATTATTATTATTATTATTATTATTATTATTTTGAGACGGAGTCTCGCTCTGTTTTCCAGGCTGGAGTGCAGTGGCACAATCTCGGCTCACTGCAACCTCCACCTCCTGGGTTCAAGCAATTCTCCTGACTCAGCCTCCTGAGTAGCTGGGATTACAGGTGTGTGCCACCACGCCTGGCTAATGTTTGTATTTTTAGTAGAGATGGGGTTTTGCCATGTTGGCCAGGCTGGTCTTGAACTCCTGACCTCAAGTGATCCACCCGCCTCAGCCTCCCAAAGTGCTGGGATTACAGGCGTGAGCCACAGCACCCAGCCTAGTCCTTTATAATTGAAAAAATGTATTTATTGAAAAACTTTCCTAGTAAAGTTTTTCTCATTTTGCTGTGAAAACATTGCTGTATAATACCAGCCTGTTCTGTGGACTGTAATTGAAGAACTACTGATTCAAGGAATGGGCAGAGGAAGAGAGGCCAGCAAAAGAGACCATGAGGAATGGTTCCAGAGGCAGGAGGAAAACCAAGAAAGCGTGATCATGGAGGCCAAAAGAGGGGAGAGTTTCGGAAATGAGGACTTGGCCAATAGTGTCTTTTGCCACCCAGAGTTCAAAGAAGTGATCAAATTTGGCAATTAGGAGGTCATTGGTGACCTTTGGCAGAGCCCTTTCACTGAGATAATGTGGCTGGAGCCAAGCTGCTCTTGGTTGAGGTGTGAATGGGAGCCAGGAAAAGCGGAAGTCTAGCATGTAGACTACTTTCAACAAATTTGAGAGTGAGGGAAAGAAAATAGAGAGAGGAAAGAAGGGAGGGAGAGAAAGAGATCAAGAGAGAAAGAGCAAGTTAGGGGAGCAAGAGAACATACAGTGGAGGGGGAGTTCTTGTTTTTTGGGATAACAGAGACAGGCATTTTATAATCAGGAGAGAAAGAGCTGGTGTAGAGAAGCTGAACTTTCCCGAAGACAAGAAGCATAACAAATGGCTGGAGGAAGGGCCCAGGAAGGAGGTGGATGAGGCCAAGGCCCAGGCAAAGGGATTAGCCTTTAACCAGAGGGGCACCTTGTCCCCTGAGAAGAGAGGGCTGGAGGGGAAGGAAGTTGGAAAGGCAGGCCAAGTTTGAGGGGGGAGTGGGGCATGGCACTGAGGTAATTCACGCTTGAAGGCCTCTGTTTTCTCAGGGAAGTAGAAGGAGAGGTTATTCTGTACAGAGAGAGGGGAGGGGCAGGAACGTGGTAAGGAGCTGAAGGAAGTTTGGAATGTGGCCAAGCGAAATGTGGAGGCTGGAGCTGGGGCCTTGACAAGGGAACATGCTCAAGGATGACTGAGGGGCGCTGGGGTCAACTGAGATTGATCGAGTCTGTCTTCTCTCTGCGGGTCTTGTCTCCTTCGCTAAGCTTGAGGCAGAGTCCATGGCACTTTCCTTTCCTGTCTGTCCGTTAGCTAGGCAATGCTAGCCCCAGTACTCTCAGAAAGGTCTGGAAAAGCAATCACTGGCAGAACCCAGAAGCACTATAGGGCTGTTAGGGGAACAGAGGTAAGATCTTAATTGCTCTGATAGGAAGGTCTCCATCTTGGTTGATCCATACCTTTTCTGCTGCCCTGCTGACCAGTTTACTCCTGTTTTGTTTTAAGTGAAAAGGAGAACAGCCAACTTTTGCCTAGCAACACTTGCAGGCCTTAAATCTTACAGGCCGGGGAAAAGCCAACAAGAAGAGCCAGCGGCTTCATGTCCCACAAGCTAAATGAGGCTGAGGCAATTCCTAGGAGGTAGCAAGACAGAGCCATTGCGTAGGGAGGACAAAGACCCATGGAAACAGGTCTGAAGGCTCCCTGGGCTCCAGGAGAGCATGCTGGGAGCTGGGTGTAAGTGGAACCCTGAGGCCTGCTGCTCAGGGGAGTGAAGGGACTGGACAGCTCCTAACGTGAAGGTGGTGACTGAAGGAACACAAGTTCAAGGTGGGAGGTGGCATGATGGGTGGCATGGTTGAGTCTGGTCAGGCATGAGCCCCGAGCTCAGGAGGAATATCTGCCTCTTAGCCCTCTCCCTCCTTCCTTCTGCTGATTCTCGGAGGCCACTTACAGGTGGAAAAGATCCTTGAGTGTGACAACAGGTGTTGTGCTTCTTCCTCCTTTGCACACCATCTCCTTCCAGCCCAGTCTTTTCAGCCTGGCTCCCTCTCTGAGCCACACTCCTCCTTTCAGCCAGTGATGCAGTCAGTACAAGGAAACGCTTAGCTCATGAAGGTAAATTTAGCAAGAACTCTCAGAGACTGATAGATGCTCTGGCTCCCCAGCAACCCTCTCTTTCCCCACAAGATTTCCCTCTTCAGGACCTGGGATCTATCTTGCACTTAGAAAATTCAGGGACAGAGAGCTCTCTCAAGTCCAAGGCAGCACATTTCACTGAACTCATTTCACCTCATATAATAAACCTCTGTTTATTGAGGGCCGGGACCGTGCCAGGCCCTTGGGTTAGGTGGTGACTGAGCTGTTAGAAAGTTTTCCTTTGATTGAGCCAAAATGTGTCTCCATGTAGCTTCCAGCCATGGGCCTCAGCCCTGCCCTTTGAAGTCACCCAGAACAAGTGTAATCTCATTGCAGTCTAATCCTCAGATATTTGAAAATATCTGTCATTTCCCCCAGCTTTCGTTCCTCCATGGATAAACATTTCTTTGTTGGTTTATTTTTATTTTTTGTGCCTTTCCTTTTTATTACTCAAATAATATCAGTTCATTGTGGAACTTTTTAGAAAATTCAGAAAAACATAAAGTAAAAATCCACCCCACTGTTACTCCCAGAAATGACAACCCTAACACTCTTTCTTCTCACCAGTCTTATTTTTTCTCTGCACGCTGTCCATTCTACATCTTTTTTCTTACCAAAATGGGATCATCCTTTAAGTAATATTTTAGAGACTTATTTTGTTTTCACTCTTTCAATATGTTAACTTTTCCCTCATTCTTCTACCATGCCAATTTTAATATGAAATTGTGTAACTGCCCAATGATTTATCTAACCAGCTTTTAAAAGTTGTTTTCAATTTTCCTTTGCTGAAAAGAACATAGTGGGACTAGAATTGGAAGTGGGGTGAAGATGGGGGGTAGGTGAACAGAGAAATGAGGAGCCCTTAAATTAGTCATGCTATCTTACCATCTGATTTTTTTTTCCATTTTCTGTGTTGAAAAATTATACTTCCCAGAACATGATTGTGAGCACCTGCTTGGCATTCAGTTGCAAGGATTTGCCCTAATTAATGTAACTGGTTTCCTATTATTGGACATTGAAGTTGTTTCTAATTTTTGACCATTACAAACCAGACTGTGATGAACATCCAAGAAGCTAAATCTGTGCTGGGGCTGGACACTGAGGTCAGGAGGAATATTTTCGAGACCTCTGAAGCATAAGGTCCCTGCCAGTAGTTGTAACTAGAAGCTTTCTGGCAAAGGCCCAGAAGGCTGGCTAAGGCCGAGGACTGTGCTCAGGCCTCTGGGCTTGCCCGGGTTCAGTACCCATTTATGTAGCCCCTGTCAGAGAGTGTTCAGGCTGGCATGGTCCTATGAGACCACTGGGCCAGCACCCTCATCTCTTACATGAGGGAACTGAGGCCTGGGGCTGGGGCTGGTCCTTCGGCAGCTCTGTAGTCGGGCAGAACTTTGCCTCTCCCCAGCACCCTGGCTTCTGAACTGGAAGCTAAGCTCTGAGGTTTGGAATCTCACCCAGAGGCCCTGTGAAATCCTGCCTGCTCTCCTTCACTGGACCACTTACTGCTGAGGCTGGAGGGGGCACTTTGACAAATGAACTGATCAGTAAGGGGCTGAGGGGCATTGAAAGAAGACTTAAGGTTTACCCAACAAGCATCTGGGCCTGCTCTGCCCAGAATGCCCCTTTTTTCCCTAACCCAGATGATATGCTTAATGGCAGTCACCCTACATTCAGGTCCACCTGGCAAATCTATCTGAGGTTGAGCTGAAATAACAAGTGAGTCCCTCACTCTCCTTAAAGGGGTCAGCTGTCTCTTCTTGCCAGGAACTGGCTTAGTTAAAGGCCTGTCTATTCAGCCCTCTGTCCCTGACATCTCTGTGGTTTCAGAGTGCTAATGAGCTCCTCTCCTTCCCCTCTCAGGCCTTGCTACTCCCTGGGGAATTCACACAAATGGTGTGCGATTTGCCCCTTCTGTGTTTTTCTTTCTGACTTGGAGGCAAAGCAAATCCCTCACCTCCCACTGACACCATGTTTATTCAACTGGGAGAGATTTCACACCCAGGTAACCCAGCTTTCCCTCCCTGAGCCCCTTCCCTAAATCTTTATCCCCCTCCCAAGTCATCCCACCCCTGTCCTCCCTGAATAATTTATAAGACCAGGCAGGGCTTATAAAAGGGTCTCCCAGGAAAAGCCAAAAGAGTGCAGAAGGTTCTGGGAAGTAGGAGACCCCACTGGCTTTGGTCCCCTAAGAATGGACTCTGCTGCCTGTGCTGCTGCTGCCACCCCTGTTCCAGCCCTGGCTTTGGCCCTAGCTCCAGACCTAGCACAAGCCCCACTGGCACTCCCTGGCCTGTTAAGCCCATCTTGCCTTCTCTCCTCTGGACAAGAAGTAAATGGGAGTGAAAGGTAAGTTGAGCTTAGCCTTTGGCAACCTGAACTTAGGCTTGAGAGCTTCCTGAGAGAGGAAGGAAAATGAGATGTCCAGGGCACCCTGTTCTCTGTGAAGGGGAAAAGCAATGGCCTCATAGCCCTCCCTCCTCAACTCTAGCTGGAATATCTCATCTGACTTTTCACCTCACTAATCCCGCTGGGTGGCAAGAGGGGACTTGGGGACAGCTGTTGCCAAAGCTGAAGGTGAAGCAGCCAGGTCCTCATAGGCCAGGTGGCTGAGTCCCCTGAGGGGGATGGGGAACTGCCATGAAACCTGGGCTTAACACAATCTAGACTGTGGGGGTGGGGAGTTTGGGGAAAGAGGACCAAAGTCTAAAGAGGCCCTTGACTGGGACATTGTCTTTTTCCTGACCACGCCATAAGATTTCCATTTGCTTTTTTCCTACCTCTGCAAGTCCAGTGGGGAAGCAGTGGACCCAGGAACATTTCTGGCCCTCTTCTTCAGCCCAGGAAGATGGTAGAGCTCTGAGTTCTACATCTTGGAGCAGGAAGTAGGAGGCAAGATATTTTCCATCTAGCCCCCACTCATTACTCCAAACATTTAGTCTTCAACAAACATTTACTGAAACAGCTACTGTGTACCAGACATTGTACTAGGTGTTGAGGATTCAGATACGATTGAGCATATCTTTGAGCTTAAGAAGCCCAAAGACAAGTAAATAGACAATTACAAAACAGCATGATAAAAGCAATAATAACATTGCTGAAGCCGAGAGGAGGGACATCTGTCCTGGAATGGGCTCAGGAGCCTTAGGAAAGGCTTCCTGGAGCAGATGGCACCTGAGCCAAGCTTTTGGGAGGTCTCTTGTTATCTCAGGGAGCCCACCTTTCAGTCTCTTCCTCTACGGATTGATCTCTCCTCTTTGTCCCAGAGGAACTTGTCTCTGGAGGCCCTGGCTGTCTTCCACAAATGACTCCCCAAGGCAGATGAGGAAGCTGGTGGATTTGGTGAGTTCGAGCCCTTGTGACGTGTGTTCACATGCAGCCACATGCATTAACAGTGACCAGGTCACTTCCCAGAGAGCCCCTGACCTCAGTCCAAAGGTGCAGATCTGAGATAGCATCCTCACAGTTTTGCCAACATTTGATTCCAACAGAGAGCAGATCCAAGCTTTCTGTGGCAATTGGAAAGATGAGGAGACCAAAGCTCAGAGTGGGCAAGGGATCTGGGCAGGCCCCACAGCCAGTGTGTGGCAGTGCTGGTGCTTGAGGCCTCGTCTCCTGGCACCTTACTCCAGTGCTCTCCCACCCACCCGATCTCCCTGAATCTTTGCTGCTCCAGTAGAACACTGTCCCCTGGAGAGCCTCCAAACAGGTGCTGGAACAGAGGCAGGGAAGCAAACAACCCGCAGGACTCTGTCTGCTTGTTTTTCAACCAGAACCAAGAGAGACCCCTTGTTGAGGGGTGGGTATTGGGGGTTGCTGGGTCCCAGAGATGTCTAAGGTCTCTTCAAGATCATTTTACCTGCAGCTTTCTGACCTCTAGTACAGAGGAGGAAGTTATCTAGCCATGTACTTTGAGCCACATGCTAGCTTTTGCTTTGGACAGGCTGCTGGTGGGGCAACGGCTGCTGAGGTCACCAAGGCTGAATCCAAGTTCCATCACCCTGTCAGGTAAGCTTCTGGCATGAAGCTCCAAACTTGACATAGATCCATTAGCTCTTTGAATCTTCACAAAGGTCTTGTGAAGCAGGAGAGGGGAGGAATTGCTATCTATGATCGCTGTTTCATAGGAGAGAAAACTGGAGCCCAGAGAGGTTAAGGGACTTTGCCAAGGCTGTCTTTTCTAGAGGCATTGTTAACGATGCCCAAGAATGATCCCCCATGGATGGGTCAGTGAAATAATCCTCAGTGGAAGGAGATGGGGCCATAGGGCTGGAGAATTCTTGGCTAGAAGCTTTCTGGGGTAGGTAGCAGGTGGAGTCAGAGCCATAAGTGACAGATGCTGGGGCTGGCCCCCGACCCAACCACTATAGGTCCATAAGGGTTTACCTTCCTGCGTGGGGCCACTTTGTAACAATGCAGAAGGTTCTGTTACAAAACTTTCTTTCTTCCTTTCCCTCTGACCTCATTGTTGCAGCCAAGAGAAGGGGTTTAGGGGCCAGCTTCTTTCTTGGCCCTACTGGCCCCTCTGCACATATGACACCTGTTAGGGGCCATGTTTCTTCTCTGTCCACAGGCTCTTCTGGCCTAAATCCCGCTCCTTCGACTATCTGTACAGTGCTGGGGAGATTTTACTGCAGAACTTTCCTGTCCAGGCAACCATCAACCTATACGAGGACTCAGACAGCGAAGAAGAAGAGGAAGATGAAGAGCAGGAGGATGAAGAAGAGAAGTAGGAGGCCAATGAAAAGGGGCCAGAAGGGTGTGTGAGGGTACCAGGGTCCATACCCTACAGCGCCACAGCTCATCCCCCTTCCTCACCCCTAACCTATCCAAATGGAGGCAGCCAGAGTCTGATTGGGGTTCAGTTTGTCTGGCAAGTTTTCACAGACATCAGTTAGCCGGAAGTATTAGTCCAGCAGATAGAGCTTTCTGGACTGAAAATTGGGTCATCTAGCTGCCCAGCTCACCCTGGCTTACCTGAATGGCCTGTGAGCTCAGGCCTCTTGCATCTCATTGTCTGGGCTGCTGTTGTGTTGACCATGGGAGGGTTCTAGGAGCTCTAGAAGGAAGGCTTGCTGAAGCCCCCAGGAAGCAGAGCAGGGCAGGGAATGCCCTTGTGGAGGGAAGTAGTCATTCCTCAGGCCCTTTGACTCCCTAGCCTTCCCAGGTGGCCATGTAGTCCCGTCTCTCTGTGGAAAGCCTGACTTCTGGCTTCACCCCAAGGAATACCAACAGCAGATCCATGCAAGGTTGGGGTGCCTTTTTGATGAGTCTTACAGGAAGGGAAGGCAGTGTGTAGAGAATCGGCTTGCTCTGGGGATGCCTCCCCATTTTGCCTGCTGTCCATTGAAGTCTGTGTGTTGGCATGAGATGAATCAGGAGAAAAATAAACTGGATGGTGTTTTCCTTTTTCTTGGAACTGTGCTGATTTCTTAACTGAACTCTGCCCATATTGTGAAGCCATGGGCAGAGGTTCAGAGACCAGCTCAAGGCCAATTCATTGCTTTTCCTACCTGAGGTCAGTTGACAAGTTTTTCTTCATGGGGTTGTAGGGCTGGAGACCCAGCATGGGGCCAGGCCCTCTCCATCAATTTGTGAAATCAGACTTGATTAAACTGCAAGGATGGCTTGGAAAGGGAACAAAAAGGTCCCAAAGGGCAGCTTGTAAGTTGGGAGTAGGGATGCAGGTTAGAGGGGAAATGTGACAGGTGCAGCCTCATTTGAGCCTCAGAGATGGCTGTGTGCATGTGGGGAGGAGGGCTACTAGGACCTAGCAATTTTTTTCCTCAATTCCCTTTATATTTACCACAGCTCAGACCCTCATGCTTACCCTTGCTCCAATTACTCTTCGACTAAATTTTTTTTTTTTTTGGCCTCCAGCTGTCCCTTTGTGATTCATCTTCCACACTGACAACCAGATTAGACCACATCATGACTTTGCCAACACTTTTGGGCTTATCTTTTTTTTTTTTTTTTTTTTTGGTCACAGATCCCCTTGAGAACCTGTGGCTTCTCTACTCAGAAAAATACATTTGTTCACACCACACGCACACACACACACACACAGTGCTATATCTTCACAAATCAAGTACTTAACTTGATATTCTAGGCCTTTCAGTTGTCTGGGTTTTGCCTGTCTCTTGAGACTCATCTCTCAACTCTTGAAGTTTACACTGCCTCTCTTTGAATGTGGCATGCTTTCTAACACCTCTGTGTGTGTCCTTAACCCTGTCTGGAATGCCTTTCCACTTTCGCATGCCTAGGAAACTCTCATTCATCTAACAGAACCAGCTCAGACACCCCTGCTGTAGGAAGCCTCCCCAGACATCCCAGGCACCAGGTTGGGTGCCCCCACTCATTCAGAGCCTCCCCTACCATAGCATTTGCCTCCTTTCCTATACAGTAACCTGGGGCTGTATTTGATATTCCCATATGACTTCATTGCACAGAACACTGCCTGGCACAAAGGAGGTGCTCAGGAAATGTTGAAAGAGAAAAGATTCTCAAATCTTCTGAAAGTAGCTCTTGGTGGAACCACCATTGTTCCCCCAACTTGCTGGCTTCCTGGTTTAGCTACAAAGGGAAAAGGGTAATGTCATTTCATTCAGGAGCAAAACGATGACCATCTTTCTTTTCCTTCTCCCTCAGCATGAGACAGGCTGCTTCAGTTCTAAGCCCTAGCTGGGACTTCCCTGCATTGGACACAACCTTGAGTAAGCCACCAAACTCACACACTGGTGCCATCTATTGGTCAAAATTTAACCTTGTTCTTTAATTAAGGCTTCCAGGCAGTTGACCTTTGACTGCATTAATTCTTTTAGTCCATTCTGTTTCTGTTTGTAAGTAAAGTGGAATCTACCATGTGCTAGCAGTATGACCTTGGGCCAGTTACTTATCCACTCTGAGTCTCAGTCTCCTCGTCTGTAAAATGGGGCTAATAATACTTCCTTTCAGAGTTATTGTGAGGATTAAATGATATATGTAAAGTACTTAGCATGCCCCCTGGCACATAGTACAAACCCTCAATAAATGGTAGTAGTCATAATAATAGTAGTCTTAGTAGCTGCTATTGCTGATTTTATAAAGGAAATGATCTTATAGGCCAGAGTCAGCTAATGACGATTTACTCAACTAATAACTGATTTGTCAGTTATCACCACTTGATCTTCCTGGCACCATTTGATGGTTTACCGGTAAAAGCATCTTTTCAGTGTTTATTCCAAAATGAAAAAAAAAAAAGAAAGAAAGAAACCGCCCCCCCAAAAAAAAAAACAAAACAACAATAGAGGCGAAGTGTGGCTCCCTGGACCACTGTCTACATTCAAATGGTAACCCACAGGTTTTAGCTCCCTTTTTCCAAGGCCAGAGGTTTGTAAACGTATTTTTTGTGCTTTAGCAGGAAAACCTTTCTTTTGAATTGAATGCAGAAGCCCAATATATAAATCAAATAAAAATGGAGCTATCCTGGTGGAAGCCATAATGGGGGGGGGGGGCCAGAATTCTTATGCTGGTGTCTTCTCTCCGGTAAAGTAGCTGTCTCCACCCCTTTCTGGGAGGCACTTTCAAGGATCCCTAGACTGTGGAAAACACAATTTGGAAACCACTGTTCCAAGGGTTAAACCAGGATTGATTTGAAGTAGAAGGGAGATTAATTAGTACTTCAAAATGTCCAGTGTTCTGTTTAAAATCCTTGTTTTGGGTCCTAAGCACCCAGCATTTCACAGCTCAAAAATTGCTCGAATCCTTATACCATAGGTTATAGGGATTTAAAATCCTTGGAATCCCAATATCCTTGGTTTTAAGGTATTATATAGCATAGTATTACAAATCCCTAAATCCTCAGGGATTTAAAGATCCTAAAACCCTTGGAGCAGTAATTCGTAACTCAGAATGGGCTCTTCTCATTTTCCAACCCCGCCCTCCTTACTGCACACTTGCTGTTGTTTACTGGGCAGACATTTTGTCTCGCTGTCCTCTCCGTCCCCTGTCCTGAAATGGCTTCCAGTCCTCTTCCCCATACGTGGTTGCTAAGTCATTGGAATTCACTGTTCTGACTAATCAGAGCTCAGTATGAGTTACTTTGTTATGGGCGTTTCCAATCCTTGTGCCAACTTCAACTCCAGTGCACAAACTCAGGAGAAAAATCTCTGTGCAAAACTCAAGAGTCCTTCCTCCAGCTCCATTTGGCTGGCCCATCCTAGTGTCCCAGCACTTCCCCATCCTAGCACTGATTTCCTCCTGTTTCTCCCACCTTGTTGCAGCAGTGAGAGAACACATCTGTTGGGGTGAGGCTGCATTTGAGCTGGGCTTTGAAGGATGGGCATGAGTAGTAATGGAGGGAGAAAACTTTTCAGAAAGAGGCAGCACTATGAATGCCTTCATTAAACAATACTTATTGAGCACTTACTATGTGCCAGCCCTTAACGTTGTAATGATTAGGAGCATGGGCTTTGGAAGCAGATGAACATGGGTTCAAATGCCTTTTCTGCTGCATGCTGGCTCAAATCATAGGCCCACTCCCCTCAAGTGTCAAGGTCAGCTCTCTGCTCTTAACCCTTTCACTACAACCTCTATAGTTTTTTGTTTGTTTGTTTTTTGAGACAGGGTCTCACTCTGTTGCCCAGACTGGAGTGCAGTGGCACTTGGCTCACTGCAACCTCCGCCTCCCAGGCTCAAGCAATTCTCCTGCCTTAGCCTCCCGAACAGCTGGAATTACAGGTGTGCACCACGACGCCCAGTTAATTTTTGTATTTTTAGTAGAGATGGGGTTTCATTATGTTGGCCAGGCAGGTCTTGAACTCCTGACTGTAGTTCTTTATTGTGTCACACCTCTTCCCCACACAGCACATGCTCATTAAAATAGTCGCCTATTCTCCTTTGCCTCAGCACGGAAAGCCCTCTGCCTACCCAGTGGGTGTTACAAACCCTCACCTCTCACCCCCTCCTCAAAACTGTGCCTGTGTGACCCATCTAGTGGGTAGATACATTGTCTCCTTTCCTCCCCACTTCCCTTTTGCCAAATGGTGGCCAATCCCCATCCCAAATAAGGTTGTTAGCAGACCTGAATCCACTGTTTTGGCCTATCAGGAACATGGTGTTGGTTCCTGTGTTTTTGGTTTATCCCCTGGCTGGCAAGGCTCGTGACAACCTCCATGGAAACACAGAAACCCAGATACAGAAAGCCAACAAGGAATGACTGCTCTGACAGCGGGTGCCACAGCACTTGCTACTGACGTTACACCCATCATCTTGTGTGGTACTTGTAATCACAACAGTCCTAGAGATAGGTCTTATTATTATCCCCACTTATTAATGAGAAAACTAAGAGTTAGCTGGGTTTCTGTGCCTGGGTTTGTGTGCCTGCATGGAAGATGCTACAAGCCTTGTCAGCAGTGATTAAGTAAAAAATACAGGAACCAACACCAGGCCATGACAAGTAAAACAGTGAAGTCAGGTCACCAGTTTACAACAGGAGACTGGAGAAGAGAGGAGATGAACTGTCTGTCCACTAGAGAGCCATAAAGTCACAGTGCGGGGTGGCAGGGGGGCGGGGGAGTAGGAGGTGGTGACACCCACAGGTGTGGGAGTGGGGCTTTCCCTGTCCAGAGAAGACTAGACAATAGGATACCTAGGAGGATAAGAGTTAGAACAGCTGATAATTCTGGAATTCTTGTTATGAACCTTACATGGATTAACTCCTTTAATACAACAACTTTGAAGGATAGGTACAGTTGGGAAAACTGAGGCTTAGAGTGGTTTTTAAAACTTGCCCCAAATCACACAGTTGGTAAATTGTGGCACCTTCTAAGCGTCAGGCTTTTTACACATTTTACCTCATTGAATCCTTATGGCAACCCTAAAACTCAAGCACTATTATTTTCCTTGTTTTATGGATGAGGAAACTGAGGTTCAGAGAGGTTAAGGAATCTTAAGGTCACGTAATTAATAAATGACCGATCCAAGATTTGAGAGATGACAGCAATTGCTCCAGGTTACATTAATGGTAAGTGGCAGAACTAGAGTTCAGGGCTGCCTGACACCAGAGCCCTGTGCTTTCAGGAGGTGGAATCAACAGGGTTTGCTGAAGGATTAAATCTGTGGGAGGGCAAGGGAGAAAAGATTTAAGTTCTGGCTGCAGGGAAGTGAGTCAGAGGATATGAAGAACTCTGGGCCAGGGGCCAGGAAACACTGAGGGCCTCTGAAAGGTGTCACTGAGGGAGGAATGTTTGGGGACCTCCTGCCCGGCAGTGGCAGGCTCTCACAGCACCTGGGCTGTGGGCACAGGGCTACCAGGGGTGAGAGGGGGATGAGGGAATTCTGTTCCTGCCCCTCGGTGCTGTGCTGCCTCAGAGTGGAATGGGCCCTGGCTGGGCATGTCTCACTCTGGCTGAAAAGTGGGAGGAACTACCAATTGCTGAGCTCTCCCGTTCTATCCCAGGCACTGTGCTTGGCACCACACACACTTTATCCTGAACTGGGTGGTGGTGGTGGTGGGGCATCCTAATGTTTACAGATAAGAAACTGGGACTCAGAGAAGTGAAGTGACCTGTTAGTAGCACAGGCAATGAGTGGGAAGCTGGGGTAGAACAGGACAGTGCGACTACAGAGTCCTGGCTCTTAACTACTAGGCTCCTCCTTCCCTCCTCCTTATTCCCCCAGAGAAGCCCTGAAAGTCCCTTAGGGCAGGCAGCTCACCCTGGCCTCCTGCAGCCTACGGGGAAAGAAGTGTGTAAACTGTCACAAAAAGGCATTGCTATCCCCATCACTGGGGACACCTTGAGGCCTGGGACCAAGTGTGAATTAAAAGAGGTTGAGGGAGAGACCAGGAACCAGCTGGAGTCAGGCTCTGGGTTTTTCTAGAAGTCTTCCATCCAAGGGAGAGAACAGCGGCCTCCAAGTCCCTAGCGATTCAATTCGTTTTCGCTAACAGCAAGACAGGCAGCCCCCTCTAGTGGCTGAGCTCTAAACCTACAGCACAAAGCCCAGGATGAGCAGGGCTCATCCATCCAGAGGATTCTATGGCCAGCACTGTTTTGTACCTGGTGGTTATAGGGACAGACTCTGGATTTAAACCAAACCTGGGTTCAAATACTGGCTCGACTCCTTGTTAGCTAAGTGACCATGAGAAAATGTCTCTAAGCCTTAGTTTCTTCATGTATAAAATAGGAATGATAATAATACCATTTTAACAGGGTTAATGTAAGAATTAAATGAGACAGCATATGTAAGGGGCTGGCAGAGTACTTGGCACATTACAGATGTGATAGAGACATGCACATATATTTATATATACATGTACACACACTACTATACATTGTGCATAGGTGTATATATGAATGTATACACATCTAATAATTGTTCTTTTTTGACACATGCTATCATAATAGTCGTCACCACTTTGACTTCCCTTGCCTTTCCCATCTGATATGGTTTGGCTGTGTCCCCCCTGCCCCCAATCTCAAGTTGAATTGTGGTTCCCATAATCCCCACATGTCATCGGGAGGGACCTGGTGGGAGGTAACTGAATCATGGGGGCGGTTACCTCATGCTGCTGTTCTCATGATAGTGAGTTCTCAGAAGAGCTAATGGTTTTATTAGGGGCTTTTCCCCAATTTGCTTGGCAGTTATCCTTGCTGCTGCCATGTGAACAAAGACTTGTTTGCTTCTCCTTCCATCATGATCCTAAGTTTCCTGAGGCCTCCCCATCCCTGGGGAACTGTGAGTCAATTAAACCTCTTTCCTATAAATTACCCAGTCTTGGGTATGTCTCTATTAGCAGCATGAGAACAGACTAATACACTATCTATCTAGCTCTACTAAACCCTGGTGCCCCAATTACTGTCAACACACTCCCCTGAAGCTTATGGGAAAGACATGGGCTAAGATACTTGCTTTTCTCCATGCACACTTTCAAGAATCTTGGACTGCACATCTTTGTCCTTCAATATTCTGGGAATGTTAATAAGCTTGCTTTACACAGGTGCTACGCTCTTTCTGTGTTTCAAAGCAACTTTACCTCCGTGATCTCATTTGAATCTCTTAATACTCCCAGTACTCTCATTTTTTTTCATTTTGTTTTAGATACGGGGCCTCACTGTCACCCAGGCTGGAGAGTAGTGGCTCAATCATAGCTCACTGCAGCCTCAAACTCGTGGGTTCAAACAATACTTCCACCTCAGCCTCCTGAGTAACTAGGACTGCAGGCGTGTGCCATCATGCTCTGCTGTTTTTTTTTTTTTTTAAATAGAGACAGTGGTCTCATTTTGTTGTCCAAGCTGGTCTTGAACTCCTGGGCTCAAGCAATCCTTCTACTTCAGCCTTCCAAATTGGATTACAGGCATGAGCCACTGTACCCGGTAACATTTTTAAATGAGGATATTGAAGATGATGACATGGGAAATGACTTGCTCAAGGTTGCATAGCAAGTCAGTGCAGGAGTCAGAACTAACCTCCAGAATCTCGATGTTGAGTCCAGTGCTTTCTACCAACCCTTGCAATCGTCCAGGGCCTTAAGCTCTGACTAAATATGAAGCACTTGTAATCCAGGACAGAACTTACTTTTGAAGGCCACACCACTACACTTTGACACCAATCTCCTGCTTCTACTGAGGCCAAGGTTGTATCTCCAGGAAACTATCAAACTATGATTCTTTACCTATAAGAAGTGGTGCCATGTTGCCAGGACTGGTGACCCAAGACAGCTACATCTCCGAAACATGCAAAGAATACAATTAAATGTTAGATGATGGGTTTGCAGAGAGGTGAACATTATCTTTTCAGCCAAGCTGCATGCACTGCTAAAGAATTAGCTGCTGTCCTGTACTCACAGCCAGCTTGACTTAGCCACTCTTTTTGTGTTGGACATAACCATCAGTGTCTCAGAAGGGCAGCCTTGTCCCTAGTCAGCACAAAAATTGGGAGGTGTTGATGCATGTCAGCAGCATGGGTCCTGATGGCAGCATCTGTTTGTAGGCACTGAGAGAAGCAGTACGATAATAACTCAAAGCTCTCAGTGTCATTTGATATTACTTTGGGGGCAGAGGATGCAGGCTTGGCTGTCAGTAGCAGTGGCCGTGTTTTCTCATTCTAACACACTGGTGACAAAATGAGCACTGCTGAGATAACAAATCATAGAGCCCAAACACCCTCTCCCTAGCCCCCATGTGACACTGGCAAGCTTGGTTCTGCTCAGAGGGGAAGCTTGTTACTTCCTTCTGGAGTGTTGGATCTCTGGGTGGCACTGAATTTTTCTTTCTGCTATCACTTGTTTTTTACTTGCTCATCACCATGGCAACTCGAGAGCGGGAGCCAACATTGAAATCAATCTCTCCCCAATAGACATATGTGGAACAGCAAGTGTACTCCCTCTCTAATATTAGGGAAGCAAAACATTTTTAACCCTCTCTCCGTGCTTCAGCCTTGGTCCGTGGTGATAGAAAATACTTTCACCTGCAATTTCGGGCACCTTTGCTCTTCCTGCATGGGAGTTTCCAATCTCATTGGTCTGAGGCCAATCATTGGGCCACAGCTCACCAGTGACTCAGGTCATTACAGTGAAAAGAATCATACACATCTGTGACTAGATAGCCGGTTCCACTTGCTGCTGGATGATTGGGTCAGGCCAAATTTGTTCTGAAGACTTTAGCTTCTCAGATTCAGAGTGAAGGGAGTAGCTTAAGCTGCACTTTCCAATCAATTTTTTTAAACCAAAGAACCTGCAACAGAAAGAGGAGAACAAGGTTACCAAGCCTATGCTGAATTCTCAGATCAAGCGTTTATTAATAAATACTTTGCTTACTATTCTACTATTGCTCATTATACATATAATTTTCTTGGTGGGAAGGGTTGAGGAGAAGGGTAAGATTCAGGAATTCAGGAATAAAAACTCCAACTTGAACCCACAACATCTAGGAAGGTTTGCCCAAGGTCAAAGTCTTGTCCCAGCCTATGTCTACACTGGGCAGAAAGGATGCACGTGTTCAATTTCCTCACCTTCCACTGATTTCTCGAGGATTTTGGGAGTACATCCAATTGAAAATCAAATTTTATATTGAGCTTTCAGTAGTGTGTAACTCTTGCACGGATACCGAGACGTGACCTGCCCATGTAATGAAATCGTTAGCCTGGGAGTAGGAGCTTTGCCTTGGACTAACAGTCAAATTTCCCCCTGCTCAAACACAACCATAGAAACTTGAGTACCAAAACGTTCTTGGAAAACTGTTGACAATTTCCACGTGTAAGAAAGCCCTGAAATAAAAAGCCATTCTTTGTAAACTTAGCAGATTTTTTTGAGTGGATATTTAATATCTTCTGAGATGGGGGCAGTGCGCTGGGAAGGAAAGGGCACCAAGCATCAGGAGACTGACTCAGGTACTTGTTTAGTTCTGTCATTTATTACTTGTTCAGTCCTCTAATACGTTGGACAAGTGATTTAATTTTCTCATCTCTAAAATGGGGACAACCTTTAGCCTATCAACCTCGCAGGTTTTTGGGAATGAGGTTCCAGTATATAGTTATATGATTAAACCACTCAGAAAACTGTAAAATGTTACATAAAGTTGTATTTTATAAGCACTGTGAAAAGAACTTCAGGATAATAGTCTGCCTTTCAAAATGCAGACACAAGCGCTATAAATTTCTGGGAGAAACCCTTGGCGATCTTCATAGAAGTCATTCATGCAAATTGCTAGAGAAGCTAAACCTCATGGCTTCACTTAAAAAGGTAGTAGAAATAGTTTTTGTCTGCCCACCTTTCCTGGATACCCCATTTCCTAATCAACTTGGGGCAGTTTTCCAAGAGGCCCTGTATGTGAAACTGTAAATGTGGGAGCAGTAACTTTGCCTGAATTACTGAGAGTGGTGACATTTGGTGGTTGCCATTGGCAATAGCTTACAAAATCTGAAGTTCACATTATTTCTCCGAGGCTAGGCTGCTTGTGCATTTGAGTAACACGAACATATTATTTCATTCTTTTTTTTCTTTTTTTGAGACAGTCTCACTCTGTTGCCCAGGCTGGAGTGCAGTGGCGCGATCTCGACTCACTGCAACCTCCATCTCAAGGGGGCAAGCAATTCTTATGTTTTATATAACTCCAGAAAATGTCCAGGCGAGCGCCAGCATGCCCAGCTAATTTTTGTATTTTTAGTAGAGACGGGGTTTCATGTTGGCCAGGCTGGTCTTGAACTCCTGACCTCAAGTGATCTGCCTGCCTCAGCCTCCCAAAACGCTGGGATTACAGGCGTGAGCCACTGCACCCGGCTACATATTATTTCACTCTGAAGGCACTCAGCATGTTAGTAAAATTGACTTTTTTTTTCCTACAAACAACTTTAAGGATTCATACTATTTAAACTCCAAAAAGGTAGAGGGAAATTTTCAGTTTTTTTTTCTCTAAAATAGTGGAAAAACTTACAAATAATCCATAAGAGAATAATTCCAGGCACAAGAACACCACCAAAAATGGTAGGCAAAATTCCAACTGACCAAAATGTTTGCTGAAACATAAAAAGTAAAATGAAGATAGAGTCATGGGAATACAAATAAAATGATCAAAGGTAGGAGAGTTTCTTTTTACTTTTAAGAAAAGGAAGGGTGAAGATACTAGTTTTTATGTAAATATTATACACTTTTTGTGGACTCTTCCCCTATTAGATATATGGAAAACCATACATAGGCTCATGAGGAGTTAGTAGAAATGAAAATTTTGCTCTTCCTATCTGAATAGAAGGTAAGAATCATAAATGTAGATGTTTGCAGTGCTTCCTTATATCTATTTTTATGAGTCCAATAAAATTGCATGCAGCTGGAGACTCCACAACTTTAACCAAATAGAAGGCAGTAGGATTAGACTGGGCATGGTGGCTCATGCCTGTAATCCCAGCGCTTTGGGAGGCCACAGATCACTTGAGGTCAGGAGTTCAAGAACAGCCTGGCCAACATAGCAAAACCCCCTCTCTACTAAAAATACAAAAATTAGCCAGGCATGGTGGCAGGAGCCTGTAATCCCAGCTACTTGAGAGGCTGAGGCAGTAAAATGGTTTGAACCCAGAAGGCGGAGGTTGCAGTGAGCCAAGATCACACCACTGCACTCCAGCCTGGGCGACAGAATGAGATCCCATCTCACAAGGGGGGAAAAATGACAGTAGGATTAAAAATAAAGAAATAGACAGGGGATTGAATAATGAACCCTCTTTAAAATGTTTAGTATCCAGAAGTGCAAATCTGTGGTTGTGCTAGGCTGATGACATTAGATGTGATTTTACTTTATTTCCTCTTTTTTTCTAAATGTTCCTTAAAGGGCTTTCATTGTTTTTAGACTTTAAAGTTAATGGTTAAGACAGTTGGAGGAAAAAAAGAAGACATATTAACTTCAAAAGTGCAACAATAAAACTGACACCTTAGAGAACCAATAAAAGCCAAAGACAAAAGAATGAGCTTATCAAAGTGCTGGAAAATTAAAAAAATAAAAGCAAAAGAGTAATCTAGAACTTGATATCCAGTAAAAATATCTTTGTAAAATTAAGGTGAATATCCTCACACACATATGCAAAATTGATTTTTATCAAAGATCTAAAAGCAGCCATTTCAAAAAATGGTGCTGGAACAATCAGACAGGCAGAGACAAAAATAAAAGATGAACCTTGATCTAAACCTCACATCTTATACAAAAATTAACTCAAAATGGATTATAAACAAATGTAAAATGTGAAATTATGAAACTTTTAGAGAAAGCTATAGCAGAAAATCTGTGGTATCTACAATTAGGCAAAGATTTCTAGACTTGATACCAATATCATGATACTATATAAGAAAAATTGATAAATTAGACCTCATTAAAATTAAAAACCTGTGCTCTGTGAAATGTCCTGTGAATTAGACAGAAAGACAAGCTAGAGACTAGGAGAAAATATTTGCAAACCATATAACTGACAAAGGACTCACATCTAGAATAGAAAAAGAACTTTTAAAACTCAACAATAAAGAACCCAAAACAATTCAATTAGAAAATTGGCCAAAGACATGAACAAATATTTTTCCAGAGAGGATATATCCATAGTGAATAAGCATGTGAAAAGATGTTCAACATCATTAGCTGTATTCATTTGCTAGGGCTCCCATAACAAAATACCACAGACTGTGTGGCTTAAACAACAGAAATTAATTTGCTTACAGTTCTGGAGACTAGAAGTCCAAGATCAAGGTGTCAGTAGTGTTGGTTTCATTGTGAGGCCTCTCTTGTAGATGGCTTGTAGATGGCCATTCTTGCTGCCTTTTCTTATGATTGTCTTTCTGTACAAACGTGCCCCTGGTATATCCACCTCTTCTTATAAGGACACCACTTATATTGGATTAACGCCCTAATCTAATGGTCTCATTTTAACTTAATAACAATTTTAAAGGCCCTATCTCAAATATGGTCACATTCTGAGTTACTGGGGGTTGGGACTTCAACATATAAATTTGGAGGGGACACAGTTCATCCAATAATATGTAATAAGAACATAAAAAGATGCTCACATTGGGGAAATACAAATTAAAACTGCAATGAGATACCACTAGATACCTACTAGGATGGTTACATAAAAAGACAGACAATAACAAGTGTTGGCAAGGATGTGGAGAAAATGGAAACCTCATACACTGCTGGTGGGAATGTAAAATGGTTCATTCACTTTGGAAAACAATTTGGCAGGTCTTTAAAATGTTACACATAGAGTTACCACATGACGCAGCAATCTCACTCCTAGGTATATATCCAAGAGAAATTAAATCATGTCCACACAAAAACATATCATGAATGTTCACAGCAGCATTATTGATAATAGCAAAAAGATGAAAACAATCCAAATGTTCATCAATTGTTGAATGAATATATAGATTGCAATATATCCATAAAATGGAAAACAACTCAGCAATGAAAAGGAACTAACTGCTGATACTTGGCTACAACAGGAATAGCCTCAGAAACATTATATGTAAACGTAGCCACATGCAAAGACCAAATGTTTTATGATTCCATTTATATTCACTGTACAGAAAAAGCAAATTACAAAAGGTAGACAGTAGATTAGTGGTTACCTGGGCCAGGAATGGGAATGAGGATTGGGAGCTCTCTTTGGAGTGATGGAAATGTTCTAAATTTGGATTTTGGTGATGGTTGTAAAACTGTAAATTTACTTAAAAATCATTGAATTTTACATTTAAAAGTGTGTGGGTTTGCATTGGGCACAGTGGCTAACATCTGTAATCTCAGCACTTTGGGATCTGACACGGGAGGAGCATATGAGGTCAGGAGTTTGAGACCAGCCAGGGCAACAGAACAAGACCCCATCTATACAAAAGATTTAAAAATTAGCTGGGCATGGTGGCATGCACCCATAGTCCCAGCTACTTGGGAGGCTGAGGCAGGAGGGTTGCTTAAGCCTAGGAATTCAAGGCTGCAGTAAGCCATGAACATGCCACTGCACTCCAGCCTGGGTGAGAGAGTGAGACACTGTCTCAAAAATAAAAAACAAACAAACAAAAAACAAAAACAAACAAAAAAGGATGAATTTTGTGGTACATAAATTGTATCTCAAAAAAGCTATTTTTACAAGTATATGAACAATAAAAATAACATCTTATAAAATAAAACAATGCTACATACTGTATGATTCCATTTATATGAAAGTATAGAAAAGCCAAAACTACAGTGATAGGAAGCAGTTCAATGTTGCCAAGGGTGAGGAGTGGAAGGAGGAGATTGCCTCAAAGGGGCCCGAGGGAACTTTTTAAACTGATGGAAATGTTCTATATCTTGATTGGAGTGGCAGTTGTATGAGTGTATACTTTTTCCAAACTCCTCAAACTGTTTAAAATTGGTAAAATTTCATTATCTATGCATTATCTCTCAATAAAATTGATTTAAATATTTTTAATCAGTGAAAGATTTTAACAGACTTCACAAAAGATGATAAAAGAAACATCTATAAGTACATTAAGTGACATTGGACTTCATTAGCCATCAGTGAAATGCAAATTAACACTACAATATGAAATACTCTACATACCCTCTAGAATGGCCAAAATTTAAAAAGACAAACTTTTTAAAATGCCAAGTGCTGGTGAGAATGTGGAACAACTGGAGCTCACATATACCGCTGGCAGGAATGCAAAATGGTACATTAATCTAAAAAACAGTTTGGACGTTCCCTAGGAAGTTAAAAAATATGTCCCAACATTTTCATTCCTGAATATTTACCCTATAGAAATGAAAATATGTTTACACAAAGACTTGTAAGCAACTGTTCCTAACAACATTATTCATAATTGCCCAAAACTGGGTACAACCCAAATGACAATCAAAAGGTGAATGAATATACAAATTGTGGTATATTTATACTAATGGAACACTAAAAGGAATAAACTTCTGATATGGGCATGGATGATTCTCACAAACATTATGCCAGAAATGGCAGGCAGAAAAACTTAGTGTATGACTCAGTTTTTATAAAACTCTAGAAAAGATAAATCTATAATGACAGAAAGCAGATCAGAGGTTACCTGGAACCTCATGAGGGTAGGGGAGGTTGACCTGGAACAAGGGAACTTTCAGGGTGATGGAAATATTCTATATCTTGATTGTGGTGTGGTTGGTTACACGGGTGTATACATTTTGTAAAAATCATACATTATACATTTTGTCAAAATGTTTACTTTAAATGAGTGCCTTAACTCTGTGTAAATTATACTTCAGTAAAGTTTACTTTAAAAAATAATTAGAAAAATGCAAATTAAAACTGCAATGAGATACTATTTTACACCCACCAGACTGGCTAAGATGAAAAAAGATAGACGATACCAAGTGTTGGTGAGGATATACAGATATCAGAACTCTTATTTATGACTGATTGGAGTATTAATTGGCACAGCCACTTGGAACATTATTTAGCCGCATCTATCAAAGCTGAACATATACATACTCTATTGATGTAGCAATTTCACTTCCAGATATTTAAATATATACCCAAAAGAAATGCATAAATATGGGCATCAAAAGACAAATATAAGAATGCTTACAGCCACATTATTTTTATATCACGAAACTGGAAACAATCCAAATTTCCATCAACAGTAGAATGGATTTTAAAAACCACAATATAGCCATACAATGAATTATCACACACAATAAAAGGGAATGAACTGCTGATACGTCACATAAATGAATTACAAAAACATAATGTTGAGTGAAAGAAGCCAACTAAAAAAATGCATGTTGTATCATAGCCATAAGATTCAATTTATATAGTTTTTCATGTTATTTTTAATGGACATATAATTGTACATATTTATGGAATACAGTGTGATATTTTGATACATGTATACAATGTGTAATGATTAAATCAAGGTATTAATGTATTCTTCACTGCAAACACATTTTTCCTCATGTGCTGAGAACATTAAAATTATCTCTTCTGGTTATTTGAAAATATACAATAAATTATAAATATAGTCAGTCTACAGTGATATAGAACACTAGAACTTATTCTCCTATCTAGCTATAATTTCAATATCTGTTATTATCCTTCCCTCCCCCTACACTTTCCAGCCTCTAGAAACCACTGTTCTCTATTTCTGTCTCAACATTTTTAGCTTCTACATGAGTGAGAACATACAATATTTCACTTTCTGTGCCTGGTTCATTTCACTTAATATAATATGCTTTAGGCTCATCCATGTTGCCACAAATGACAGGATTTCATTCTTTTTATGCTGAATAGTATTCCACTGGGTATATGTACCACATTTTCTTTATCCGTTTGTCTGTTGATGGACAGTTAGGTAGATTCCACATCTTCACTATTGTGAATAGTGCTGAAATAAACATGGTAGTGCAGATATCCTTGGACATACTGATTTCCTTTCCTTTGAATAGAAACCCAGTAGTGGTATCGCTGGATAATATGGTTTTCTATTTTTAGTTTTTTTTTTGAGGAATCTAAATACTGATTTCCATATTGGCTAATTTATTAATTTACATTCCCACCAACAGTATATAAGAGTTCCCTTTTTGGCTGGGCACAGTGGCTGACACCTGTAATCCCAGCACTTTGGGAGGCTGAGGCGAGTCGCTTGAGTCCAGGAGTTTAAGATCAGCCTGGGCAACATGGCGAAACCCCCGTCTCTACTAAAAATACAAAATTAGCTGGGCGTGGTGGCGTGCACCTATAGCCCCAGCTATTTGGGAGGCCAAGGCGAAAGGATCACTTGGGCCCGGGAAGTAGAGGTTGCAGTGAGTGATCATGCCACTGCACTATAGCCTGGGCAACAGACGGAAACCCTGTTTCAAAACAAAAAAAAAGTTCCCTTTTTCTCCACACCCTTGCCAGCAATTCGTTATTTTTTGTCCTTTTAATAATAGCTATTTGGACTGGGGTAAGATGATACCTCACTGTGGTTTTGATTGGCATTTCCCTGATTAGTGATGTTGAGCATATTTCCATGTATCTGTTGGCCATTTTGTATGTCTTATTTTGAGAAATGTCTATTCACCTTATCTGCCCATTTTTAAATTGCATCATTTGAGGGTTTTGTTGTTGTTGTTGTTATTGATGTGCTTAAGTTCCCTGTGTATTCTGGATATTGATGCCTTGCTGGATGAATAGTTTGCAAATATTTTCTCCCATTCTGCAGGCTATCTTTTCACTTTGTTGATTATTTCTTTTGCCGTGCAGAAGATTTTTAGTTTGGTATAGTCGCATTGGGTCTATTTTTGATTTTGTTGCTTGTGCTTTTGAGGTCTTATCCATAAAATCACTGGCCAAAGTCCTGAAGTGTTTTCCCTGTTTTCTTATAGTAGTTTCATATTTTTTGTGTCTGACATTTAAGGCTCTAATCCATTTGAGTTAATTTTTGTATATGGTGGGAGGGGTCTAGTTTCATTCTTCTGCATATGGATATCCAGTTTTCCCAGCACCATTAATTGAGGAGACTATCCTTTCCCCAATGTATGTTCTTGGTACCTTTGTTGAAAGTGAACTCCGCTGTAGGTGTGTGAATTTATTTCTGTGTTCTCTTTTTTGTTCCATTGGTCCATGTCTGTTTTTGTGCCAGTACTATGCTGCTTTGTCCACTATAGCTTTGTAGTGTATATTTTGAAGTCAGGTAGTGTGATGCCTCCAGCTTTATTGTTTTTGCTCAGGATTACTTTGGCTATTCAGGGTCTTTATTGGTCCCATGCAAATTTCGGGATTATTTTTTCTATTTTTGTGAAGACTGTCATTGGTATTTTGATGGGGATTGCATTGAATCTGTAGATCACTTTGTGTAAAATACGGTCCTTTTAGCAATATTAATTCTTCTAATCCATAAGCATGAGACGTCTTTCCATTTTTTATGTTCTCTTTAATTTCTTTCATCTGTCTTTTATAGTTTTCATTATAGAGATCTTTCATTTACCTTGTTAAATTTATTCCTAGCTATTATATTTTTAATAGCTATTGTTAATGAGATTGATTTCTTGATTTCTTTTTCAGCTAGTTCATTATTGGTGTATGAAAATGTTGCTGATTTTTGTAAGTTGATGTTGTATCCTGCAAATTTATTGAATTTATCAGTTCTAAGAGTTTTTGGGTGGAGTCTTCAGGTTTTTTCTATATATAAGATCATGTCATTTGAAAACAAGACAATTTGACTTCCTCCTTTTCAATTTGAATGCCCTTTATTTCTTTCTATTGCCTATTGTTCTGGCTAGAACTTCTGGTACTATGTTGAATAAGAGTGGTGAAAGTGGGCATCTTTGTCCTGTTCCAGTTCTTAGAGGAAAAGCTCTCAACTTTTCCTTGTTCAGCATGATGTTGGCTGTGGGTTTGTTGTATGTGTTTTTATGTTGAGACACATTCCTTCTATACCTAATTTGTTGAGAGTTTTCATCATGAAAAGATGTTGAAATTTATGAAATGCTTTTTCTGCATCTATTGAGATGATAAATAAAGAATGTAGTACCTGGAGTGCTTGCAGGTGATAACATTTCAAGGAAATAGAAAACTGGAGATTATTACATAATCTGGTTGAGTTTGAAAGCAGTGATAATTCTTTTAGTATTATAATACGGGATGTTAGTGGTACATGTGCCTATTGAAGGCAAGGCTAGATGGACCAGGTAACTGCCACTACAGATTATTTTAGCACTAATAATGAACCCAAGAATTGTGAAGTGGGATAACTTTTTCTAACTGTACTCTACAGTTTAAAGAAAGAAAATGGCTACATTGGGATATACATGGTCAGCACAAGAAACAGACAACTACGAGTTTCTATTCCCTTATTTCTTGTTGATGTAGAACTGACATAGTTGAAAATTGGCCACAGAGTCTGATATAATGGGTCATTAAATTATAGTATACATTGAACTCACAGCCTTACCGGTTCATTTTTATGAAAGTAAGAATATTTATCAGGATAGAGTGAGACCACCCAAGAATAGAAATGGGGACATTTGATGCTCGTCAATGATAGATTGGATAAAGAAAATGTGGCACATATACACCATGGAATACTATGCAGCCACAAAAACAAATGCGTTCATGTCCTTTGCTGGAACATGGATGAAGCTGGAAACCATCATTCTCAGCAAACTAACACAGGAACAGAAAACCAAACACCGCATGTTCTCACTCATAAGTGAGAGTTGAACAATGAGAACATATGGGCACAGGGAGGGGAACATCACACACGAGGGCCTGTCGGGGGGTGGGGGCAAGGGGAGGGATAGCATGAGGAGAAATATCTAATGTAGATGACGCGTTGATGGGTGCAGCAATCCACCATGACACATGTATACCTATGTAACAAAATTGCATGTTCTGCACATGTATCTCAGAACTTAAAGTATAATAATTTTTTTAAAAAAAGAAATGTGTACATTTGGGTAGATTCAGACAACCTAAGTAGTTTACCAACAAGTATGCTTTGCCAACAGAAGCAGCCCCAGTTTCATAAGGCTGGTCCTGCCTTCCTTGAACGCTCTGAATTTACTTTTAGGGGAATGTCAACTTTCTTCATAAAGCACCCCTACCCTCCTCATTGCTTTCAGACTTATAACTAGAGTCAGATAAGCGTATGCTCCAAGAGTACAAATATGAAGTCTGACCTGGAAGGAGATAAGAATTGCAAAATTTTGCTAATTTATAATGACAGAAATCTGGAGAATATGTGTAGGAATGTGTCTTAGAATGGTATACTACAGAGGAAAAAATAATTTTTGATCAGGCCAAATAGACCAACATCTACATATTTACCAGAGAGTCTAAATTCAATTGCTAGCTTACCTAATTGGAAGTGGCTCTGATCAGTTGATTGATGGAAGCCAAGGCTCAAAAGTAGCCCATATTAAATAAAGTTGATATAGCAGATATTCCTTGGTATGATGAAGAGGAAGTACTCCAAAGACTTAAGGAGATAGAAACATTGGAGTACATTTATATGATTCAGTCACCTACATTTTAACCATGTCCCTCTTCCAACAGGGACCAGAGGATGCTTTCTTACTCAAGGCATTGAAAATTACCTTAATGAGAGGAGTCTCAGTATCCTTGAAACATGCTACAGTGGCTGTCTTTTGTAGGCTATGACTTATGGTGAAATTAAGTCTCCTTAACTTCTTTTTTAAAATTAATTTTTGACACATAATAATTGTACATATTTATGGGGTGAAGTGTGATGTTTCAATACATGTATACATTGTGCAATGATCAAATCAGGGTATTTAGCATATCCATCACCTCATATATTTATCATTTCTTTGCGGTGAGGACATTCAAAATCTTCTCTCCCAGCTATTTTGAAATATATAATATTGTTAATCATAGTCACCCTACTATTCTAACACCAGAACGTCTTCTTCCTATCTAACTGTAACTTTGTACTCCCTAACCCATCTCTCTCCATCCCTTCCTCCCCACTACCCTTCCAACCTTCTGGTAACCATGATTTCTACTTTCTTCTATGAGATCAACCTTTTCTAGATTTCACATATGAGTGAGATCATGCAGTATGTGTCTCTCTGTGTCTGGCTTATTTCACTTAACATAATGTCTTCTAGGTTCATCCATGTTGCCATGAATGACAAAACTTCATTCTGTTTTATGGATGAATAATATTCTGTTGTGAAAATATACCACATTAAAAAATCCATTCATTCATTGATGATTACTTAGGCTGATTCCGTACCTTGGTTATGTAAATAGTGCTGCAACAAACACTGGAGTGCAGATATCTATTAGATGTACTGATTTCCTTTCCTTTGGATATATTCCTAGAAGAGGGATTGCTGGATCATATGGTAGTTCTATTTTTAATTGAGGGACCTCCCCACTGTTTTCCATAATGGCTATACTAATTTACATTCCCACCAACACTGTGTAAGTGTTCCCCTTTCTCCACATTCACACCAGTATTTGTTATTTTTTGTCTTTTTGATAGCAGTCATTCTAACTGGGGTGAGGTGATATCTGATTGTGCTTTTGATTTGCATTTCCCTGAAGAAAACGGTGAACATTTTTTCATATATCTGTTGGCCATGTCTTCTTCTGAGAAATGTCTATTCAGGTGGTTTGCACATTTTTCAATTGAGTTGCTTCTTTTTTGCTGTTGAGTTGTTTGACTTCCTTGTATATTCTGGATTATTAGCTCCATGCCAGATGCATAGTTTGCAAATATTTTCTCCCAGTCTGTAGGTTGTCTCCTTACTCTGTTATTTCCTTTCCCATGCAGAAGCTTTTTAATTTGATGCAATCCCATTTGTCTATTTTTAATTTTGTCATCTGTGCTTTTGAGGTCTTATCAAAAAAAAAAAAAAAAAAACCTTGCCCAAACCAATGTCATGAAACATTTCCCGTATGTTTTCCTCTAGTCATTTTATCATTTCTGGGCTTATATTCAAGTCTTTAATCCATTTTGACTCGACTTTTGTATATAGTGAGAGATAGAGGTCTAGTTTCGATCTTCTGCATGTGGCTATCTAGTTTTTCCAGTACCATTTATTGAAGACTGTCCTTTCCTCAATGTACGTTCTTGGTGTCTTTGTTGAAAATCAGTTGGCTATAAATACATGAATTTATTTCTGTGTTCTCTATTCTGTTCTATTGGTCTATGTGCCTGTTTTTGTGTCAGTAACATTCTGTTTTGGTTACTGTAGCTTTGTAGTATACTTTGAAGTCAGGTAGTATGACACCTTGAGCTTTGTTCCTTTTGCTCAGGATTACTTTGGCTATTCGTGGTCTTTCGTGGTTACATATGAATTTTAAGAATTTTTTTCCTATTTCTGTGAAGAGTGTCATTTTTTTCATAGAAATTGCATTGAATCTGTAGATCACTTTGGGTAGTATGAACATTTTAACAATATTATTTGTAGGTCTCCTTAATTTCTTAGTTCACGCTGCCATTGTCAGGAACTTGCTAATTCAATGAGAATAATGGGAACCTAGAATGGCAGAGACCAAGTGGGAGAACTTAATGACTAGAGATGGGGTGAGCATGGTTGAGTATGATAGGAGCATGGCCAGGGAAGCCATCTAAATGTTTTGACTTGCAGAGATGTTTGGTAGTGGCTAATTTTTCTTCAGGTCTCTTAGATTAAAATAAATGGTAGCCTACTAATTCCTACTTGATTTGTATAGCCAAAATATTTCCAGTCTGGTGAACAAAGACCTAATTTGAGTAATCATGATGCAGATTTAAGGTCTTTCACCCAATTTGCAGACCTGAGTCAGTTTGCACATTCAGAGGCTCCTGAAGGAAAACCAGGTACCCGTGAGGAAGGATTTTGCAATACCATGAGCATGTGTTGTAAATCTTCTTTTAGGAAGAGGAACCTGTGGCCATTTACCAGGGTAATTTGCACTGGGCAAATGACTTGGACTTTCAGAGATTATTTGACACTGACTCTGAGTTCACATTCATTCCTGGGAGAGATTAGAGGGGGTTAGAACACAATGGTCATCTAGTGGTCAGAGGCAGGGCTTATGGAGTCAAGAGATACAGTTTTATCTTGAATCCATCTACAATGGATCTAGTGTGTTTGCAAATATATTGTATAGCTATTTCTCAGTTCATGAATGTATAACTTGAAATAGCCACAATCAGCAACTGACAGATATACCACATTTGCTCCCTGACCAGTGTAGTAAGAACTTTTTATGGTAGAAAGGGCCAAGTAGAATTAGTTGGGTCTGTCAATAACACATCCCTAGGGAAACCACAGAGATGAGTGTGTACCAAAGATTTGAAGAACATGCGTGTGTATGGGAGGTGGGGGTGATTTCTATCCTACCCTCCTTTAACTTGTCTGTTTGGACTCTGCCAAAGGTAAAGAGGTCTTAGAAAATGATAGTCAATTATCAAAATTTAATAATTTATCTCAAACAGGATTTTTTAAAAGCTGGATAGATCATAGGAAACTGTAGAACACTGAAAGATCAAGATCTTAAAAGTAGTCATAAAGAAATGGCATTACCTGCAAAAGGAAGACAAGCAGAATTAGAAGCTAGGAAATACATTGCTTGATGCTTCTGCAATGGGAGAAATATGTAGTTCTGAAGACAGAAATGGAAACTGCAGCATAACGTGAGATAGGATAAATGTGCTTCTTTTGATGATTATATGCCTATGAATGTAGTTACCGGAATAATTTGCCTTGCCTTTAGGGATCCGGAGCTACAGGGCCCCAGCGTCACATGCATCACTGTTACTCTTCTCGCCTTGAGTGTGCGCAGGACCTGTGATTTGCCTTTAACCAACAGAACATGGTGAAAGGGATGGGATGTCATGGCTGTAATTATGTTACATTATATAAGACACTGTCTTTCTAGCAGATTTGCTCTAGAGACTTCTTGCTGCCTTGATAAAGTAAGTGGCCATTTTGGGGAAAGCTGATGTGGCAAAGAACTGTCCACAGAAGGTGAGGGCAGCTGTTAGGAACTGACTGAAGCCTCTAGAAGCTGAGGGTGGCTGCCAAGTGACTACCAGCAAGAAGCTGGCATCCCAGACTGGAAACCATAAGGAAATGAATTCTGCCAAAGCCTGAGTGAACCTGGAAGTGGATTATTCCTTAGATGATCCTTTACATGAGAACCATCCTGGCTGACACTTTGGTTGCAGCCTTGTGAGATCCTCTAAGCAGAAGATCGACCTAAGTTGAGCCCAGAGTCTTGACCCACTGAAATGGTGAGATAATAAATGTGTGATGGAATTAGCTATGCAACAATAGAAAACAAACACACTGTTCAATTTGCTTTCCACCCTCTTAGTTTGCCTTTCTATACTGTAGAGGCTAAAAAGCTAAAAGTAAATTTCCCAGATTCCTCTGCAACTAGGATTCTGGATTTATTAGAGGCCAATCAGATGCACACATGTGAGATTTGAATGACAGAAGTGAGGTGTTGGCTATGTTTCTGCCATTTCTGCTGGTAAACATAGTTGTGAAGATGTTTGGCTGTTCTATTGCAATTTAGTCATCAGTTTGTGGGTGATGAGAGGCAGGGTGCCTGCCATCTATTTTGCTAGTGTAAGTCACAGCAGTTGAAGCATGGTTTCTGAGGTAGCAGCAGTAGTGATGGCTTTTTATGACAGCAGTAGGAAGTAGCAGTGTCCTTAACACTGAAGAGTTAGCAATTCCCTTGGTGGCCTGATAGTGGTGTGCCTTTGGAAGTTGTTCTTCAAAGCTCAGTTTAGTCCATCCTCCTGATAATTATGTAAGCCACTTGATATCTAGTAATAAATCTTTTCCTGATTAAACTAACTAGAGTGAATTAGCTCTCTGCAATTGAATTCTGATACAAGAGGGAAGTCCTCAAGTGATATCTGAGTGAAGTGCAAGTAAAAATACATCATAGTTCTGTGTGAACTGAAATTTAGAAAAAGAAAAAAAAAAAGCCTGAACATGGTGACTCACACCTGTAATCCACATTTTGGGAGGCTGGGGCGGTAGGATTGCTTGAGCCTAGGAATTTGAGAACAGCCTGGGCTACATAGGGAGACCACATCTCTACCAATAAATAAATAAATGAATGAATGAATAAATAAATAAATAAATAAATAAATAAGCCAGGCATGGTGGTGTGTATCTGTGGTCTCAGCTACTTGGGAGGCTGAGACATGAGGATTGCATGAGCCTGGAAGATCAAGGCTGTACTGCACTCCAATCTGGGTGACAGAATTAGACCTGTCTGTCTGGGTGACAGATTGAGACCTGTCTCAATAAAGAAAAAAAAAAAAAAGAAAAAGAAAGAAAAGAAAAGAAAAAGGAAAAAAAGACATCATAATAAATAATACTAATCTTTTTAAGTAAACCATTTTTCATGTTTAGTAGATATATTTATTTTTATAAAGACAAGTAAAGCCACCTTATAACATATTTAATTTAATGCATAAGGTATAATGAACTGGTTCAGTTTAACACAACTACGTAAGATTTTTAATATTATGAACAACCTGTTTGGTTAACAAGATAGCAGCTATAAAACTATAATGTTTAGTTTGTTTCTCCTGCAGACTCAGAAAATAAATGTTTTCTTTTTGCTTTGCATTTATAAACTTTTTGCAACTCAAAAAATCTCTTTCAGTATTCAATTTTAATTAATCTAGCCTAAAGTATAATACTCAGCAATCTGTACTATTCTGACTTTAAAATCATATCAAATATTAATAACATATATGCTCTTAAGAAAGTACCTTTCTTTGTAAATACAACTGACAAAATATTCAGCAAAGTGTGTACAATAGTGCCTTGTATACATGTGTCTTTCTAGAGCTACTTCAGTATAATTTAACAATCATTGCACAATAGCAGATGTATAATAGTTTCCATATAAACTATTATCTAAGCTGTAAAATATGGACATAGTTCAGCAAATCATTTCTGAGAAAAGGCATAGATGTTTATTTACCAACTATCTCTTTAAGTGGTAATTTCCTTGAAAAGACAAGGTTGATTAAATAATTTAAAGACACTACTAGTAAGTGTTTAGCTAAAACCAATTTATGGGATTTTCAAAGGCTCAACTTGAAAATTCTTGAACTTCTTTGAAAATAACATATTCTATGAGCGATGAAGCCCCATGTGTTAAGCTTTGTTCACAGTGGATTCTTCCCAAAGGCTGACTGTACCAACTCCCTCCAAGAAAGGGAGACCTCTTGAGTCACTCTGAAGGAGGTCTGCCCTTTCATGGTTTCACATCTAGAAAAGTCAAAAGGCTTATAACCAAAGTCTTTTCTAAAGAAAGAAGCTCCAATGAATGATTTCTCCCCCTATTTTCTAAGTCAATTGATTAATAAATTGTCCTTGGTAGGAATAGCACAGGACAGTGGACAAGTATGGTTTGCTTTTTTTTTTTTTGAAAGTGCTAACAAAGCCCATTATCTCTAAATGGACTTGGTGTAATGACTGAAATATAAACAGCATAAAGTATATAGAAATTACACATCTAAATTGGATAGTCAAAACTTTTTAGACAGATGTCAGCAATTCTGTTACCTTGGCAATCATTACATACAAGTATACTTTATATGCTTGCCAGACTAATAAGATAATTCAGTCTTAGTGTAGCCATTCTTTACTATCTAATGTAAATTAACACATGACTGGTGAAAATCCAAAATCTAAAGCTAGAACCAAAACAGTCATAAGCTACTCTGAGACAAATACCACAAACAGCAGTGCCCAGAATTTCTAGTGATGTCTCGGTCTAATGAAAGACCTATACAGTTAATTGAACTGTTTCTTAGCCCTTCTCAGAAGGCTGATTTTACCCAGATTAAATCCAAATCCAATATTGTTTTTTTCTTTATATCAGCCCAGAATTTAGAGTTATTGATTTGCTTTTGTCAGTAACAGAGTTAGCAGTGTGAGTCAGCAGCCTCTGAACCCCTCAGGTAGGAAGACTGTAGAAGGTACTTAAAAAAGCATTTATTACTAGAAGACTGAATGAGATTAACTTAAAAAAATTAATAATATTTCAGTTAGATAACTTGAAAACAAGGGCCCCAAATGGTAATCTTTTAGATAATTTGGAAAGTAGGGTTTATCGATTGACATGACATATCAGCCTCACTAACACCCAAGCATAACACCGTCTTTTCAAAATAATCAGTAATTCATATGTAAATAGCAACACAAGCTAGTAATTTCCTTACTAAAAGTGATATGCTTGTGCCCTCTGGTGGTAACATTTAGCATATTCCCCTGATATTGCATATATTGTGAAATATAAAAAAGTATATTTGTATTTGAGAATATCATCAAAATTTGAGATAACAAATGTGGTTTGCTTTTTTGTTTTGTTTGTTTGTTTGTTTTAAAAAGTGCTAACAAAGCCCATTATCAACAACAAAGGAATGATGCATTGTGCTTCTGGATATATATTTTGGCCTTCAGACACATTGGTAACAAGATAAATCCCTGAGCCCTACTCACAGGAATCAAACTGACAGCTACAGGAATGTTAGTAAACTTGTCTATGATAGGCAATTCCTAGGGATTTACATCTTGGTTCTAGACCTTAACTGAGAAATTCTTGCATTTTCCAGCTTGGCTTTTACATCTATGGGTTTCTCAAAAAACCTCACCAATGCTGGTTCATTCAACAGCGATGCAAGAATCTGTTCAAATGCAAATGACCACTGAGGTTCCTCCCTAAAGGAACAAGGATCTTTCTCCAAGTGGCTCCCTGTTTTTTCCTCACTGGGTCCTCCAGAACCACAGACAGTACCAGAGAATCCTTTGGCTGATGATGTAGGGCTATGTAGTTTCCTTCCAACTTCTTCCATCCTGAGTAAAAGGCTGGTTACAACAGCAATGGCTTGATATAATGATTCTTCTTCAGGGTCCTCATGAAATAAGTTATAGAGGGTCTTTGAAAACTGAATAAACTGAGACTAGAAGACACAAGTTGAAAATATCACGTTTGAATATTAGACTTAGCAAATATAAAGAGAACTTAGAAGTGAATAGTCTCCTATATAGGATTTGTACCATAGAAGCTTCACCCTAGAAGTTATAAGAACTGGTGATTAACCCCAAAATACATATTGGTTCTAGAAAGGTGAGTATGGGCCAGGCGCGGTGGCACATGCCTGTAATCCCAGCACTTTGGGAGGCCGAGGCGGGTGGATCATCTGGGGTCAGGAGTTCGAGACCAGCCTGGCCAACGTGGTGAAACCTCTACTAAAAATACAAAAAATTAGCTGGGCGTGGTGGCAGGCACCTGTAATCCCAGCTACTTGGGAGGCTGAGGCAGGAGAATCGCCTGAACCATGGAGGCAGAGGTTGCAGTGAGCCGAGATCGTGCCATTGCACTCCAGCCTGGGCAACAAGAGAGAAACTCCATCTTAAAAAAAAAGATGAGTATGAACCATGGAAGAAAATTTCATTTAAGTGCTCTCACTTATTGCCTAATAGTACATTTTATCCAGACTAATTCCTGGACTGTTTGCCTGCCAGCATTACTTAAATGTTAGGTGCTATTTTTTTTTCCTTAGACAAGGCCTTGCTGTGTTGTCCAGGCTTGAGTACCATGGTGCAATCATAGCTCACTGCAGCTTCCAACTGCTGGGCTCAAGTGATCCTCACACCTCAGCTTCCCAAGTAGCTAGGACTATAGGCACATGCCACCATGCCTGGCTAATTTTCACATTTTTTGTAGAGACAGGATCTTACTATGTTGCCTGGGCTGATCTCAAACTCCTAGCCTCAAGTGCTCCTCTCCTACTTTGGCCTCCCAAAGCACTCAGATTACAGGCATGAGCCACTGCGCCTGGCCAGGTGGTACTTCTAATTAGGCAAAGTCCCTTTGAAGCTGTCCTCAGAGGGTGAACAAGAATTCTGGACAGAAATATAGTTAAAATTATGCATAAATTAGGCTGCACTTTGACCTGCTTCCATGGAATGAAAAGTCACTGACATTAGAATCATAGGCTTTTGTTTAAGAATTGTTTAAGATGTTTAATCCTGAATTCCATATATATATATATATATATATATATATATATAAATATTTTTCTGGGTTCCTAGTTCACAACTCCCATAGTCCTTTGTTACAGTCTTTTCTTCCCTTCCCTTCTCTCCCCTTTCCCTCCCCTTCCCCTTCCTTCCCCCTCCCCCTCCCCTCCCCTTCCTTCTTTCTTTTTGACAGAGTTTCGCTCTTGTCACCCAGGCTTGAGTGCAGTGGTGAAATCTCAGCTCACCCAGGTTGGAGTGCAATGGTTAAATCTCAGCTCGCCCAGGCTGGAGTGCAATGGTGCAGTCTCGGCTCACTGCAACCACCACCTCCCAGGTTCAAGTGATTCTCCTGCCTCATCCTCCAGAGTAGCTTTCTGATAGTCGGTCTTAAAACCCTCCCTAGAAAGGGTCTTACCTCATACCCTTAGGGGAAGGAATGCTGACATCATGAAGCTTCCATAAAAACCCAAGATAACTGGGTTCAGGGAGCTTCTGATAGCTGAATGCATGGAGGCTGACAGGAGGAAGGTAAAGAAGAACTCATCCTCATGCCGGGAGGGTGGTGCACCCCAACTCCACGTGGAGAGAAGCTCCTGCGCTTGGGACCCTTCCAGACCTCGCCCTGTGTATCTCTTCTTCTGGCTGTTTATTTGTATTCTTTAAAATATCCTTCTTAGTAAACCAGTAAATATAACTATTTCTCTGAGTTCTGTAAGTCTCTCTGTAGCAAATTAATCGAACTCAAAGAAGGGATAGTGGGAACCCCAACTTGAAGTTGGTCAGCCAGAAGTTCAGGAGGCTCAGACTTGTTACTGGGGGAAAGGAGGGAGCAGTCTTGGGGACTGAACACTCAACCTGTGGGATCTCATACTATTTCTAGGTAGATAGTGTTGGAATTTAATTGGAGGACACTCAGCTGGTATCTGCTGCTTGGTTGGGGGGAAAACCCCCACACATTTGGCCACAGACATTTTCTTCTATGTTGATGATTGTTATTGTCATGGTGTGAGAGTAGAGGAAAAAAGGCAGTTTGAGAGAATTTTTCCCTAAACAATAGTACTGTTCATTTATAGTAATTCTAGAATAAATATGTCATACTGACTCATTTTAGAAAGTACTTATTCAATTGTCAAATGATATAGTCCACTGAGAAATATGAAGTTATTTGATAGTTTTCATTTTGGTAAAGTTCTCGGGATCCTCAGTATCTGTACTAACCAGATTTTAATTACAAAAAGAAGAACATATTTTGATTAGGCAGTGTATAAGAAAGAGATGAACTTAAAATTATGTTCAGATATAAGATCAGTAGGAACCAGGGTGTGACCCATCTCAGTAATTTATCATTCCCAGTACCTAGCATTGGGTTTGGTATCTGGTATACAGTAAACAAATGTTTACTGAATAAATGAACATTTCCAATAAAGTTGGAAATATACTACACATACTTTTTTTCTATAGGTACATGTCACAGCAGAAGAATTCTCTGAAACACTGGACACATTTGAGTGTTAAAAATAAAAAAATCATTAAAAAATTTCTTC
The DNA here is from genome assembly GCF_000001405.40 of Homo sapiens. Lineage (NCBI taxonomy): Eukaryota > Metazoa > Chordata > Mammalia > Primates > Hominidae > Homo > Homo sapiens. The sequence goes on along the minus strand of NC_000023.11, from coordinate 106,870,962 downwards.
CCACTCTTCCATGCTCATCTGAAACTTAGAGAGCTAATAGATAGATTATTTAACTATTTTGGGAATAGCATGTTAGCTATTTTAGAGGTTACACCCACATCCATACAAAAAAGCAAGAACTTAGAATTTTCTTTTTAAAAATGCTATACCTGATTCATTCTTGGTAAATCCTTAATGTTTTCTTCTTTTTTGAAAAGCTCATCTTGCCATTGACTTAGATATGCTTGAATATCAATTTTCCCTTTGCCTGAAGAAAGGGAGTAAAACCATTTCATAAGGAACAGCCCACTATACTTTCCCAAAATTCAAAAATAATAATTATGATTAAAAGGTATTTCACTGAGATATAAGATCCCATTTTTTTAATCCAGGAAATGATCTGAAATTACCTTTCATTTCACCCACTGGCTCTCAGAATACTTTTCCCATTTCTGTTTAGACTAAAACGTTTACTTTAGGAAAGTTGGGAACTAGGGAATATGTGGCGAGAGAGGGAGAAAGGACATATTTAGATTAAAACAATACACCCCGACTTAATAATGCAAATTTTATGTAGTCATTCTCATGTATACTATTAAGTTTAAAACAGCTTCTATATTATGTTCTTAATATGCATATATTGTTCCAAAGTGGGCTGGGCACGGTGGCTCACGCCTGTAATCCCAGGGCTTTGGGAGGCCGAGGTGGGCAGATCACCTGAGGCCAGGAGTTCGAGATCAGCCTGGCCAACATGGTGAAACCCTGTCTCTACTAAAAATATGAAAATTAGCCGGGTGTGGTGGTGGGCGCCTGTAGTCCCAGCTACTCGGGATGCTGAGGCAGGAGAATGGCTTGAATCCAGGAGGCAGAGGTTGCAGTGAGCTGAGATCATGCCACTGCACTCCAGCCTGGGCGACAGAGCAAGACTCCATCTCAAAACAAACAAAACAAAGTGGTCTTTAGTAGCTCTTTTTCAAAAATTTGAAACACTACTTATTCATTCAAAGAGTTTAAGATACAAATGTACTGACATTAAAAGATGTCCATGATATACTGCAAAATCCAAAAAGGAAATTATAAAACAGTACTTATGGAATATTTTTTTAAAAAAGAGAGATGTCTGCATATATTGTGTATACATAGGAATAGATCTGAAAAGGATATAGACAAAAATGTTTTCGGGTAGGGTTGAGTGAAGACAAAAGGACTTATGTACTGTCTGAATTTCTTTTCTAAGAATTATCTATTACTTTTGTAATTAAAAACAAATCTTTTAAAAATAATAAAATTAAATGAATATGGGTCATTTACTATCATATTTTCTATAATTTCTGAGACATCAATAGCCTTTAAAAGGAATCCACCTTTTCCCCCTTTGTAGCTATCCTTATTTACATAAAAATAACTAAATAAATTAAATGATAACTCCTAGATCATAGTACCTTTTTCAGGGCTGTGTTTTGCTGATTCTGCTTCCTTCTCATTTGCAGGCTTGGAAACTATAAGAAAAGATGTAATTGCATTCTGTAAGATGTTTAACAAATACTCTTTGAAAGCAAAATAATGTTTCATATAGACGTATAAGCACATTATTTTATTCAATTCTGCAAACAAATTTTAGCTGACTTGACCTATCATCAGAAGACAAAATATTCCAAAACTTTCACAGTAAAAAGAACATTGGGGGAAAATCCGTATTTTAAAAAATCTTAGAAGGAAGCATACCAAATATTAAGTATTTATTTCTGGGTGGTATTTTCTTCTTTGTGACTTTCTTTAAATAAAGTTATATTACTTTTATTATCAGGAGAAAAAAAGCACATACTGGACGTCAGAAGAGTGTGCTACAAAGCCCTGACTGTGGCAACAACTCACTGTGAAACCTTGCACAAGTCACTTCTCTCTGGGCCTTAGTGCCTTTATCTATAAAAGGAAGAGACTTGACTAGATGATTTGTAAGGTCCCTTCAAACTTAATGTTCAAACACTTTAACATATAATAACCACAAATATACATTAATCAGGGTTCATCCCTCTATAGGACATTGAATATTTATGAAAATAAACTAAAGGACACAAAAATAAACTCATATCACTTTAAATTTTGTCTTGGAGACAGACTCATCCCTGTCTCCTACACCTACAGTGATTTATAATAAGTATTCACTGTTTGAAAAATAGCTATGGCCTTTAATCATCAAAGATTCTATTGTATTTTATCAAGGCATGAAAATGGTCTAATACATTTTAGAAATTTCTGCAACGTAAGTAGAAACAAAATACATTATTGAGTCTCCAATAAGCAAGAAATTCCACAAATCAAAGCACCAAAATGCAATTTGGTTAACCGGTCAAACATTTATGGACCATGCTAAGTGCTGTGGTAATACAAAAGAAGTATAAGTTAAAATGAAGCCCAATTTTAGTTGGGTAAAGTATATCTAAGTCAGCAAGATCTTTATGGGTGGCTAATCATCAAAACAGTTAACATTTTAAACAGGTATTTACCATGCAGCTGACTGAAATAAAGTAATTCTTCCTTGGAAAGTTCATCTCCTTTTGAAGCATCCTTAGATTTCACTTCAGTGTAAGCTGAAAACATATAAATAACCCAAATTACATTTATTAACAACCAGGGGCAGAGATGAGGTTCATAATGGGTCAGGTATATCTGGGAACTGGGTGTTAAAGAGTTTCTGTATAAGAAAGATGTAAGTGAAGAAATACAGAAGTGGTTCTACTCTACTGTAATATATAGTAATTATACTGTAATATATGTAATATATATAAAATATAGTAAATACAAGAAGTAGTTGATCATTTTGAGTTCTATTTTTTTCCTACTTGTTTTTTTAATGGTTTTCCAAGAGCTATTAAAAGTTGAAATTGTTTAAATCTGGCATTTAGAAATCTCTGAAAATGTGACCTCAGCCATTTAAAAAACATCCTCAATAATAAGGAAAACAGAAAGTTGGGTGCTTTGGTTTACTTCCTACTTGTGCTTTAACAGGTACATAATGTTTTTCCTATTTTTTTATCCCTCTGTTAAAAGCATAGTTGATGACAATATTAAACATTCTAACAGTAGCCTGATTTGACAATGGAAACTCCTTTTATAATTAAATTTTTAGGTGATTTGTCTTTTGCTTTTAATGATGTGTTTGTGATTTGAGTGTGTGAAGGGTTAAAGATGGCCTTTACCTTGTTGGTGTGGTAAAGAATGTTTCCCGGCTATCCTGAGAAAAGCTGAAAAGGGATCCCAGGTGTAGCTTTAAACAAATTATGAGGTGCTGTTTGTTTTTGTGAACTACCCCATCTCGGCTAAAAGGTACTTTTTGCAATGCTCCTTCAGTTTAAAGCCTAAGACTGTTTTCACAAAGTAGGGATCAGGCTTTGGCAAGGCATCCTCTTCAGGTCAGTGGGAAAAACAAGTAAACTGAATGGTGTGGTAATTTTGAGGTAGTACGGAAGAATATAAAGAAATGTGAGCTTTGGAGTCAGACTTCAGTTTGCTATGCAATTTATTAGCGATGTGATCTTTGGCAAATTTTTATCTTTCCAGCTCTCAGTTTCCTTATCATCAAAATTGGAAGGATAATGCCACCTATCATGGATATTATGAGAATTAAATTTTAAAAATGCATGTAAAGTTAATGTCTTGACAGAGCAGGTGCTTAATAAATGATAGCGTTTATTGTGCTTCCTTTTTAAAATATTTAATATCCCTGCTTCCTTGTCCCATTTTTCTGAATAATTTGTAGTATTTCGCAGGTTTGGCAGTTTGTCTAAAGTTAATTTCCACTCTAATGACAACAACAACAATTCAACATTATACCAACAATCAAATGATATGTGATTCTTATATACAAACTACTTATCATTAAATTGACTACTAACAGGAAGGAAACTTGTGGGCCCATATGTTACACAGAATCTCTTCCATAGAAGATCACTGTATCTATATCAGCAAAAAGTAGTCATAATATAATTTGAGGGCCACAGTGAAGCAACGATCTTATATCATGTTGAAAATTAGTTTAGTTGTTAAAAAAATCTGTAATTATACTTGCTAAAATGGAATAAATTCCTGCTGTACATCGTTAAAGACTGGTAAACTCTTACCTGGAGGAATATGTAGCTTAAAAAGCAGCTTAAGCTTCTCAGTAAAACTTCCATTGTACATTATGTCTGTTCAATAAAATTCAATTGTAAATAATCATGTATCTAAAGAACATTCAATCAATTTCAGCAACAAAGATTAATTAAGATATAGACATTAGTCAAAAATTAGGATTTAGAAACCTGTTACTTAAGCTAACAATTAAACAACCACCTAGTCAATCAGATGCTCTCCTTCAAGTGTATAACTGTATAAGCAAAATACTCTTTATCAAAAAAGTAAAATGTTCTCTTTCCTAGCTCCTTCCCCCCAATCTCAGATTTCTCTTTTCTTTTGAATGAGGCCTGTGCAGGAGAGAACTGTTCTTCAAGGGGTGATCCCTGATAAGAAAGCATGCTGGGGTATCTGGAAAAGCAAATGAACAATATCTACAGGTACAACATCTTGACTATCTGTAGGTACAACATGTTTGCTGGGTATTTATCTACCACTCTTCTAGGCTATGTGGTTGAATTTTTACGGGGAGGTCGGTGGGGTGGGGGAAGTCCTTCGGTAGTACCCATGCATCTGAGTGTGGGAAAATTGGGACGTTATCTTCCTTATGTTAACCCTTAAAACACTCACATCTAACAGCTTGCTTTTCTGAAAGGGTTGGGGAAAATAATATCAAAATACTTAGATTTAGCAACAAATGCAGAAAAGGGTCCATTTATTACTAAAGCTAAACACACTGTAACCCATGGTGATATAATCTGACTAAATTGGCAATAATAGGCAGTACTAAGTATTTCTAGGAGCACCTTTTTTTTTTGCTTAAAAAAATCATCTTACCAATTGCAGAGGAGAATTCTTTGAAGTTTATAAGGCAATCAGAGTTTTCATCTAACAATCTGAATGTCCATAAAGCTAGTGAGTCTTTATTTGCAGAATGAGCCCAGGGACTCAACAAGTGATACAACGCTCTGAACTGCTGGCAGTCAATCTGATACTGTTCCAAATATGGCAGACTGGGGTCATGATGCTTCAATACTGGGCAACCCAAACACCAATAACAAGATAAAAACAGCTCTTTCTATTAAAAATAAATAAAAAAGGAAAGTTACTAATTAGAAAAAGTAATTTTGGAAGATTTTAAAAACCATGTCTGCTAAAATAAAGATAAAAATAATTAGAATGGCTGTGATACAATTCTGCTAAAAAAAAGCATTATTTTTCATTTAAAGAAGAACAACAGTACCTTAAAGATGACATAAAGTTCATCCAATTCTTGAAGGCTCAATTTCACATCTTGTGATACAACACGCAACTTTAAAAAGATTAAAAGCAATTTAGTACACAGATTTTAACATTGCAGTAAAGAAATTCTCTTTGAATTACCTTAGAGTCTCTCTCTGCTAGAAGAAAATATTTGTGTTTTAACTTCTTAAATGAATAATAAAAAGTTATTATAAGTTATTATATTATAAAGTTATTATCTATTTTTCCTTTTAAAAAGTAGTAGTAGACTAGTTCAATTCTACTCTAATATGTACTTTGATATTCATCTCTTCATACTCAGAAATCACTGCCAAAGAACAGCCACTTAATGTCTATAAATATAAGTAACAGTATTCTAAGTCCTATTCCATATATTCCTCTCTTGCCACATAAGCAGCATATCTAGTCATCATGTGAGGTTGCTATTAAATACTTCAAAGGCATTGGGAGATGTACATTCCCTCTCTATGCCAAAAAACATAATCCAAGAAGTAATAAGCTTAGAAAATATGTACTTTTATCCTATTCCATGAAGAAGAAGGACTAATGATACAATCATTATGATATCTAAGAAATTTGAAAGCAAAGGTAAAGAAAAAAGCTAGAATTGATGAAATACAGAAAATTAAAAAAACCCGGTAGACTCAGTAAATAAAATTAAGAGTTGGTTTATTGAAAAAATCAATAAGATAGACACATTTCTGGCAAGTGAGATGAAAGAAATCACAAATGACTATCATCGAGAAGTGGATAATTTAAGCATGGATACAGAAGTCATTTAAAGTGCCCAGCAGAGGAATGGTGGCTCATGCCTGTAATCCCAGCACTTGGGAGGCCAAGGCAGGCAGATCACTTGAGGCCAGGAGTTCAAGACCAGCCTGGCCAACTTGGTGAAACCCTGTCTCTACTAAAAATACAAAAATTAGCCAGGTGTGGTGGCGTATGCCTATAATCGCAGCTACTCAGGAGACTGAGGCACAAGAATCACTTGAACCCGGGAGGCAGAGGTTGCAGTGAGCCGAGATCATGCCACTGTATTCCAGCCTGGGCGACAGAGTGAGACTGTCTCAAAAAAAAAAAAAAAAAAAAAAAAAAGGTGCCCAGCATGGGAGGGGCCAATATGACAAACTAGAAGCAGATCATGGGTGCTGCTCTCTTATGGAGGGGAAACAAAGGGTTTAGTGAACACTGACCCTAAAAGCCAATCATCTAAGAAACCACACTGGGAACCATCAAAGCAGCAAGGGGACACAGAGAGCAGAGAGGAGGGAAGCTGGGCAGCAGCCTATCTGGCATCAATGCGGAGTCAGGAGAAGCTCCCCAATACGGGAGAGGGTAATTCACACTCTCCATGGGGATCTGTGTAAGGCTGGGAGTGGGAGAATTCCCCTGCCCTAACCCCCTACTTGCCACTCTCATCCTCCCACCTCACCTCTAAACTGAGGCAGAGAGCCACCCAGACGGTTTGCAGAGGCAACTCTTAAGTCCAAGGGGACCTCTACAAGCCTCGGATCCTGGAACAGACCAACACCAGCGCCACAGCCCCAATAGAGGCCAAAGTCATGGTGCCTGGGAGCAGTAGGATTGGTCCACCCTCCTCACCAGACAAGGCTTGGTGCCAGCTTCCAGCCCAGCACTACCGCTTCTGCCTGAAATCGGCCAGAGGCTGCAGCCTCCTGTTGTCCCATGAAACACCTACACGGCAGGGCGGACGACCCCACCTGCTCCTGTCACTGGTAGCCAGGCGAGCAACACCTGCTGGAGCTTCCAGCCCAGATGTCCCGCTTCTGCCTGAACTTAGCCAGTGGCTGCAACATCCTGTTGTCACTGGAAACACCCAACAGGCAGGGCAGGTGACCCCACCACGCTCCACCACTGGTAGCCAGGTGGGCAATGCCTGTTAGAGCTTCCAGTCCAGTGGTCCAGCTTCTGCCTAAACTCTGCTGGCAGTTGCAACCCCTGGTACCCTCAGGATGCACTTGGACAGCAGATTAGGTGACACTACTCACTCCCGCAGCTCCCAGTTGGGCGGGACTTTCTGACTTAGGTGGTGCCCAAGCATCACTGAGAGATGAGACACCCAGGTTCGCAGCTTGATAGAGGGGTGGTGTGTGCCTCCCTCCACAGGGCCGACCCAGTAAGGATAAGACCTGTTTGCCAACTGTGGCTCCTACCTGAGGGAGCCCTGTGGACCAGAGCACCCAACAAAAGAAATGCGGGCATGAAGCCAGTAATCAGAAGGGGTTCCTCCAAGGCCCAGGGGTGGACTAGGTGAATGGGCCATCTCCCTGTCCCCATTCACAGACCATTACCCTGGAGCCATGCAGCAGAGCAAGAAGCTATCTGCTGGCTAACACTCTTAAGCGCCACCTACTGGATCGCAGCCCAAAAGACAACACTAAAATATTCTGCCAGTATACACCACCTGTGAAAACTAAGGTAAAGGCTCCTACGAGCACCCAGCCTGAGCCAATGCATGTGTATGCTGCCACGCTGCCACGGATGCTGGCATGCACGAGCAAGCATGGATTCCACCGCCACCACCCCGACTAAGTGTTTTGGCTAGCACCTCCATTGTAGTGTTGAGGCCAGTGGACTGGGAACACCTTGGCCTCTCTGGCAGAGCAGGTTCCTAGCCCCGAGGGCCCAGAGAACAAAGCTGGGGGTCTGGTACCAGCCCCGCAGAGGTAGCACACTCATCTCAGGAGAGCTCAGGTGAGCCTTGGCCATCTGAAATCTTCAAAATCAAAGCCAGTCAACTGAATCCACAATCAAACCCCCAAGGGCATCAAAGAAGATAAAAGCAAAAAAAAAAAAAAAAAAAAAAAAAACAAAAAAAAACCCATCCAAAGGAAAACAACTTCAGAGATTAAAGGAATATCAGCTCACGCAGATGAGAAAGAACCAGCACAAGAACTCTGGCAACTCAAAAAACCAGAGTGTCACCTTACCTCCAAACAACTGCACTAGTTCCCCAGCAGTGGTTCTTAGCCAGGCTGAAATGGCTGAAATGACAGACATATAATTCAGAATCTACATAGAAATGAAGATCATTGAGATTCAGGAGAATGTTGAAACCCAATCCAAGGAATCTAAGGAATACAATAAAAGGATACAAGAGGTGAAAGACAAAATGACCATTTTAAGAAAGAATCAAACTGATCTGATAGGGCTGAAAAACTTACTACAAGAATTTCATAATACTATCACAAGCATTAACAACAGAATAGACCAAGCTGAGGAAGGAATCTCAGAACTCGAAGACTGGTTCTCTGAATTAACTTAGACAAAAATAAATGAACATTTCCCCAACTTTGCTAGACAGGACAACATTAAATTCTGGAAATGCAGAGAACCCCTGCAAGATACTATATAAGATTACCATCCCCAAGCCACACAGTCATCAGATTCTCCAAGGTCAACATGAAAGAAAAAATATTAAAGGCAGCTAGAGATAAGGAGCAGGTCACCTAAAAAGGAAATCCCATTAGCCTAACAGTGTACTATTCAGCAGAAATGCTACAAGCCAAAAAAGATTGAAGGCCTATATTCAGCATTCTTAAAGAAAAGAAACTCCAGCCAATAATTTCGTATTCAGCCAAACTAAGCTTCATAAGCAAAGGAGAAATAAGATCCTTCTCAGACAAGCAAGTGCTAAGGGAATTCATGTTCATTAGATCTGCCTTACAAGAGATCTTGAAAGGAGTGCTAAATATGGAAAGGAAAGACGATTATCAGCCACTACAAAAACACACTTAAGTACATAGACTATTGACACAATAAAGCAACTACACAATCAGTTTTGCATAATAATCAGCTAACAACATGATATCAGGATCAAATCTACACATATTAATATTAACCTTGAATGTAAACAGGCTAACCAGAATGTAACTAGACTGCCCTAATTAAAAGGCACAGAGTGGCAAGTTGGATAAGATAGTGAGATGCAACTGAATGATGTCTTCAAGAGACCTATCTCACATGCAATGACATCCAAAGGCTCAAAGTAAAAGGTTGAGGAAGAATCTACCAAGCAAATGGAAAACAGAAAAAAGCAGGGCTTGCTATTCTGATTTCAGACAAAACAGACTTTAGGCCAACAACAACAACAAAACAAAACAAAAAAGGAATTATATAATGGTAAAGGATTCAAGTCAACAAGAAGACATCTATCTTAAATATATATGCAGTCAACACAGGAGCACTCAGATTCATGAAACAGGTTCTTAGAGGCCTATAAAGAGACTTAGATAACTACACAATAATAGTGGGGGACTTCAACACCCCACTGACAGTATTAGTCATATCATCAAGGCAGAAAACTAACAAAGATATTCGGGACCTGAACTCAACACTTGACCAAACGGACCTAACAGATATCTACAGAACTTTTCCCCCCAAAACAACAGAACATATTCTTCTCGTCTGCACATGGCACATACTCTAAAATTAACCACACAATCAGACATAAAACAATCCTCAGCAAATTCAAAAAACCCAAAATCATAACAACTATACTCTTTGGACCATAGCATAATAAAAATGAAAATAAATACTAAGAAGATTGCTCAAAACCATATAATCACATAAAAATTAAACAATCTGCTCCTGAATGACTTTTGGGTAAGCAATGAAACTAAGGAATAAATCAAGAAATATTTAAAACTAATGAGAATAAAGATACAACATATCAGAATCTCTGGTACACAGTTAAAGCAGTGTTAAGAAGGAAGTTTACAGCATAAATGCTTACATAAAAAAGTTAGAAAGATCTGAAATTAACAACCTAACATCACACCTAGAGGAACTAGGAAAACAAGAACAAACCAATCCCAAAGCTAGCAGAAGACAAGAAATTACCAAAATCAGAGCTGATCTGAATGAAATCAAGACATGAAAACCCATACAAAAGATCAATGAATCCATGAGTTGGCTATTTAAAAGAATAAATAAGACTGATAGACCACTAGCTAAACTAACAAAGAAAAAAGAGACGATACAAATAGACACAATCAGAAATGACAAAGAGACATTACCACTGACCCCACAGAAATACAAAAAATACCCTCAGAGACTACTATGAACACCTCTATGTACACAAACTAGAAAACCTAGAAGAAATGATAAATTCCTGGAAACACACAACTTGCCAAGATTGGACCAGGAAGAAATTGAAACCCTGAACAGACCAAAAACAAGTTCTAAAATTGAATCAGAAACACACACACACACACACACACACACACACACACACACACACACACCAATCATAAAAAGCCCAGTACCAGATGGATTCACAGCCAAATTCTACCAGACATATAAAGAAGAGCTGGTACCATTCCTACTGAAACTATTGCAAAAAATTGAGGAGAAATGACTCCTCCTTAACGCATTCTTTTAGGCCAGTGTCATTCTGCTACCAATAACTGGCAGAGACACAACAAAAAAAAGAGAAAACTTCAGGCCAATATCCTTGAGGAGAACAGATGCAAAAATCCTCAACAAACTACTAGCAAACCAAATCTAGCAGCACATCAAAATGCTAACACACCATGAGCAAGTATGCTTTATCCCTGGGATACAAGGTTGGTTCAACATACACAAATCAATTAATGCAATTCATCACAAAAACGAACTAAAACAAAAACCACACGATCGTCTCAATAGATGCAGAAAAAGCTTTCAGTAAGATTCAACATCACTTCGTGTTAAAAAGCCTCAACAAACTAGGCATTGAAGAACTGTATCTCAAAATAATAAGAGCCATTTATGACAAATCCACAACCAAAATCATACTGAATGGGTAAAAGCTGGAAGCATTCCCCTTGAGAACCAGAAGACAAGGATGCCCACTCTCACCACTCTGGTTCAACATAGTACAGACAGTCCTAGCCCGAACAATCAGGCAAGAGAAAGAAATAAAAGGCATCCAAATAGGAAGAGAGGAAGTCAAACTATTTCTATTTGCAGATGATATGATTCTATATGTAGAAAACCCCAAAGTCTCAGCCCAAAAGCTCCTAGATTTAGTAAACAACTTTGGCAAAGTTTCAGAATACAAAAATCAGTAGCATTTCTATGTACCAACAAAGTCCAAGCTGAGAGCCAAATCAAGAACTCAATCCTACTCACAATAGCCAAAAAAAGAGTAAAATACCTAGGAATACAGCTAACTATGGAGGTGAAAGGTCTCTACAATGGGGATTACAAAACATTTCTCAAAGAAATCAGAGGTGACACAAGCAAATGAAAAACATTCCATTCTCATGGATAGGAAGAATCAATATTGTTAAAAAGGCCATACCAACCAAAGCAATTTAAAGATTCAGTGCTATTCCTATCAAACTACCAATGACATTCTTCACAGAATTAGAAAAAACTATTCTAGAAAATTCATATGGAACCAGAAAGGAGCCCAAATAGCCAAAGCAATACTAAGCAAAATGAACAAAGCTAGAGGTATCACGTTATTCACCTTCAAACTATACTACAAGGCTACAGTAACCAAAACAGCATGGTACAGGTACAAAAACACACATAGTCTAACGGAACAGAATGGAGTGCCCAGAAATAAAGCTGCACACCTATAACCATCTGATCTTTAACAAAGTCAACAATAACAAGCAATGGGGAAAGGACAACCTATTCAATAAATGGTGCTGGGATAACTGGCTAACCACAGGTAGAAGATTGAAACTAGATCCCTACCTTCCACCATATACAAAAATCAACTCAAGATGGATTAAAGACTTAAATGTAAAACCTACAACTATAAAAAGCCTTGAAGAAAACCTAGGGAGTACCATTCTAGATATAGGCGGTGGCAAAGATTTCACAACAAAAATGCCAAAAGCAATTGCAACAAAAATAAAATTTGACAAATGGGACTAATTAAACTAAGGAGCATTTGCACAGTAAAACTATCAACAGAGTAAACAGACAACCTACAGAGTGGGAAAAAATATTTGCAAACTATGCATCTGACAAAGGTCTAATATCCAGAATCCATAGGAAGTTAAAAAATTAAAAACCAGGCCAGGTGTGGTGGCTCATGCCTATAATCCCAGCACTTTGGGAGGCTGAGGCGGGTGGATCACAAGGTCAGGAGATTGAGACCATCCTGGCTAATGTGGTGAAACCCCGTCTCTACTAAAAATACAAAAAATTAGCTGGGCATGGTGGCGGATGCCTGTAGTTCCAGCTATTCAGGAGGCTGAGGCAGGAGAATGGCGTGAACCTGGGAGGCGGAGCTTGCAGTGAGCCAAGATCGCACCACTGCACTCCAGCCTGGGTGACACAGCAAGACTCTGTCTCAAAACAAAAACAAAAAACAAAACCCAAAAATCAAACAACTCCATAAAAAAGTGGGCAAAGGACATGGACAGACACTTTTCAAAAGAAGACCTACATGCAGCCAACAAGCACATGATCAACATCACTAAATATTAGAGAAATGCAAATCAAAATCACAATGAGATACCGTCTCACACAATCAGAATGATGATTATTAAAAAGTCAAAAAATAACAAGATGCTGGTGAGGTTGTGGAGTAAAGGGAATGCTAATACACTGCTGGTGGAAATGTAAATTAAGTCAGCCACTGTGGAAAGCAGTTTGAAGATATCACAAAGAACTTAACAGAGAACTACCATTCAACTCAGAAATCCCATTACTGGGCATATACCTAAAGGAATATAAATTATTCTACCATAAAGACACATGTATGTGTATGTATGTCACAGCATTATTTGCAATAGCAAAGACATGGAATCAACTTAGATGCCCATCAACAGTAGACTGGATAAAGAAAATGTGGTCAATATACACCATGGAATATTATGCAGCCATAAAAAAGAATAATATTATGTTCTTTGGAGCAACATGGATGGAGCTGGAGACCGTTATCCTAAGTGAACTAACAGAGGAAAAGAAAACCAAATACTGCATGTTCTCACTTATAAGTGGGAGCTAAACATTGAGTACACATGGACACAAAGAGGGAAACAATAGAAACAGGGGCCTACATGAGTATGGAGGGTGGGAGGAGGGTGAAGATCAAAAAACTACCTATTGAGTACCATTATTACCTGTGTGATGAGATAATCTGTACACGAAACCCTGTGACACATAATTTACCTATATAACAAACCTGCGGCTGGGTGTGGTGGCCATGCCTGCAAACCCAGCACTTCGGGAGGCTGAGGCGGGTGGATCACCTGAGGTCAGGAGTTTGAGACCAGCCTAGTCAACATGGTGAAATCCCATCTCTACTAAAAATACAAAAATTAGCTGGGCATGGTGACAGGCACCTGTAATCCCAGCTACTCGGGAGGCTGAGGCAGGAGAATTGCTTGAACCCAGGAGGTGGAGGTTACAGTGAGCAGAGATTGTGCCACTGCACTCCAGCCTGGGCGACAGTGAGACTCAGTCTCAAAAAAAACAAAAAGAATAAGACAAAGAAGCCTGCTTCTACTGCTATTATTCAATAATTCTCTGAAGATCCTACTTAATGCAATAACACAGAAAAAAGAAAAGAGGTATAAATGTTAGGAAGGGTCAAAATTCTAAGACTGGAAATGACATGCTTGTCTATTCAGAAAATTCGAGGTCAACTAAAAAAAATAGTACAATTAATGAGAGTCAATAATGCGACCACTTAGAAAAGCAACATACCCAAATCAATAACTTTTACACACACAGCCAATAAAGAATTAGGCAATGTAAAGGAAAAATGATCTCATTCATATTAGCAGCAAAACCATAAAATATATAGGGGTAGAATAAACCCAATAAGAAATGTGTAAGACCTAGATGATGAAAATTAAAATGCTTACTAAAGAACATTTAAAAAGACAGACTGTTAAAATGAATAAAAGCCTTACCAGATTTCAAAGTAGACAAACTATGGTAATTGAAAGAGTGTGGTACTGTTGTAGTAACAAAAAAAGAGAGTCCAAAAATAAAGCCCATGTATGTATATAAGAATTTAGCATATGAAGAAAGTAGAGTACTGTGAGGATAAACTATTTAATAATTGGTTTTTAGAAAATGAGTGATTTTGGTTGGAAAAACATAATATTACATAATAAAAAAATATACTCTAGGTATATTAAAGTTCTAAATGTTAAAAAAGCAATACCAGTACTATAGGCCAATATGAAAAAATATTTTTATAATTTATATAATTTTAAATAGGGAAAGCCTGCTAAGTTTGATATGAAACCCAGATATCATGTAATAAAAAAGAGAAAGACTTCAAGAAAATTTGTAACTTGTATAATCTGAAAGACATTATAAAGATAATGAAAGAAATAATAAGACTAGGGGAAAATATTAGGCCACAAATATAGCTGACAAAGAACTGGTACTACTAATAGTCAAAAGAGCTTCTACAAATCAATACTTAAGACAATCTCATAGAAAAATAAGCAAAGGCTATGAATAGGCAATTAAGAGAAGAAATTAAAAAGGCTAATAAACATATGTGATCAGTGAATTGAAACCTTAAAAGTATTTGATCTATCACATTGGCACAAATTGAAGATTTTGTTTTGTTTTGTTTGTTTTAGAGACAAGGTCTAGCTCTGTTGCCCAGGCTGGAGTGCAGTGGCATGATTATAGCTTACTGTAGCCTGGAACTCCCAGGCTCAAGGTGATCCTCCCGTCGCAGCTTCCTGAGTAGCTGGGACTACGAGTGTGTGCCACCATGCCTGGCCAACAAATTCAAGATTTTAAATATCTGGTGTTAGTGAGAATGTGGGGAAAGGGGCATTCTTACAGGCTGCTGGTGGGATTACAATTTGGCAAAATCTTTTGAAGCATAATTTGGCAGGGACCTGTCAAATTTTAAATGGGCATACCCTTTTACCCAGCTTCCACTTCCAGATATCTATCTTGCAAAGAATAGATATACAAGAATGTTTACATAAAGTATTATTTGTAAGAGCAAAAAAGGGAGACATATTAAATGTACATCAGCAGTGAATAAATTATAGCATATCCATATTATGGCATACTATTCAATGCATTAGGAAGAGTGAGGTAGATCTATATTTACTGATATTCAATAACCATGATCTATTTCTGAATGAAAAAAGTTGCAGAGCAAAGTGACTGGTATGATCTCATTTCAAAAACTATATCCTTCCAATACACATGCATGTGTGCAGACACCTAGATAAAAGATCTGAAAGGATATATGCCAAATTATTTTAAGATGGTTACTTCTGGGGTGGGGAATCTACTTTTTACATTTATGTAATGCTTAAATTATTTACAGTGAGCATGTATTACTTCAGTAAATTTTTAAAAATGCTAACATATAAAAACTAAAACAAGGGGCCCTATGCTAACTATGTCACAGTAACCTCACTGAATTATTCAATTGAAATCTAAACCTGGAATCTTCAGAAACATTAATCTTCCCAGATTTGTATCTCTGAGGACCTTGGCCTTTAAGCAAGTAGGTTTACAAAAACAACACATGGTCATGATAAAAGCTCAAACAGTACAGAAGAATATAAACAGCAAAGTAAAACTCTCCTCCTTCTGACCAGCAATCTATTAATCCGATTCACCAAAGGCAACCAATATTAACAGTTGCTTATGGAGCCATCCAAATATTAAAAAGACAAGTATTTAAAACATAGTATTTACTTTAGGTATCCAAGGATAATAATATTCATTGGAGCACTGACTACTATGTAGATCGGCTGTTCTTACTGATGCAGCACATCACAAATATGTTATGCTTAAATGCCAACATGATAGCATTCAACACTGAGCTGCAGGCTAGGTGTGGTAGCTCACGCCTGTAATCCTAACCCTTTGGGAGGCCTAGGCAAGGAGGATCTCTTGAGCCCATGGGTTTGAGACAGCCTGGGAAACATACTGAGACCCTATCTCTAAAAAAAAAATTTAAAAATTAGCCAGGCATGGTGGTGTGTGCATGTAGTCCCAGCTCCTCGGTAGGCTGAGGAAGAAGGATCTCTTGAGCCCATGAGGTAGAGGCTACAGTGAGCTGCGATCATGCCACTGCACTCCAGCCTGGGCAACAGAACGAGACCCTGTCTCAGTGGTCTTGAAGGTCAAATAGTACAAAACATGTTGGAGAAAGCAACATAATTCAACCAGAAGAAAATAATGTATTTTCTCTAAAAAAGAATTTACCATAGGGTAAACCTTGGCAAGGATCTAGCTCAAAAGTTTAGTCCTTTTCATTTTATTCGCCCAGAAGATAATTTCTAAAGAAAGTTATAGAAAAAAAAAATTACTCCAACTGGTTTTTCCTCATTGGTTGCATACTTACCACATTCTGTTTTGTTGTTTCCTCTAGGGTCTGTATCACATACAACCTATTTCGACAGCGCATACTATGTATATCTTCATAGCGAATATTACCATATTTCTGCAAGAGATATGATTTCAGTGGCTACTCACTCATAATAAACATCCACTTTTTCTTTTACAATTCAGTTTTATCAGACTGAATTCTTGGAGGCCTTGATTCTATTTCTAGGGAATTTCCTGACTTGTTCAATGATTTTGCAAATTTTTACCTCCCACGTTTCAGTTTTTAAATATATTCACTGGAGAGAATTCCATCTACTATGTGAATAGACTAAGTACAAAAATATAGGTAAAATTCTTAATCTCTAAGAAGTGAATAATAATAATGAGAATAATTCACCTTTTAATCCAGTGATAGATGTTTAAAGTGGTCATTATTTGTGAAAGCAAGTGAATTTAATTTCATTTAATGAAAAACAAATTGAGGCAGAGGAGGTTACACAACCTAGAACAGTTCACAGAACTCATTTTAAAAGTTAAGTTGGATTTTAAGTTGTATGTCTACTTGCATTATTATCTTACACTTAATATACCATTAGAGATAGACCATAGTTCAATCATTTTAAATATGCTAGCTAATATATTTATGGCATGAAAAAACTTACCTCATTTGATTCTCTAATCAAATCTGTAATATCCACTCTAGTATGACTGGTTTTTTCATCACTCACATTTGAACCTTGCTGAACATTTGAAGGCAATGGACTATCCTTATTAGTGACATTGTCAAAGAACCTATTGAAAAGTGATAGTAATACAAGAATTAGTGGAACTACCATTATTAAAGCAGAGAAATGACACATAATTTCTCCCTAGTTAGTTAGAGGTTACTTTCAACTGAGAGGACAAGGGAAGGTCTTATGAAGAAGTGGAACTTTGTTGCTGTTTGCAGATGACATGATTGTATATCTAGAAAACCCCATCGTCTCAGCCCAAAATCTCCTCAAGCTGATAAGCAACTTCAGCAAAGTCTCAGGATACAAAATCAATGTACAAAAATCACAAGCATTCTTATACACCAATAACAGACAAACAGAGAGCCAAATCATGAGTGAACTCCCATTTACAATTGCTTCAAAGAGAATAAAATACCTAGGAATCCAACTTACAAGGGATGTGAAGGACCTCTTCAAGGAGAACTACAAACCACTGCTCAAGGAAATAAAAGAGGATACAAACAAATAGAAGAACATTCCATGCTCATAGGTAGGAAGAATCAATATCATGAAAATGGCCATACTGCCCAAGGTAATTTATAGATTCAATGCCATCCCCATCAAGCTACCAATGACTTTCTTCACAGAATTGGAAAAAACTACTTTAAAGTTCATATGGAACCAAAAAAGAGCCCGCATCGCCAAGTCAATCCTAAGGCAAAAGAACAAAGCTGGAGGCATCATGCTACCTGACTTCAAACTATACTACCAGGCTACAGGGCTACAGTAACAAAAACAGCATGGTACTGGTACCAAAACAGAGATATAGATCAATGGAACAGAACAGAGCCCTCAGAAATAATGCCGCATATCTACAACTATCTGATCTTTGACAAACCTGACAAAAACAAGCAATGGGGAAAGGATTCCCTATTTAATAAATGGTGCTGGGAAAACTGGCTAGCCATATGTAGAAAGCTGAAACTGGATCCCTTCCTTACACCTTATACAAAAATTAATTCAAGATGGATTACAGACTTACATGTTAGACCTAAAACCATAAAAACCCTAGAAGAAAACCTAGGCAATACCATTCAGGACATAGGCATGTGCAAGCACTTCATGTCTAAAACACCAAAAGCAATGGCAACAAAAGCCAAAATTGACAAATGGGATCTAATTAAACTAAAGAGCTTCTGCACAGCAAAAGAAACTACCATCAGAGTGAACAGGCAACCTACAGAATGGGAGAAAATTTTTGCAACCTACTCATCTGACAAAGGGCTAATATCCAGAATCTACAATGAACTCAAACAAATTTACAAGAAAAAAACAAACAACCCCATCAAAAAGTGGGCGAAGGACATGAACAGACACTTCTCAAAAGAAGACATTTATGCAGCCAAAAAACACATGAAAAAATGCTCATCATCACTGGCCATCAGAGAAATGCAAATCAAAACCACAATGAGATACCATCTCACACCAGTTAGAATGGCGATCATTAAAAAGTCAGGAAACAACAGGTACTGGAGAGGATGTGGAGAAATAGGAACACTTTTACACTGTTGGTGGGACTGTAAACTAGTTCAACCATTGTGGAAGTCAGTGTGGGGATTCCTCAGGGATCTAGAACTAGAAATACCATTTGACCCAGCCATCCCATTACTGGGTATATACCCAAAGGATTATAAATCATGCTGCTATAAAGACACATGCACACATATGTTTATAGCGGCACTATTCACAATAGCAAAGAGTTGGAACCACCCCAAATGTCCAACAACGATAGACTGGATTAAGAAAATGTGGCACATGTACACCATGGAATACTATGCAGCCATAAAAAATGATGAGTTCATGTCCTTTGTAGGGACATGGATGAAACTGGAAACCATCATTCTCAGCAAAATATCGCAAGGACAAAAAATGAAACATCGCATGTTCTCACTCATAGGTGGGAATTGAGCAATGAGAACACATGGACACAGGAAGGGGAACATCACACACTGGGGACTGTTGTGGGGTGGGGGAGGGGAGAGGGATAGCATTAGGAGATATACCTAATGTTAAATGATGAGTTAATGGGTGCAGCACACCAACATGGCACATGTATACATATGTAACAAACCTGCACGTTGTGCACATGTACCCTAAAACTTAAAGTATAATAATAACAAAAAAAGAAGTGGAACTTGTTTTTTGTTTTTGAGATGGAGTCTTGATCTGTCATCCAGGCTGGAATGCAATGGCACAATCTTGGCTCACTACAACCTCCGCCTCCTGATTTCAAACAATTATTCTGCCTCGGCCTCCCAAGTAGCTGGGATTACAGGTGTTCACCACCACGCCTGGCTAATTTTTGTATTTTTAGTCGAGACGAGGTTTTGCCATGTTGGCCAGGCTGGTCTTGAACTCCTGACCTCAGGTGATCCACCTGCCTCGGCCTCCGAAAGTGCTGGGATTACAGGCATGAGCCACCGCACCCGGTCAAGAAGTGGAGTTTGAAGATGGTTGAGCATTAGGAGGGCATGGGTGAGGGAAATGGGATAGTGTAGGAATCATTTTGGGGTTTTGAAGGAAGCAAACAGGCTCAGAGAGTACTTGGCAAATACCACACAGCTCAGTAAGAGTGGAATATAGGGTATGTAGAAGCATATAGGGGGAAATAAGTGAAGAAAGGTACACTGAGCCCTTACCACAGAGTTCTGAATGCCAGAGTAAGATGTTTGTATTTTATTCTGTACATAATGGGATTTCATGTGGCATTATGATAGTTGCCCACTCAAATTTATTCATTTAGCATATACAAATGTGTGCATATACACATACACACACATACAACACATGTGCTCCAATACAAAATAGCATTCATACAGAAGCTACTAGGAAAATAAAGTTCAACCCACCTGAAACCACATAGAAACCAGAATAACTTCCCGGCCACTGGATATTTAACATTATCAACTATGCTTTTCCTGCTTGAACTAATTCTACATAGACACTTTATAGCTCAAACTGGGAATATGAAAGTCCTAGCATACTGAATCAACAATATTAGTGTAAATGTGTACATAATTTAGTGGTTCACTTCAAAGTGATTTATTCTTGCTATATTTTTTCTGGAGATAGAGGACTGGACTTTAGGTGTAGCTCTTTCATTCAAGTGGTTTTGTAATCTCGGACAAACTGAAATTTCTAGGGCTCAGTTTCCTCTGTAAAATAGGGGATTGAACAACATCATCTCTCAAATCTCCTCCAGATTTAAATGTTATGGTTCTTACAATACCTGTTTAAGGCTGTCACAGCTTCAGCATCATCTTTACAAGTCAGCAGTTTGTCTAAATTATAGTCAAGTATTGCCAATCCCAGTTGCAAAATGGCCTTTATTCCATCATAGAAGAAACAGTCCACCACATTCACTGCACTTTCAATAGGTAGCACACTAATAAAAAGTGTGAGAAACCAAGAGAGAGAAACTGAGGAAAAGAATGTCATATCAGTCATGTGTTCTGTCAGCTGAGGAAGGTGATCCCTGATAAGTTCTTCAAAGACTGCCTGATCCACCAAGGCACCTACAGAATATCAAAAGAAGTTTAAAAATAAACATTTTTCAAAAGGACTTGTTTCCATACCTCCCCACTTCTATTAGCATGCTGATGTATCTCATTCTTCTTCCTTAAATTATGAACTCTTTCAGAACCTCTTCTGTATTTTATACATCTAACTGCTAGTAGTGTCATGTACTTCAGAAACACAATTCAAATTCATTTGAAGAGTTATTTATTGAGTCTTTATTATATGCAGAGACCTGTACTAGGTATTATAAGAGCTATACCAATTAATGAAATAGTCTCATGTTCAGGGAGTTTAATATCTAGCATAACACAAGATAAATACACAAATAATTAGAATTCTTCACTCTTGACAATGCCAAACAACAAAGTTCTCTAAGTTCATTTTGATTATCAAAAATTTATTCTGAATTTAACACTTCAGAAATGAATCAGTGACATGAGAGTCACACTTTCAGACTCCAGCAATACACAGAGAAAGCACTGATCCCTCTGATGAGTTCTCAGCTATCAATCAAGAGAAGCCAGGGCCTTCTAATTGGTTACCCTCTGCTTTGCCCAATAAGGCATCCACTTATATCCTGGTCAAGCTTTGAGGAAAACTCATCTTCTGTCTCAGAGTTCATTTCCTCCTTGATGGGAGAATTTGGGGAATAGGAGTAAGTAGTAGAAAATTGGAGAAAGAGCATGCCAGGTGCTACCCCAGATTTTCCTTTTTCTACTTCTCCCCAATAACACATTGTCCTTGGATTCTTACTAGTGGCATAAAATCATCTGAACCTAAAAAAAAAAAAAAAAAAAAAATACACAAATAATTATAATGAAAGACAGTAAAATCGATGACCTAACCACAATCCTGAAAGCCTATTACGGTACAAAGAGACCATTCATAAGTTTTAAGGTAAGTGGTCACAGATCTGTAAATATTTGATGATTAAAGAAAATATTGGCCAGGCGCGGTGGCTCACACCTGTAATCCCAGCACTTTGGGAGGCCGAGGTGGGTGGATCACGAGGTCAGGAGATTGAGACCATCCTGGCTAACACGGTGAAACCCCGTCTCTACTAAAAATACAAAAAAAAAAAAAATTAGCCAGGCGTGGTGGCGGGTGCCTGTAGTCCCAGCTACTCGGGAGGCTGAGGCAGGAGAATGGCGTGAACCCAGGAGGTGGAGCTTGCAGTAAGCCGAGGCCGCACTCCAGCCTGGGCGACAGAGCAAGACTCCGTCTCAATAAAATAAAATAAAATAAAATAAAAATTATACAATTAACAAACTAAGAACTCGATCCTTCTTTGAAATCTTGCAAATATCTATATAATTCATACAAATATGGAGATTTTAAGCAGATTGAAATCTCCCTCCCATCAAAAAACTACAAAAATTCACCAGTAGCTGTGGATACTTGAGATCACCATTGTTTTAGCAACATAGAGTTTATAAACTTAATGCTTCCATTTTTGTTAAGAAACAGACCAGGTATTTTATTTTTAAAAGCAACATATTAAACAATCTTTCTGACTATACATTCAGTACAAAAAGCTCTTCTTTTGAGAATGTCAGTGAATGTGACATTTTGATATTGCTTGCATTTTATACCACAACATAATCCATCAGTCCTTCTACTTTATTAGTAATTAGACAAGAGACACTGAAATTGTTTAGAAAGGAAATATACATCTCTGTGTGTGTATGCATATGTGTGTGTGTGGTTTTTCTTTTACCAATAATTCGACGATTAAAATAATCAGGCAACATTCGTTCACATACAGCAACCAGAAGCCAAAAAGCTTCTTCCTCTTTTGCATATAGAAGCAGCACTGAAGTCAAAATATTCATTGCCTAAAATTCATAGAAAACAGTATTAAAAAGCAAATATTGCTCAAGTAATAATTATACTTCTTCAAACATAATAGTTTTTGACAGCAACAAGAACAACTGAGAGTAATAATAGTGTAATAACAGTGGAAACATGAGAACTCTGAGCCAGTCCAAGGCAAAACAAGGTGAAGTCAGGCTAACATTTGATAATCAGTTATTTTATAAAGTAACATTCAAGAAAAGTGAAGCAGTAATATAATAAATACAGAACATAATAAGCAAAACCTCTCTAATTTCGAAGAGTGAAAAACCTTAATTATCACTAATCTGAAAAAAGCCTACATAATTTTCAAAGACATACTAAAACGAAAGAAAACGAACTTCATCTGTATTTCCAACTACCTATAAAGAAATAGCCCTCAGATATGAATCATCCTCAATTTTGTCCAAAACTGAATATCTTCTTTCCCCTATCAAGTAGGATTCTTCTTACCTATCCTAGTTTTGATTATGCTGAAAACCCTCTATCTGCTGCATCTGTTTCATATCCTAGAGTTTCTTCTTATAAAACGTCTTTCGGATTTGCTTTTTCCTTCCCATTCCCACTACCACTCTAACTTGCTGCTGCTTCTTACCTATCTTGCATACAAATGTCAGATCATTACTTTTATATACATTGCCACATCCCTTATTATAAAGTAATAAATCCTTAATGGATAGAATTTGGAGAGAATGGAAAAGTATGAATGAGAAAATAAAACCTCTTGTATCCTATGTACCCAGAAATAAACTGTTAACAAGTTGATATATTTTTCTGCAGTTTTTTCTTCCTTTTTCTCCTAAAATTTGTATCACACTGTGTACTAAATCTTTATTTTTTTGCTTAGCACTATATAGTAATATTCAATGCCACTAAATATTCTTCTAAAACAGTATTTTTAATGACTAAAAAAATCTAAGGTGGATCTAATATAAATTATTTAACCATTCTACTATTGTTGGACATTTAGGTTAATTCAAATTTTTTACTATTACATATAATGCTGCAATGGTTATCTTTTTTATATAAATTTTCATCCAACTATACTTTTTTCTCAGGACACATACCTAGAAATGAAATTGTTTGGTCACATGGTATTTTTAAAAGACTTCATATTATTGCCAAATTAAATTCCTGAAAGAAAATACCAATTTATATTTCTGACCAATAGTGTTTAAATGTTTATTTCACTGCATCTTTGCCAATATTGTGAATCGTAATAACTATAATCATCTTTATTGATTTGATAGTGAAAAATGGTAGCTCATTGTTTTAATTTTAATTTCTTTGAGGTTGAACTTTCTTTTTCAGACTTTAACATCAACCTGTATTTTCTCTTCTGTGATTAATCCTTTCATGTCCATTGCTCATTTTTATACTTTCATACCTTTCATATAGATTTGTATATTAACTATGCCAATTTCTTGCCTAATCTAGTACACTGTTTGATGTCAAGCTTAGTTTTTACTGAATCATTTTCCCATGCAAGAAGCCATACTAGGAGGGGATGTAGTAAAAATGGCAGAGTAAGAACTTCTAAAAATGCTCTCCTCTATAAAAGCAACAAGAACACTGACAAAAGTCATCGGAATCAACTTTAGAACTCTGGAAATTAACCAATAGCTTACAGCAATTCAGGTAGCATTTATTTAATAAAATGGCTGAATCTCAGTAAAACCAGTAAGCTCTGTGGCATTTTAAATTGCCCTATTCCCACCCCCCTCCCCAGTTTCACAGTAGCCTTAAAAACCAACATCTAGGCCGGGTGCGGTGGCTCATGCCTGTAATCCTAGCACTTTGGGAGGCCGAGGTGGGTGGATCACTTGAGGTCAGGAGTTCATAACCAGCCTGGCCGACATGGTGAAACCCAGTATCTACTAAAAATACAATAAAGAAAAAATAGCAGGGCATGGTGGTGCACACCTGTAATCCCAGCTACTCGTGAGGCTGAGACAGGAGAATCGCTTGAACCTGGGAGGTGGAGGTTGCAGTGAGCCAAGATCATGCCACTGCACTCCAGCCTGGGCAACAGAGTGAGACTCTATCATTAAAAAAAAAAAAAAAAAAAAAAGAGAGAGAGAGAGAAAAAAGAAAGAAACCAACATCTAGCAATTACAGTGGAAACCAGTACCTAGTAGCTACTGAATGGAACAGATTGGGGTTGGAACTCCAGCAAAGCCCCATTCCCAAATAATTGTTGTTATTTGACTTGTCTAGTGGTTCCCTGGAAGACTCCTCTCACAAGACTGTCTTTATTTGACTTGACACAGAGCTCCTCTGGTGTAAACAGCCTTTTCCCCTGTGGTGTTTGTTGAAAACAATCAGAGGCAGTTGTTGAACATGTGGCTATCCAAGGCAGTGGATAGCAGTTGGGCCAAACAATACGCTAACAAAGTGTTAAAAGAAAAGTGGGGGCTTTGAAAAACTGTGACATATTCCTGGGAACCCAGAAGGCCAACTACATGCATATGGCTTTATGTATACTCACAGTTGTATGTATTCTTAGGAAAGAACAGAAAAGACCTAAGCTCTTATCTCCAGCTAATCTTCCAGCTTTGTGCGAGCAGAAAGTGATAAAGACTAGAAATAATTCTAACTGCAAGAACAAAAAACCAAACACCGCATATTCTCACTCATAGGTGGGAATTGAACAATGAGAACACATGGACACAGGAAGGGGAACATCACACTCTGGGGACTGTTGTGGGGTGGGGGGAGGGGGAAGGGATAGCATTAGGAGATATACCTAATGCTAAATGATGAGTTAATGGGTGCAGCACACCAGCATGGCACATGTATACCTATGTAACTAACCTGCACATTGTGCACACGTACCCTAAAACTTAAAATATAATTAAAAAAAAGACTAGAAATAGAGAAAAATCAACAAAAGCAAAAGTTGGTTCTTTGAAAAGATTAAAAAAGACAAAAAGGATAAAAAACATAGAAATATTTTTAGGTAGCCTAACTAAAAAAATTTTCCAAAAAAAAAGAGCAAGAACGAGATAGTGCGAGTGAGAGATCAAGAGTGCAAAAGTGAGAGTGTGCAAGAGCAAGAGTGTGAGAAGGGGGACTCAAATTATTATAGCCAGGAAATAGAGAACTATCAACCTTATAGAAGTAAAAAAGATTATAAGTGATTATGATGAAAAATTATATGCCAACAAATTAGATAATCTAGATAAAATGGACGAGTTTCTAAAAAAAACCACAAACTACTGAAACTAAAATGGGAAAAGTGAAATAGACCTATAATAAATAAAGAGATTGACTTAGTAATGAAAAAACTTTCCACAAAGCAAACTCTAAGAGCAGATGGCTTCACTGGCAAATTCTACCAAACATTTAGAGAATAATTACCACCAATTCTTCATAAACTCTTCAAAAAATAGGAAAGGAGGAAACGCTATCCAACTTATTCTAAGAAACCTAGACACCCAAAGTAGACGAAGACATCACAAAAAAACTATATATCAATATATCTTACAAATATAAGCATAAAAATCCTCAACAACATGCTAGCAAACTGAACTTAAGAACACATAAAAAGGATCCCAAAAGGCCAAGTGGGATTTATTCTGGGAAAGCAAAAGTGATTCAACATATAACAATCCATCAATGTTTATATATATGTGTGTGTGTGTATATATATATATGTTTATATATATATGTTTATATATATATATATATGGAAAAAATAACATGATCATCTCAATTGACACAGAAAAATCATTTGACAAAATCAATACTCCTTCATGATAAAAACACTCAACAAACTAGCAATATAAGAGAACTTCCGCAACCTGATAAAGATGATCTACAAGAAACCCACAGTTAACATTATACTTTATGGTGAAAGACTGATTACTCCCCTTAAGATAAATAACAAGACAGGGACATGCATTCTTACCACTTCTATTCAACATTGTACCGAAGGTTCTAGCCTGGTCAACTAGGCAAGAATAAGGGAAAAAAAGACATCCATACTGGAATAAGAGAAGTAAAAGTAACACTATTCAGATGCCATGATTTTGTATATAGAAAATCCTAATTAATCCACAAAAAAATCTACTAGAACTAATAAATAAGCTTAGCAAACTTACAGAACACAAGATCAGTTATCAGTTGTATTTCTATATGCTGGCAACAAACAATCAAAACATGAAATCAAGAAAACAATTCAATTTACTATAATAACAAAAAATTAAAATACTTAGAAATAAAATTAACAAAGGAAGTACAAGCCTTGAACACTGAAAACTATAAAACATCTTTGGATGAGACAGATTAAAGAATGATTAAATAAATGAAAAGGAAAGACATCTTGTGTTTATGGGTTGGAAGAGTTAATATTGTTAATATGAAATACTCCCGAAATTGATCTACAGATTCAATATGATGACTATCAAAATCCCAGCTGCCTTTTTTTTTTCTTGTTTGCAGAGATTGACAAGTTGATCCTAAAATTTGTATGGAAATACAAGGAACTAAAAGAGCCAAAACAATCTTAGAAAAGAACAAAGTTAAAGAACTCACACTTCCTGATTGCAAAACTTACTACACAGATGCAGTAATCAAGACAATGTGGCACTGGTATAAGGGTAGAAGTATAAATCAATGGAATAGAATTGAGAGTCCAGAAATAAACTCTAACATTTATGGTCAACTAATTTTCAACAAGAGTGCCAAGGCACCACTTCACGCTCACCGGAATGGCTGCAATCAAAAAGAAAGACAATTAAGAAGTGTTGTCAAGGATGTGCAGAAATTAGAATCCTTGTACATACAATGAAGGGGAGATTTGGTAAAAAAATAAAATAAAATAAAGACAAAGAAAAAATAGAACCCTCATACATTGCTGGAGGGAATATAAAATGGTGCAGTCTCTTTGGAAAATAGTTTGACAGTGCGCCAAAATGTTAAACAGACAGTTATCATATAACCCAGAAATTTCACTTCAAGATATTTACCCACAAGAATAATAAAGCAATGTCCATAAAAAACTTGTACATGAATATTCATAGCAGCATTATTCACAACAGCCAAAACAAGAAAACATCTCAAATAACTATTAACATTGAATAAACAAAATGTGGTATATATCCATATAATGGAATATTATTAAATCATAAGAAAGAAGTCCTGATACATGCTACAACATGGATGAACTTTGAAAATGATATGCTAAGTAAAAGAAGGCAGGCACAAAAGATCACATATTGTATCACTCAATTTATATAAAATGTGCACAATAGGCATATTCATAGAGCTAGAAAGTAGATCAGTGATTGCTTGGGTTGGTAGTAGGAGAAATGGGGAGTAACTGCTAATGGATATGGGGCTTCTTTTTAGGGTGATGAAAATGTTCTGGAATTAGATAATGGTGAAGGTTTGCACAACTTTGTGAATATATGAGAGACCACTAAAGGGGTGACGTTTGTGGTAAGTGAATTATATATCAACATTAGATAGATAGATGGAGACAGATGATAGAAAAGATTAGAGAGACAGAATAGATAGATAGATAGATAGATAGATAGATAGATAGATAGATAGATAGATAGAGCAAGCTAGCCAGCCATGTGTCTCACGTGGGTTTTTGATCAAAACCAACAAAATCTGTCTACCATATTAAGTTTAAATTCTTTTCCCAGGCTTGAAAGATTCTTCATGATCTTGTGCCATACAAATTTACTTTTTTATTCCAATGTGAACCTAGCCAATCTTATCTCCCAAGGTGGGCTTATTCTCACCTGAATGGTATCACTCATACTTTAGCCCCAAATAACTTTCCTCCTGCCCTCCATGTTTCTAACTTTGCTCTCATCTTTTAGAAGTCAATATTAAGTGCTGCCTATTTTGAAGCTATCTCTAAACTACTGCTTATAGACAATATCACAGGGTCTGTGAGTATAAGCTCTTTGAGAAAAGAAGCATTATGCTTCTTTTGTACCTTTCAGAGATCCTAAAATATGCTAAAAATCCTTGCCATTTAGATGTTCCATTCACTTAAACAGTTTTTCAAAAAAAAAAAATCTCTATTGACAAGTTACAGTGGATAGGTAGTATTGACATGTAACAATTACAGGTATTCAACCCATTATAAATAAACGTATGGCACAGAGTGCTACCTATCCATGACATTCCAATCTCCTCTTCTTCCATAGTAGCTGCTCATGTCTGCTCAGCCACGCTATACTCCACAGACTTCCTTGTGAATAGGTGTATCCACGTGACTAAGATCATCCAATAGAATGTGCATGAAGTGATATTTGCCCCTTTCAAGCCTAGCCCATAAAATCTTTCACAGTTGTTTCTCCATGCTCTTTCCCTGTTCCTGTGAGTGCTAATGGTGATGAAAATGTACTCGGGAAGGTTTGTTTTGAAAATGACAGTCTGCTGTCAGTCTACAGTCTAAGTTCCTGAATAATCTCATGGAGGAGAGCTGCCTACTGACCTGAAGAGTCAATCTCCTTTGTTTATTCCTTCAAGAAATAAAATTATACTGTTTCATCTATTATCTGTGTTTGTGTTAGCAGTCTAGCCTATCCTAATTGATTGTGTGCTCCTAAATAATTTTTTTCCAATGATTCCTCCACTGCCTATAAAATAAAATTCAAACTCCAGCTCTATCCCAATCTACCTTATTGATTTTTTTTCTCCAACTACTTCACTTCATCCACCCTATGTTTCTACCAAACTAAACAAACATGGTCCTATACATACTTTACGTTTACCTCTACCTATGTTCGGTTACATGGATTCCATCACCTGGCATGTTCTTTTCATTCCATTTCCATATGTCCAAAATTCACCAATTTTTAAGACTTGCAAATGCTACCTTTTCCACGAAGCCTTCTCTGACTCCTCCAGATGAAAAATAGTTTCTCCTTGTTATAAATCATGACAGGAATTTATATTTCTCTAACAGTTTTTCTCACTTGATTTTTGTTTCTTAATGAATATGCTTTAATGTCTCCTGGTCTACATACTTTTAAGGGAGGACCCTTATCTGATACATCTTTATATAGCCTTAAGTACCTAGCAGAGTATCTTTTATAGAGCAGAAGTTCAATAAACATTTGTTAAGTGAAAAAGAAAAATAATGAAATATCAATTCTCCTAAGTATTCCCACTACCATCCTACTTACATTAATACTATGCTCTATCTATCTCACCCCCATCTCTTTCCTTATAATCGCCACTTCCAAATTAGTGGAATTGGATTTGATGTGATTTTATTTGGAACATACACACAGTTGGGCTCATAGTTAAGTCATACCTGGCAGTATCCAATTTTGGGATTCCTGTATGCATAAGCTGTGAGTACCCTTCTCAGAGCAGATATGCCAGTATCACTCTGAAAGGCTGGGTGCTCAGGCAGAGAGCGACGTAAATCACGTTCAATTTCTTCAGTAGCCAAGTTGCAGGTCCCTAAGGACTGCTCAACCACTTCAGTATAATAGTCAGGATTAGTAGCCATGTCATTAACAGCACCTGTGAAGATTATTACATTAACATACAACAGAAGGTGGATATAATGAAGCTATTTCCATATATACATAAATAATTGGATTTCATTACCTTGATATTTAGCCTTATGCTTAAGTGATTTCTGAGCACAAACAGAAAAGAGCTTTACACTAGAATCTATGTCAAGCTACTAATTTATCCAACAGAATACCAATTTCATGAGCTTTTTTCCCCCTTAACTGACTGTTGACACTAAAGATTCCCCCAGTATACATATCTTGCCTAATAAACTAATGTGCTCAGATGCTGGATGTGTGGATAGATAGGTAAGGTATAGATAACTACTTACCTTTCTTTCTTTGACTAGTCCGAACTCAAGATGAGTAAGACTTTGTATTAACCATCTTTGTAATTCTTTTGCTTTAGCTTAGGGCATAACTCCTAGAAAGGCATAGTTAATGTCTATTAAATAAATACAATGAATAAACGTAATACCTGAAAAAAGCATCCAGAGTTCTCCTCTTAATGTTTCTGGAATCCCTCTTACAACAAGATCTCGAGTCTTTTTGGTTCGAAACATACTAACACCACGTCCACATTCTGCAAACAGTATTTTCCATGACTGTTCCTTCATTTTTTCTTTCAACTGTAATGACAGAAAAATCAAAACAACTAAATTTAGTGAGAAATTAACTTCTGCAAAATAACTTTCCCACTCTCTTTACCTTGAAACAACATCTATAGAAATTAAGAACATAGAAAACCAAAATCAGTATTCACCCAGGGGTGAAACACTGAATCCTTGTCATCATGAAAATCTTTTAAACTCATGTGAGCATAGCAGCTTAATTTACTATTTTAATTCTTAGCTAAACTCATATAAAAATGGTAAAAGTGTTATACTTGGGAGGCAAAGCTTTAAACCATCATTCTCCCCAAATCACATCTATGTAAGGATTAGAAATCCATGCAAATAAAACCCAATGTCAATAAATATGTACGACTATTATGTATCTGTAAAAATCCCCAATGTCCAACTTTTATCTTTTATCTTCATTCCTGATAATAGTCCTTGTGTACAGTGGAACTAAATAAGTTACACAGTAGTACCTGCTGGAAAACTTTTCAAGTCCCAAAAGAAGAGTTTTCAGTTGTGATACCTTCTAGTCTGCTTTTAAGATTTTTACTTTTCACCAAATGTTTCAGCCCATAGGTTTAAATATTTTGTTTTCCTACCATTTTAGAATTAAGAGTCTCCAAATTCTGAGGGTGAAATACTGTCATTAAGGCTTCAGTGTTCACAGTTTTACTGCATTCCCTCTGACTTGTCAAAGATTGCACCTCAAAATTATCAGATGGCTCTGTAGACTCAGAACTAATAGCAAGCTGAAAAAGAAAGAATGTAGTTGTCCCAGATGCATGCTTACGTTTCTACAAGAAAAAAAAGTTCTAATGTTTACTGTTATTTATAAGCCACAATCTGTATACATAACAAATATTAAAGCAATATCTCAGAGACATACCTATCAAAATTAGATATGTCAACAACCTGACTTCTAGAATGGCAAGCTCAGAACCCCTGTGAACACACTCCCCAACAAAAGCAACAAAATAGTGGCAAAACATTCAAAATAAACCATTTCAGAACACTGGAATTAACCAAAGGCATGCAATAAACTGAAAAGCACCTATTCGAGAAAAACTAATGAGCCTGCCTGAGTAAGACCAGAAGAGTCTGTGGGTCTTTTAACTCTATCCACCTGCCCAAGCTCAGAAATGAAAGCCAGCAGTATGGCAACCAGTGGATCTTTTGGAGTTTCATTAAAAGCCCTATCCCTAGGGCATAGACAATATTTGACCAAACTTGCAACTCCCTGGAAAATCTCTATTCCCAGGGTGTTGTTATCATTTGATTTTATTCACAGCTCAGCTTGGTGAAAAAACTCTGTTCCCAGGGTATTATAGAAAACAATAGCAATTGGTTGGTAACAACCCAGCTGTCCAAGGCTATGATTTCAGCTAGAGCAAACAAGAGCCTGGCTAAAGATTTAAAAGGAAGACCTGAAAAACCAGATGATGATGTGGAACTTTGAAGGGCTGCAACATATTCTTGGGGATCTAGAAGAATGAATACATGTACAGGGCTGTGAACATGCCTAGGAAAGAAATGGGACAGAAGAAAGCCCCAGTCACTCAACTCTGGCTATCTTTGAAAGCAGGGAATAAAAGCTAAAGCTGATGTGAAAATTGCCTGAAGTTTGACATATACCTTCACACAGATATCCTTGAGAAAAAGGTAGAATATTTGGTAGCATAAGGCATTTAAGGAAATCTAACCCATCACTGAATAACCACTAAATTATACTGATTCAGGGGGTGATCCAAGGAAGTCAGGCTTAAAAATAGAAACAAGAACTTAAAAAAGCAACCAATAGAAAGTGTCTTGAGGGGGCCCACTTGTTGGATTTTGTAAATAAAGACTATAAAGTAGCTATTATAAATATATTCAAAGAATTAAAACTATGTTTAAAAAAATAAAGGACCCATTAAAAAGTGGGCAAAAGATCTAAATAGATACCTCACCAAGGAAGATATAAATGGCAAATAATCATATGAAAGAGGTTCAACATCAGATGTCACTGGGTAATTGCAAATTAAAACAACATTACACACCTATTAAAACCCAAAACATTGAAAATACCAATTGCTTATGAGGATGTGTTGATACAGGCATGCAATGTTAAATAAGCACAAATATATAAATTATACCCCTATGTTTCTTGCAGCACTACTCAAAATAGCCAAGATATGAAATCAACCTAAATGTCCACCAACAGATGGATGGATACAGAGAATGTGATAAATTTTTACAATGGAATACTATTCAGCCCAAAAAAGAATGAAACATTTTCATTTGCAGCGACATGGATGAACATGGAGAACATTATGTTAAGTGAAATAAGTCAGGCACAGAAAGATAAATACCATATGTTCTCACTCATATGAAGGAGGTAAAAAGTTGAGCTCATAAAAGTATAGAGTGGAATGATGGTTATTAGAGGACAGAAAGTATGGGGTGGGAGGGTTGTACCATTTTACATTCCCAACAGCAATACATGAGAGTTTCAATTCTTCACATTCTCCTCAACAG